>NC_000002.12:64167625-64792625 GCF_000001405.40 Homo sapiens
TTCTCTATGTCCTTGGGACTGAAGCACAGATTTCACTAACTGCTGGGAATGTTGGTAACGGATAGATCTTGGCAACATTTTGTTCTAGAGATTGCCCTTGGTTGAAGAGAGCTTAAGATCACGCATTCCTTCCTAGAGCCAGCCCAGGAATGACTACAATTATTAATTGATTCAGAAGTTTATACTTTTATAAGCCTGGTCCCATTGCTTCAGTGGGGACAACTCTGTAGGCCATCCTAACTCCATAATTCTCCCATAGAAAGGCTGAGGACTTTGTGGCAACCACATCATAATCCCACTTCGCCTTTTGCCCAGTTCAGCTGTTTTCACTTCACCCTATAGGTGCTAATTCTGAAAGCAAGCCTCCTGCACACAAATATCCCTCTGAGTCTGTTTCCCAGGGAACTGAAGAGCAGCACTGGGCCAGGACCCTTAATACCATTTGCCTACTCCTATCACAGCTCTTACTTGTCCCCCCGCTGCCAACCCATATCATAATTGTCTGTTTACTTATGGGTCTATGCCTAAATATAGTGAGGAAACTAGAGAACAGGGATTTCAATCTTGTCTTTTTATCCTTATTTCCTTTTTACCCTGACTCATTAAATCTGTTTGAATAAATGAAAGCATAAATGAATGCAAGAGAGATTTCCATCTTCAAAAGCTTTGGGGGCTTTCCTAAAATCAGCTCAGCCCTTCCTGAACATTATTTCTTTTTGGAATAGCCCCAGAAAATCTGGGTCATCTCTCCTAGGGTGTATTTTAGGTTTGCTGCTTTTCATGCTTCATGAAATTATGAGAAGCATGGATTTGGAGGTCTGGATTTAGAAACCTGGGTTGAATTCTTGGAGCACCATGTACTAGTTGTGTGATTTTGGCCAAATCATATAACTTCTTCATGTCTCAGTTTAATTAACTGAAAAACAGCACTATCTAGCCCACAGATACTGCCTGGTGGCAAATAAATGAGATAATATCTGTGTAAAGTGATGGCACATAGTAGATAGTCAGTAAATTTTAGCTTCCTTCCTCTTTTTCTTCTTTTTAGATTGAATTTACCCATCTATAATAACTTGCAAAGAAATAAATTATAGTAGTTTGGTCCTGCTGAGATGATCTCAATAGCTCTCATAATCTTTTTTTCCCCCACATGGCAGAAATCCATCATTCTCTGTTACTATTCTGATTTTAGAAGGAAAAAAAAAACACAGCTGAAATCATCTACTCAACAATGCAAGTCCCTTCTTGCTATAAATTTTATTTATCATGAGGCATCAAATTTGCTAGTGGCAAGAGGTATGTGTCTAGGTGTGTCTCAGAGTGAATCAAAGGCGAGTAAATCACATGAATGTAATACTACCTGATGGGTTTCACTGATGTGTAGGAGGAGCTAAAATGATTAACATAAGGTCACAATGAAGGGTTAAAGGGATGGTAGCAAGTTATCCCACTGATTCAGCCATATATCCAGTTTTCTTCTTCTCAGTACTTGGAAAAATCACATTTCTTAGTTCCCTTGCAATTGGGTGAACCACATGATGAGCTCCAGCCAATTGGCTGGGAGTAGAAGTAATATATCACATGTAGAAAGAAGTATTTAAGAGCCAGTGATCAGTTCCCAGCTAGAAACAGTCTGTGATATTGAAGGATGTAAACCCTAGACACTGTCCCAGACCTGGGGCAGATTTTTCTGCAAAAATAAAATAACCTTTTGTTGTGTTAAACTCTGAAATATTCATGTTACTTATTACCATCACAAAATTAGGCACTTCTAACTGATGCATTGGGTTCAGAAGAACTCAGGAAAATCTAAATAAATAATATATCTCAGGAAAAACAGGAAACACAGCCAGCTGTCTCAGAAAATAGAACTGGAAGGTTATTTAGGATCATTGTTGATTTACTGCTCCACCACTAAAGTAACTTAGCTTCTCCCTTTAGATCTGCTTCTTTCTGTGTCTACTTCTGCTTCCACTTCCAATTGCCAGTTGTCTTTTTCTGCATCGTTGTATTTTACATATCTTGCAGACAGATACAACCCAGTAAGTACAATTTGGATACTGAATCAGAAATTTCTCTTGAACCAGACTACTTCGTAGGCTACTGGGGAACCGAAAATGCTCTTTCAGTTACCTTCCCCTGGTCCAATTAGCAACAACCATGGAGTTGGGTCCTGAAATACAAAACATGGCCATGTATCCTTGAGGAAACCTTGGGGCCTCTTCCTCCTAACAGGAGCTGTGAGTTGGAGTCCTGTTAGACAGGAGCTGTCAATATGGTAGGCACCATATTGGCCTGTTCAGTAAACTGGGATACAGACTTTTCAGGTCAGCGACAGAGAGGCTATTATTCTGTCACTGTAACTGCTGGGCCTAGAACTGGTTATACAAATGTCTTGGTATTGACCTGGAAATTGGCTAGTGGCTTCTGGGTCGGGACAAAATTTTTGTTGAACTGAGAAGTCTTCCTAGATGAGACAGGAACTGGGCCCAATGACCCAGGGTCAAATGCAGATTTCTTGCCTTTTGGATACTTCTTGGTCATGACCTAAATAGTCAACTTTGAGAATGTTTTTGGTTGATAATATGCACAAAAGGCAATAGTTTTTTCTTAGGACAATGTAATAATCAGTGACTTAACATTGTTTTGATGTTAAAATATAATTTATGGACTATTTCACTTTACCTTGGGCATTTGGTTAACTCATAAATGTGAAATTAGAGCTTCCCTTTGTTCTTAATGTCACCATCCTAGTGGCTATTGTCTCTTTATGAATACTTTTTAAAATTTAAGTTAGTCTGTGTTTGGCGTATATTTATTTATTTACCTTCTTAAAATGCTTACTACCATTTTAAACTCCACTCCTCAACCCAATCCTTTCTCATTTAACCTTCTTTTAAGGCACCTTTTATATTTTCCAAAGTACTGCATTGTCCTCTCAAATGGCTTCAGTGCCCCAATTGATCTGCATCTAACTCTCAATCAAAGCCGTTGCTGCCTCTGAAGTGATCTCCATTAGGTGGTTTACAGGGAATAAGCCAATTAAATGACTATATACTAAGCTACAGGTTTTGGTAGTTATCCAAAAAAAAAAAAAAAAAAAACCAGTTTTTTTTTTTTGTAAATCAGAGATATCTTCCTAACAGTCTTTAAGTTATTACAGGTCATTCCTGATTTCTTTTAACGTACAAACAGAATGGTGGTCTCCAACACTAACTCTTGGTTAGAGATAATGGTATAGAATAGGGATGGTGGACTTACTATGTTTTGGGAAACCATGACCATATTTCATATAATTTAAGAGACTATTATTTATAAAACTCATCTCTATTGCAGGGCTGCTAAGCTGTGAAAAAGATGTGCTAAAAATTCTACTGAAATATGATACAGTTATACACCACATAACAATATTTTGGTCAACAACAGGCTGCATATATGCGGTGGTCCCATAAGATTATAATATCATATTTTTACTGTATCATTTCTATGTTTAGATACACAAATACTTACCATGGTGTTACAATTGCCTACAGTATTCAGTAGGCTGTAGCATGCTGTACAGGTTTGTAGCCCAGGAGCAACAGGTTATCCCATATGGCCTAGGTGCATAGTAAGCTATACCATCTAGTTTTGTGTAAGCACACTCTATGACGTTCACACAATGAAAAAATTGTCTGACGATGCATTTCTCAGAAGGTATTCAGGTTGTTAAACAACGTATGACTGTACATGGGTTGATGCACTATGGGGACGGAGCAGTGAGGGAGTAGAATGAGGGCTGAGCTTTCACTGAGACCAGGTTTGACTTCCAACCCTGCCCTTAATTAGCTGTGTAACCTTGGGCAAAGCATTTAACCTCTCTGAGCCCAAGCGATTTCATCCGAAAAGTGGAGATAATAATAGCTATGAGCTTATTAGATGTTTTGCATAAGATATCGTACATGAAAAGCTCTTGACACACAGCAGGTGCTCAGTGGGTGTTAGCTGAATTTGAATCTACCTCCTTTTAAGTATCCTTTTACACTTCAGGAAAGAGACTCCTGTCCTATTAAGGAGATTGACAGAGGACTGTAAAGAACTCTGGTTGGGAGAGAAAAGATCTTAGCCTTGACTGCCTAATCTCCTTTATACTATTATTGCCTTGATAATAGTTTGCTTGTTATTCCTTCTTCCCTTCACTAAATCATTAAATTTTGAGTTCCTACGTTTTGTCAGGTATTAGGGATAAAAAGATGAATAAGATACATGGTATCCATGGATCACAGAGTCAAGTAGGGAAAGAAAAAGTGTAAGCGAATAAGTAAGAAGTGTTAACTATTACTCTGAAAAAATTTGCAAACCTTTTCATTAAATAAACAATTTTTTAAAGGTAGATTCCTTATAGCATCTATGATTTGTAAAATGTTGTAGAAACATGGACGATTTAAAGCAAACCCTATCACAAAGCAAATTGCCTTCAACTTTTCCCTCTCGTTAGAGTTAATTTTGACTTTGGCATGAGGACACATTTTGTTTTTCTTCTGCTCACACAGTGCATCTACTACCTTCTCTGTCAGGCAAGTATGGAAAGTAAATTGTCAGGCAAGAAACAGTAAGCACACATCTAAAATCTGAAGCAAAATTGGTAGGCATAATTTTAGCTCTACCTGCATATGGAATAATGTATCTATAGAACTCTTAGTTTTTCTGGTGAGGCAGCATGGTACAGTGGGGAAAATACAGGCTGAGGAATCAGAATATAATCTAAATTTTGGCTTTACTAGTTTTGTGGGCAAATCACTTAACCTCACTGACCCTCAGTTTCCTCATTTGTAAAAACGAGTGATAATACAAGATTATAGTAACAATTATAATATGTCTATACATAATAGGCCTTTAATAAATATTATTATTCAAACCCTAGAACACAAAAGAAAATAATTTATCAACCCTTAGGTAATTGTACAAAATACTCAAATGCCTCAATATAAATTAAGTGTATATTAGGGGCAGAATTTGACCTGATCATTTTAAGCAGAAACTAAAATAGTCTTAACTTGGGATGCCTACTGGGACAAAGTCATTACAAGCTATAAATGTCTAGCTAGAGTAGTAAACCCTGAAAACCAGGATGGGCACAGGTTGGAGCTTCATGGAATGTGGAATGCCCAAACCTGATCCATAACACAAAATCGGAGTCTGCAGTCTTCTGGGGCTAAATATTGGGCCAAAATAGAATGTCTGAGTAAAGGTATATAGTAGTTTTGTCTTTAGTATTCAATGTCGAACCCTTTTCTCAATTGGTAGCTATAGGACCCACTTTCCATCACTAAAGTGCAAGGCCAGTGACTCAGTTTCCATATTCTTGTCAATAAGGGCATGCCATGTGATCTAGACCACTAATAACTCTAGACTGGAGAAGCAAGGTCTAGAAATAACTCATTTTGGCAGAAGTGACAGTGGCAGCAGCATCCAATGTCTAGTGACAACAGCGTCTATGGGGCTTCCAGGGTCATTTCTATGTCTTGTGGAGGTAGGGGAGAGGTTGTCAGTGATAGCAGTCCAGTGTACCCTGACCAGACATGTAGATTCGTCTGTTCTGATCTCTTAATCTCTCTTGGTTCTGGCTCATTTCTTGCAGCTGGTTCTTCAGGCTTCTCATCAATTCTAGGAGCTACTTATTAGTCTGCCAATAGATTCCTTATCTGCTTAAGACAAAGTCCATTTCAGTTGTCTGCATACAAGAATCTTGATTACTATAGGGCAAATGGAAGAATCACAGTGTGGGGCAAATCTGAGGTCAAAGCTGTCAGAGACTTGAGGAGGAGGTAAAGGAGAGGACCTCAGTAAATATGTTGATGGTCCAGACGAAAATGTGTAGATAATATCCATTCGTGATTGAGGCCTTGCCTTGACAAACCACTTCTTGTCTTGAAGACACACTCTTCAACTCAGCTTCTCACAGAAACCAAAACCTCAGCTCATGGCAGAAGGCTGGAACCAGAGTGAGAAGGCTGGTTGCAACAAAGGGTAAAATGCTTCCTTAGGGGATAATCTAAGGCAGCTAAAATACCCAGACCCATTGCTATGGTAATCCACCCACATAATAATTACAGGTTATTTGCATATCTGGATTCCTTTTCATAGCCAGGGGATGGTGTGAAGTCAGTGCTAAAGAAGCAACAAGTGGCTGTCATGTGTCATCTCTGCCCCAAGTGGTTCTGAAATTGGTTTGAAGCTTGAGGAGCCTTCATTCTTTTTGGGATAAAGGATAAGAATCCTAACAGAACTCACCCCCAGTCATCACTAGTCAGAGAGAGCCTTCTGGCAGAGTAGGGTAGTGAAAGGCCTGGGCTCCAGCAGCAGTAACCTGAGTCATGTCCGAGGCGACAGAGAAGAAAATAAACCAGGAGGCCAGAATCTGGGAGGACTGAGAACCAGTAGGAAAAGGAGGGTGGGAAGGTGTTTATGAAGTAAGACAAAGGCTGAGGGTATTAGCACTCCATGGGCACAGTTACATGTGGTGATGGCTGAGGGAGTGGACTTGAGGGTGATTCTCCAGGCCCAGCCCCAGATGTCTCAGGGAACTAACAGTGCCTCTTCTGATTCACAGTGATAATAAATAATTAACAATTATTTGTTATAATTTATATAATATAATGATATATGTTACATATATCATATTATAAAAATATATTTATATATTATAAAAATAGTCATAGATAATAGTATATATTACTATTATAGTTACAGATAATAGTATATATTATCTATAACTATATATTTAGTTATATGTGTTGCATATATAATAATCATAATTTGTCACTATATTATTTATAATAAAAATTTTAAAAATCCAATTTTTGCCTTCTGATACCATTCTGAGCCTGGAATAGCCTCTTAAGGGGCAAAACTCACTGCCATTTAGTGAAGTAAATTTAGATGAGAGTCTTTTAAAATAACTGTCTTTTGAATAATATATTGAGCCAGGCCTGCCCTACCCAACCCCATCTTGGGAAAGCAAGAAGGTAACCCATTGTAAGAGCAAGTTTGGTGTCCCCTTCTCCCTCTATAGCTTGATCCCTTGGTCAGGGACTGTGGCATCTTGGAGCTTCAAGGAGAGATAAGTCCTTAAGGAGAGAAGGGGCATTTTGGGACAAGATTGTCACATCTTCTATCACTGTCCTCTCATAAAACCTGCTCTAGCACACTCTTGCCAAAAGCAAACTGACCAGTGCTTAAAATGCAAGTCAGGAGCAGTGCATGAGCAGTCATGCAGGATGACAGTGGGTGAGATGGTTTGTCCTTAAATCAGGCATAATGTCCTCTTGCCTCCATGCACATCAGGACATCTGAGGAGCACTTCCTGTACCCTGGGCAGGATATTTTAAAAATTAGCTGCCTCAGAGTAGAAAATAAAACTCAACAAGATTTTATCTTGTTTTTAATTTCTATGTCTCCCTGGCAGCTGTAATATTATACTTAGTAAATATCTAGGTTAAACCAAATAGTCACATGGGAAAATGATATTTCACACCTCTATTTTGGAATTATGTGCAAAATTTGCCACATCTGTGTTGTTGAATAATACAGAGTTAAATTGATAACTACCCCAGTTGAACATGATGATCTATAATTAAGTTATTAGCCATTGTTCTGTTGCATAAAAATATTTGATTTTTCAACTCAGGGGTAAAATCTATAGTAACGATCGCTGCTTTGCAAGTTGTTATTTATCACTGGCTTATGTAAGTTTGTAAAAAACAGATTAAAAATGGCCAAAAAAAAGAGTGAATACTTAGAGAAATTATTAGGTCTTCTGTTAAAAAAAGAAAACAAACTTTTATGAAAATTTAGATTTAGTTCCTAATAGAAGAGTAAAACCAAAAGGGAACTTGCTTCCTCAACACCCGAGTGCTAGAACTCTGCAGTCCTGTGGCATATGTTAGCTGTGCTTGAAATTCCCCGCTTTGTGCTAAAGCATTGGCAGAGCAAGTAGAGCTGACATTGCACTATCCTACCTCTCTTTATTTTTTATTCCTCTTCGCTTTTCTCCCACTCCCCATTGCTTATCATCTAGTCCTCCCTCCTGCCTTCTCTATCCTCCTTTTCTTTTTTTTCTGCTTCTTTCCTCTTTCTCTATAGTCTTCATGCTTTCTCTCTTTTCTTTCTTCCTTATCTCCTTCTTCTTCCCCTCTCCTTCAGACAATGCTGCCTTGTGGTTATGAAGAGCATGGGTTCTGGAAGCTAATTAAGGCTTCTAATGTTGGTTCTGCCATTCAGACTGAGTGATCTTGGGGTAAGCTACTTCATCTTAAACATGTGTATCAATCAGGGTTCAACCAGAAAAACAGAGCCGCTACTATGGGAGGCACTGGGGAGGAGAGGGTCTGAAGGGGGAGCTAGAAGATCAGAGGGGCCACCCATCAGTTCACCTGAGAAGGCAGACACGCCCAGCTGCTGAAATAGGATTGTGAATAGGGAGCTGGTGGAGAAATCTATGGGGGGCTGTTGCCACAGAAGGGTCACATTCAAGTATAAGGTGGCACTGCAATTAATCATTGATGCCAGAGGCCTCCCAAAATGGCAGGACGTGGAGTAGAGGAGAGCAGACAGCTGGAGCCCACTGGCACCTTTATGTCTGTCCACTGCTGTATCGAAAGATGACAATCTTCAGAGAGTAATGGCTGCTGCTTTACTTCTGTCTTCCAAATCTCCTGCAAATTCTACTTTTGGCAAAATCAACACCAGAATCATACTGGGGAGAGGATTCTGGAGAACCTTCTGGAGAAGGTCTAGCTTAGCTGATTGAAGGAGTAAATATCACCACGTGAATCGTTTTTAAAAATGTAGTTATTCAGAGTTCATAGCTCATGGGGATGTTGTGAAAAGTAAATGAGATTTAATACATGCAAAGAAAGCACTATTCACAGTCTGACACATAGTAAGCACCCAATAAATGTTGTCATTTATGCTTTGCTTTCAATCCATTTCCTCTCATGATACTCTTCTACTTAAGCACTATTACCAAATTTATCAGTGTCATTGCCATGGTATGTATCATCAATGTTCAGGATAATTAGTGAATGATTGTGGGATGTGTAACAATAAAATAGATATTTATTGAGTACTTAGTAGGTAACATACAATGTACTTTTACATGCTTTAGCACACATGATACTTATAGCAATCTTGTGACCATCATCATTCACATTAAAACATGAGGAAATTGAAGTAGAGAGATTATTTACTTGCCCCCAAATTACACAGGATTAAACACAGTGCCAGTTTACTCTGGAGTAATGTAAACCCAACCATTTCAAATAATCTGTTTCTGTTAACAGGAATACCTCCTGTAGGAAGATTATCTTCAGAAATACAGCACCTTCAAAACTTACAACAGATCTTAGAGTTCCTTTTTGGTTGTTATAGTTTCACACAAAATCTGGGCAAATTATAAATCTGCCCTCTATGGTTTGCAATGAGACCAGTGGTGGGAAAGAACTTGGTATGAGGCAGTGTTTAACAAAGTAGCCTTGCTCAAGCCAACAAAACGTAGAAGTAGTTGGGAAGAGAGATGGAGAAAAGTTGAAGAAAGGTTAAAGTTGGCTCATAATTAGATACAGTTTTACAACATAAAACATGAAAAACTTGCTCTAAATAGACTCCTAGGCCCTTTTAAAGCATGGCCTGTGACTTTTACTGGAAAAAAAAGTTCCTTAAATTATTACAGCCAGTAGTTCTCTTACCCTAGCCCTAAGCTCGAGTTGTCTCCTAAAGCAGAAACTCCAAATTGGCAGCTCTACAGATTGCATGGAATGGGCTTGTGCAATCTTTTAAAACTTAAAAAAAAAAAAAAAAGCCTATCTAAATGTTTTCAGATGGGGCTTATCACAGTTTCTAATCATCTCTCCTTATCTGTCTCCCAGCCTTCCTTCACTTATTGATGCTACATGCCTCAATCTAGAAGGCATGTGAGCTTCCAGCTCCTGCAGAGTCATGATTTCTAGGACAGATTTCAAAGGGATTGGCTGGTCCTGAATTTCCACATGGAAATCAACAGAGACAAGGGGCATGAACCTTCCCAATTCAATTTTCTACTCATCTGACCCCTTCCCTCCCAGCTCATTCCTGAAAGTTCTTTATGGATAAACTTGTTGTGTGGCATTCTGACAACGGCTACGTTTACCTTCTAAGAATTAAGACCTGAATTGCTCAAAAAACCAAGTGCTGAAACCATACAATTTCACCTTTGTCAAATGTGACATGCATTTTGTAAATGAAAAGTCCTGAGATATAAAGGCTGACTAAGCACCAAAAGAGGGAAACAGAAAACTTAGGATTTGTTCATAAGTAGGCACAGGTGCAATCTCTGCAAATACACTTGAAAATGGGTTAATTGTGTACTTCTTAATTTGTAGGGCTTGAAGTTTTAAAGTGTGGTATTAGGCAAATATTTAATTTCCTAGAGTTTGGAACACACGTGGTATGAAAACTTGAAGGTACTAGAATATGATAAATGATAATGTTTTAGCTATGTTGACAAGCAAAAGCTGGATTTGGTATTTTATGGTAAAGATTGACAAAAATTTGTGGCATAATTTAAAACACCTGGGTGTAGTTAAGGTAGCCATAGATTTATTGAATAGAATCTTCCTTTTTTATGAAGATATGGAGATAAATGGGATTATAGAGTCTAACTTGCTAAAAGGAGACATAAAACCTTGCTCTTTATAAGAGAAGCCTTGTAGGAATTTACATTTGTGAATTTCTCCTGGTGTGCTC
The DNA here is from genome assembly GCF_000001405.40 of Homo sapiens. Classification (NCBI taxonomy): domain Eukaryota; kingdom Metazoa; phylum Chordata; class Mammalia; order Primates; family Hominidae; genus Homo; species Homo sapiens. The sequence continues at coordinate 64,178,390 of NC_000002.12, forward strand.
AGTTTCCCAGTATGTGTACCTGAATCTGAGGATCTGCCCCATTCCTTTATATCTTCACTATTCTCTTATGCTTTTTCTCAAACTTATATAATTAAAGATGCTTTTGCTTGTATGGGTATTTAAATCAAATTATTGCTTTAAATTAAGTATAAATGTATAATCTTGTTTTCCTAACTCTGGCAATGTTCTGATCTTTGCTTTCACAAACAAAATGCTTGTTTATAGTTTACAGAATAAGATGACTGTAACTAGAGTCTTTGATTTAAAAAAAAGCTTAATTGTTGAAATTAAAGGATCTCACCAAACATATTGAATATTATTCATTTGGAAAACTATATCAATTTACACATAATTACAATTCCAGAATGTGTGCAATCACGCACTTAACATAATTAGGGAAATTAATACAAATCCCAATTCCTCATATACTAATGATGGCTTCTAGAACACATATCTTTCCCATTTTTATCCAACGTATAGTGCATAGAGGCCTGGCCTGTGTAAAAAATGCACTTGTAGAAAAGTATATATTCCCAATTTCAAGGATTCTTTTGAGTACTCAGGAAAGTATATAAAACTATATATAGAGCCTTACAAATCAAAGTAGACAAATACAAATTATTTGTTATATATTTTGAAAGAAAAAGAGGTGAAATACTTGGTTTAAGCTCAGTCATCAAGGGGGAACAGTTTTAGGGGAAAGAGGTTTAAGTTGCACAATTAATATTATCAATGGCACCAATAATAATGATCTGACTCATTTTGGAAAAAATAATGCTGTCTTTGGCCTTGAATTTTAGAATTGCTTGAGTTGTGCTAGTAGAATTTTCTACAATGATGGAAATGCTGTATATTGTGCACTGTCATATATAGTAGTGAACAGCAATGTGTGACTATTGAGCATTTGAAATGTGGCTAGTGCAACTGAGGAACTGGATTTTAGTTTTATTAATTTTAATTAATTTAAGGTTAAATTTAAATAGTCATATATGGCTAGTGGCTACTGTGTTGAACAGTGCAGTTCTAAAGTGTTATTGATAAAACCGCTTTGTGAAATTTCTGTAATTTACTCACTTATTCATGGACACATTTATATATTTTTACGTTCATTTATTCATTCTACAAATATTTATTGATGGCCTTCTTTGTTCCAGGCATTGAGAACATAATGGTGAGCAAAACTGACCAAGGCCCTACTCTTGTGGAATTTATATAGTCTCATGGAATAGATGGATACCAATCAAATAATCACACAGCTGGTAGAAATTAGAAGAACTGAAGGTTGTAAGATTATCCTGTGTGGTGATTTCTGTGAGGAAGTCCAGGCTTTGCAACCTCTTTAAAGTCTTCTGATTTTCCCCCAGGAAATGACCTCTGACCTGAGATCTAAAAGATGTTTGGCTCTACAAAATGGATGGATTTTATCAGTTGACACTACAGAGATCAAACAAGGTTGTAGGAACAAATTTAGATAATTATCATACTGACTACATATGTAAACAAAACAACTGTTTCTCTTTAGAAAGAAGAATATCAGGAGCGTGGTGGCTTAGAATTATTAAAGCTGTCAAAACTGAAAGTTGAACAACTGATCACAGTATAGCCAGGGAGTTTCCAAGTCATTTTGACTCATAGTGTGTAAGGCAGAGGTGCCCTTAAGAGCTTCCTTCTCTGTTATTGAAATAAGGTACAGAAAACACATATACGCACACACGCACACACGTGCGCGTGCGCGCACACACACACGCAGCTGGGTTTAATTAAGAGGAAAGTGGTCAGATGAATTACATTTTCTTAAAGAAATATTTTGAGATGTTCTTGGAAAAATATATCCCTACTGAATAGCTAGGTTTCTGACATAGACAAAATATGTCTCTTGCAAACATGCCATAAAAAACAGCGCTGATCTCTTCCATTCAGATTTTTCCCAGTGCCTTAGGGTTATCCAGGGAAACAGTTGATCTGAGGGTTTAGGAAACAAAGATGTCCAAAATGATCATAAATAGGGATTGAAATCTAGTTTGCATGTAGAATTCCAATCCCCCTGGAAGTTCTAGCTGATAATCTAATTTAACCATGAAATGATATATGATAATTTGAAAATAATTATGTACTTTCAAATGAGAAGCCACTGAAGTACCACAACACTTTCAAATGAGAAGCCACTGAAGTACCACAACACAGAACTAAAGTAGCATGTGACACTCTAATTTTTTTTTTTTTTTTGAGATGGAGTCTCACTCTGTCGCCCAGGCTGGAGTGCAGTGGTGCAATCTCCGCTCACTGCAAGCTCTGCCTCCCAGGTTCACACCATTCTCCCATCTCAGCCTCCCAAGTAGCTGGGACTAGAGGCACCCGCCACCACATCCAGCTAATTTTTTGTATTTTTTAGTAGAGACAGGGTTTCACCATGTTTGCCAGGATGGTCTCAATCTCCTGACCTCGTGATCCACCCGCCTTGGCCTCCCAAAGTGCTGGGATTACAGGCATGAGCCACCGTGCCTGGCCGTGTGACACTCTAATTTTGACTGCTGTAATTTTAATTTGGGGTTGGAGTCAGGGTGGCATGGCCTCCTCAAAACATCCTGATGCTAGTAACATATCCAGGCAGAATATCTAAGACAGATAGACTCTCTTATCTTCAAAAGTGTGCAAAAACTATTTTGAGCACCTCTCCCACTGTAATATTTCATGAATCTGCCCAGTTTTTATGGAATGCTGCCAGGTGGCTGAACTCTATCCTTCACCCTTTCTTCTCCCTTCTTGGTATGCCTGAGAGTATGTGAATTAAGTGACATGCGTAATAACTATAACAAAATTTTATTGCATTCAATAGAAATCACTACATAACACACCTGAATATTCTGGGGATATGTGCTACATAGAGCCAGTGAGAACTCTTGGGTCGACGCAGTATTGGATGCTTTTGTCTCACCCACACGAGACAAGTTGATACCATGTCTTTCCCTAGGCCTATGTGTAAAATCTCCATGAGTGATAGGAGTGATAGGATGCTGCTCCATGAGTCCACATCTGCAGATCCCCTGAAGCTTCTGAACGTTATCGATTGTACTGAATTCAATTTTCTTTCAAACACACACAAATTGTTTTCATTAGGATATGTGCTCAGTCCTTGCCCAGAGGTAAGCATTGCCTCTAGGCAAGTCCCTGGGTTATTACCCTGTGTTCACCCTTTCTGACTTGTGGCTTTACATTAAAGAGATCTTGTTGAGTAGGCTTGTGTGTATGGAGCGGGAGGCAGGGAGATTCAGTTCATTTCACTCTGGTGGTCACTAATGTCCTTCCAGGCCCAAACCATTATCATACATTCTGTAGCCACTTACATGTGTACATGTAAATGACTTGTGGAAGTCCTACAGGTAAGTTAGCTTGTAGAATATTTTAACTTTTTTTTTTTTTTTTTGAGATGGAGTCTCGCTCTGTCGCCCGGGCTGGAGTGCAGTGGTGCGATCTCAGTTCACTGCAAGCTCTGCTTCCCAGGTCCACACCATTCTCCTGCCTCAGCTTCCCAAGTAGCTGGGACTACAGGCGCCCGCCACCGCGCCCGGCTAATTTTTTGTATTTTTAGTAGAGACTGGGTTTCACCGTGTTAGCCAGGATGGTCTTGATCTCCTGACCTCGTGATCCACCTGCCTCGGCCTCCCAAAGTACTGGGATTACAGGTGTGAGTCACCGCGCCCGGCCTTAACTTTTTATAATGCAAAATTTCAAACATATCCTAAAGCAGACACACTGGTGTAATGAAGTTCTATGTACTGCCATCACTCAGCTTTCACATGATCAACTCATGGCCAGTCCTGTTTCATTCACAGCCCCACCTATTCACCACTTTCTGTATTACACAACAAGTCTTCACTTAACTTCATCCATAGGTTCTTGGAAACTGAGAAACAATGTGTAAGAAAACCAATTTTGTCATAGGGTAATTGATATATAAACAAGAGTTACATCCCTAAAAATGGAACTACCATTCCAGTCAGCAATTCCACTACTGGGTATATTCCCAAAGGGAATAAATCATTACATCAAAAAGATACCGGCATTCACATGTTTATTGTAGCACTATTCACAATAGCAAACATAGGGAATCAACAATGGAGGACTGGATAAAGATGAGGTGTAGATGCACCATGGAATAAAGTTATAAAGAAAAATGAAATCATGTCTTTTGCAGCAATATGGATGGAACTGGAGGCCATTATCCTAAGTGAAATAACTCAGAAACAGAAGGTCATATACCACCTGTTCTCACTTGCACGTGGAAGCTAAACAGTGGGTGCACATGAACATACAGAGTGGAATAACAAACACTGGAGACCCCAAAATGTGGGAAGGTGGGAGAGGGGTGAGGGTTGAAAATGTACTAAGAGCCCAGACTTCACCACTATGTACTATATACATGTAAGAAATCTGCACCTGTACCTCCTAAATGTATGAAAATAACATTTTTTAAAAAGAATTAAGTTTCTATGGCATATTTCTGATCACAGAAACATCACCAGACTTATAAATAAAGACCCTAAACACTTATAATATTAAACACTGAAATAAACGTGAGTTATACCTACATTTAAGGAAGATTAATATAAACAGGATAATTACCCAATTTTGGTGAATCACTGAGTGATGGTAGGCATAAAGGTAGTGGGTTAAATCAAAGAATAAATGTTTGCAAAGTACAAATCATAAGGAGCATCTTCTCCCACCAATACGGTTCAAAATCAAACAAGGACAAATCTGGTAGGCTTGCTAAGTGCTTTTGTGCTGCATCATTTATTGTTGTGCATTTGTGTGATTATTGAACACTTTTCAGATTTTTATTTTATAATAACTTGTATTCATTCATTCATTTTCCAACCTGCATATTCCAGTTCAGGGTCACAGGTGACTGGAGCGTATGTCAGCACCTCAGAGCACAGAGATGGAAACCAGCCCTGGACAGGACACCATCCCATCACAGAGTGCATCACACTCCAATACTCATTCATATGGGGACCATTTAGATGCACCCGTTTACCTAATGTGCACATCTTGGGATGTGGGAGGAAAGTTGAGTAGGAGTTCCCAGAGAAAACCCATGCAGACATGGGGAGAATATGCAGATGCCACACAGACAGGGGCCCTGGCGCAGAGGCCATTTTTTCTTTCTCATCAACGTTATAACAATGTTGAACGAAACAGCATTATCCGGGGACTTGCTGCATTTTAAAACAAATTCGTGAATAGTTTACAGATGGATGGAGCAATTAATAGAGGAGGCCACTTTTCCCCCAAAGCCTTCTTTGATCCTTTGCTCCCCAGTAGGAAGTAACGGCCACCCTTGAGACTCCCCATCATTTTCTCCCTATTTTTCTTCTAGCACCTACCGTTGTTTCTTGCCTGGAATTATACGTCTTTTTGTATATCTCTCTTTCCTATTGAACCCTAAGCTCCTTGAAGGCAGGCTCCATGACTAACTCATACAGCATTCAATAAATATTTATTGAATGAAGACAGGAATATATAAAGATGGGTTACAATGATTGAAATCCAAATTTAGATCAAGACAGATCCATACCCAGCACTGGGAATCTCTTTTTTCTGTGATTTGATCTGGCTTCTGTTTACAGATCTTAATTGAGTACAGACTTTGAGTTTCTTCCAAATGCCAATAAAACCTTTAGACAAAATATGTTTATCTCGAATTGAATAAAGAACTAAATATGGCAGAAGATATATTTGTTATTTATGATAATATAAAAGAAGCAGTTTCATGTAGCTATGTATTAAAGGACACAAACTTGAAAATGGAAATCTCTATTTTTGCATGAAATAGTAAAAGAAATTTGGAAAGGATGAACTTCCATGTAAAAATGAACTTTAGGGTCAGGCAGACCTGGTTGCAAATTCCAGCCCTGTCACTTTGCTATATGACCTTGAATAAGTTACTCAGCCTCTCTGATCCTTACTTTCCTAATCCATAAAAATGGGAAGAGTTTTTCCTTGTTTCTCAGGATTGTGAAGGATTAAATGAGGTAGCATATGTGAGACCACCCAGCACTGTCTCTCATGTAAAGTTGGTCCTCCCACGTGTTGGTAATAATTCTAACAACCACTTATTCAGAGCTTACTATGTGCTGGCACTGGATTAAGCAGGATACAAGTATTATTTTAATTAGTCCTCACAGTAACTTTGAGGATGGTGTTAATATTTTCATTTTGCTCATGAGGAAACTGAGGTCTAGAAAATTAAGTAACTTGCTCAAGGTCACGCAGCTAGTTAGAGCTAGGGCTCTAGAAGACTTGATCCTGAGTCTTTATGACATGGAAGTGGAATTCTTGTTCCTACTGTGCTGCCTAACTTTCTTTCATTATAATTTCTTTGAAACTGGCTGGCACGGTGGCTCTAATACTTGTAATCCCAGCACTTGGGAGGCTGAGGCGGGTGGATTGCCTGAGCTCAGGAGTTTGAGACCAGCCTGGGCAACATGGCAAGACCCTGTCTCTATTTAAAAAAAATTTTTTTGTTGTTGAAACTTTGCATAGAAAAGGACTTAAAACTCTAGGGAAAATGTCTTTCAATCACTCACTGCTGTTGCAATCATATATAACAGAATCTGAGAAATATGCAACTTTGAGTATTTGGGAGTTTTTGAAACGGGGAGAGTAAATAGTATTAGAATGAATGTTTGAAGACCATATTCATTTTTATTTTAAACACTTATAGGAATAGTGATTTGGTAGAAAATTAATACATTTAATCAAGGCATGCAGAATGTACAGAGACTTTTTTTGTAACACTCATTACAGTGATGTAGTGGGAAAATATTCCTAAAGGCACAACTCAACTTCCAGAAGACATCTATAGCAATAGCAGCATCAAAAATGTATACAATTTATAAAATTTGGAAAATTTTCTGAAGATCTTAAGTAAAAAATTTAATATTAGTAAAGTTTTAGAAAGTATTTAGAAAATTTAATATTAGTAAAGTTTTTAGTAAAGTTTTTTAGAATAAATATAGAATAGGTGTTTGTTGGACTACATGAAGGATGAGGCATAAAATGCCCAATATATTCAGTCATTCAGAATCTGAGGCAGTATCCAGGGCTTAATTAGGAGTTCTGAAATTTCTTAAATCTATTAGTTCCATTAGTTATCCCAACACAAATGTCTAGAAAAGCTTCTACTAAAATATTCAGTTTGATTGTTGGAAGCTGTCATTACTGTTCTCTTTGAATGAAAATATTTAAAGGATTTGTTCTAGAAAATGCAATCCAGCCTGGAACTCTGTCTTCAAGGTGGGACTGACATGGCTAGTCCCTACAAGCTTCCATGATCCAAGTACAGATTTACTGTAGTAAAGAAAAATCTGAGTCAAATGTCTGAAGAACAGGGTGTGATTTAGCTAAAAGTGCCAATTTTGTTACAGCATGTTTGGAAAAGTTGCCCCCGAACCGGCTGTCATGAGTATTTCTTACATTAAAATAATTCCCACTGAACTTTTTGAAAGTAAATAGCTGGTATCCAAGAATCTCCCAAAATAAGCCATTGGAAAGTCTCATGAGGACAGGAATCTTTGTCTCTGGCTCTCACCATAAACCCATGTTGACTGTGAAATGAGAGGGAAATTATCTCTGCCACGGTTCAGCCATACCAGGAGTCTGGCTTTGTGTTTGTTCTTACATTTGAAAACTTTTCCTTAACAAGCTCTCAAATTCCTGGATGTTACATGAAACATTCTTCAAATAAGTTTTGGATGATAACCTTGATATGATCTAAGTTGTATGCAGCAAATATAAATCTCCAATATTATTATTGCATCTCCTAAAACTTCCCATGGATTTGAACTCTGGCAGAGATAAAGCAGACCCCAAAATGGTCTCAACTAGACAAATGTTGAATAGAACAATTGCTGCCTCCAGTTGCTCTTGACACAAGTATTTGGTGGGGTGGGGAGGAGGACAGGGTGTTGTTTGCTATTCATGCACAGGCTCTTTTCTTTTTCATTCTGCAGACAATGATAACTAATTAATACTGCAGGGTCCTCAAGGTAGGACACATGGGTCAGTTCCTCTGTACCTGGACTTCTAATCATCTCAGATAAGGAGAAAGAGGAAGGAGCAGTAGCCACCTGCCTTTAGTAGAAATGTTGCTTGGTTTTCTGGCAGGGCTCTGCCATTCCACTTTGGCTTGGGTATGGGGTGGGCAACTTCTCACCAAGAGGTCCTCAGGAAGAGAAAGTCTTGGGAGGAGGGGCAGCATGATAGATGAAACATCAGGTTGAAAAAGTCCAAGTATGTTCATCCTTGGTCTCATCTTTAATGTAAGCAGTTGAGAAATTAAGTTGCTCCTGCTGTGTTAGAGTGTCTCAGTTTCCCCAAATTTAGCCATCAGCAGAGAGCACATGTACATCCTAGGGGCTGCTGCTTGCAGCAGAAGATAATGCTTTTGCATGCATCTCTAAGCACAGCGTGAAATGAGTCCCTAGTGGGAGGAAGCATGACCAATGAGTGTCAGATGTTCAGGCTTTCTGTGTGACTCCAGTCAGGGGCAGGGCTGTGGGTAGGTTAAGACAGGGTTTAGGGAAAGAAAGGAATTTGAAGGCAACCAGAGCTCCAGCTTAACCAACCCCACAGTATAAAATGCATAAAGAGGCAAGTGGGAAGGAGGATGAAAGGGAGGCAGTGGGATAAAAGAGTGGGGGTTGGGGGTGGGGAAGATCTTTCCAAGCCATATATGAGAGCTCTTGTTTACTGGCCTGACCACTCACCAGCAGGGTGACCTTGGGCATGTTACTTAACTTTTCGGGGCCTCACTTTCCTCATTTGTATAATGAGGATGATAAGTCTACTTAGGTCATCAGATTTTTAATGAAGTCCAAATGAATACATGTAAAACATTCAGGTCTGTGCCTGGCAAATAGTAAGTGTTCAATAAACATTAGCCTTTAGTATCTGTGGCTCAGGCTTGCTCTTATGATGTGGTTTCATTAGTTTACCTACAGTTTGTACTAAAAGAAGGCTCTTTTGGAACATGCAGAGAGTGTTTTGCAATACCCAGAGAGGCTCTAGTGGGTATTACTTCATAGTTTGAATAAAATGTATGCTTGTTCAGGGAAAGCTTGGAGATCCTTAAGAAATGTCTTTAAGAAGGATTACACCTGCCACTAAGTGTAAATTATTTGTCTAATTCAGTGTTTCAAATAAAAAAAAAAACAATAGAAGAAAAGACTTTCCTTACATATGTACTCACTTGATAATATAATAGGACACTTAGGGTCTCCCTCTCTGATTTGCTCAAAAATAAAAAGGCAATTAAAGAACTTTACAAAACATTCAGTTTCAAAAAGAAAAAAAAAAACAACACTGAGGCTGTGCATATCTTGAGAGCAGTTCCTTTCTTCTGCAGGAATGCCTTCTCATTAGCTCTTAGTTCAGCCTGCATCTGGGAGTTGGGAGGGTGTTGGTTTGAAACAGACCTCTCTGTACAAATCTGCAAAGAGAGATGATCTAAAAACCCACCAGAAGGAGAAAGATGCTATGAGCTTCCAAATAACTACACGGTCAAGAACTCATAGGACCTGAAATTTGACATGTGATCAAGGCCAGCACAGGCTTTTGAGAAACACAGACAAAAGTTATTGTAAAGGTGATACATTAACTGGTTCAGTAAGAGACGGAGGGCAATACCATTTAAAAAATGTATTTTGGATTTATTAAATCATAAGGGAGTGAAGACTTACTTCCTTATGAGATAGCTAACCTGTTTAGGGTTAATCTTAGGTGTCTCCTTGCCAGAGTAGTCAAAAGAGTTGGTACAAGGTCATTTTAGATATAAACCAGAAATAGCATGGAGGCATAATTATTATATCAAAAATACAAATCACAGCAAACAAATTTTTCTAGAGACTCAGTTATGGTTTTGGTCAGGAAAAGAATCGTTGGCGTATTTTCACTGGAGTCTAGCTTCATAGGGTAACCTAGGGGCAGGACTAGTACTGAAGTTACTGGAAAGTCACTGTTATTTGGTGTTTCTTCTAAAGTCTGTCATTAATATGTCTCTGACAGAAATTAACTCTGCAAAAAGCGCTGTGGAGAACCTGGGTTTTAATCTAGGGTTTTGCAAGTTCATGCACCTGGCAGTGGCCTAAGGCGCAGAAGGACCAAACTGAGGTGGGTTGTTATTAAATTGTTTGCATTCAACCTTAGTTTTCTTCTTATTAAAAATGTTTTCAGGGCAAATAATTGCTAATGCTTCATAAATAGAAAAAAAAATAAAGTTACAAATCAAATTGCTGTAGTTCATAAGGAAGGAGAGAATTAAAAAGAAAAAGAAGTTGAACTCTTCATTTGAAAGTTTAGAGTCAGAACCTGGGAGCTTGGATCTTGCCATCAGTGACAGTGTGATCCTGAATAGATATGTTAGCTTCCCTACATAGGAAGCTGAGTAAGTAACAATCTTTCTGCTACACATTAGGAATACTTTGTGAACATTTCTACTGTGTTTACACAACACAAAATAAAGTGATTGCTGATTATTTAGTTTAGGTGATCGGTGAAGTTGGCAGAATCAGCCAAGACAAGCCTGAGATTCATTGTCCTTGACTTGTCTGCCTTGATTACTTACATGGGTCTTAATTAGCCAACAGATTGCAGACTTCCTTTCACTTTGTGCTCAGCAAATTTGACAGCAGAGTTGTTTTCCTCCCTAGTGGAAACGAGCAATATTTATATTGCTAGGGTCTAAAAGAAAATTTTTAAAGATGATTAAAAAACTAGAGAGTGGGAAATTTTAGTTTACTGAAACTCTGCTTTCTTGTTCCTTTCTCCCAAAGCGTACCTCCTCATTTCCTTGAGTCACCTGTTTCACTTCTAAACCAATGACTCTCAAATTTGAGGGAGGATCAGACTCACCTGGAGGCTGGGCCCCACCCCTAGAGTTTCTGATTCAGCGGGTCTGGGGTGGGACCTGAGAATTTGCATTTCCGACAAGTTCCCAGTGATGCCGCCGCTGCTGCTGGTCCAGGCACCACAGTTCAAGACCCACAGACGGAACTGGCCTCCTGTCAGTTTCTGAATCGCCCCCGTGGCCGTGGATCCACCCACAGCCTTCATCTCTGCCTTGGGCTCTTGCTTCCTTCACTGCCTGTCTCCACGTGGATCCCAGGCCTCCCTGGGAGCTCCCAGCTGGGAGGTAAGGTGCAGGAGGCCTAATTCCCCACACCCCCTCAAACACATAACTTATATGTTTTTAAATGAAAGGATAGAGAACAAAAGGGAATTACAAGCAGGAGTGAATAATTTGAAGCTGAAACTAAATATAATTGCTCTGGAACACTGTTCCTCAACCTTTTTTTTTTCCTTATCACCCTTCCCCCAAAGGAGACCTTTAGACATTTTTTTTTCCTAATTGTACTCCACCCCAACCTTTACTCCACTCATGAAATTTAAACTCCACAGATACACTGTATATTTGCTTATTTACTGTGGCCATTGGGAAGGCCACAAGCCATTATAATATCTAAGATTTTGTTCATCCACTGAGAACCAATATTTGCCCCCTTGGAGATGATAACATTCCTATTGACAAATGCATTTTCTAGTCTAGCAAGGTAAAATCAGTAAACAATGGGAACTGTTCATGGGTTCCTCTGTAGGCACACTGCCCTTCTCAACCTTGCTCCAATGTTACCAAGGCTTCTCTTGCCTCTTCTGTCTGAGAATGGCCTATTCTTCAATTTTCTTAGTGCTGCTTCTCTGCTGCTCTAGTTTTTAGAAAAACTCCATCCCATTCTTTTACCCTCAGGTCTAGAAAGTGATAGAGGAAGAATAAAGCCACCTAAGAGATCTACAACTCTCTGTTTTCCTTCTTAGTTCCTTACCAACTGACTTCAGGGATGAAACTCTGCCAAAGAGGGAAATTATATTAAAATCAGTACCAGATGCTTTCCTCCTTTTGTCTGACCAGGTAGTCTAATGATACCACAACAGCATTGCCCGAGGTCTGAGTTATTCAATCAAGAATAGCCCCATAGGGACTTTATCAGGACAGTCAATGGGAACCTCCAACCCTTCAGGAAAGGTCCCCTCAAGGTTTCTTCACTGCCGAGATGTGCAGAAGTTTCTCATTCTCCCTGCAAGCTTTGTAGGGGTGAATATGAGAACATCTCCTTCACCTCCCTCTCCCGACACACCCTCCCTCCCCACACACAGACACCACAAACACACACATGCAAGCATGCACAAAGAAAAAGCAACAATTCTCAGAGACTGAATAGAAACCTTTTTTTTTTTCCTAAATACAATTGGGAGTATTTGTCCAAATTCCTGTGCCCACAAGGGAGACAGACTTTTACATTTTTTTATGCAGAACACTTTCATTTCCTTTCTCCTGTTGCCAGATAATACCCTAACTCCTGCTGTGAGAAGCCCATTAGAACATCTTGACAAACAACAGAACCCTCTACCCCAACTAGAACTGGAGCTGGAAATTAGAGCTTTTTCTTCACTTGGGGTCATTATTTCCTTCAGTGAGCTCTAAAGTAGAAGAGGAAGCTTAGGCCTTGTTAGCCTGCTGCCCACAGTAAACACCTGGAGAGATAATGGCAGGTGGTGTGCTAGGAAAGTATTGTGCTGCTAGTCACATTTTTTAAAAAATGGAAGTCTGTTTTATTAGGATGGTATATGTACTTTTGTGCCTCTTCTAAATGGAAAAATGGAAGAAATATCACTTAATTCATTGGATAAGATCTTATATCTAGCACAGTTGATGGATTACCAGCCAAGACTCAAAAGAGGCAGATGGCAAATGCTTGGGCTGAAAATCATATCTCTAGCAGATCGGAAACGGTGGCTCTATTACAATAACGTCAACCTGCCATGTTAGTGACTCCTACTTCCAGGCCTAGGAAAGATGTTAAAGGTATCCTAATTGAGCTTGCTCATCTATACTGAGGAGTGAGATCCAGAGGGGCATAACATGGTTTGTCCAGGGTCAGCCAGGTGAAACGGAAAAGAGCCAGAGCTCAAAACTAAGATCTGATTCCTACCTGGGTGGATCCTTCCTTCCTTTCTTTTTCTTTTTCTTTCTTTCCTTCCTTTCTTTCTTTCTTTCTTTCTTTCTTTCTTTCTTTCTTTCTTTCTTTCTTTCTTTCTTTCTTTCTCTCTCTCTTTCTTTCTCTTTCTCTCTTTCTCCCTTTCTCTCTTTCTCCCTTTCTCTCTCTCTCTTCTTTCTTTCTCTCTCTCTCTTTCACAGGGTCTTTCTTGCTCTGTTGCCCAGACTGGAGTGCAGTGGTGAGATCTCAGCCTTCTGCAACCTCTCCCTCTTGGGCTCAAGCGATCCTCCCACCTCAGCCTCCCAAGTAGCTGGGACTACAGGCACACACCAATTATGCTCGGCTAATTTTTTTCTTTATTTTTTGCAGAGATGGGGTTTTGCTATGTTGCCCAGGCTACTGGATGGTTCTTTCTACCACACCAGGACACTTCCTCCATTTCCTTCTTCCTTTGTGGTAAAGTCAGGATTATGGTTTCTTCACAGATATTGCTGAGATGTGTTAAATCTACAACAGAAAAATCTGAAAGGTCTGTCTGGGTTTAGGCTCCAATTTCCTGAAGAATTAAAAGAAGCAGGATGACCTTTTTGGCTTATGAATTGGAGTGGGGGTAGGAGAGACCAAAAAGGAGACCCGGAAGTTTAGGACAGCTTTCCTATGTTTTCAAGAGCCTCAGAGTGAGAACCCCAAAACATCTTCCTATGGCTGCCGTATGGCCAACATGAAAACTAAGTAAGGAAAAAAGGAAGCTAGGGGTGAGGGCAGGACAGATTTCCCTTTCCTTCTCGAGTTCCTCTTCTAGCATGTGAAACTCTAGAAGCAAGATTCAATGACATCAGCATCTTTGGTGAAAAGGCAGACAGAAGTGGAGGGGTTACGAGAGAGGAATTAGCGACCTTGACGTGCCTGACCTAATGAATGCAGCGTAGGCATCCCACAGCTTTCTTAGTGGAAGCACCATCTGAAGGTGGACTCAGTTGCAGGGTATGAGCCCAGATTAAGCTGTAACTTGACCTAATTCAAAATAAAAAAATAGTAAGCTTTGATTATGTGCCAGGTAAGTGTTGTAGGAAATAGAAAGACAAATATGACATGGATTCTGATTTCAAGGGATTTATTATTATCTAGGAGACAGAGAGAGAGCTGTATACAAACTACAAAGATACAAGACAGAATGTGACTGTGCTATTAAAAAGTTAAAAACAAAGTTCTCTGGAAGCCTGAGGCTATGGCTGCAAATGAGCTCTTAGCCAGTATCCTGTGCATTTGGGCCACTATCAGATGTTAGAGAAGGCAGAAGTGAAGGGCCTATGCTAGGGAGTAGGTGGAAGTAGTTGGGGGATTTGATGATAGAGAGGTTTTCCGTTGACTGAAGAAGCAGCTACTTCTAAGTAGTCATTTGTCATCATCGAGGTCAATTTTCAATTTTAGTTTATGTATTTGCATTCCTAGTTTTGGTGAAATCCCTCTTCCTACTCACAAATTTGTGCTTGTAAATGACCAGTTGTTCTTTTCACTTGGGCAGTTAAGCAACAAAAGGATTGCATGTGCAAATTCAGGGGTTTGGAGACAAACACAACGGTGCGGTGTTAGTGGTTGCGTAACTCCAAACTGGGAAATGGAAAAACTAAGAGACAACTGTGAAAATCATTACTAACGTTTTCTTTCTGAACTATCAAGAAATAAAATTATTTATTTGGTTTTTGGAACATGATAGATGGGGTAGAAAGTTTCCTTAGGCAAAGGACATGGTGATTTTCTTTTCTTCTTTTTTTTTGAGATGGAGTTTTGCTTTTGTTGCCCAGGCTGGAGTGCAATGGCGCGATCTTGGCTCACCGCAACCTCCGCCTCCTGGATTCAAGTGATTCTCCTGCCTCAGCCTCCCAAGTAGCTGGGATTACAGGCATGCACCACCACGCCCGCCTAATTTTGTATTTTTAGTAGAGATGGGGTTTCTCCATGTTGGTCAGGCTGGTCTCAAACTCCCGACCTCAGGTGATCCGCCTGCCTCAGCCTCCCAAAGTGCTGGGATTACAGGTGTGAATCACTGCACCTGGCCAGGACATGGTGATTTTCTAAGTCGCTTATGCCTTGTTATTTGACTCAGTAGGGTCTACATTAAAAATGAAAAAATACAACAACAACAAAAACCCAAATCACAAGATCTGGAATATTTTTGGCCATTCCATTTCAGTATAAATGGGTCTAGAAATAAAACCTAGGCACACCCCGGATAGCGAGTTTGAGGTTTTGTATGGCAGAGATGGCCAATGATTCATCAAAACTTTACCCTCCTCTTTTCATAGTGGAGTTATTGCTGGGAGGTGGCTTCTAAGATGGAGGCTACATTTTTTAGCATGTCCTACCTTCCTGACTCCTTGCATCCAGGTGGTCATCGATAAAATGTGACAGAAGGTGTGCATGTCTCTTTTTCTAGGCCCAGACTTTTAAGAAATGAGTGGGGGCATCTTCATTTTCTCTTCCCCATCTGCTGGCTGAATGCAGATGGGTGGAACCACACGATGGAAATAGCCTGGGTTTTTTAATAATCACATGAAGGAAAGCTGCCTACAAACCAGGCACACTTGCATTGAAGTATTACGTGAATGAGAAACAGAATTCTAGTTTTAGGTAAATTTTATCTGCTACCTGTAGAGCTACAGGGGTCTTCTGTGGTGAGCTTCTCTGGAGGAAGAGCATCCTTCCTGTCCACTGATGTTGGGCTTGGTCATCTGACGTGCTTTGGCTAGTGGAATGTGAGCAGACGTGATGTAGACCACATTCCAGCAGAAGCTTCAAGAGCTATTGCATGATTCCACCATGATCCTTTCTCCTGTTCTAGAACAGCATTTAGCCTGGATCCCATATACAGAAGGGACATTTAGGCTGGATCCCAGATAAAGAAGACAAGTGGAGCAGAGGAGCGACTGACACGTAGCTAACATATTCCATAGCAAAACATAAACCTTTGCGGTTGATATGGGGATTGCTTGTCACAGGAGAATAACCTAGCAAAAGCTGACCAACAGATTGTGCTAAACCACTGACATTTTAATAGTTATCTAGGCTAGCATTTGGTGTTACCCTACCAAACTAGAAGGATTAAGTGTGTGGTAAACTGGGAAGTGGGTAACAGTGAACAAGATATCATAAAACATTTCTGTTTTAAAGTACAATTAAATGCAAAATACTCTAATGGAATTAAAAGTCATAGTAAACCAGCCTGAGCAACATGGCGAGACCCTATCTCTACAAAAAAACACAAAAAATTTAGCCAAGTGTGGTGGCACACACCTGTAGTCCCAGGTACTCAGGAGGATGAGGTGGGAGGATCACTTGAGCCCAGGAGGTTGAGGCTGCAGTGAACCCTGATTGTGCTACTGCACTCCAGCCTGGGCAATAAGTGTGACCTTGTCTCAAAAAAATTATTAAATATTAATTGACAAATCACAACCTGGTAAAACGGCAGACCAATAAATTCATTTTCAAACACAAATTGAATAATGCAACATTAAGGTAATGGACCACTCTCTGGCTCCATGGAGCTATCTGACTTCTGCCAATTGAAAGTTCTTGGCAGAATCTGAAGAGGTGGGTGGATTGATGCCTAAACATAGAGATGATCCTATAAAGATTCCTCTGTTTCTGCAACCCCAGTACAACCTGACTCTGCCCACAACTCCCTTCATGGAATGTCATAGGAGAAGGATACCAGAAGGGTACAGATAGGGTGATGCAACAAAGATGCATTTAAACTTGTCATTTTTGCACAAGACTGAAACCTTCACAGGGACTAACTATTGAAGAAAAGGGCAGGGTCATTTTGGAGCTCCAGGACACCTGGAGATGGCATACCTGGTGAGTGTCTGGAGATGGGATGTGGGAAGGGGTAGAAAGAAAAGCTTGTGATGGAACCAAAGTGATACAACTGCCCAGAGGCCCTAATCAGCTGATACCTGGGGACCTTGGGCAGGTTACTCTTGTCCCTCACTTGATCAACAGGATGGTTATGAATAAGAGATGAGTAATTTTAAATATAATTTAAAAATGTTGTCATAAGAAAAAAAAATGAAAATATGCTCCGCTGGTTGAAAAAAAGTCTGTTGTATTGTTTTCTTTTTTCCTTTATTTCATTATGACCAGGGAATTTATTTCCACAAACAATAAGTTTATAAAAAATAGTGAAGACATAAAAATAGTTATTCATAAGCTAGAGAATAATAATGTCCTTGGTGATGTCTGATTGAGTTGCAGAAGGCATGAGTTTGCCACCAACAGCTCAGTCACCTCCATGCTCTCCACCACAGGAATGTGGGATGAGGGGGTCTTGTCATACGCGGTGCTACCCAGCTCTTTTAAAAATCTGGTTGGCTCTGTCACATCATACTCTGGCTGTGGTTTCCCTTGGGTGACACTGACCATTCATTCAACATATTCCATTTGGCAGATATCTTCCATTTTTACCCTAGTGACAGTCTTTTACAATTACTTAACTTGGCAGCCTCTTTGCGATGTTAATGGTTGTTTTCTAAACAGGAAAGGTGGATGGTGACAAGGACCTGGCTTAGCTCCTCACTGCATATCATATCACATCCCATTTTGGCTGATCATCGAAAACACTCCCGAACCATGCCATCAGCTCCAAAGTTTATTTGAAGAAATTTATATGGAAAGTTAACTATATTACTACGAGACTAGTCTTAATTTCTTCCTTGTTTTATTAAGAAATTAAATGTATGAAAATTAGGAGGTTAGTGTATCATGGGAGTTGAAACCGTGGCAGCAGCATGTAAAGTCTATGTCTGGGAATGGTTGAGGCCAAGAGTCAGACCGTGCAATGCTTAGTATTGCGGATTTCAGGGAATAAAACGGATATAAAGACAACTAGGCTGCCAGGCACAGTGGCTGACTCCTATAATCCCAGCACTTTGGGAGGCCAAGACAGGTGGATCACTTGAGGTCAGGAGTTCGAGACCAGCCTGGCCAGCATGGTGAAACCCTGTCTCTTCTAAAGAAAACCACAAAAATTAGCCAGGCAAGGTGGCAGGTATCTGTAATCACAACTACTCAGGAGGCGGAGGCACGAAAATCATTTGAGGCTCAGGCACGAAAATTGCTTGAACTCGGGAGGTGGAGGTTGCAGTGAGCCTAGATTGCCACTGCACTCCAGCCTGAGCGATAAGTGAGACTCTGTCTGAAAAGAAAAAAAAAAGATAACTAGGCAATAGTTTTGCCCCTTTCTTTCTGTTCTTTCACTTGTAAGGTAGTTAATAAAGTCCATTTAGTTACTACCAAAAATGCATTTAAAAGTGTTAAACTACAGCCAAAGATTTATTCTTTTAAAATGCATTGAAATGTTTTAAAATACAGCAAAAGATTTATTTTTTTTTAAATACCAAATATTGGTGTCAACATAGCACAATTATTGTAATTCAAACTTTGGATTTTGTTGGAAGTGTTTTTGCATTCGTATTACTATTATGTACTTCCAGCCTGACCTTTCTCTTTTCCTAGAAGAGCAAATTGGAGTTAGAGGTGAGGGAAGTGGCAAAACAGGAGGCTATAAAATTGATGAACAGCCTGTAGGGACGCAAGAAACTAAATATTGATCTTTGTTCTTTCAGTGAGGACTCTTGCGTTTCTAAGGATGTCATTACAGCCATGGCAGTATGGGTTCATCCGATCTGCTATTCAGCTGTGGTTGCTCTCGGCATTGAAAGGACGCTTTGTTCATGGGGTCAGCTGATGACCAGGGAGTTTTCTAAAGTGAGACTTACAGTGAGAAAATTCCTCTCCAGGTGTTATGTGAGATATTTGGGGTATGTAGGACTGTGAGGTAAGGAATACAGTTTGCTTTAAAAAATGACACAACTAAAAAAAATGGCATAGCTTATACATTCAAATTAGTGCTATTCTTCCAGGAATCATAGTGGGAGATATGAACTTATCCTAGTAAAGACACCATTTTGCAAAGCATTTTGGAACTCTTTATCTTAGAGTTGCCTTCAGAACCAAGGTTAGGGTCTGCAGACCACTCGGGACTAAATACTTAGTGTTTTACTTCAATTTTTAGCCACGACACAGAAGGTTGATTAGTTATTTTTCTCCCTTCTAGATTTAACTCCAAATAACTTGGGGTATTTAAAAAAATTAAATCTATTCATTTACTCCTTCATCCATAGATTCATTTTTTCAATAAGTACTCATTGAATGCCCCTGCATGTCAGGCTCTGTGTTAGAAGTTGAGGATTCTGTGATGCATAAGACAGATACAGTTCCTGCTCTCTTGGAGCTGATATAATAAGAAAGACAGACCAAAACCACCCCCGCCACAACATCTAACAAACAAATTAATAAAACACTTCAGAGTTGGGATAAGAGGTATGAAGGCAACAGATAAGGGACTGAGCTAGAGAAATAACAAGAAGAGAAATGTAGGCTGGGTTGGAATGGGAATGGTGACATTTAAGCACAAATTCAACCTTAAAGGAGGTATCTTTGCCACCACTGGGAGTGTTTACAGGAATAAACTTTAATTTTGAAGGACAAATTTCTCCATTGTGTAGATATCTTTCTTTCTTTGCAACTGAGACGGAGTCTCGCTCTGTCGCCCAGGCTAGAGTGCAGTGGTGCTATCTCGGCTCACTGCATGCTCCTCCTCCCGGGTTCATGCCATTCTCCTGCCTCAGCCACCTGAGTAGCTGGGACTACAGGCGCCCGCCACCATGCCTGGCTAATTTTTTGTATTTTTAGTAGAGACGGGGTTTCACTGTGTTAGCCAGGATGGCTAACCTCCTGACCTCGTGATCTGCCTGCCTCGGCCTCCCAAAGTGCTGGGATTACAGGTGTGAGCCACTGCGCCCGGCCTGGGGTGACATTTTGAAGCTATGTGAATTTCCTGTTTTCTGACAACATTTTAATGCCAAAAGATTTACCCAGTTTCATAGCGACTAAGTCACAGAACCGTGACTGTGGTAGGAAGCAATATCTCCTATTCTCAGTCTCATGCACTTCCACCCGGCCACACTTGTCCCATTCATAGTACATGGACATTTCAGGAGAGGTTTGGAGAAGTCAGGGTGCTAAGAAAATCTAGGTGCTATTTAGACCTTTATAGTTTATTAAATGAATTGAATAAGAAAAGTTTCATTAGAAGTTCTCATTTTGTGGGAAATAATTAGATTTCCCTTGATGTGGCTAAAGAATAAATGGCAATACTACTAGATAAGTAAATTATTGCTATTGTTACTCAAAAGAAACAGATGTATGGCCAAGTTTCCTGCCCCCAAATATTCTTAAAGAAGTTGGATCCTGTTTCCTTTGCTGTTTGTCACTTTGAATGCCAGTGTAGATGTACTGGATAAAGACTCCGCTGGGCATGAGTAAAAATATCTTTCTTTAGAATCATTAACCATAACTTTATATCAAGTGGATTAATGTTCACTTTTATTTTTTAAACCAGGCCAGATGTGGTGGCTCATGCCTGTAATCCCAGCACTTTGGGAGGCCAAGGTGGGTGGATCACTTGAGATCAGATCGAGACTAGCCCGGCCAACTTGGGGAAACCCTGTCTCTAATAAAAATACAAAAAATTAGTTGGGCTTGGTGGTGTGCACCTGTAGTCCCAGCTTCTCAGGAGGCTGAGGCACGAGAATTGCTTGAACCTGGGAGGTGGAGGTTGCAGTGAGCCGAGATCATGCCATTGCACTCCAGTCTGGGTGACAGAGCAAGACCTTGTCAAAAAAAGAAAAAAACCACACACACACGGTGGTGGCTTTTAGGTGAATCAAATCCCTTTTACTGAGACTTTCTAACCCTTAGGAGCTGTCCCAAAGACTTCCTGTGGCAATGTAGTCTGTGGGGTAATTGTATTAGGATAATAGGGTTGAAACATATCATAATTTAATGAGTTTGTGGTTTTCTTACTCCCAGAATTAAAAAGAACCTCTATGAATGTCAAATTTAGTAATTATCAAACTGAACAGACTTTGGCTCTATTTAACCAACGGGCACATAGTCTGTAGATAACAGCATGATTTGGTATTTATAAAGAGCCTATTCCCCCTGCTCCTACCCTTAGACACCAGAAATTCATTAAATGTAAAGCCTTACATAATTCTGTAAATAAACTCACTTATCTGGAATGTTCCTAGCCTCTAAATTAGGTATTAAAGAAGAGATATCATTCTTTTGGGACAGGCCTTCGGCTTTCCCTAAAATGTAGTGGCTAGGTATGGCCCAGAATACAAACTGGCTAGAGTTTGATGGAATTTAATGAATAACAACAACAACAATAATAAAACGCCAGGTCTCCTTGGTGTGAGAGCAATAAACAATTAAATTCTTGGGAAAGAGATGAAAATAGGATCTAGTCCTTAAGTGGCCTAAGGCCTAGCAGATTCCTTCTGGCCTTAGGTTACATACATTTGGGTTGATTTGGATTAGAAACATGAAAGTACAAATTTTGCCTTTAATTACATATTTTTTTCAGTAGTACTCTTGCTAAATGTCCAAAGAAATATAGAGCTAGACAATAATAATAGCTTAGATTCATGTCGCAAGTGTTTTACATGGATATCTTTTAACCCTCACAAATAACCCCAGAAGGGATACTATTATTATTTTCCCCTTTGAAAGATAAAGAAACTGGGATCCAGATATGCTAGGCAACATCCTGTAGAATAATCTGGCTGCAAACCCAAACAAACAGAATGACTGCAGAGTCTGAGATGATAAGGACAGGTAATACCATCTCCCAAACTCTGCTGCCTCTCCACTAAGGGGTAGCAGATTGATAGCAAGACCTTTTCATAGGAGGATCACTAAGTGCTTTGCTTGAATGTAATGATAACTTCCCCCAGCAATCCTTTGGTGTGGTTTATAGTTTTGTTTTGTTTTTGAGACAGAATCTCTCTCTGTCACCCAGGCTGGAGTGCAGTGGCGTGATCTCGGCTCACTGCAACCTCCACCTCCCATGTTCAAGCGATTCTCCTGCCTCAGCCTCCCAAGTAGCTGGGATTAAAGACATGCTCCACCACGCCCAGCTATTTTTTTTGTATTTTTTGTAGAGATGGGGTTTTGGTATGTTGGCCAGGGTGGTCTCAAACTCCTGGCCTCAAGTGATCTGCCTGCCTTGGCTTCCCAAAGTGCTGGGATTCCAGGTATGAGCCACCGTACCTGGCAGACTGGAGTGCAGTGATGCCATCTCGGCTCACTGCAACCTCTGTGTCCCAAGTTCAAGGGATTCTCATACCTCAGCCTCCCGAGTAGCTGGGATTACAGGTGTGAGCCACTGCACCCTGCCTGGTGTGGTTTAAAAACCAAGAACTAGGCTGGATGTGGTGGCTCATGTCTGTAATCCCAGCACTTTGGGAGGCCAAGGTGGGCGGATCACTTGAGGTCAGAAATTTGAGACCAGCCTAGCCAACATGAGGAAATCCTGTCTCTACTAAAAATACAAAAAAAAAAAAAAAAAAAAAAAAAAAAAAAAAAAAAAAAATTAGCTGGGCGTGGTGGTGAGCACCTGTAATCCCAGCTTCCTGGGAGGCTGAGGCAGGAGAGTCACTTGAACCCAGGAGGCAGAGGTAGCAGTGAGCCAAGATCACGCCACTGCACTCCAGCCTGGGTAACAGAGTGAGACTCCATCTAAAAACAAAACAAAACAAACGAACAAATGAACAAAACCAAGAACTGACTAGAGGCCCATCAAATGGAAAAATGATTTGTGTTAAGGCACTCCTTGCAAAACTGGCAGATAGGGGCAGAAAGAGAAGAGGCTCTTACCTTCACTTCTGGGACTTCGCCAATGGCCAGTGCTCTTCTGAACTCCACATAGTGAAAGACAAATAGCATTCTTTCCAGTCAGTGTGCTCATTTGCTACTCCTTCTGCATTTCTCCCTAGGGGCCAAAATTCCTGGCAAAGAAAAATAAAACCAGGATCATAGCCATAGAAATCAGATTATAAAATTGCTTCCTATCTGAATTCATATTCTAACCTTTCTTTAGTGCTTTCATAAACCCCTCCCAGACTGATAGAATTATCTTTTTTATGACTCATGGATATATTTTACTTTGCCATTTTTATCCTCTTTACTTTGAGGGAGAAGATCAGATGATGAAGAAGATTCACCCTGTAGTGCTACATAAGATTTTATTTTACCCTAACATGTGGACTATGGACCTAAAAAAAGAAATATGTTCAGCTTAGTATTATGTATAAGAAATACTTTTCAAAGTTTTACAAAAACATAATCCAATGATAAATTTTATTCATTTAAAAAGCATTTGTTGAATTCTTTCTAGGTGTCAAGCACTGCAGTAGATTCTGAAGATACAAAAATAAATAAAACATTCCTGCCCTCAAGACACTTACACTCTTATGTGTAACACTGTGTGACCATTCATCTGGGCCTTCCTGAGACAGTCTTGGTTTACACCTGTTTTCCCAATGTAAGTATAAATAGCAACCCCTTTCACTCTCAAGTGTTCCTTTTTAGATGATAAATTATATATACCCTAGTAATAATATTTCCCACTAGATGATGTTTTTAAAATACTTGTAATTCTTGGATATAAATAAAAAGTACAAACAGCGAAGGACCAAAAATGTACTTGACACTCTGTCTTCATTTTGGAATCACTATTTCTGTCACTGAGCGTCAGTTTAAGTCAGTTCATTGGGAAAATGTGAACTTGGTTCACATTATTTTTGTTGTGGTTTTACATTATTTTACAAAATGCAGCTGCTGTCCAATCTCTATAGGGAGGAAGAAATGAATGGCTAGAAAACTTAAGAAGATGAGAGAATACTGCAATAAATGGAGATCAGAGTATGTATCATATCATATACTCAACTCCAGTTTTGGTACAGGCCAAAGATGAATAGGGCACAGAGGTCTTTAAGGGCAAAAGCAGTGTCAGGTAGAGCAGCCAAAGCAATGGCTGAAGGCAGTTGTTGTCAAGGACCTCTGATCTTAGAACTCAATGTGGCATGTGGCTTTCCCTCAGACTCTGGTTTCTATTCCATTTCTAAAAACACCCAACTCAATGGTTTTTAAAACTATCCGCAATGTACTTTTGTGAAAGGTTGGTGTTTGCAGAACTTCTCATTACACATCATTCTATGTACTGTTGTCTGAATATGTATACGTATGTATTTTGATATTGAAGACAGACTATTTTTAGTTTCCTTTGGATATGTTTGGAGAAACTCCTAACTGTTGCTATGCTGCTATGGAAACGGTATCCACGTATACTGACATGTTTACAATTGCTTAAAACACTATAAACTTTCCAGGGCAAAGGCAAACAGCTTACTTCTATCAAAGTTGCTCCATGCTTTCCTTTTTTTATTAGTTTATTTATTACTCTCAGCCCCATGTTGGAATCTGTTTCATCTGTGCCTGCATTAAAGAGATTTTTTTTTTTTGCTGACCCACATATTCGTTTAATTGATTTCACATTCACAACTATAGTGGCGCTGAAAGCCAGTGAAAAATTTTCCCCGAAATAAAAAATATTCCTTGTTAGGAATTAAGAATTGAATACCTGCTATTTTCCCAGAAGAAAAATGGAAAGAATACTTCTTGAGAGTATGTTGACAGTCTGTCTAGAATTTTCAAGTGTAGGAGACTTTGAAAGTAGCTTAAATGTAACGATTGTAATTACTATTTGTGTATACAAAATGAATTTAAGGACTATTCTAATTGCTAGGAAACATGCAAACCTAAAAAGGAGGTTTATTGCTTTTTTTCAAGCATAGGAAAAACTAGGTGGCTGAGAATCTTTACAATTTTTGGAGAAAAGAATCTTAACAAAACCACAGGAATGAAAGTGAATAAGAACCTGTTTGTTTGAAGACATCAGAAAAGTGGTTTTTGTCAGGGCTGTTTTCTAGGAGTCAAAAAATATTTGAAAGTAGAATCTATAATTGTGACTCATACAGCAGTGGGTCCTGATTACATAAAAAAGGCACACACGCTCTAGTAGAGCATATTTTTTAATAGAATTTTAAACCCAGAGTACTTTCTCCTTTAAAATCTCTTTTCCAAAATTTGATACCTATTTTGCGTAAGTGTACAGTAAAACAAATTTAGGCTGTCATGATGGAGTCTACTTTCCTCTCTCTTCTACTGAAATCTCCTTTTTGTCATCTTCTTGAAATGGTCATTTTAAGTCACACATAAAAAAACAAAACAAAACAGCAAATAGAAGTTTTATGGGAATGGAAATGATTCACGGAGAGCTGGTTGCAGCAGGGAACTGGGCCTCGCTTGCATCTGGAGATCAGGGCTCTGTAGAGCCAGTACTTGCCCCTGACCCAGCCCCCTTTCCAGCAGTGTTTATATGCTTTCTCTGCTTCAGCTGATCAGAGGATATTCCATTCTAAGCCTTTCATGGGACAATGTTTATGTGATTTTTTTTTTCTTCTTCTTTGTGGGGAGGATTCCTCCCTGCCTCTTGGAGCTTAGCAGCACTAAGAAATGTCATCCTAAGGTCACATTTAGATTAAAACCCAGTAAAACCTGATGGACTTGTTATAGCAAGTGACTGTGAGGGACACTCACAGTATGATGACTGTGGCTTGCTAGTCTACCATGGGGACAGGAATGAGGGTGGGTCACAGGAGGTCCTAACGGGGAGGCAAATCTGCTTTAGCAGCAGCTCGTTTCAAGAGGCTGGGTGTTGCGGCATTAATTCTCCTGGGTTGGGAGCCTGGGCAGGGTGGGTGTCAAGTGGCTCTGGCAACTGGACCCCTTCGGGGTTGCCCTCAGGATCAGGATGAAAAGGGGGAAGTCAGGCTGGAGCAGCAGCGCGGTTCACGCAGAGAGCACCCCAGGCAGCCACGAACTGGCTTGCTCCGTTCAGATTTCTCTTAAACAGCAGTTTTCCGTTTCTGTTCTATGGCCTCTGAGGGAATTTCCCAAATTAACCTTCACTAAGCTTTCCTGAGGGACTGTTTTTGAGCGCTGATGGGGGAATTTCCCCCTTTTGACCACACTGTTGCCCGGAGACTTGTTGCTGCTCTTCATCTGGGGATTTTCTCACTGGCATTTTGCTACTTCCTGTTTCCCAAGAGTCTCTGCTCTCTGGGAACTGAAGATTTATCAAGAGAAGGGGACAAACAGCCTTTAGGAAAAAGGGGAGGAGGGTGTATTTAATACAGTGGTGCTTTTCTTCCCCTCCTTTAGTTCTTTGCTACAGTAACATTGGATTTGAAAATCAGGCCCAGGGAGCTTGCTGAGAGCTTCGGATTGATTACGCTAAACATTCCACAGGAACTTGAGTTGTACGGTGTAATCACAAATCACATAAATGATTGTTTTATTAGAATATCTATCCTCTATTTGGGATGGATAGAAACCCCTGTGTTAAAAGAAACCACTAAAGAAATCATTACTCCTTTTACTTAGTGAAAATGCACTACCACTTGTTGAATGTTTCCTGTGTGTCAGCCATGGCACTGGGGCTTTGCATACATTTCTCGTCTGATGCTAGCAACAACCTGGAGGAGTAGGGCTTATTCAGACTCATTTAATAGATGAGCGAACCAAGCCTCGAAGAGGCTCTGAGAGGTTAACTGACAACCACATTTTCCCGGCTGGTATTAAGCAAAGCTCCAATTCTGTGGATTCCTAAAGCCTATGCTCATATTTACTCAGCTATAAATTTGTATTGAACTGGGGATTTGTTTCATGGGTCTCTTAGGTGCTATTACCAGGAAAGCAGCAGGAGAGACCCCGAGAAGAAGCAGATCCCCAAAACCAGAGGTGAAAATATTTTAGGGAGCAGTATTGATAGTCCTTGGCTTAACCCTGTGCACTTGCCAGGCCCTTTTGCCATGTCACCTGGAAAAAGCTGCTGACTTGAAAGGTGACAGGAATAAATATATTTAAAAAGCTTCAATTGAACGAATTCATTAGTTCTTTCTCTTAGAGAAACTTTCCACCTAACCACTGCTGTCACCTTGCTACTTCCTACCCTAGCTTTGTACATTTTATCAAGGGTATTAGAAATAATTCCCCTGGGGACAGGTCCCAGAATCTCTCTGGCCCTGCTCTGTGGAAGTTGACATCTAGAGAAAATAATGTTCTGGAATTGCTCTACCTCCTTGACTCTTGATGCTCTTAAGCCAGATGAGTGTCTGTGCATGCATGTGTGCACGTGTGTCTGTGTTCTTGTGGTATGAGGTTCTTGGGGGATGGATTATTAGCCACAGTTGACCTTTGCAAAGTTCTCCAAGTATTAAATATTTTCACTTCCACTGGAGGAGTGATCAGCATACACGAGGGGGTGCTGGAAGCAGCTTGGGGAGTGACCTGGCTGTTCCTGGGAGTTCCTGAGGAAAGGGGGTGCAAAATCTGCATTGGTGCCCCCTGCTTCCTGCACACTTTGCAGCAGCTCTTCCTCTCCAGGGTTTGTCTAGGAGGGCTCCTAGCTGTATTGTCTTCATCCACATAGTGAACTCTGATAACCACCAAATGTTGAGAGTTGACTAGTTGCCTAATAGTTTACCTGCATTGACTTAACTTGATCCTCACCCATGAAGGTAGGCAAAATGATTCCGTTTAAAACAAAACAAAACAAAAACAGTGAGAAGACCAAGGCCCTGGAAGGTTAAAATGGCCCAAACCTACCGGCCGGGCGCGGTGGCTCACGCCTATAATCCCAGCACTTTGGGAGGCCGAGGCGGGCGGATCACGAGGTCAGGAGATCGAGACCTTCCTGGCTAACACAGTGAAACCCCGTCTCTACTAAAAATACAAAAAATTAGCCGGGCGTGGTGGCGGGCGCCTGTAGTCCCAGCTACCCGTGAGGCTGAGGCAGGAGAATGGCGTGAACCTGGGAGGTGGAGCTTGCAGTGAGCCGAGATCACGCCACTGCACTCCAGCCTGGGTGACAGAGTGAGACTCCGTCTTGAAAAAACAAACAAACAAACAAACAAACAAAAAATGGCCCAAACTACCTAACTAGTAAGTCAAGGGGTTGAGATTCAAATATTGGTGGGTCTGATTCATAGCTGTAGCTTTATTATGGCCAGGGGTGGGTGAGTGGAGTAAATCTTATTTATTTTTTAATCACTAGGAAACTATATCCTAGCCTTGAAGTTGCAAATATACAGGCTGTTATCATTTCAAATAATCAGGTGGTAGAAAGAGAGCAAGATTCTAATCAGCACAATGCCCAGGCCAGGGAAGGAACGTGGCGCGACCCAGAGGACCCTGGCTTGACCAAAAGTGGTATTTGGAAAAGGGGGCACCGATCCTCTTTTGTGCTAAAGGGGACATGGTTTTCTTATCTTCACTGTTTCCAAGGCATCTTCTTAGTGGTGGCTCTGCAACTAGAGAGGGCTAAACAAGCAACGCCAGGTTTAGGCTTTCATCCCATTGTGCTTGAGAAAAAAACAAGTCTTCCCAAATCTAGTACTTTACAACACTTCATAATTAAGCAGCCAAGAATCTGTCTTTCAGTGTTTGTGCCCAGTCACTGGTACACATTATAATCAAAATCCCTTTTCCCTTCAAAGCAGAGCATCACTGCCTTTCCCACTATTCTCCTGCAGAAGAGCAGGGGAAGGAAGCACCAGGGTCCATCATGGAGGTAAGAGAAAAGTTCTGCTTCCCATGCCCACTATGATGTATGCCTCTCATGTATCACATGGGGTCCAGGCTGAAAGATGTAATGTGCAAGAACCTCGAGAAAAGCACAGCTGTGTCTTGGTGGAAAGAAAGGCACTTCTATCAGGAGTCTGTCCAAGTTCTAATCGTTACCCTTCTCTCCAAGTGCCACATCTTAATCAATTTCAATCCCTTGAATGTTGTCCCTGTTCATTTTGTGCTGCTATAACAGAATACCTGAGACTGGGTATTTTATAAAGAACAGGTTTCTTTCAGTTCTGGAGGCTGGGAAGTACAGGGTCAGGGGCCTGCACCGGGCAAGAGCCTGTGTTTTGTGTTATCCTATAGCAGAAGGCAGAAGAGCAAGACAGTGTGAGAAGGAGAGAGGGTGAGGAAGGGGGCCTGTCTCTTAAAGTCATCTCTTAAAGATCTCACTCCTCAATGCTGTTGGGTAGGGGATTAAGTTTCCAACACATGAACTTTATGGGACACGTTCAAACCATAACAAACATAAAAATCAAACCAAACCATACAAAAATACTCTGAAAATATTTTTTCTTTTCAAATTAGAAATGACATCATGTAGGTTTCTTCATGGCCTATGGAAAATGGTGTGGTGGCACATCCTGGTATATGGGAGTTTGGCAACAAACAGAATTACCCTCTTCAAATTCTATCAGACCACAGGTAGATTAGGGGAATTTTCTAGTTCATTGCTACCTGTGTACCAAGAACAACTGGTTCAGAGGGCTCTGGCTTGGTGTGACAGGGGAAACCCATACTGCTAAAATAAGCTCTTACTGCATGAAATCTGGCTCTAGAAAAATCTTGCACTACTACTGACTCAAAATTTATTTATTTATTTATTTATTAGAGACAGACTTTCACTCCATCGCCCAGGCTGAAGTGCAGTGGCACCATCTTGGCTCACTTCAACCTCTGCCTCCGGGGTTCAAGCGAGTTTCCTGCCTCAGCCTCTTGAGTAGCTGGGACTACAGGCACCCGCCACCATGCCCAGCTAATTTTTCTATTTTTAGTAGAGTCAGGTTTCACCATATTGTCCAGGCTGGTCTCGAACTCCAGACCTCAAGTGATCTGCCTGCCTGGGCCTCCCAAATTGCTGGAATTATAGGTGTGAGCCACTGTGCCCAGGCTCTGACCCAAAATTTATCATCACTTTCTTCAATTTCTATTCCTATGGATCAAAATGTAAGATGGAGCCAAATGTCCAGTGGCAAGTTAACGTATTATTTGAACTTAATACAATTCTTGATTGCTTCATTCCTTAATTTTTCTTAAAAGACAAAATATTTCATTCTTTTAAATAGTTCTTGTTCTTAACCCTGATGGTCATGGGCAAAGATCCTTATTTTCCAGTGGATGAGAGGGAACCCTTTATATTTTTGATCATAGATATGGTTTATGTGCTCATCCACACTCTTGCTCCCCGTATCCATCAACTCTTTGACTGTGTTGTTGCAGGTGCATTGGGTTGTTTGGTCCTGGAACTTCTCCAACTTGCAGGTCACCAGGGCCTGAGGATGCAGCTTTCCCTGCAGTACTTTTTCTGCTGCATGGAGGCATTGTTGCCCCCATGGTAGCCAGCGCTGCATGGGAGCAGGAGGCCCTGCATCCTCCTCATGTTCTGTCTTTCTGCCACATCCTAGACCCAACCCTGCGCAGTACCTGTCTCTCCAGTGCCCAGATGAACTCAGGAGGGCATGCCTCCCCCTTCATCGGCACTTCCTGGGCCATCACTGTCATTGCAGGTCTCAAAACTAGTGTTCTTAACCATTCTGCTATATTATATTACAATTGGAATGTTGCTAACACAGACATAAGTTTCACACAGAGATTAGCAATACATTCTTTTCCATAGTATATTAAACATAATTTCAACATTTATTCTTGCACAAGGAAACTACTTATACAGCTAGGTGAGGAATGATCTGTGTCAGTGAAAGGCATAAGATAGAACATGTTCTTTTTACTTAGAGATGATCTTTACTATGATTGTGGGTGCAATAAATGTTATCTCTTTTGGAGGATATTTTCAGAGCTATTTAAATTAAATCAGATTTTTAAAATGCAAGTTTCAGGATATTACCAGTGATTTAGATACCATGATATGGCTTAGGTATAGTTTGAATAAAGAGCAAAATAGCAAAAAATTCCTGCTGTTCTCACCTCTCCAAAAAAGAAAAGTCTTAAAAACAAACAAACACACATGCACCTTTGGGTTTGAAGTTAGCCTTTGTTATTAGCACAAAACACCAAAATTACAGTCAAAATTAGTCACTGGAGTTATATCTGACTTTTAAGACATGCTTCCTCCTCTGTCTTTATCTTCCTCACACCCACAGCACCCACATACCAACTCACTGCCTTTCCCCATCGTACAGTATTATTGGAAGTAAGACATTGGATGCTAAGAGCTGCAAGGTCTTGGGTATAAGTGGCAAAGGTTGCTGTGCTTATGCTTCACAAGGTGCTCTTGCTGAGATAAATGGTAGCATTTTGAGAAGGATGGGAGTGAAGATCCTAAAACATATATCAATTTGAGAAGGCCTCTTTTGCTCTTTTCTTTCTTTCTCTTTCTTTCTTTCTTTCTTTCTTTCTTTCTTTCTTTCTTTCTTTCTTTCTTTCTTTCTTTCTTTCGTTCTTTCTTTCTTTCTTTCTTTTTCTTTCCTTCCTTCCTTCTTTCTTTTTCTTCTTTCTTTCTTTTTCTTTCTTTCTCTCTCTCTCTCTTCTTTTCTTTCTTCTTTCTTTTTTTCCGAGATGAAATCTCGATCTGTCACCCAGGCTGGAGTCCAGTGGCATTCTCAGCTCACTGCAACCTCCACCTTCCAGGTTCAAGCGATTCTCCTGACTCAGCCTCCCGAGTAGCTGGGATTACAGGCGCATGCCAAGACGCCTGGCTAATTTTTGTGTTTTTAGTAGAGACAAGGTTTCACCATGTTGGCCAGGCTGGTCTCAAACTCCTGACCTCAAGTGATCTGCCCTCCTCGGCCTCCCAAAGTGTTGGGATTACAGGCGTGAGCCACTGTGTCTGGCCTGCACAGTTTCTTCTATAATGGAGATGATATTATAATCTCTAAAAAGACCTTGTACAGAAAAGAAAATTCATAGTTTGTTAATTCCATTGTAAATTGTTAATTTTCCAATAATGTTCTAGTAATTACATAGTATTTAGTAGACACTTATTAGACATGTTTGCCTGTCTGAAAAAATAGGACATTCATTTAGCAAGTATTAATTTTACATACTAATGCCTAACAAAAACACTTAAGAAAAATGGGGCTACAGCCCCAATTCTTTGCATCTCCTTTTGAAAGCAGAATTTTTCTAAATGGTTATCGATATTTGCTGCCTCTAATTTCTCTCTTTTTATCACCTCTTAATCTTTCTTCAGACAAGTTTTTCTCCCATGAATCCTCTACTGAAGCTTGTCTTTTCAAAGTCACCAATGACTTACACTTTTCTTTTGTTTTTTTGAGACAGATTCTCATTCTGTCACCCAGGCTGGACTGCAGTGGCACGATCTCGGCTCACTGCAACTTCCACCTCCCGGGTTCAGGTGATTCTCCTGCCTCAGCCTCCCAAGAAGCTCGGATTACAGGCATGCGCCACCACGCCCAGCTAATTTTTGTATGTTTTTGTAGACAGGGTTTCACCATATTGGCCAGGCTGGTCTCAAACTCCTGGCCTCAAGCAATCTGCCTACCTTGGCCTCCCAAAGGGCTGGGAGTTCAGGTGTGAGCCACTGTGCCTGGCCTGACCTACACTTTTCTAAGCCCATTGCTCGCTTCTCAGGCAACATCTGAGGTGTGTGTCAGTAGCATCCGACACAGTGATGACTGACTTGTCTCTGAAACAGCTTCTTTACTTGGCTTCCAGCACACACCCTTTCTTTATTTTCCTCCTCCTCACTTCCTTCTGAGACTCCTTTGCTGGTCCCGCCTTTTCCCTCTGACCTCATAATCTTAGTCCTGTTCTCTTCCTTACTCACCTTCTTGGTGATCTCACCTGGTTTCATAGCCTTAAATATCATCAGAAGCTGCCAAATGTGCACCTCCAGCTCAGATTTCTCTCCTGAACTCCAGAGCTTTATCCAGCTGCCTGCTTCATATATCAAACTTAACAAGTCCAAACTTGGACTTCTGTTCTTCCCTTTGAAGTTGGCTCCACTCCCAGTCTGCACCCCATCCGTCGATGGTGACTCTATTCAAAACCTTTCGAGTCTTTCTGGACTCCTCTTTCTTTTTTTCTTTTTTCACATCCGAATCTTGTTGGCTTCCTCTTCAAAATATATCCCACATCCAACCACTTCTCACTACCTCCGCTGCTACCAATCTGTTCCAAGCCATTGTCATCTCTCTCTTGGATGATCACATTCACTTCCTCACAAGTCTCTCCACTTCTACCCTTGCCACACTGTGGGATTTGGTCAGAGAGATGCTTCAGATGTGTAGGTTCATCGTATCACGCCTCTGCTGGAAAACTCACAATAGTGCCCTCTTTCATTCAGAGTAAATACAAGTCCTTACAAAGGCCTACACCACTCAGATGACCAACTCTTCATTACCTCTTTGGCTTCATCTCCTGCTAACCTCACCTTCACTCATTCCATGCCAGCCACACTGGTCTCCTGACTGTTCCTCAAACACTCCAGCTATGTCTGTTCCTCAAATGCCCCAGCTATGTCTGTTCCCTCAGACGGGGATACTTTCCCCCACAGCACATGACCCACCCCTCATCCTCATCACCTGTTCACTCAGTTCTCACCTTCTCAGCAAGGCCTCCCCTGCTGCCTAGCTGAAACTGAACTTGCCTTCCCTCTCCACAGCTGGCACTCCTGATGCCTTACCCTGGTCTAACATTTCCTTTTCCCAAAGCATTTATCGCATGTAATATCCTACTGAAATTACTTACTTATTGTGTTTATAGTTTGTTTTATGTCTTCTACCTAGAATGTAACCTCTATAAAGACAGAGATCTTTTGTTGTTGTTGTTCACTGATGTATTCTAAGCACCAGATCAATGTCTGCCACATGGTAGGAAATCAGTAAATATGCTTGAATAAATGAAAGTTCAGAACTTCAGAGACAGGAACGACAAAAATGAGAAAAGTCTATAAAAATCATATCTGTGGGCCCAGCATGCGGGCTCATGCCTATAATCCCTGTGCTTTGGGAGCCCGAGACAGGAAGATTGCTTGAGTCCAGGAATTTGAGACCAGCCTGGGCAACATAGTGAGACCTCATCTCTACCAAAAAATAAAATTAAATTAAAATAAAATAAATTAAAATACAAAAGTTAGCTGGGCTTTGTGGCATAGCATTGTAGTCTTAGCTACTTGAGAGGCTGAGGTGGTAGGATTGCTTAAGCCCAGGAGTTTGTGGTTAGAGGGAACTATGATTGTGTCACTGTACTCCAGCCTGAGCAACAGCAAGAACTTGTGTCAAAAAAACCGCACTCCCCCCAAAAAAAAACAAAACAAAACACATCATATCTGTGTTGATTCAGTGAATTTAAAAGGAATTTTTTCACTTACTTCCTGATAACAGAAATAAGCATATGACTTTGCAAATTTACATATTAAAAGCACCCATGACAGTTTATTCACTTCAACTGTTGTTTTTGAAGAACTCAATAAGTGCCTTTTCTTTTCAACCCTTCTTTTTTTTTTTTTTTTTTTTTTTGATAAGCCTCCTTTTAAATACTCAAACCATCTGGGTATTTGTACTCTGAAGGCATCAGAAAGGCATGTAGCTAAAGCATAGAACTGATCAGGTTTCATGGTCAAAACG
Source organism: Homo sapiens (assembly GCF_000001405.40). Lineage (NCBI taxonomy): Eukaryota > Metazoa > Chordata > Mammalia > Primates > Hominidae > Homo > Homo sapiens. The sequence continues at coordinate 64,212,873 of NC_000002.12, forward strand.
ACACCTCAACATTTATTCTGTATCTTTGAAGGACAATACCCATAGCTCCCATCTGGAGAGTACTCACAGTGTTCATAGCACTGGGTAGAGGGCTTGAATTCCTATCACCTGTGTTTTCAGCTGAAAACAAGTGGGATTCTGACTCACAAGTTGGCTTGTGGGTAAAACCATTGACTACAGTTGGTCCGGGTCTGATGACCACTGTAGCTGTTACAAGTTTGTACTAATGCTTCTCTTTTTGAGACATTTCAAGTACTTTTCTCAGTATTATGAGGTAGATTACATGTACGAATGACTCAACATTTCTGAGGCTGCTTAAGAGTGTTTTCTGGTAAGCCTAGCCACTACATCATAGGTGCATGGTAAATGACAACATGGTTTGTATAGAGGTTAAAAAGGGCCATTCATCTCACTGCCCTCATTGGAAGGCCTAAAATAGTCCAAGATATTTTATTCTGTGGTTTTCACCTATGCCCTTTTCCCTTGTCCCAGGAAGACTTAAGTGGATTTGCTGTAATAACTGTGTTATGCTATGATAGATAGAATCTGTGTTATGATTAAATAGTTGACGTCTGTTTATAAAAAGTAACTTTTACAATTTATAATGGAGGTTATATTACTTAAAGTAGTTTTATTTGAAGAAATAAAAATTCATCACTCAATTTCAATACTAGGGCTTGAGATTACTGTTGTATTTTTAAATTCAAACCATTAGATGAATATAATTATAGGAATATGATAACATTGTAGGAATTTGGGGAAGTTTTAAAAATTACCCATAATTTCATCTAACCATTATGATCATTTGTACATATTTCCTGTCAGTCATTTCCTAAATGCATGCTGCTTATTCCTATAACTGAAACTAATACCAGTATCACTGGATGGTAAGTTCTTTGAGAATGGGGCCCCTTTCTGATGATTCTGTGTATACCCGTAGTTTAACACAGAGCCCAGTAGAGGCAGATGCTAGAAAAATTATTGCAAAAGAATGGATTAATAAGCAGATCTGCTGAGGATCTAAAACTTAATTAAGTACAACCAATGCTGGATTGATTATTTTGTTGATTCACAAGAAGAGGCCAAAGTCCCAACCCTCAGCAAAGATCAGCCATTCTATGACCTCCTCTTCTGCTCAGATCTCTAGGGGCAGCACGGGAGAGGAAGGGGACAGTCAAATGGTGATGTGTTACTCTCCTGCTTTGCTCGAAAACGATAGCAGTAATTTCTCTTACTTCTCCATTCCTTGTCTGCAGATCACCTGGCCCTAGAATGGCCTTATATCTCTGAGATACAGACTGACGCTAATAAATGAGTTGCTGATCCTAAAATAAAAGTGGAAATCAGGTTTGGAGTTTGATGTAAAAGCTGGAGAGGCACAGGTTTGTTGCTCATTTAGATTACAAATGTCATCGAAAATAGAAACCAAAAAGGTTAGGTAATTTCTAAATTAATCACTCTTAGAATAATTACCATGTCACAGCATCTGTGTGCTTTGGTAGAATTTGAATAACACTTTTTTGCTCAGAATAATGTTCTATTCTTGTCACCAAATAATACTTGACGTCTGTGCTCTTGTACTCCCGAACTGCAGGAAGGGTGTTGCCCTGAACAGCTGACACACCCTCAGCAATGAAGCTTAGTTTTGCTGGAACTTTTCAGGTACTAAAAAAAATCCCTTTCTCTACTCCCCATTCATTCACAGGCATGAGACTGGAGCTTTATTATTTTTTCTAAATCTAAATTGACTGAGTCAGGCTTGTAGTAGTCACCACTAAGAACAGACCACAGTAGCATGGAGAATATTACTTGAATCTTCTTTCCATCGGAAACTGGCTGTGAAAAGAGTAGGCCCATTAATCATAATTTGAAAAAGCAAGTTACAAAGGCTTGCTTTGTAACTTGTAAAGCCTCCTTTGATGAAGGCTTTACAAGCTGTCATTGCAGTAAGCAGAACTGAAACACTTTTTTTTTTCGTTGAGCAAACACACCTGGTCATTTTGGACATTTCCATTTTGATAGCTTAATGGGTGGGAGAAGATTCCTGGGCTTAAAAAATAACTTTTCAGCATTTCATGTTTCTAAGACTGAGACTGAATTAAAGGAATGTTAATCTGTCTCCTTTTATACCACAAACCTACAGAATTTACACAGAGTTTTGTCAAAAGTGACATGAACTGGTTGTCACTGTCTGGCAGATAGCTCCTCACTATGACACAAAATTGCCTTTATTTGAAGGCCACACATGACATAAGTAAACAATGGCAGTGTTTTGTATATTTTTTCTGTTACTTTAATGTATTTCAATTTCAATTATGTGGGTATAAAACATGAGTTGTATTTTTAAACTCTGTTACTTGATGATGACTACTCTTTTTCTTTCTGTATTAAAAAGAAACTCTTTTAACTGTGGTCACCATTCAGTGCAATGTATTGTATATTTCAAAATTGCTAAAAGAATAGCTTTCTAACATCCTCACCACAAAAAAATTGGTAAGTTGATGAGGTGATGGATATGTTAATTAGCTTGATTGACTCTTTCTACAATGTATTCATAGATCAAACAATCACATTGTACCCCATAAATATACACAATTTTTGTCAATTAAAAATAAATAAGAAACTATTCTAGCTTAAGAGCCTTATGTATTCTAAAAATGAACAATCAAAATGCAGAGACTGCTATTGGTCCCCTAATATGTGTTCTTTTCTTCCATAGTGATAGAACCCCTGATTTTTTTCTTTTTTTTTGTCGAGACGGAGTCTCGCTCTGTCGCCCAGGCTGGAGTGCAGTGGCGCTATCTCGGTTCACTGCAAGCTCCGCCTCCTGGGTTCACGCCATTCTCCTGCCTCAGCCTCCTGAGTAGCTGGGACTACAGGTGCCCGCCACCAGGCCCAGCTAATTTTTTGTATTTTTAGTAGGGATGGGGTTTCACCATGTTAGCCAGGATGGTCTCGATCTCCTGACCTCGTGATCTGCCCGCCTCGGCCTCCCAAAGTGCTGGGATTACAGGCGTGAGCCACTGTGCCCGGCCGAACCCCTGAGTTTTAAGCTAGGCATGTAGCTGTTCAGAAAAAAAAAAAGCAGCTGTTTTCCAATTTCCCTTGCAAAGTACTAATGGAAGTATATGGCAACTTCTCTGTCCTGTTGCCTCCAATATGGACATGCAAGCAGGAGCTCTGGCTGCCATCTTGGACCATGAAGACAAGGGTAACAGTGCAGATGAGTGGACAGAAATGTAATAAGCTTGTCTACCTCTGCAGCTTTGTATGAAAGATAAACTGTCTTGTTTAAATGACTGTTCTTTTGTGTCTATGTTTCTCAAAATGAAAAATAATCTTAATGTATACAATCACGAATAATGGAAAAGATAGATTTTATCTGACATGAAGAAACCAACATACTGTAGCAGACACCTATTGGCTTATCTGCCAACACTCTTTTTCAGAATTAACTGACTCTGTACTAGTGTCTAGGTGGTTATAGTGGGAGTTTCCAAACTCAAGAACATGACCCCATTTTTGGTTAAAGGATAATCTTGACCCTGGCTGGGCCAGTCAAAATCTTTCCCCAGGTACTTGAAAATAAGACGGAGAAAAAGAGAGCTTAGTTTTTTTGAGCCGTAAGACTGTAATAGTAAATATCTGAGCTATTGGTAGCTGTATTTGCCACCATGTTGGGAGAAGTAGCAGAAACCAGGTTGTGATATAAAAAAAAAAAATGAATCAGAGTCGAAGAGAGAAGCAAAGATTTAGAGACAGAAGAGAGAAACCATTCCTAGGTTCCTCCATAGTCCTCCAGTGCCTGGTTGTGTGGGAACTGTTGCTCACTTAACTTAACAATCACTCTTCATTTCTTTTTTGAGGCAGAGTCTCGCTCTGTCACCCAGGCTGGAATGCAATGGCATGCTCTCGGCTCACTGCAACCTCTGCCTCCCAGGTTCAAGCCACTCTCCTTCCTCAGCCTCCCAAGTAGCTGAGATTACAAATGTGCACCACCATACCCAGCTAATTTTTGTATTTTTAGTAGAGACGGGGTTTCACCATGTTGGCCAGGCTGATCTCAAACTCCTGGTCTCAAGTGATCTGCCTGTCTCAGCCTCCCAAAGTGCTGGGATTCCAGGTGTGAGCCACCATGCCCGGCCCACTCTTCATTTCTTAATGTTGATGTTTTTCTGGATCCATCCATCCTTAGAGAGGGTTGCAGACTGGTCCAAGACACTATGTGCATGGCAATGCCCTGGCAACTGTATTGATCCAGTGATGGACATGTGACCTAAATTGGCCCAATCATCTGATTGAAGATTTGTATTCCATTCCTAGGGGAGAAATTAGTCTTATGCTGGACGTGAACAAGGAAGTGCATAGTTCTGATTGCCATTGTCAGCTTTCTTGCCATCATGAACGTGACCATGCTTGTTTGAGGGCAACACTGAAGATGGCAGCAAGAATTCTAAAAAGCCTGGACCTCTGATGGCAGTTTTGAGTCCACCTTGGCACTCAAGCCAATATATTAGATAGTAAATGACCCATTATAGAAGCCAGGGGTCGCCAAACTTTATCTGTAAGGGCCAGAGAGTAAATATTTTAAGATTGCTGGCCGTAAGGTCTTTGTCACAACTAGTCAAGTCCTCTGTTTTGCTCTAAAGCAGTACTAGACAATACATATATGAATGGATGTGAATGTGTCCCAGTAAAACAAGTAGCTAATCTACAGGCTATCATTTGCCAACCCGTGTTATAAGCCAGTTTAAGTCTGAGTTTTCATGACTTGTTGCCAAAACTAGCAGATACGATACACTGGTTCTTGCTCATTTTCGGGGTCCGGCTGCATCTAGCTCTTAGAGTATATGAGGAACTCCAGTGTTCACGGCTGCTGGGCAAGATATTTAACAAAGAGTAGAGCATAAACACCAACCAACCATAAACATGTAGGATAACCATGCTGGGGTGAATCAGCTAAATATCACTCTGCTGTTATCCCTCCAACAAGTCCTCTTTGTTAGTTAAACTAGTCAGAGTTTATTTCTGTTATTTTTAAACAAAGGCATCCTTCCCTGTTCTTTTTAGATTTTCTTTTTGGGTACTACTTTAATCATTTCACTTATTTTTTTGGTTAAAATGCTGATCAGTTTTATATCTTTCTTCTTTTGGGTTCTCCATTTCTTTAGTTCAGTAATTTCAAGGCCAGGATGGCATTACTGATTCTTTTTAAAAACGGGTATCTGGGCCAGGTGTGGTGGCTCACACCTATGATCCCAGAACTCTGGGAGGCTGAGGTGGAAAGATGACTTAAGGCCAGGAGTTTGAGACCAGCCTGAACAACACAGTGAAACCCCATCTCTACAAAAAAAAAATTTTTTTTAATTACCTAGGCATGATGGTACACACCTGTAGTCCCAGCTTTTCAGGAGGCTGACACACGAGGATCACTTGAGCACAGGAGTTGGAGGCTACAGTGAGCCATGATTGTGTCACTGCACTCCAGCCTGGGCAACAGAGTGAGACCCTGTCTCAACAACAACAATAACAAAATGGGTATGTGAAAACTTTTCCCGATAATGAATCTCTGCAGACCTTATGATCAAAAACACAAGCTACCACTTGACAGGATGAGGTGTGAGCATAACATACCAGAAAGATTTTAGCATACATGCCACAGTTCAGAAATCCAATGTGTTTTGTGAAATGAAGTCACAACTGGGACTCATATCCCAGTAATGCTGCCATTTCTCAAAATATCTTTAGAATTCCTCCAATCTCCTCACTTTATTTTAACATCTGATATTGATAAAGATATATCACATCGTCATCAGGCTTGGCTCTGGATAGAGTCCTACCATTTCAAAAAAAAAAAAAATAGATCTCTCTTTTTTTTTTTTTTTTGAGACGGAGTTTCATTCTTGTTGCCCAGGCTGCAGTGCAATGGTGCGATCTCGGCTCACTGCAACCTTCGCCTCCTGAGTTCAAGCGAGTCTCCTGCCTCAGCCTCCTGAGTAGCTGGGATTACAGGCATGTGCCACCACACCCAGCTAATTTTGTATTTTTAGTAGAGATGGGTTTCTCCATGTTTGTCAGGCTGGTCTCGAACTCCCTACCTCAGGTGATCCACCCACCTCGGCCTCCCAAAGTGCTAGAATTATAGGCGTGAGCCACCGCACCCAGCCTAAAAAATAGATCTATCTTAATATTTATAAATCATTGAATATTTTCCCTTCCTTCCTTTCTCACATAATTCATAGGCACCTAGCTATGCCAGTCACCCTTCAAGATGCTGGCAAGATAAAGTCCTTATCATCAATGTGTTCATATTTTAATACGGGAGAAAATAACAAAATAAGTTATAATATAACCTAAATTTGTCCAGGCTTCACCAGTCTATGAGTGCAAATATGGTCCTCATAAGAAAAATAACCCAGATTTCACAGGCTTTGGCCCACTTACGTATATAGGAACTTAGCTTCCTGCCAGCCTTTTCACAGAGACTCCCACACTGACCCCTGAGGCTTCTCTAGTTCAGCTCTCCCCTGTTCATAGCTGCTGCTTTCAAGCCTCAAGGATTCCAGGTATCTGGTACTTCTTCCTCATCTTTTTTTTTTTTTTTACTTTTAAAACTTTTATTAAATGATGGAAGAAAAAATACTACTTATTATACTAGTTTAAAGCTTTTCAAAAAATTCTAGAAAACATTTTACAGGGGAGAAATCGCTGCAGTAGGCAGCCTGACTGGCAGCCAGTGTCTCTCGAATAGCTTATCGTAGAGAATGCTTACTGTTTTCTAAACTGATCTGCTGTAAAAAGGAAGAGGCTAGTTTAACCCAGTGAGCAAATGTGGAGCCAAAAGACAGGAAGAAAATAGGGACAGCAGAGTAACAGACATTTTCTACTGAAGCTCAGCAAGCTGCCCCCTCTTTTGGAGTGAGGGGTTAAAAGAACATAAATACTCTGCTACAGATAGTGGTCCCTGGTCATCACACAGCAGCAACACACCCCATGAGGGCAGAAGTTTTGTCCATTTTCTTCATGTCTTCATCAGACCTAGAAGAGTGCCCGACACTTACTAGCTGCTCAATACATATGTGAACGTTGAATGAACAAATGTCAAAATAGGGTTAGTCCTTCAATCCACATTTCACTGTGACCCAGTTATCTTCTACGCAGAAATGGGGAGAATGACTCTCCCCTTGCTCATTGCAACATTTTGTTTTCTGCGTCCCAATGCAAAGGTATCTGGGCCCCTCTTCTTCCAAAATCCTTGATGATCATAGCCCTTTTCAAATTCTGCATCAGCTCCTTTTTGTAAGAACAGTTTTGGTCTTTGAGTAACTGCTGGGAAACAGACATACTTGAACCCCAAGTATGGCCTAGGCTCAAACTTAATCTCCTGACTTAATTACCAGTTAGCATGATAAGAGCTATACTAGATGCACATACAGGGACATGGGAAAGGAACAAAGAAACTGCAGACAGCAGGAAATCAGAGGGAGGAGGACAGATGGTGTAGAAAGATGATGGATGAAACTCTGCCTGCTTCGTGTTTTTGCTTTGTACTTGCTCCCACCCCCCAATTTTTACTTCATAATCTGATTGGAACTTCCTCTTCCTCATTTTGTAATTTCCTCTTTCCAAGTACATGATAGGTGCTAATTTTGTTTGTTGACTGGCTAACAAAGAGAATTAAGACCTTAGTGGAGTCCCATTGCCTTTCCCCTAATATTTGCTTTTCCATATTGATTGCTCTTTGGTTGAACTGGGATATGAAATACTGGATAATGAGAACACAATAAATCCTCAGTTGTTCAAATCAATCACTACTAATGGACGGCACACAATATCCCAAGCATTGTGCTAGATGGAAAGCCACACAGATTAATAAGGGTGCAGCTCTAAAGAAGCAAACAGTGTAGCAATAGTGATGAAGCATGCCAAGCAGCTAGACTGTAAGGTAGAAAGAGTCCTGTGGTGTACTAGAAGATCACATAACTTGCTATAAGAACACAGAGAACACAGAGGAAGCAAAGAGAAGTCTAGTTTGTAGGCTCTGGGAAGGTTCCATAGACAGCTAGGAAGAATAAACAAGATTTTAACCAGTGGAGATGTGTGAGGGAAGCATGCAGACAGTGGAAGCCCCATGAACAAATTCCATCTACAAAGGGACATATAGATGCTTCCAGTGGTTTCTCTCATCCTTTATCAGTTATGTGGCAGTCTCTTATGACATAACCAGTAGAATAGTTATGGCATGTTTTTTAGAGTTTGCATTGAAGGACAGGGTTTCATTGAACAATGCTGCTGGCAGTATTTTAAAAGAAAGATTAAAGTGTCACACTGCATGTGACTCTGTCTATCTAATTCTGCATACAAAGCAGATGGCTGTTAAATGTTTGTTCCATCCCTGGTATTGTTTGCCTTGTAAATGCTAAAGAGAGCTGAAACCGAGAATTCTACCACAGTAAAGGAATTTTTTTGCCTATAATTTGTTTATAACATATTCTGGGCTAACAGGCAAGCTCTCTGCTCCCTGGGGCTATGCTGTAAGTGCACACACATTCCGGAATGATCAGCCTTTTCCTCGCTGATGCTAAGAGCCCCAAAATCAATACATACAATCATTTATCACTGACAGATTAGCAATTTCTATTGATTTCTTCTGAAATGGGAATTTGCACACTCCACGGAGCTTTATTCTTTTAATAAGCAACTAGGCAATCAGTTGTAATTTCAGGTTTTGAAATGCTTTGGCAACAGTTTTTATGAAACACACAGAAGAAAAACAAGAAGGGGCCCTGGATAGTTTCAAAGTCTTGCGAAGATGTACAGAAGCGAATTTCGATTGCCTGCCTGTGCCAACAGTGTACCTCTGTCCCCTGAAGCAGATGCTCTGTCCTTTGCCATGAATCTAAGGACTACTGTTAATTTGCAAACTTCCAAAGTCTGGTGGGCTTCTTGTCTTTCTTCCCTTTCTAAAAACCATTGTCAACCTGGGATACAATCTTAGGCTGTACATCTTCAGAGACTAGCAGGCAGCAGTGTTTGGAGGATCCACTTTTAAGCAGGCTTAACCTAGCGCTTTTCAAACTCTCCTGGGGAGCCCCTTAAAATGTGGATTCTGATTCTGGGGTGGGGTCTCAGATTTTACATTTTCAACAGGCTCCCAGGTGCTACCTGTGGCAGGACTTTAAACTCTTTTCCCTGACAGAATTCCTCTTCAAGGTAGAAAGGACAGGTGTGAGACAAGGGCAGAGTGCTAGGCACTCAAAGGCCACTTGATGACACAGAGCCCTGAACAAATGTCCCACAAACACCAGCAATAGAACCAAAAAGGAGAGTCTGAGCTCTTCACTGATAAAGCTTGTTCATTTTTATGTGTATCTCTGAGGCAGTACGTGAATGGGATAATAGAAGAAGGGAAAGAAAATCAATCATTCATTCCTCTGTTCTGTACATTTGAATCCCCTACTCCATACCAGGCATTTTAGGTGCAGGAAATGTAAAATATAGTAAAAGTGGTATAGAAAAGTCTATTTTGGAAATGCAGATACTGAAAGCATTCCCCTCAACCTTTTTCTTTTGGTCAGGAAACTTACTCCAAGACACCCTACACACAAGGAATCCAGCCGTTCAGCATTCCCAGCAGAACAACATTATCTATCATTGTTCTTTGTGTTCAGAGATATTCTGGCAAAGATGTTACTATTCCTGTGTGTGAGTTTGGCAGAAAGCCCTAAGATGTGACCTAATTTCCAAATAGCTTGTCCTTCTGGTTAGCTGTTATTAGTAAAACCTGCTGTAGTTTATGACTCTACCTTATAGACTTCGGGAAAATCATCAGGAAAGCAATGGAGATTTCCCACCTGAATTAGCTTGTGTTAACTAGCTAATCTTTTTAGAATAGTAGCTTCTGCCCATAATTTAAAGAAACGATGTAGAAACCAATGCATTATCTTTTCTTTCTGGGAGAAGAGCTCTTAAAAGCCTGGAAGTGGAAGATCATTAGGTAATGTGTTGTTAGCTCAAGAAGAGCACATTGTGGTATACTTATAGTCATACTGTCCAGTGGGGAGAATGTTTATGTATGGACCTGTCTTATCATCCCTTCTACCCTGAGTGGATCTTGAAAGTTAAATTATAACATTGCATTATGCATAAAGGAGAAGGATGCTTTACAGAAAAGACATTTACCAAGCTCTTGAGGGACCATTGTGTGCTGATCAATGACAGATGGTGTTCAGCTTTCACAATGTAGGAGTGCTAAAGGATGTGGGGTCACAGAAAAGCCGTGGAAAATCCTAGAGTAAAATATGGTGCAAGTTGTTGTCAGTCTGGCACAAGAAGAGGAGGTACCGAGGAAATTGTACCAAACACCAAGAGAGGAAAGGAAACTGAAATGAAAAATGATAGTACTTCAATTTCTGAAAAACAGGCCTGCCCCTAATTTAGCTATGAGATGTTGGGTAAGTTACCAATGTCTCTGGGCCTTGCTCTACTAGTACAACAGAGGAGAGAGAAATTCTAGAAGATTTTCAACTCCCCTCCTGCTCTGTAACTCTGGTTCGCTATGTGCTAAATGCACCTTGAAATAAACACTTCCTTTGTGTGTGTGTGTTGCGCGGTGGAATCCTCACTTTACAGAAGAGGAAACTAAGGTTCAGAGAGCTTAGGAACCCAGGCCAAGCTTACACAGCTATTAGGAGGCAGAGCTAGAACTTGAGCCCAGACAACCTGACACCATAGATAATGCTTTTAAGCTTTATGTTGCCTTTATATGTCTAAGACTTTTATGGGTAAAGAAGGAAGGAATATTTTGTAACTTTCTTAGAAAATCAATTGTCAGGAGATCTCTTAAAAAATTTGTTACATACCTTCTTTTAGAATTCTTGACATTGGGCCGGGTGCGGTGACTCACACCTGTAATCCTAGCACTTTGGAGGCCAAGGCAGGTGGATCACTTGAGGTTGGGAGTCCGAGACCAGCCTGGCCAACATGGTGAAACCCTGTCTCTACAAAAAATACAAAAATTAGTTGGGCATGGTGGCGAGCACCTGTAATCCCAGCTACTCGGGAGGCTGAGGCAGGAGAACTGCTTGAACCAGGGAGGCAGAGGTAGTAGTGAGTTGAGATCACACCACTGCACTCCCAGCCTGGGTGACAGAGTGAGACTCGGTCTCAAAAAAAAAAAAAAAAAAAAGAAAGAATTCTTGACATATTGGAGAGTGGAGTTTGATCTGAATAAAGGAAGCTGTTGTAACTGACATAATAATTTAAGGTCCAAGAATTTAAGACATGAGATGAGAAGCACATACTTTCCTCCTGCCTTACTCAGCTCAATTAGTTGCAGGTGCTGATACATTTACTTTTCAGGTTTTTGTCTGGCCAGTTGAGCCCACTATGTTCAGGCCGGGCTGCCGAAAAGTAGCTGCACAAGTGATGGCTAGTGACAACTAGAATTCATGTTCCTGTCTCCTAAACTTGAGATCCTGGGAGTCTAGGGAAACGCTGGGCTGCAAATGGCAGCTTCTCCACATCCTCATCCAACAGTCTCCCATGCCCATATGATGAGGTTCTGGCAGAGTTTCCTGGTTTGACAGACATTCCTCCTGAAACTGAATTCTTTATTAAACACCATCCTGCCTGGCTGGGGCTATGATACCTCTCAGCCCTCGGAGGCAGTGTGTTAAAGGGCAGTTGGGGAGTGCCAACTTCATCATTTTTGCATATCTGTATACCACTTGTACATACTGTTATTTACTTATATTTGTCTTTAAATGGACTCACTTTTGAAATTAAATACCTTAATTTTTTAAAGAAAATGTCAAGTTTTATAGTTAATAAGTTTTGTATCTAGGTCTGTGATTCATGTTAATTTTCTAAATGGTGAGAAGTAAGGATTCAATTTTGTTTTTGCATACTGATATCCAATTATTCCTGCACTATTTATCAAAAAGACTATCTTTTCTTCACTGAATTGTCTTTGCACCTTCTTCCCTCTCTTTGGGAGTTAAATTGGAATTTTTGTTCTTCTTAATTGTTAGCTAGGGAGCCAAAATATGAGCTGCCATCCACCTGTCTTCAACCAGGACTCCTTCCAGGAGTACCTCCTGCTGCCCACCCATTAGTTTGAAATCTAAGTTTGCTAATACCTTTGAACATTGTAATTTAGTCTCTTATTGGCTTCTCTTTGGCCACTCTGCTTACTAATAAAAATCCTCCCTTTTCTTGAGAGTTTATAAGTACTCTGGCACTATCTCTGCCAATTCCTCACATTCTCTCCTTTTCTACCAACCTGCCTGTGATGCCCCAAAAGTTAAAACTTACAAAATAAGTTTGAAATTTTATAAGGGGTGGAATAGGGTAGCAAAAGGTTTGAATTTTTGTGGAGGAGAAAGCAACGTCATTAATTATTGGCATGTCACAAATGAGATTCACTATTTAAGGGCTCCTGTGGCCAATATGTTATTTCCGCCATAAGATTCCTGTTTTGGAGTAGCCATGTATATACTGTCACACATATATGTACATATACAGACATAAACACACAAACATACACAGATACCTGGAAATATTTTGTGCTTAACGATGACTTTCCTTCTAGTTAATTTACAGATGTATTTTGTAGACCTGCTATAGGGGGCAAAATTTTAAGTTATAGGATCTTAGAGACACTAAGGGATCATCTGGGTTGGATAGGTTGTCAACTCTGATAAATTGGTGGGGATGGCTTGGAGCATTGTATTGAAAAGGATTGCTAGGCTGAGTTTAGCTCAGCAGGGAAGACAGCTGTCATTGATTAGTCATAGACTCCCATTGCTGGGGGTGGTGGCATGTATATGGTGTATGACTAACTCTAAGACTAGGCCACTCTTTTCCAATGCCATAATCTCTTCTACACTTTTCTTGACAGCTGAATTCTACTCATTGTAGGAATTCTTTCAGTAATTGTGAGCTTACTATTTTTCAGGAATGCTCATTGCTACGTTGAACAGCTCTTCTACATGTTCAAGTCTAAAATCTATCTCACAGCAACGTCTAATCATGTCTCCTAATTCTACCGTTTAGAGCCATACAAACCCATTTTATACCTATTCTACATCACAGCTCTTCAATTATCAGAAGACAGCCATTTTGTAACCTCTTCTAGATAAAAACCACCATTTCTTTCAATTATTTCTCAGATATTGTGGTTCCTGGGTCTTACATCATCCTGGATGTTATTTAATTTTTCCTTGCTCCCTTTCAGGTGTGCTACCCAAAAGGGGGCAGAGAATTTCAGATAGGATCTGACCAAGTAAAATTAATTGGGACTCTTTACTATTGGCTTCCATGTACTAATATTAATAAGCTTCAGTCTGCACCTGAAACATGTTACTTTGTTATTTCATATTGAGCTTTTGATAAATTAAAAAATTCTTTCTATATGAACTATTTGATTCAGCTCTTCTCTTTCCTCAGTTTATGTTTGTATTTGTACCTTTTGAACTGCATCTTAATAATGATTGCCCTTTCTTGAGTACCTATGAGTACCTATGTATTTTCTTTAATATCTATGAAGTAAATATTCTATTCTCATTTTGCAGTTGTGACAACTGAGATTCAGAGATGTCCAATCTACTCACATAAATAGTAAGTTGCAGAGCCTGGAATCAAACCCAGTTCCTTCTGGCTCTAAAGTCTATTCTCTTTTGGCTACTGATATGGTGTAGGATCTGTGTCTCCACCCAGATCTCATGTTGAATTGTAATCCCTAATGTTGGACGTGGAGCCTCGTGGGAGGTGGTTGGATCATGGAGGTGGATTTCTCATGAATGGTTTAGCACCATCTCCTTCGTGCTATTCTCCTGATAGAGTTCTCATGAGGTCTGGGTGTTTAAAAGTGTGTAGCACCTCCCTCTCGCCTTCCTCTTGCTCTGGTTATGTAAGATGTTGCTCCCCCTTTGCCTTCCACTAGGATTGTAAACTTTCCAAGGCCTCCTCAGGAGCAGATGCCACTATGGACAGCTTGCGGAACCATGAGCCAATTAAACCTCCTTTCTTATAAATTACCCAGTCTCAGGTATTTCTTTACAGCAATGCAAGAATGGACTAATATAGCAACCAGATACTCAATTTAGCAATTCTGAATACTGAGTCCATTATAGAAAAAAAAGAAAAGGTTGGGGGACATAGGTCATCCTTTTGTCAATATGTTCGTTGTTTTTGGGATTGTGATGAAGTCAAGCATTTTGTTTTTTAAAAATAAATAAAAAGGAAATACAGTTTGGCTTGACTAGTTCTGGTGAACTCTTACTGGTTCTTAGGAGTCACCTTTCTAAAGTGCTCACTAGCTGCTTGCTTAACTATTCAATCTAGAACTTTGCTGGGGATTGATGGCAAATGTGTCTGTCTATAATTGCTAGAATCCAAGTTTATGGGGATATTTGTTTATGTCCTTTGTCTGATCCTCGTCCTATTTCCCATAAGATCCCGTGGGCTGCTCGCAGTGGTTCTACCCTCATATCTGCATGTTTGTTCAGTTCTCCATTATGGAAGTGGGGTGGGGGAGGGGTTTGCCTTCATTTAAGGTAAGCTAAATGCTTTCACAATATATTCCTGTTTATTCTTTGGTTTCCTCCCAATGTTATTTCTTCCATTTCCAATTTGTAGGTAAAAAGCATTAAGCCTCTCTCTTAATGGAGGGATTAATGGAATAGAGGCACTCAATAAAGCTCCAGTAATTTCTGTTAAGTGGATTCTAAAGTAAACACTTTTATGGCCCCAACAACAACAAAAGACAGTGAATCCACTTACTCAAAAGCCCACCTAGTATTATATATAAGTCAGTGAAATGCATTTGGGAACTATCTACTCTTTCAGATGATCTGTGCTGGGAAATCTCTCCATTAATAAAAATAATAGCCAAACTTGAGTGCTAATAAATAGGGTTAATACTTAGTGTCTCAACTAGACCTAAGAGTATATCCATTTTAAAAGTTTTGTTTTTTTTTTTTTAAGTTTCTAGCCCATGACAGACTGACGTATCTAAAAATCATAGATTAGGTAAAGAATGTGTGCAAATTAAAATCCATGCACAGAAACCTATGTGAGAAGAAGGAGCGTTGTCATCGCAGACGTTTAACTGGGTAAGAGTTATGAAGTAAGCACTTAAAATCCAGCTAAAAGCCTACTCTCGGTTGTTTTCATGCTCCCCAGTGCTAGAAAGAGAGCCTGTCTGCGAAACACCAGTAATTGCACGTTGTCTGTGTGAAAGGACATTGAAAGACTCGATAAATTACAAGGAGGGAGGGAGCTAGCTCTCATTGCAAACTTGACCTAGCCTAGATTAGCAACCCGGGATTTGACTTTCCATGTGACCCTTCCTCTTTGTAGTCTTCAAAAGCAAGCCCGTACAAAGCCCGGCTCCTTCCTTCCTTCTAACTCCCTATCAGGAAGCTCCTTCGCCCCTCAAATCCCTTCAGGGGCTTTGAAATCCTGGGCTCCCGAGCCCAAGCTGGGCATGAATATTCATCGGGGGCGTGGCCCCGCCAGCGCGCAGGGCTCCAAGCAGCTGCGACTAGCGGAAAGCGCGCGCCAGCTGCACGCAGGGAAACAGTTCTCATTTTGTGTGCTCGGCTGACTGCACGTCCAGCCTCGGGCCAGCTCGAGACGGCCACATTGTGAGTCTGTGGGAGGGGTTCTACCGAGACGAATGGACTTTTCTGAGGCAGGGCCCAGGAGCTGTAATTCGAGGGGCCTCAGATCTCCCTGCCACCCACCTGCCAGGGCAAGTGAAATTCCACTGAGAAAAAATCAGGCGTATCTATTCTCTTCCAGGAGTTTGTCTCCCTTTTAAGAAACAAATGTCCCTTGTGTGAATGATTGGAGGCTTTTTATCCTCTGGTGGCGCCTCCTTCTTTGCAATTATCTACAATGGAGACTGTTTCTTCTCCCTTCTTAGTGATTACAACTGCTACTTGCATTCTTTTTTTACTTTCAAGATCATGAAGGCATGTTGTCTCTATCTTTCCTCTCCTTCATCCTTTACTTAGTAGTACCGATAGCACTTTTAACTTACGTCTAGTTAAAAGCCAGACATCCTGGATTCAGATTCTAGCTTGACCACTTATAAGCGCCATGAATGTGGCAAGTTAGCCTTTTTTGCATCTGTTTCTTTATCTGCATAAAGCAATAACAATACCACCTACCTCATGGTTTTTTTCCTGAGAATAAATAATTATATACAGTCATGCATTGCTTAAGATCAGAGAAATGTGTCACTGGGCGATCATGAGTTTGTGTGAACATCATAGTGTGTACTTACACAGACTCAGATGGTGTAGCCTTCTACACACCTTGGATATATGGTATAGCCTATTCCTGCTAGGCTACAAACTCGTGCAGCATGTTATGGTACTGAATACTGCAGGCAATTGTAGCACACTGGTAAGTATTTATGTATCTAAACACATCTAAACATAGAAAAAGTACACAGTAAAAATACAGTATTATACTCTTATGGGACCACAATAGTATATTGACTGAAATATTGTTATACAGCACATGACCTTATAAAACATGTTTGAATAGCGCTTGGCATATAGTAACCATTTAGTACATACTAGTTATTAATGTTATTATTTTGATTGGATAGGCCTGGTTGAAGATGGCTGAGCGTAAAACAGAATGCAAGTCAGCTGGAGCACGTACTACTGGAGGCAGAGCCCCATGAGAAGGGGCCAAGAACCCGCACCCATCAAAATCAAGAAGAAAGGCTGAACCCGGAGAGAAAAGGGAGGTGAGCCTGCGGAGGGAGATGGGATGCAGCGGAGGGAATTGGGGTGCAGCGGAGGGAATTGGGGTGCAGCGGAGGGAATTGGGGTGCAGCGGAGGGAATTGGGATGCAGCTGAGAGGGGAGCGCCAGTGGGGAGGTTTTGGGAGCCAAGCCATTAGAGGAAGGATCACACAATGTCCAGAGGTAATGAACACAGAACTTTTTAGTTTGTTTTTAGGTCAGAGTCTCATATCCTGGTCTGCACTCGATGGATTCTTAAAGCAATTGGAACCTCAGGCTGGTCCTGGAGCAAGAGCTGGTCCTTTACTTGGGGCTCTCAGGTTGAGAAGTTTGAGCTCTAGGATTCTCCACTGACCACCTCTCCCTGTCTTTGCTCACTTCCCATCTTTAAACTCCCATTGAACTGGCATGCTATTCTTAGCATGGCACTCAGGCTCTTGACTCCACCCAGTCCTTCTAGTTATATTGGCCATGGTACCTACGTTCTTGTGTCTCCTAGCACTGTCTACCTACCCTCTCTCCACAACACATATTACACCCCCAATCCAACCCATAATTCCCATTGGTTTCCAGGTATGCCAGTCTTCTTACGGTTTCCTAAACATGTCATAGTAGGGAAAATGCTACATGTTCACTACCTCATTTCACCTTCCTAGGCAGATGAGAAGACATCTCCCAGTTTCTTTTTGCAGCTAGGTTGGGACACTGACCAAATTTTTGACAACAAAAAAGTGAGTGGAGGGATATGGCATTCTGGTTCAGGAAGACTAAGAGGGGGTCTGAGTTCTTCATGCTTATTCTCTTTTGTCCATATGCTAGGATGTGCAAAACTCTAACTCAGTGGGTTGTAAAATGGAAGCAGGCTGGGTCCTGAATTTCTGTTGCAGGAAAGCTGACCAATTGGCATAAGACATATATATATATTTTTTTAATGAGCAAAAGCCACTGAGATTATGGGGTTTTATTTGTTACCTCAGCCTGTCCTATTCTATCCTAACAGCACACATACCATGCTTTTTCTTATTTTGGCATCTCTATAGTTACATTATGTCACTTGGAATGCCTCCCTGCATTCCTACCCTGCAGCAAATTGCTACTATCCTTGGATTCTCCTCTGTGATCTTATAGCACCATGCTCAGGTTTCTGGCCTGAGTGATTAGATGAATCTTGGCACCAGTAAGGAAAAAGAAAGGGAGGAAGAGGTGTACATTTGGCAGAGAGAAAGAACTCTGTATGTGCACTATGTGTTTGAGAATGGGACATCCAGGGATATATGGATCTGAAGCTCAAGAGAGAGGTCTGAGCTAGAGATAGGTAGAGGGTTGAGAGTCATGAGCATAGGGGAAGAAGTGGGCAAGATTACCCAGCGAAAGTATGTAAATTAAGATAAGAGAGTGGAAGATGGAAAGGTGAATCTTAGTGGAACACCATCCTTTAAAGGAAGGCAGAAGAAGCAGAGCCCTTATAAATTTCACAGAGTCCCCCTAAGGACATTCAGAATTGAGCGTGAAACCTGGGAAAGCAGAACTAGTTTATTGATCAACATTTACAAATGTGAAACTTAATTTTGAGGAAAACAGGGTATACTGCAATTGAAGCTGTTGAGTAGACCCAAAAATGCCTTTGAAGGTGGAATTGCTCACCTTTGTTACTGAGAAAACTCCCGGGCAAAAGTTTAGTTTTGATCATGTTAAAGGTAAATTAAAAGCTGACCTTGGCTTTTATATTCCTGGCTTTCCTCAACCTGAAGTCTTCTGACTTCTCTGAACCTAAAGGAATGAGAAAGTTGCAAGGATTTGTAACCGGCTATTGGAATTAATTGTGCTCACTAGCCTATATTTTGTTTTGCTTTTTTCTCCATGTGTTTGCTTTTTGGATGTAATTCTTAAATTGTCTAAATGGTCACCTTTTGTTGTTGTTATTCTTTAAATGGTACCTGGACAGCTATGATGGGTCAAGAGAGAGAATTGCTTTATACTACAAGGCTATCAGAAGATCACTGAGGTTGTAGTGAGCCGATATCGCTCCACTGCACTCCAGCCTGGGCGACAGTGAGACTGTCGTGAGGAAGGGAATGTGATAATCCAAGAGAGAGATGACAATGGATTGGAACACAGTGGCAGCAGTGGAGGTAGTGAGAAGTGGTTGGATGCAGGATATATTTTGAAGAGGAAGCCAATAAGATTCGGATGTGAGAAAAGAAAAAAAAGTAAGAGGAGTCCAGAAGGACTCTAAAGGTTTTGAATAGAGTCACCATCGACTGAGAGAGTGCAGACTGGGAGTGGAGCTGGCTTCAAAGGGAAGAACAGAAGTCCAAGTTTGGACTTGTTAAGTTTGATACATGAAGCAGGCATCTGGATAAAGGTCTGGAGTTCAAACGGGCGTGGTGGCTCACACTTGTAATCCCAGCACTTTGGGAGGCCGAGGCAGGCAGATCACTTGAGGCCAGGAGTTCGAGACCAGCTGGCCAACATGGCGAAACCCCGTCTCTACTAAAAATACAAAAATTAGCTGGGCGTGGTGGCAGGTGCCTGTAATTCCAGCTACTTGGGAGGCTGAGGCAGGAGAATCACTTGAACATTGGAGGCAGAGGTTGCAGTGAGCCGAGATTGTGCCACTGCACTCCAGCCTGGGTGACAGTGTGGGACTCCATCTCAAAAAAAAAAAAAAAAAAAAAAAAGAGGTCTGGAGTTCAGGAGAGAAGTCTGAGCTGGAGGTGCACATTTGGCAGCTTCTGGTGATATTTAATGATTTAATGCTATGAAACCAGGTGAGATCACCAAGAGGGTGAATAAGGAAGAAAAGGTGCCCGAGGGCTGAGCCCTGGGGCCCTCCAAGATTATGAGGTCAGAGAGAAAAGGCTGGACCAGGGAAGCAGTCTAAGAAGGAATGCCTAGTGAATAGGAGGAAAATGAAGAAAGGGTTTGTGCTGGAAGCCAAGTAAAGAAACAAATTCAGAGGAAAGGGAGTCATCACTGTGTCGGATGCTACTGACACACACCTCAGATGTGACCTGAGAACTGAGAAATGGACTTAGAAAAGCGTAGGTCAAGCCGGGCAAGGTGGCTCACACCTGGAATCCCAGCCCTTTGGGAGGCCAAGGTGGGCAGACTGCTTGAGGCCAGGAGTTCAAGACCAGCCTGGCCAACATGGCAAAACCCCATCTCTACAAAAGCATACAAAAATTAGCTGGACGTCTTGGCGTGACAAAAATTAGCTGGACTTCTTGGCGTGCGCCTGTAATCTCAGCTTCTTGGGAGGCTGAGGCAAGAGAATCGCTTGAACCTGGGAAGTGGAGGTGGAAGTGAGCTGAGATTGTACCACTGCACTCCAGCCTGGGCGACAGATTGAGACTCCATCTCAATAATAATAATAATAACAATAACAATAACTGAGGTTCTTATAACACTAATATTATTCAACATCTACAGTCTCAGAGATTCTAGGTCCAGATCGTTGGACTGTCTCTCATTCAGAAGTATAACTCCTTTGAAATAAGGTCCTTGTGAAAAAGGGATGGTTTCTCTTTGATATGGAGATACGGATGTTGTCAACTATTACAGTCTCATATAAAATGCCAATGCACTGTGCTGGTTTAATGTAGTTTTTAGTTGGAAAGTGAGAATCCCCAAATGCATTTTTGGTAGCCAGCTCTGTTGCAAATGATGCCACTGGATGTAGCATTAAGTAACTTAACTCTTAAACTTTGGGCATATTCAAGTGCATAGTACATCTGCCCTCAATCTTGGGAGTCTGTCGTAAAATGCAGTCACAGGGTATATGATATACCACTCTCCAGTATGTGGTGTATTTGCTGAATATTATGTATCAGAAGCTCAGAGAGAGAAAGAAAGAGAGAGAGAGCAGACAATTTAGAAAGCCCAGCCTGCTCTGCGTCAAGGGCACTGCTCCAGAGTTAAATCTGCTTGTGAGCTACCAAACAGCATTTTTCTCATACTGAAAAAAACTATCCTTGTAATCTGCAGTTTGAATGACCTGTTCCTGTGTTTATTCATTACTTTAGATCATCAAGTCAGTGGAAACTTTACACGACCTCTGACTGATGCTCTGCTGTTCCTAGTGGAATCATTGTCATAACTAGCATTTTGTTTGTGGCTTTGTACCTGAGTGCCCATTTTGGACCACTCATGATGTTAGGGGCTTATATCACATCTTTACTTTGCACATCAACTCTATGAGACAGTCATTATCATTTTCATTTTAGAGGCGAGGAAACTGAGTCTTGAAGAGGTTAAGTTGCTTCAGGTCATGGCTGGTGAGTAATAGAGCTAGATTCAAAGCCAGGACTGCCTGCTTCCAGAGCTCATGCCCTTCCTTGTGCCATCTTAGAGTTCTTCCTATACAACTTCTCACTTGAACTTGGAGGCTTCTATTTCTTGAGCCACCCTGTGAGAGAGTTTGATGAGTTCATTTTAAATGTTCTCATTTGTGATTCGAGAGAACTGAAAATTCTCTGAATTTAGACTTCAAATTCCATTTATCTTAGCATTCCTGCCTCCTCAGCTCCTGGCCTCGTCGTTGGTGGGCCAGTTCATTGGTGGCTGGTGGATGCTTGTGCCTCGACTCCTGTCTTGGCTGTGCTTCTAACATAGAGGGTAACCTGAGGAGGTCACTCAACCAGTTCATGTCTCTCGTTCTCCAAATATAGTATTAAGAGGGCTTGCCTGGACTAGCCAATTAGGCACTGTACTGCATGTTGGAACTATGAAGCCTATTAATTCAGTCAATTAACATTTACTGAGTGCCTGCAGTGTGCAGAACCCTGGGGCAAGTGGAGGCATGGTATTCCTGACCTGTGGATGTACTATTCTATATATTTCGTTTATTTTTGCACCTCTGTGTGACTCCACCCAACCCCTAAGAATACTCTTATCCCCACCTACATGTTTCTTTTCTTTTCTTTTTTTTTTTTTTTTTTGAGACAGAGTTTCACCTTGTTGCCCAGGCTGGATTGTAATGGCACGATCTCGGCTCACTGCAACCTCTGCCTCCCCGGTTCAAGTGATTCTCCTGCCTCAGCCTCCCAAGTAGCTGGGATTACAGGCATGCAACACCACGCCTGGCTAATTTTGTATTTTTAGTAGAGACAGGGTTTCTCCATGTTGGTCAGGCTGGTCTCGAACTCCCGACCTCAGGTGATCCGCCCGCCTCAGCCTCCCAAAGTGCTGGGATTCCAGGGGTGAACCACAGTGTCCAGCCACATGTTTCTTTAATTTCTCTCTGTGCCAGGATTCACTCCTGAGTACTTTATTATCCTGGCCCACTCTGCTTTGCTTGCAGTGAAACAGCATGGTTTCCTCTTGGCCTTCAGGAAATCCTGTTATAATTCAACCAGTTTTGAAAATGACCTCTTTCTGCTCTACTGAGCTGGTAATGTTTCACTGGGTTAGAGTAGGCCAAGGTCATGTACAGTTCTATACTATTAGCTTAGAGGAGCATACTTTTAAATTTTGATTTCAAACATGTAACCTGACTTAACAGTGGGTCTTCCCACAGTGGGACCATGATAGTGGCAATAGAACTTTCACGTGTTTGGGGCTCTCAGCCAATGCATCCATGAGCCTGAGATAGAGCATTCCTGTGATTCCCAGGTCTGCTCTTCCTTGGTCCTCTGTGCCAACCCATGAAAAAACTGCATGCTATGACCAAATTCAGGATCAAGTTTATCCTGTCTAGAGCCAGCTCTCCAAAGGTGAAATTTTACCTTATTCCTTTGAATCTATTTTCTTGTATTTTTATTTTGGGATCTTTTAGTAACAAGGCAGCTTCCCGAGATTCTGTTGTGAGCAGTTCTGGAGTCGATGGGTATTTTTACATAGGTGTACATTTGCTTCTATTTGTGTGTGTGTTTGTGACCTACCAGAGGAAAGAGCCTCCATTTGCCTGGAAGCCTGGGATGATTTAATCTCTACTATTTGGGTTGCATTAATTAAATGGGGTGGATGTTTCAAATACTTAGCTATCTTAGAGATACAAAGGGAAGGTCTTTGAAGAATCTGTACCGTAGTGAAAGATACGTAAATAGTGTGTGCTGAGAAGAACGAACAGCCCTGTGGGCCAGGAACAAAACTACTGAAAAGAATTGGTGAAGGATTCATCAGCTTTCTAGGAAAAGGGCAGCATGGGTCTTTATTCTTCACTTTGTCAAGTTTGAGTCATGCCCATTTCATAAAGTATTTGGCCTGTGCTAAGTGTGGTTCAAAATGTGATATCCTTGTTTGATATCACAAGGTGACATGAAGCGGTGGATTAAAGGGAAGAAAACTACCATTTTAGAAAAACAACAGCAATTGAACACCTGAACGTACAAAAAAAAATGAGATTACTATTCATCTCTGGAAACCAAGTTTCATCAGAAATAAGAAAACGGAATACAATTTGAGACAAGTTCTTGGCTGTT
The DNA here is from genome assembly GCF_000001405.40 of Homo sapiens. NCBI lineage: Eukaryota > Metazoa > Chordata > Mammalia > Primates > Hominidae > Homo > Homo sapiens. Next base: position 64,236,061 of record NC_000002.12, read on the forward strand.
GGGCTACTTTCAAGATTCCTTGACTATCAGAGCTCTATAGGGGATCCAAATGTAGCCTTAAGGGTTTTGTCTTGTCTGTTAAATTAATTCACCTGACGGCCGGGCCAGTGGCTCAGGCCTATAATCCCAGCACTTTGGGAGGCCAAGGCGGGCGGATCACCTGAGTCAGGAGTTTGAGACCAGCCTGGCCAACATGGTGAGACCCTGTCTCTACTAAAAATACAAAATTAGTTGGGCGTGGTGGCACGCTTGTAATCCCAGCTACTCGGGAGGCTGAGGCAGGAGAATTGTTTGAATCCGGGAGGTGAAGGTTGCAGTGAGCCGAGATCATGCCTCTACACTCTAGCCTGGGCGACAGAGCAAGACCCTGTCTAAAAAAAAAAAGCATGGTGGCTTATGCCTGTAATCCCAGCACTTTGGGAGGCCAAGGCAGGTGGATCACTGGAGGTCAGGAGTTCTAGACCAACCTGGCCAACATGGTGAGACCCCATCTCCACTAAAAATACAGAAGTTAGCCAGGCATGGTGGTGGGTGCCTGTAATCCCAGCTACTTGGGAGGCTGAGGCAGAAGAATCACTTGAACCTGGGAGGTGGAGGTGGCAGTGAGCCGAGATTGTGGCACTGCACTCCAGCCTGGGTGACAGAGCAAGACTCTGTCTCAAAAAAAAAAAAAAAAAAAATTAATTTACCTGACAACATGTAGGTATGAAAGATCAAAGCCAGTTGGGAGGGCTATACAGGCCGGGGACCTATTCATGTTTTCTGAGAGTGGGATCACTTTTTTTTTTTTGAGACAGATTCTTGTTCTGTCACCCAGGCTGGAGTGCAATGGCATGATCTTGGCTCACTGCAGCCTCTGCCTCCTGGGTTCAAGCGATTCTCCTGCCTCAGCCTCCCAAGTAGCTGGGACTATAGGCACATGCCACCAAGCCCAGCTAATTTTTTGTATTTTTAGTAGAGACAGGGTTTCACCGTGTTAGCCGGGATGGTCTCGATCTTCTGACCTCGTGATCCGCCCGCCTCAGCCTCCCAAAGTGCTGAGATTACAGGCGTGAGCCACCGTGCCCAGCCTGGGATCACTTTTTAAAAACAGCTTTTCATGGTGATGACTAACATGACAGAAAGTACGCTATCACAAACAATAATCCTAAACCAAGTTGTTGGATGAGGTTCATTAGCTTTACTTTTTTGACTATGATTATCTGAGATGCAGTTGACTTTAAGAATGGCCACTACTGAAATTCATCCTGCACAGCAAGATTTTCTTTAGGTTTCCTTTAGAAACATCATGGCTCCCTACCTTTTATTTCTAGCATTAACTTTGGAGGCGCTTTTACTCCTCTAGGAGTGCAGCCAAGCTGACCTTCTCAACCCTGAATCCTGTTATTTATGGAATCAGTGATTCTATTCATTATTAATTCACAGTAGGTCTGGCTTCACACTAATTTTAGAAGCTCTTTCCTCTTGTTACCAGGCAAAACAACAAATGGCCTGGTTTGCCTTTTAGGAGGTAAGAAACCAAAAGTACTCAGATATGACCTTTTAAGATTTGTGCTAATCTCGAAGGCTTGAGATCTTTCTTGGAAACATAGTGAAGAGGTCCATGATTGTTTTCTAAGATTATCACTCAATTGAACATATATTAAAACTCCCTGGAATCAGAAAAAAATACCATGACAAGTATCTTCAATATTGAGTCAAGAATGCTTTTTAGGGCCAAGGTGCTGCCATTTCCAGATGGCACCTTCAGAATTTCTTTCAATTTAGCATTACTAACATTTTGCTGCTTTGATTGAAGCAATGGTAAAGCAACTTGAAGAAATGGTAAAGCAATTCAATGTAAATAAATACAAATGCTGTTAAATGTTCATTTTTTGAAGTTGCTAGCTTTGTGCTCTTTGATTTAAAGGAAGGTTATGATCTCAAACCTGGATGAAATATCCTGTGTGAAGCCAGTTTTTCCCATACACAATTGCAAATATTAGGCCCTATAATTTTTTTTTTCTCAAGATGGAGTCTTGCTCTGTCACCCAGGCTTGAATGCAGTGGCGCGATCTCGGCTCACTGCAACCTCCGCCTCCTGAGTTCAAGCAATTCTCCTGCCTCAACCTCCCGAGTAGCTGGGATTACAGGCGCCCACCACCAAACCCAGCTAATTTTTGTATTTTTAGTAGAGACAGAGTTTCACCATGTTGGCCAGGCTGGTCTCAAATTCCTGATCTCCTGATCTGCCCACCTCAGCCTCCTAAAGTGTTGGGATTACAGGCATGAGCCACTGCGCCCAGCCTGGTCCCTGTAATTTAACCCCTTTACTGTATTAAAGCAAATAATTAAGGATGTATGCAAAGATTTAGTTACAAGTTGATACTGGCAAAAATGGGAAGTAAACTAAATGTTCAACTTTAGGAGAATAGTTAAACAAATAACGGCACATGCATACATTAAAATTCTTCTAGCTACTTGAAAAGATGTTGTAGAGGAATATTCAATGACATGATAAGATGACAAGATGTACCGACTAAAAGATGCAGTTTACAAAATAATATAGATAACATTAGTTTTTAACCCTTTTTGGGTCACATACCTCTTCGAGAATCTGAATAAAAATGCGCATTTACCTTGGGCTTCCTAGCTCCCCATCTTTACCCCCAGGAAAGTTGTGTGCTGTTACTTGATTCATGTAGATTCTTACTTGAGAATGGAATCAACACCTGAAGAATTAGCTGTACTGTATTATTTAACATTTTATTTATAACCTTTCAGCAATTTTCATAATCAGCATTATCCAGTCAGAGATGTCTTCCGAATCAGGTCCCAGGCTCTGACAGCCATGTTTTTTTTTAAGATAGATGATTTGTAGTACCTCTCCAAATTGTTTCACAATTTGGAATCTTCCGGTCCTTGCCTATTCACTATTGTAATTTTACAGCAGACTACGTCAGCAATAGCAATTAGAAGACTTAGAAGCTCTATTCTAGCGCTGTTTCCAAAAGAAGTATCTAAAGGCTCTGTTTCTAAGGACTTTATTGTTCTGGTTTTTTTTTGGGTGTGCATGGCCAAGATAGTATTTAAATTTTGGCTATGAACCAACAGGAATCTCTATGGCTATCACTGGGATTGGGGTACAGGAAAGCCAAAACTCTTAAGAGGGATATTTCTCTTTTATAAAGTTATTCCATGATAGGTATGTGCTTCTTAAGCCTTCCTGATGAACCACATCTAATAAGTTCTCTAAATTTTCAAGTATAAAAATCTAATTTCCTTATCATTTAGCAAACCATATTTAAATTAAATGATAGCTTAAAAATTAAAATGTAGACAATTTTTTTTGTTTGAGAAAGAAAACCTTTTGTGAATCTTAAATAAATGTTTTTCCAGTTTCTAGTCATTAAATTTCTTAGGAATGATTTTCAACCAGGATGCTGTATTTCAATTAAAACAAACTGGGCTAAATGCAGTTAGATATCCTGGAACAGAAAGAGGACATTAGCGGAAAAACTAGTGATATCCAAAGTCTGTGGTTTAGTTATTAGAAATGCACCAGTGTTAATTTCTTAGTTTTGACAAATGTACCAAGGTTAAGTAAGATGTTAATATTAAGAGAAACTGAGTGAAGGATTTACAGGAATTCTCTGTACAAATTATTTTATAATTTTTCTATAAATTTAAAATTATTCCAAAGTAAAACATTCATTAAAATGTAAAGCAAATCGGGACATAGATTTCAGGCACCAGAATTGAACTAATTATTACAGTTGATCATTAAGTTTAGTGCCAATCTTAGAAATTAAGATAATGAGGGGTGTGAATAGATTGTATGGTTCTTATAAGAAAAAATAATAGATTCATTACCTTCACTTGAAGTTATAAAATTTTCCAGGTTAAAATTTTAGAAGGAATTTACTGCATAGATGCTTATATAAGAAATCATGAGTAACTTAAACGGTGATATGTTCAATTACTATTTAATTAAAAAACAAATTTTTTTAAAAAAAACTTTTAAGTTCAGGGGTACATGTGCAAGATGTGCAGTTTTGTTACATAAGTAAACTTGCGTCATGGGGGTTTGTTGTACAGGTTATTTCATCACCCAGGTATTATGCGTAGTATCCATTAGTTATTTTTCCTGATCCTCCCCTTCCTCCTACCTGCTACCCTCTAATAGGTCCCAGTGTGTGTTGTTCTCCTGTATGTGTCTATGTATTCTCATCATTTAGCTCCCAATTATAAGTGAGAACATGTGGTATTTAGTTTTCTGTTACTGTGTTAGTTTGCTAAGGATAATAGCCACCAGTTCCATCCATCTCCCTGCCAAGGATATGATCTCATTCTTTTTCATGGCTGCATAGTATTGCATGGTGTATATGTACCACATTTTCTTTATCCAGTCTATCATTGATGGGCATTTAAGTTGATTTCATATCTTTGCTATTGTGAATAGTGCTGCAGTGAACATATGTGTGCATGTGTCTTTATACTATGTAATAGACAATAGAACAATTTAATATACCTTTCAGTATATACTCAGTAATGGGATTGCTGAGTCAAATGGTATTTCTGTCCTTAGGTCTTTGAGGAATTGCCACACTGTCTTCCACAGTGGTTGAACTAATTTACAGTCCCACCAACAGTGTGTTCGTTTTTCTCCACAACCTCACCAGTATCTGTTATTTTTTGACTTTTTAATGATAGTAATTCTAACTGGTGTGAGGTGATATCTCATTGTGGTTTTGATTTGCATTTCTCTAATGATTAGTGATGTTGAGCTTTTTTAAATATGCTTGTTGGCTGCATGTATGTCTTTTTTTTGAGAAGTGTCTGTTCATGTCCTTTGCCCACTTTTTAATGAGGTTTTTTTTTCTTGTAAATTTGTTTAAGTTCCTTATAGATGCTGGATATTAGACCTTTGACAGATGCATAGTTTGCAAAAATGTTCTCCCATTCTGTAGGTTGTCTGTTTACTCTGTTGATAGTTTCTTTTGCTGTGCAGAAGCTCTGTAGTTTAATTAGATCCCATTTGTCAATGTTTGCTTTTGTTGAAATTGCTTTTGGCACCTTCATCATGAAATCTTTGCTCATGCCTGTGTCCTGAATGGTATTGCCTAGGTTGTCTTCCAGTGTTCTTATAGTTTTAGGTTTTATATTTAAGTCTTTAATCTATCTTGAGTTAATTTTTGTATATGATGTAAGGAAGGGGTCCAGTTTCAATTTTCTGCATATGGCTAGCCTGTTATCCCAGCAGCATTTATTGAATGGAGAATCCTTTCCTTATTGGTTTTTTTTGAGTCAAGTTTATTGAAAATCAGATAGTTGTAGTTGTGTGGTCATATTTCTGGGTTCTGTATTCCATTCTGTTGGTCTATGTGTCTGTTCTTCTACCAGTACCATGCTGTTTTGGTTACTGTAGCCCTGTAGTAGTTTGAAGTGGGTAGTGTGATGCTTCTAGCTTTGTTCTTTTTGCTTAGAATTACCTTGGCTATTCAGGCTCTTTTTTTGTTCCATATGAATTTTAAAACAGTTTTTTCTACAGTTTAGAACAGTCTTTAAAAATGGTTCTGTGAAGAATGTCAATGGTAGTTTAAAAGAAATAGCATTGAATCTATAAATTGCTTTGGGCAGTATGGCCCTTTTAATGATATTGATTCTTCCTATCCATGAGTATGGAAGGTTTTTCCATTTATTTGTGTCATCTGTAATTTCTTTGAGCAGTGGTTTGTAATTCTCCTTGTGGAGATCTTTCAATTCCCTTGTTAGCTGTATTCCTAGGTATTTTATTCCTTTTATGGCAATCATGAATGAAAGTTTGTTTGTGATTTGGCTCTTGGCTTGACTGTTGTTGGTATATGGGAATGCTAGCAGTTTTTGCACATCGATTTTGTATCCTGAGACTTTGCTGAAGTTGCTTATGAGCTTAAGAAGCTTTTGGGCTGAGACGATGGGGTTTTCTAGATCTAGGATCATGTCATCTGCAAACAGGGATAGTTTGACTTCCTGTCTTCATATTTGAATGCCTTTTTATTTATTTCTTTTGCTTGATTGCTCTGGCCAGAACTTCCAATACTATGTTGAATAGGAGTGGTGATAGAGGGCATTCTTGTCTTGTGCCAGTTTTCAAGGGGAATGCTTCTGCCTTTTGCCCATTGAATGTGATGTTGGCTGTGTGTTTGTTATATATGGCTCTTATTATTTTGAGATATGTTCCTTCAATACCTAGTTTATTGAGAGTTTTTAATATGAAGGGATGTTTTATTAAAAACCTTTCTGCATCTATTGAGATAATCGTGTGGTTTTTGTCTTTAGTTCTGTTTGTGTGATGAATCACATTTGTTGATTTGCATATGTTGAACCAACCTTGCCTCCCAAGGATAAAGCCTACTTGATCGTAGTGGATAAGCTTTGAAAACAAATGATGTTAAATAGATTTTTAAAAAATTAATCTTCCAAATGTCAAGTACCTAACTTAAAAAAAAAACTCACCCATTATTTTGGCAGAGGGGGTTGGGAGAACTAAGACAATATGCCCTAGGTATATTGCTTTTCAATTATCTTAGCTGAGAAGTTAGAAATATAGAAAGTTAGGATTATTGTTTGGAGAACCTAAATGAATGAAACTAATATATCCTTCAGGCTGTGTCTCTTAACTAAAAGGTATCACAGCTTAATCAGGGAGGGGTCATAAACTTAGTGTTGATTCAAGGGGCACTGATAAGCTTTAGGAAGGGCAATAAAACTGACAAAGATGTATTAATTTAGGAAACTTACAGGTGGTGGGTCATCCCTCTTCTACCCCAAGATAGGCTTCATGAGTCCTATTAAAATAACTTTATTTTTATCCCAAAATGAATTTTTGAATCTGCTTAAATAATTGAAGCAAGCTAATGATTGTGAGTTCTGCACCAATTTGTATGTAACAGGTGATTTTGGCTGAGAAGTTTTTGTAACTATTGCCAGTCAACTACCCAGACCATGAACAAACAAACAAACAAATAAGCACTTAATGTGTTCTTGTAGAATAAGGACTAAACTTAAATCCTGCAAAGGCTCAGTAACTCCTCTGTGGTGGAGAATGCTAGCTGTCTGCCAGAATCAGTGCTTCTATTTCCCAGGCTCCTTTGGAGTTTGGGAGGAATTGATTTGGGCAACTTTCATCCTATTTACTTAAGAGTCATCTCTGGCCCTGGACTGTCCTCTTTCCCTTTCTGGATAGCTGGAATAGAGCAGCCCTGGGAGATGCATGTTGAAGATAGCAAGAGACACTGTCTGTACCAGCTCTCAAAGGACTATGTGGCTCAGAGCTGTCTGCCAACCCTGAGCGAGTCATCTAAGACCAAAATATGACAGAGGCAACCTTCTGCATTCTCTGAGTTAGTGGGTCTTCCATCACAGCTACTTAGCCCACTTTGTCTAATGTACCTTCAAAAAACAGGGATTCTGGCAAATTGTGCTGGGGAGTATGACTTGGACCTATGATCTCCCATCTTTGACCCTAAATCTCTGCTTTAGGACTCACAAAGTCCAGTGTGTCTTTGGGCACATGCCTAAGCCTGCAGCACAGATTCCAACTAACCCAGCCACCTGCGTGGAGGCAAAGTCCATCTCACTCCCCAGGTCAAGGCTGAACAGGGCAGGGAAGAGAATGGTTGGCCTCCCCTTGTGAGAGGACCTTGCTGGTTTTGCTCCTATATGGATAAATGAAGCACAGGGGTGGACAAGAAGAATTTGAACTAGATAGGCTGGAGCCTGTTCCTCCTATTATGAGACATGTAATCCACCATAGATAAGAGTGGGGCTTAGTCAGTGTTAAGCTCTGGCCAACTGGTTCAGCCCTTCCTCCCTTGAGGAGCAACAGCAAGTAGTTAGGGAGAAAACATGGAGATTCCCTCTCCATCATTCCCCAGAAGGGAGGACACAGAAGCTCTATAGAAAAGACCTGGTATAGGGAAGTGTATATTGATTAGGGTGGGAGAAGGGGTAGAGAAAATCTTCCCTTTACTCAAACAAGTCAGCTATCAAATGTGCTTTCCGAGTTGATCTGTTGAATGAGCCTAATTGGTGGCATCCACATCAATATTAGAGAATGTTTGCCAAATATGAGAATTTTGGTTTCACTGTTTGGTAATCCTGGCCTTTTTGAGACACACCCTGTGGGAGAGGACACAGAAGCATTGGATAATAGATGCAAAGGTAATGAATCCCCAGGAAACAGAATCTCAGTCACACCCTGTTCTTTCCCATGTCCTGTGACAGGTTCCTGGGTGACTCACAGGCAGGCCCACCCTAACATTTGTGGGGTTTGAGAGAAAAGTATCAACAGTTATTCAAATGTTTTGAATCAAGCTAACAAATTATAAAATATGTGCTATTCTTTGAACCATGAATTGGAATATTTAGAAAAAGCAAGAAAATTGCCTCTGAACACTACTGCAAAGCAATCTTTAATGCAATAGTCTATTCCATTCATGGTACCTGAGGAAAGGTTGGGCAAGTTGTCTTCTCTTGTGTTTTAGCCACTCAAACCCATAAAACCTCTGCAGCAGTGTCCATCTCTGAAGTCCACAGCAGCAAGATCCACATCTCTGATGGCATTTGGATGTGAGGCAAGAGATGTGGGGAACATTTCCCTGAAGCCTGAACAGAGAAGGTCAGGAGATCTGATGTTTAGGGTCAGGGTCTCAGTTGCAAGAGCTGAGGGACAAAGCTGTCCATGTGTTCTTTAACATTATGTCTTTTTTGTGTTTGTGACATGTGGAGTCCTCCAAAGCATGGTCCCCTCTTGCCTGGGCCTAAGGGCAGTATGTCTTGCACATTCTTTTTGGACGCTTACTTGGAAGATTTCTTGCAGTTGTGAATGGAGCCACTCCTGCTCTGCTGTCTGAGACTGTATATGCTGCTCTGAGAGTGAGCTTTCTTCCTAAGGATTCTTTCATTAGCATCCTGAATGGAGGGCGTTGTCTTTTCTAGTTCCTGATAGCCCTCTTTCTAGGGAACAGGGGACAACAGCCCCAGAGTTAGCTCAGGGGCTATTTGGGCAGCATTATCCTTTGTATTATCTGGAAGCATCCTTCCACACCAACAGTCGGCCAGAGCACCCAGGCAGAATCTAGGCATCCAAGTTCTCGACCGCTTCCCCAACTTCCCTTCAGTCCCACATATTTCTTTTTCATTCTTTTCCTTCAGGGCTGACTGAGTCCTCCAGCAAATACACAGGGCTCCTACTCTCCACCCCAGTAGCCAAATACCTGAACTGGGCCTGCAGATTACCATGGCCCCTTCCCCATCCCCCATTTCCACAGTTTATGCTCAACTACATTGTCTCCAAATAATCAGACAACAGGTACAACTGCTTCATAAAGCTGTTGCAATTCCCTAGTGATAAACTCACATCAGCACCAGGGAAGATGCTTGTCTTTCTATTCCCAATGGCTGGAGGGCATCAATCTAACCCTCCCAATGGTTATGGCAAATACCAAATGCTCCCCAATGGGGCTATGTCCTGATAAGTCTATTTAAGTTGAAAAAAAATTAAGTCAAAAATGCATTTAATGCACGGAACTTACTAAACATCATAGCTTAGCCTATCCTACATTAAAAGTGCTCAGAACACTTACATTAGCCTATAGTTGTGCAAAATCGTTTAACACAAAGCCTATAATAGTGCTGAGTATCTCGTGAAATTTATTCAATACTGTACTGAAAATGAAAAACAGAATGGCTGTATGTGCACTCAAAGTATGATTTCTACTGAACGCATATGGCTTTTCCACTATCCCAAATGCCAAAAAAAGGAAATTCCTGCAAGTTGGGGACTGTTTATAATTTACACAGATGTTTAAAAGAATGGGAGGGACTAACATAGGCTCTGCTTTACATCATTTAAAATCGGGATTTCCTTTTGTCAAAAGGTTATTTCTACCTACTCTAGATTTGGGCAAGTACATTTACACAGGATTTATAGGATTTATAGCCCAAAATGTACACCATGATTATTCAGGTGTTTTTTGTTTTTGAACTCAAAGACTAACCTGCAGAAGACCTGCAGATACTGAGACAAAGATGACACTGTCCTTAACCACAACTTTCTTGAAATGCAGTAGAACATGATCATAAGGGCAACCCATCATCCTTGAGCCTAAATGTAGTATTTAATATCATTAGACTAGGGGTTTGTCCTTGAGTATGTTGAGAAGAAAGCTGATGTTCAATTTTGAGGGAAAAATAGAAGACTTCACTCGAAAATTGGTGAGTAGGATGACTCCTTTTTGGAGATGGGGTTGATTGTACTTCAGTTTTTTCCTGAGGAGTCCATACATATGTAATTAATTAGGATAGTTCAGCAAGGATTGATATCCAATTAGAATGCTACATTCCAATTTTGACCATCTCCTGGTTCATTTCTGTATGTATTTTGCTTTTAAAATAATAATTGAGCAAAATAATAATTGAACTTGGTATGTTCCAGGCACTATAGTAGGCTCTTTCCCAATGTAATAACTTACTTATTCCTGACCAAAAAACTTCTGTAAGATAGGTTTAATTGTGTTCATTTGACAGGTGATGGAGCTAAAGGTAGAAGAGGGTAGTCACGTGCCAAAAATCTCACAAGTAACAAATCTCAGAGCTGGAATTTGAGCTTGCAGCTCTATGGTCCCAGAACCTTTTGCACTAAGTCATACTGCCTTCTACAGTATTTGCAAATACACAGGTGCCTGGTCTAAACAACTCATGCTAAGGGAGTTCAGGTCTGGGGTGATCAACAGAAGTTTCACTGCAAAGGTAAACTAGGAGGTGAGAGCTAGTCCTGATATTAGGTAACACAGATCCATTTGAATACAGGAAAACATTTGCTTCCCAGAAAGTCTAGCCTGGGTAGAAACTGCCTTGGACTGTGTCAGAATGCCAGGTCCTATGGCATGTTGGTTTCATGTTCATGGGTAAAGTTAGGCTGGAGTTTTGTTTTTAATTCAGGAATCCAAAAAACGTCTTTTTTCTTTTTTTTTTTTTTTCTGTTTAGGTTTATATTTGCTTCTGGGGCAAAGCACTGGAATGAATGTGATGCAGCTGAGAAAGAATAGCAGCTTTAATATAAGCCTGCTTTTTCCTCCCTGCCAGGCCAAAAGTTTCAGCAGAACACTCCAGTGCTCTGATTCCATTCAGTTACAGCTCCTCACCATTCAGAAGCCAAAACTCAAGAGACAAGAATTGGTGGGAGCAAAAGCAGGTTTATTTGGAGGGCCAGCAAACTGAGAAGAGGGTAGACTAGTATCCTAAAGCACCATCCTAAGTCAGTACAAATTTTAGGCTCTTTTTATGTTAAGAACATGGGAAAAGGAGGAGGTCAAAATCAAGAGGTAACCAGTGATCACAGACATCTGCATGTCAGTGAGGGTCTGAGAAGGTTGGGAATTTCTTTGTCCTTGGTCAGATCACAATGCTTCTATAAACGTTTAACAAAACATAGTTGTTTACATACTTCTCCTTTAATCCCAGAGTTAGTTTAAAAAACTACAGGATTGCTGTTTTTGCATATTATCTCAGTGTTCTAAAATTATCCTAGCCTACTTGCAGGAATGGGTAGAGGCCCCTTCAACAAAAATGGAGTTAGTTTTGTTAGTTCTTTTGCTGTTTCATTGTTACACATTTGCTTTGGGCACACAGCTTTGGTCCCCCTATCCCCTATTTCAACTCTCCTGGGGTTCTCCATGTAACAAAACACCTTACCTGTGAGTTTTATGTCAACAGGGAAACGTTTAGAGAATAGTATGTGTTCTACAACTTTTGGCAACATGAACCTTTGTGAGCAGGACATTAACATTTCCTTTTCCATCATTGTTGAACTAATTTTGTGGTGCAAAATAGAGGGGATGATGATGTCACCTTGGGGATGAGAAGTGGAACTGTGAAGCAAGTTCCTCAGGGCCTCCACACACCTGCCTAGCTCTCCCCACAGGGCTCTGCATTCTTGGAAATGATCAGAACTTTCACTGAGGTTTTTTTTTTTTTTATGTTTCCTTATATCACCTCCTGATTTTATATGTATTCCATGTTTCTTTATAGCATGTGAATTAATCTTATTGTAGAGAGAGGAGGTGCAATGTAACAGTTAAAAACAGGGACCATTGTGGAAGACAGTGTGGCGATTCCTCAAAGACCTAGAGACAGAAATACCATTTGACCCAGAAATCCCATTACTGGGTACATACCTAAAGGAATATAAATCATTCTATTCTATTATAAAGATACGTGCATGCATATGTTTCTTGTAGCACTGTTCACAGTAGCAATGACATGGAGTCAACCTAAATGTCCATCAATGATAGACTGGATAAAGAAAATGTGGTACATATACACCATGGAATACTATGCAGCCATAAAAAGGAATGAGATCATGCCCTTTGCAGGGACATGGATGGAGCTGGAAGCTATTATCTTCAGCAAAAGAATGCAGGAACAGAAAACCAAATACTGGATGTTCTCACGTGTAAGTGGGAGTTGAATGATGAGAACACATGGACACAGGGAGGGGAACAACAGACACTGGGCCCTGCCAGAGACTGAAGGAGGGAGAGCAACAGGAAGAATAGCTAATGCATGCTGGGCTTTACCTAGGTAGTTAGATGATCTGTGCAACAAACCACCATGGCACACGTTTACTTATATAACAAACCTGCACATCCTACACATGTGCCCCTGAACTTAAAATAAAAGCTGGAAATTAGAAAAAAAAATGCAGGGATTATGGAGGCAACCAGATCATTTCTGTCATTTTCTAGTTGTACGGCCTTGGGTAAGTTACTCAATTTCTCTGTAAATAGTCTATAAAATGGGGAGGTAATTCCTCCCATCCAGGTTTGCTAAGAGGCTTAAATGTAAAACTGTATGCCAGCCCTTAGCAAAATGCGTACTACATTGTAAATGCTCAAAAAGCGGTAGTGATTATTGTTATTGGTTTGTCTTTCATGTTTCTAGTTTCTTGGTGAGAGAGTCATGACTATTTTTTTTTCTTCAACAGCAAGATTGATGACAATGTCTGTGTCTACACCAGCATTTCCTAATTGCCGATATAGGCCATGGAAGCAAAATGTTCTTGCCTTTGGTTTTCCCCTCCCTGCCTTGTTTCTGGGTGGTCTTTCCCCTCTCCCACTTCATCTCTTCTTCCACTCCTTACCCTCCACCACCAGATTCAGTGTAGAGAATATGGGCATGCTGTTACCAGTGTTCAGCATAATTTTAATGGAAAAATGCTATTCTTCATAATCCCACAATACTAGGCTGCTTCTGTTAACCAAAAACTATTTATTGTATAGACCAAAAAACATCTGGTGACTGAATTTTCTCTATTTTTTTTCAATCAGTCATGCAATATACACTTAATACAACTCTGAGACTCCTTGATAACAAACTAGCAAAAATGAGGATAAAACACTTTACAGACTAAAAATTCCATTTAAATCTTTGTTTTTGATCCAAGCACATACAGGGGTAGGAATGCTGAATGTTCAAAAGAGTTGTTTCTATACCCAAGAGAAGTGGCCTGGAAGGGAGGGAGAGGTCATCATCAATGAGGTGTCATTGGCAGTCACGCTGACATGGTCTCAGCCATACTTGCTGATTCCCTTGGAAGGGTGGCTCCACTCGGGGCACTGCTCAGGGTCTGGGTCAGCTCACCCCCACTCTCTATTCCTGCTGTGGCTGTCTGCACAGCCACGCCATCAGCCCAGCCATTCCTCTTCCCTTCCCAGAGAATTCATGCTTTCCTGGCACTTAGAAGCGGTGGTAGTTCTGGAAAAGGAAGCCAAAGTGAGATAGAGAGTGTAGAGCCCAGTGTGGGAGTCACTGCATGAGTAAGTCTGGGTTCAAGTCTAGGCTCTAATGCGTCCTGGCTGGGAGCCTCTGAGTAAATAATTTAGCTTCTTGAGCCCTACTATCTGTAAAACAGTGCTTCCTTTATTCATCGTTAGATATTGAGTGAGTACTTACTGCATGCCAGCACTGTTCTAGGTGCTCACTGGTGCTAGGGATGGGGGTTAGGGGCTATGGGTATAGAGAGTCCAGTTTTAAAATAAGTCAGAGAAGAATTCACTGAGAAGGTGACATCTGAGTAGACACTTGAATGAAGTGAGGGTCTCTGGGGGAAGAATGTTCTGCAAGAGGTAGCTAGTGCAAAGGCCCTGTGGTAGGAAGGAGCCTGATGTGCTAGAAGCCCAGTGAGGGCGCCAGTGTGGCTAGAGCAGTTGAGAGAAGCAGACAATAGCAGCAGATGGGTCAGCTCCCTAGCCAAGGTGTGTGAAGCCGTGTAGTCCTGGGAAGGATTGGGCTTTTACATTGAGATAGGATGGGAAGTCATTGGAGGGTTGTGAGCCAAGGACTTATGTTTTGCAAGGGTCACTCTGGTTGCTGTGTTGAGAATAGACCATAGGCAAGCCTACCCAGGAAGCAGGGAAACGGGTTAGGAGGCTATTGCCTCTGCGTGACAGGTGGTGGAGTGGACCAGGGTGTAGCTGTGGAGGTGGTGAGAAAAGGCTGAATTCTGGAGATAGCTTGAAGGAAGAATGAATAGCATTTCTGATGGAGTGGATGTGGGTGTGAGAGAAAGAAAATAGGAGAACTCAGAGGTTTTTGGCCTGAACAATTGGAAGAATTGTGTAGCTATTAACTGAGATGGGAAAGCCGGGGGAGGAAGGGATGGGAGATAGATGGAGAACTTGATGATAATAATAATTTTGCCCTGCCTCCCTCACAGGACTAAATGTGATGATTTATGTGTAATTTACCCCGCCAATATGCTCTGTGGTTACTGGTATTCAAAGGGCCCTCTCCTTCCTATGCAGAAGCAGTCTGTTCCCTGGACATGCTCCTCTCTCTCAGTCCTCAGGTGGTGCCAGTTGGTGGGGGAGAATGTTCCTGGCATGTGGACTTGAATCTGGCAGGTATCATCTGAGCTATGTTTAGGTGGATATTTTGGGATAGGTCCTCACAAATGTGACTCAAGTATGACTTAACAGTTAATATCTTTATTTCTCCCTAACAGAATATTGTTTCTAATTTTTCTTTTATATAGCAACTGATGTTGCCATGCAGATCCCTTGGTTGCTATGAGATGGTAACATCACTCTGCCCCACCATTGGCCAGTGCCTCCTCAGCTGCGGTGCCTCCCAGGCTGTGTGGTTCTCACGCGGGCCACTGACACAGAGCTGTTACTATGGTGAACTTTACAATTTCCTTTGATTGGTGGATTTCAGAAATAGGCCATCAGCGGAATTCATTATATTCAGCTAAGTAAAAATGAAAAATAAATACTATAACTTTCCCCTCATCACTAACATGAAGGAAACGTGACCCTTCATGACATAATAAATCGCTGTTCGGTAACTTAGGATCCTTCAGGGGACTGAAGCGGGATGATCCTCCTATGCCAAATTTGGGTGGGAAAGATATTCCCTGTAGCTTTGAGTCGACTCTTCAGAGTTAAGGGCAGTGGGCCAACCAGAGTTGGAACTTCAGAGTTGGGAGGAGGTGTGGGATGGGGCATGCATTGAAATGTAAACTCTATTGTCTCTGAAGTGATGGGTGATGCTGGGGGCCTGAGTGTGGAGGGCAGTTTTACATCTCAGGACAATGTTTTCTCAGATGCTCTTCCAGAAAGAAAAGCCAGGAGTACTCCTGGCTGGAGGCGGCATGCCTGAGGTCAGAGTCAAAGTAGGGTTTGTGCTGTCTGAATCCTTTCTCCCACTCTCCCCAGCCTGGCTCAGCTTCTCAGCTTCTCAGGTGGATTGGTGAGTCCTGGCCAATTACGCTTCAGCTCATCTCTACTCTCAGCAAATAGGAAAAGGGAGTGAAGGACTGAGTTTTAACTCTTCTAATTTCGTAACCTGACTCTCTATAAGAAAAAGTAGGAGAAAGACTGAAGAACCCGAGAGAACAGGTGAATTATTTTAAGTGCATCAGATCTACCTTTCTAACAAGTCTTGTTTGGAGTGATGGGGGTGTGGGTGGGGGAGGGGAGGGGAAGGCCCAGGCTAAAGGGAGGAAGAGAGTCAGGGAACCACAAAAACAAAGCAGGTAACAGATTGGAAGCCCTAGGGCTAGTGTTTGACACCCAGACTACATCAGTTTTAAAACCTCTTTGCTCTATATAATAAAGCTGTTTTTAGTAATAATCACAACATGAAATGAAAATAATGATGGCCAGAAATGTTCTTTTATGAAATTTTGTGTCGTATCAATAAAAACTAAAAATACAGTAAATGCTACAATCCAAAAAGGAAAGAAAGTTATAGTATAATATTTTTAGTTTCATTAGTGTATTTTTTGAATAAAGGGATGAAAACTTATACCTACATATTGGTCTTTCATGTCAGGCCTCTGAGCCCAAGCCAAGCCATCGCATCCCCTGTGACTTGCCCGTATATATGCCCAGATGGCCTGAAGTAACTGAAGAATCACAAAAGAAGTGAATATGCCTTGCCCCACCTTGACTGATGACATTCCACCACAAAAGAAGTGTAAATGGCCGGTCCTTGCCTTAACTGATGACATTACCTTGTGAAAGTCCTTTTCCTGGCTCATCCTGGCTCAAAAAGCACCCCCACTGAGCATCTTGCGACTCCCACTCCTGCCCACTGAGCACCTTGTGACCCCCACTCCTGCCTGCCAGAGAACAAACCCCCTTTGACTGTAATTTTCCTTTACCTACCCAAATCCTATAAAACGGCTCCACCCTTATCTCCTTTTGCTGACTCTCTTTTCTGACTCAGCCCGCCTGCACCCAGGAGATTAAAAGCTTTATTGCTCACACAAAGCCTGTTTGGTGGTCTCTTCACATGGATATGCATGAAATTTGGTGCCGTGACTCGGATCGGGGGACCTCCCTTGGGAGATCAATCCCCTGTCCTCCTGCTCTTTGCTCCGTGAGAAAGATCCACCTACGACCTCAGGTCCTCAGACCGACCAGCCCAAGAAACATCTCACCAATTTCAAATCCAGTAAGCAGCCTCTTTTTACTCTCTTCTCCAACGTCCCTCACTACCCCTCAACCTCTTTCTCCTTTCAATCTTGGTGCCACACTTCAATCTCTCCCCTCTCTTAATTTCAATTCCTTTCATTTTCTGGTAGAGACAAAAGAGACACGTTTTATCCATGAACCCAAAACTCCGGCGCCGGTCACGGAAGGCAGCCTTCCCTTGGTGTTTAATCATTGCAGGGACGCCTCTCTGATTATACACTCACGTTTCAAGGGTGTCAGACCACGCAGGGACACCTGCCTTGGTCCTTCACCCTTAGCGGCAAGTCCCGCTTTCCTGGGGCAGGGGCAAGTACCCCTCAACCCCTTCTTCACCTGCAGCGGCAAGTCCCGCTTTCCTGGGGCAGGGGCAAGTACCCCTCAACCCCTTCTCCTTCACCCTCAGCGGCAAGTCCTGCTTTCCTGGGGCAGGGCCAAGTACCCCTCAACCCCTTCTCCTTCACGCTCAGTGGCAAGTCCCGCTTTCCTAGGGGGCAAGAACCCCCCAACCGCTTATTTCCGCACCCCAACCTCTTATCTCTGCACCCCAATCGCTTATTTCCACGCCCCAACCTCTTATCTCTGTGCCCCAATCCCTTATTTCCGCACCCTGACCTCTTATCTCTGTGCCCCAATCCCTTATTTCCGTGCCCCAACCCCTTCTCTGCTTTTCTAGAGGGCAAGAACCCCCCACCCCTTCTCCATGTCTCTACTCTTTTCTCTGGGCTTGCCTCCTTCACTATGGGTAAGCTTCCACCTTCCATTCCTCCTTCTTCTCCCTTAGCCTGTGTTCTCAAAAACTTAAAACCTCTTCAATTCACACCTGACCTAAAACCTAAATGCCTTATTTTCTTCTGCAATGCCGCTTGACTCCAATACAAACTCGACAGTAGTTCCAAATAGCCAGAAAATGGCACTTTGAATTTTTCCATCCTGCAAAATCTAAATAATTCTTGTTGTAAAATAGGCAAACGGTCTGAGGTGCCTGATGTCCAGGCATTCTTTTACACATCAGTCCCTTCCTAGTCTCTGTGACCAGTGCAACTCATCCCAAATCTTCCTTCTTTCCCTCCCGCCTGTCCCCTCAGTACCAACCCCAAGCGTCGCTGAGTCTTTCTAATCTTCCTTTTCTACAGACCCATCTGACCTCTCCCCTCCTCGCCAGCCCAAGCTAGGTCCCAATTCTTCCTCAGCCTCCGCTCCTCCACCCTGTAATCTTTTTATCACCTCCCCTCCTCACACCTGGTCCGACTTACAGTTTCGTTCTGTGACTAGCCCTCCCCCACCTGCCCAGCAATTTACTCTTAAAAAGGTGGCGGGAGCCAAAGGCATAGTCAAGGTTAATGCTCCTTTTTCTTTATCCCAAATCAGATAGTGTTTAGGCTCTTTTTCATCAAATATAAAAACCCAGCCCAGTTCATGGCTTGTTCCGCAGCAACCCTGAGACACTTTACAGCCCTAGACCCTAAAAAGTCAAAAGGCCATCTTATTCTCAAAATACATTTTATTACCCAATCTTCTCCCGACATTAGAACTCCAAAAATTAAATTCCAGCCCTCAAACCCCACAACAGGATTTAATTAACCTCGCCTTCAAGGTGTACCATAATAGAAAAAAGTTGCAATTCCTTGCCTCCACTGTGAGACAAACCCCAGCCACATCTCCAGCACACAAGAACTTCCAAACGCCTGAACCGCAGCTGCCAGGGGTTCCTCCAGAACCTCCTCCCCCATGAGCTTGCTACATGTGCCGGAAATCTGGCCACTGGGCCAAGGAAGGCCCGCAGCCTGGGATTCCTCCTAAGCCGTGTCCCATCTGTGTGGGACCCCACTGAAAATCGGACTGTTCAACTCACCTGGCAGCCACTCCCAGAGCCCCTGGAACTCTGGCCCAAGGCTCTCTGACTGACTCCTTCCCAGATCTTCTCGGCTTAGCGGCTGAAGACTGACACTGCCCGATCACCTCGGAAGACCCCTAGACCATCACGGACGCCGAGCTTCGGGTAACTTTCACAGTGGAAGGTAAGCCCGTCCCCTTCTTAATCAATACAGAGGCTACTCACTCCACATTACCCTCTTTTCAAGGGCCTCTTTCCCTTGCCTCCATAACTGTTGTGGGTATTGATGGCCAGGCTTCTAAACCTCTTAAAACTCCCCAACTCTGGTGCCAACTTAGACAATACTCTTTTAAGCACTCCTTTTTAGTTATCCCCACCTGCCCAGTTCCCTTATTAGGCTGAGACACTTTAACTAAATTATCTGCTTCCCTGACTATTCCTGGACTACAGCTATATCTCACTGCCGCCCTTCTTCCCAATCCAAAGCCTCCTTTGCGTCCTCCTCTTCTATCCCCCCACCTTAACCCACAAGTATAAGATACCTCTACTCCCTCCTTGGCGACCAATCATGCACCCCTTACTATCTCATTAAAACCTAATCACCCTTACCCCACTCAACGCCAATATCCCATCCCGCAGCACACTTTAAAAAGATTAAAGCCTGTTATCACTCGCCTGCTACAGCATGGCCTTTTAAACCCTATAAACTCTCCTTACAATTCCCCCATTTTACCTGTCCTAAAACCAGACAAGCCTTACAAGTTAGTTCAGGATCTGCGCCTTATCAACCAAATTGTTTTGCCTATCCACCCTGTGGTGCCAAACCCATATACTCTCCTATCCTCAATACCTGCCTCTACAACCCATTATTCTGTTCAGATCTCAAACCTGCTTTCTTTACTATTGCTTTGCACCCTTAATCCCAGCCTCTCTTCGCTTTCACTTGGACTGACCCTGACACCCATCAAGCTCAGCAAATTACCTAGGCTGTACTGCCGCAAAGCTTCACAGACAGCCCCCATTACTTCAATCAAGCCCAGATTTCCTCCTCATCTGTTACCTATCTCGGCATAATTCTCATAAAAACACACGTGCTCTCCCTGCCAATCGTGTCCAACTGATCTCTCAAACCCAAGCACCTTCTACAAAACAACAACTCCTTTCCTTCCTAGGCATGCCTTTCTGTCCAAACAACTTGACCTTACTGTTTTAGCCTAGCCCTCAAGTCTGTGTGCAGTGGCTGCCGCTGCTTTAATACTTTTAGAGGCCCTCAAAATAAGTAGAGGCCTTTCCTACAGGGTCTGAGAAGGTCACCGCAGTCATTTCTTCCGTTCTGTCAGACATAATTCCTCAGTTTAGCCTTCCCACCTCAGTACAGTCTGATAACAGACGAGCCTTTATTAGTCAAATCAGCCAAGCAGTTTTTCAGGCTCTTAGTATTCAGTGAAACCTTTATATCCCTTATGGTCCTCCATCTTCAAGAAAGGTAGAATGGACTAAAGGTCTTTTAAAAACACACCTCACCAAGCTCAGCCACCAACTTTAAAAGGACTGGATAATACTTTTACCACTTTCCCTTCTCAGAATTCAGGCCTGTCCTCGGAATGCTACAAGGCACAGCCCATTTAAGCTCCTGTATAGACGCTCCTTTTTATTAGGCCCCAGTCTCATTCCAGACACCAGACCAACTTAGACTGTGCCTCAAAACAAACAAACAAACAAACAAACTTGTCATCCCTACTATTTTCTGTCTAGTTCATACTCGTATTCACCGTTCTCAACTACTCATACATGCCCTGCTCTTGTCTACACTGCCAGTTTACACTATTTCTCCAAGCCATCACAGCTGATATCTCCTGGTGCTATCCCCAAACTGCCACTCTTAACTCTTGAAGTAAATAAATAATCTTTCCTGGCAGGACTATGGTGAATCTCCTTAAGCACTCTCTAATCAGACATCCTGAGTCGTCCCAATTCTTAGACCTTTTATACCTGTTTTTCTCCTTCTGTTATTCCATTTAGTTTTTCAATTCATACAAAACCGTATCCAGGCCATCACCAATCATTCTATATGACAAATGTTTCTTCTAACAACCCCACAATATCACCCCTTACCACAAGACCTCCCTTCAGCTTAATCTCTCCCGCTCTAGGTTCCCACGCCGCCCCTAATCCCGCTTGAAGCAGCCCTGAGAAACATCGCCCATTCTCTCTCCATACCACCCCCCAAAAATTTCACCGCCCCAACACTTCAACACTATTTTGTTTTATTTTTCTTATTAATATAAGAAGGCAGGAATGTCAGGCCTCTGAGCCCAAGCCAAGCCATCGCATCCCCTGTGACTTGCACGTATACACCCAGATGGCCTGAAGTAACTGAAGAATCACAAAAGAAGTGAATATGCCTTGCCCCACCTTGACTGATGACATTCCACCACAAAAGAAGTGTAAATGGCCGGTCCTTGCCTTAACTGATGACATTACCTTGTGAAAGTCCTTTTCCTGGCTCATCCTGGCTCAAAAAGCACCCCCACTGAGCACCTTGCGACCCCCCACTCCTGCCCGCCAGAGAACAAACCCCCTTTGACTGTAATTTTCCTTTACCTCCCCAAATCCTATAAAACGGCCCCACCCTTATCTCCCTTTGCTGACTCTCTTTTCGGACTCAGCCCGCCTGCACCCAGGTGATTAAAAGCTTTATTGCTCACACAAAGCCTGTTTGGTGGTCTCTTCACACGGACACGCATGAAATTTCACAGTCATGAATAGTGATTTTTTGGTTTCTGTTTTTGTGATTAACTTCTGCAAATTTGTCAATGACTTTGTCAGAGTTATTTTTCTTCCCATATTCATGAAGTTTCTATCTATCTTTGATCAAGGAACATTTTTCATTAATTTTATTTTGAAAGCTTACTTTCACATGAAGGAACAGATTAAAAAAGTAAGAAAAAGCCTTAAACATAAGGATACATTTGGCAGAAATACGTAAAATCTCATTTCACAATAAATTCCAGAAAATTTAAACACAATAAAAAACTCCGGCAGTCACATAGAATGACAGAATTGAAGTAACTCAAGTTCTGTTTGTCTTTACCATCGCTGAGCTATCATTGTTTATTTCAATCAATTGTTTGAAAACGGGAATATGTAGTACAGTACCAGGGAGGCTGAGACACGAATTGTGCCCAAAGCAAGCTTTGTTTTGTACTTACTCTCAAAATAAATGCATGGAGTTAATTCTCTGAATCAACTCCCATGTAGAATGCAATGTTTACTAAGGAAGGCACAATTTTAAAAAGTGCTGAGTTGAAGCATACATTTATATTCCTAAAATTCAACTGCAACTTCAGCGATTGTGTAGAACCTAGACCAACAAAACATTTTTTTTGGTGTTGGGGAGAGCAGTTTATCACTGATATTGTTTAGAATTGCTTGCAGTGGTGATAATAAAAAGCACGCTGGCTTTCAGTGGGTTTTATTATTGTTTTTAAGTCCCTTCCAGGCCATGGACCCCTTGATTGCCTGCCCTGGGGGGTGGACCCATCTTCTTGCCCTGCCCTTGGGACCACACTGCAGTGGAATTAGCTTAAATCATTAGCTTAAATGCCTCCTTTGTCATAAAAACATTGGTGATTCCTGCAGTTTTGTGCACTATTTGTGCTAGCTCTTGTGTAGCCTAACATTTCCGCCTGAATGTTTGCCATTTTGTTCTATTCTGTAACATTGTTTTTGACCTCTAATTTCATTTTGCAATGATCTCAGCACTGGGTTTATCTTTACAAATGAAATGGTGAGAAACGCTTTGCTGAATCTTCACAACTGGTTCAATCACATGGGACAGTGGAATCAGAGACATGAGGTTGCGGGAACCATTATGGGGTTAGAATGGATAAGGGAAAGAGAAAGAAAAAATAGCAGAAGCCATGACTTGCTCTTGTAGGTTTGCTTTGTATGACACTCTTTTTCTTCTGTCACTGCATCAGACAGATATGTTTAGATACACCATGTATTAATAAATGGTTTCCTCGGTAGGGTTAAAAAGCTCCGGTGCCTGAAATTCTACCTGAAATTCTGGTATCTGAAGTTCTGTATATTCCTTTAGGTTAAATATTGTTTTCTATCCATGGGCCTTTGTAAAGTAACTACCTCTGGGAGAAGTAACACATCAAATCTTTAACACTTTAGTATAAATGAGCATATGAGATTGATTCCTCTATTATCTGATCAGCAGGCTGGGAACCCTTGGTATGCAGTCATGGAGACACCTCTAAACTCAGCCTTGAATGTATATCTTTGCTTTAAGAAATTCCAACTCCTACTTGGAGGAAAACAACAGAAAAAGACCCCCTCTGTTGATGATAGGTCTGAAGGAACTTCTTATGTAAAGGATAGCCATATTTTAATTTTATTTCTTTCCCAAGAACAAGAACCTTCTCCTGACCTGCAACACAGCCCCTCACTTTGTCCATAGAGTGCTGGAGGCTTCGTGCTATCATTTGTGTCTCATTTTTATTCTATTCACATATGTCTAGGGAGTGGGTCCTTTGAGATTTCTTCTTGGCTCTGCTTCAGGCTCCATAATAGCAATGGATCCACATTTCTTAATACAGTGAGGGCAGGTGGCAGCAAGCCAAAGCTGCCTCCGGGTGTATGTGTGCAGGAGTGGTGTTTTCAGCATGCATTGAAAAATCAGGAGCCAGCCAGGACAAAAGCCCAGAGTGACAGTGTGGCCCTCAGAAGGATGCCTGCACCAAGTTAAAAAAAAAAAATCATTTTTTTCTATTGAATTCAGTTAAGATTCTGTGCCAGGTTTTGTTCCTAGGAGCATCGTGTATGGGTGCGTGTGTGTGCCCACGTGCACACGGCTAGTTGCTCACACAGCTGCTACCTGATAAATCACAGAGGCAGGTTGTAGAAGTTGAACCTGGAGAGTGTTCAGAAGGTGGCTGAGGGTGTGTTCACACAAGGCTATCAAGGGCAAATGAAGTGGCCCTGACCTTGTTAGTAATTTGTCTCCTCTCAAGGCTTTCAAATATATTTGTGTCATTATATACCCTCAGGACATTCATTAATTGCCTATCTGGATGATTCTGTTAATAACATGTATTTATTCCAAACACAAGT
Organism: Homo sapiens; assembly: GCF_000001405.40. Lineage (NCBI taxonomy): Eukaryota > Metazoa > Chordata > Mammalia > Primates > Hominidae > Homo > Homo sapiens. The sequence continues at coordinate 64,260,022 of NC_000002.12, forward strand.
TGTTAATAGGAAATACTAAAACAAATGTGAATGTGGAATGTTTTTCGTTATTCTAGAGTATGGAACCACATATATAAATGTGGTACCACATGCATTCATACTCCATTTCACAAGCCATTGTCCCTCAGTACATGTAATAGTGTTTTCCTAGGAATGTGTGTCTAATTTAAATAGTTTTAAATAAAATCATACTTTTTTTTTTTTAGACAGGGTCTTGCTCTGTTGCCCCGGCTGGAGTGTACTGGTATGATCTTGATGCACTGCAACCTCTGCCTCTGGGGCTCAAGTGAGCCTCCCACCTCAGCCTCCCAAGTAGCTGTGACTACAGGTGTGTGCCACCATGCCCGGATAATTTTTATATTTTATGTAGAAACAAGGTTTTGCCATGTTGCCCAGGCTGGTCTTGAACTCCTGAGCTTAAGCCATCTGCCTGCCTCGGCCTCCCGAAGTGCTGGGATTACAGGAGTGAGCCCCTGCACCTGGGCAATAATCATACTTTAATCTCTCTAAAAATTTAGAGTTCCGGTTGCAAAACTTCCCTTTCTGCAAAGAATGAGTTAAGAATGAGAGGGTCATTGGCCGAGTCATTTTCCCTCTGTGGGCTTAGTAGTCTCATCTATAAAAGAGGGTGAGTGTAATGAAAGATTTCTAAGATCCCTTTTCAGCTTTATCATTCTGGGTTCTAAAAACTGTTTTGTAGTGTGAATAATCACTTCATAATGTGCCCATCATCTTTTAAAATCTGAGATTTTTACTCTTGGCTGCCTTAAGAGGGGTTCAACTGAATTGGGACTAGCAGGTTGTCTGAATTCGTTACTCATCTCCTTTATTCTTTTGGGATGAAGTGGAACAAGTGTTAAGTGATAAAGCTATAAAAGCACACACAGATCAACAGGAAGACAGAGACAGGAAGAGAAGTGGAGACGCGTCAGCATTTTCCCGAGACAGCTTGATCTCGGAAAGCAGAAGTGGAAGTCCCTGTTGTTGGCTCACAGCTTTAGCGCACTGACCTGTCGGTCACAAGCCTTTCCTGGAACCTGGTGGGTTTCAAATGCAAGTGGCTGTGCTGCGGGTGTCTGTGCAGGAGAGGAGTCTGTGAACTGTATGAGTTACAGGAGGTTAATCCACACGGTCAATGCTGGGGCAAGGCCCTCCCATCTTCACCCTGTGAAATTGTCCCCAAACCAAAACATTCATTGAATGAGTTTTTTCTTAGTATTTCTATTGTGGGAAATTAAAAGCCCTTTCCTTGCTGATGGTAAAAATTAGGTAATTTTGTGGCATCAGTGGCTTTCGGTAGTGTAAACCTACTCTTGGAGCAAAGGTCTATTGGCTAAGAATATTTATTAATATATTTTGAAGAGAATTGACACAGGATCAAAGGCTGTTTTATGTATAATCATTTCAAAAACCATAAACCTGTTATTAATTGTTTTAATAACTCTTATATCATCAATAAACATACCTTGGCTATATTTTACCTACATAATTTTGGCTGAATTGATGGGAGTAAATACTACAAAGGTACAGTCTAACCTGGAGTGGGATATACTCCTGAAAATACTGTCAAATTTCAGCGTTCTCTAGATACCTCATTATTTATCAAAAGTTAATAATTAGGGATCTAAAGCCACCATATGATATTGTCACAAAAGTGGTAACTAAACCCCACATCCAGTAACAAGATAATTAAAACCTAAATCTGAATATGGGAGAAAATAGAGTTTAAAGGGAAGTGTGTAGAAGAGGTGCTAGGAAGTTACTGAAGGCAAATTCCACTTGCTCAACAATTCTCCTGTGGACCACGGTGGTAGCCATCAGAGTGGGACTGGAAAGACATGGCACACCATATAAATGTTAGCAGGGCGCTTTGTAAATTGAATATATTTAGTGTCTATTGAACGTTTAGTCTGAGGGTCCATTTCTACCTGCCTGCCTTGAGGTCTTGTTCTCAGTGCTGCTCAGTCGTGACACATGACAGAGGTGTGGCTGAGATCAGCTAGGACCCCAGCTAACTCTCCTGCTTTTCCCAGCTGCACTCTCAGTAGACCTTCTTTTCTAGTCTCCCAGGCTTAATTGAAGCTGTTGTTTTGCTCTTGGATCCATTCTTCCTTCAAATCTATGAAAAAACTACTCGAAAGAAGATTGTGAGCTCTTGCTGCTCCTGATCCCTGAGCAGGAAAGGTGACTCTAATATGATTAATGAGCTCAGCTGGACTTTGCCCCCTGACCTAAGTGATGATGTGGGCTCCCGAGAACATTTAGAGGAGGAGCAGGAAGAGCTCCAGCATGCTGTGATGTCAGATGCCCTCCTGGAAAGGTCTGGGCCTGGAAGAGGCACTCTATCCCAGCAGGATCCCCTGTCAGAGTGTGACAGAAACATGCGGAAGGGGACAGCTACCCACCCACTCACCAATAATAATTCCACCCCTCTGCTAGCTATATGTGCCCTCTGATTCAAGGATGTTCCTGTTAAACATGGTAGCACCTAAATTAATGGGGAAAATGGCTTGAATGGGATACAGAAAGGAGCTTAGCCAAGAGGGAGAACCAGGCGGGAAGGAGATGGCCTGAACTGCAACCAGCCGCAGTTCTCAAGCTCAGAAGGGCTGTCATCACCACCCAAACCATGCTGAGATTAGATGGTGGCTGTGACCTTCTTGGTAAACTGTGTAGTGTTTATTGTATGGATTCAGTTCTTCTCAGTAAGCTTTTCTTTCTTTTAAGAAACATCCCTTCTTGGAGAGGAGAGGTCTTTGAACTGAGTGGGCACTTGACGCTTGTATTGGCTGTGCCTGGAGATGGTGGCTTGTCTGGGATGAAGGGCTTGAGCAGGGGCTGGATCTAGCCTGCTTGGCTTGCTGAGCTGCACCTGGCTCAGGACTGGGTCAGCTATGGGAAGGAGCATCTTTGCGGAACTGGTCTGCCTTCTAGTTTGCAGAAAGGCCTCTTAAGGTGCTAGTGGTATGTGACCACCATCCCAGGAGGGTCCAGGAGCAATGTGCAGTGCATCCTGGTACCAGCAAGGTAGCTCATGCACATACCTGAATGGAGCCCGTTCCTGTTTTAGGTTGCTGCTTACCACTCTTGTACCTAAAGAGAAACAAAACCGTGGCCTTCAAGAATTGGGTGAATGACTGTGCTGACCTACTCTGCTCTTGATGAGACCTGAGACTCCCTCCAGCATGGACTTAGGGAATAAACCCTCTACCCAGAGACAACTCAGAAGACCTGAGTTTTTGCTCTGACTCCATCTCCAAGAGCAGTTTTATCTAGGGTGAGCCTTTTAACCCAAACTTTAGAACCTTCATTTCCTTACCTGTAAATGGGGATGAAAATTTTCACATTCAGGGATCGTCCTGAGGATTAAACAAAAGAACGCTCTGGCGAACATTTCTGTGAGCTGTAATATCCTGAACAAATGCAAATGTTAGAAGCGATTATTACTTCCTATGCATGCTTAGCCTCTGATTCACCTCGGGATGGGAAACCAGATGTTCTTGTTTTCTTTGTGCAGTGGCTACTTCAAAGTCTTGCTAAGTCTACTTAATAATGCTGGTGTGGAGTGAGCCCCAGCATTCTGGAAACAAGGCTGCACCGTGCTCTCTGTTGCTATTTTGTTGTGAGAGACTTCTTTAGAGATAAATAACACTACTCATGGGGACTTCAGAGAGAATATCTATGTGCTATAAAAAAAAGTTTTACTTTGTGAAGTTCAATATAATATCTTTGTGAAATTTATGAATAAGACTAAACATTTGGGTGAGACTGAGACAAATGGCAATCTCCTGGGTTGTGTGTTTTTGACCCCACAAGTGCTGCCATCTTTAGCACTCTCAAACTCCTTTCAGACCAACCTCTCTTTTGAGTCTTTCTCCACGTCCTAATAACCCTCTCGATTTTATTAAAATACTCCATAGGTAGGTCTGAAACTTGGGTGATGGGCAGGTGAAGTATAGATAGCTATTAAGCTTAAGAAATTCCCCAACCCCAAAATACCTCTAAAGTATTCCATTGCTAATGACCAAAATTCTGTTATTAGCCATTAATTCCTTTAGATTAAGAAAATTATCTCCCTATTAAAATTTAAGTCATCCCTGGAGGAGTAACTTTTAAAAGTGCTATACTTTCATGTGAAGGGCTTTATTCAGGGGATGGGGAACTTTTTCTGTTAAGGATCAGAAAGTAAATATTTTAGGCATATGGTCCATAAAGTTTCTGTTGCGACTGCTCAGCCCTGTCTTTGTAGGATGAAAGGCAGCCACAGATGGTACACAGACAAATAAGCATGGCTGTGTTTCTATAAAATTTTATTTAAAACAGCAGGAGGTGGGCTGCTTGTGGCCCCTTGACTCAACTGAATCCTCTCAAAGTGGGCAACCAGCTGAGAGCCAGACAAGGAGGAGGAGAGAAGGAGCATCTTGCATCTAGTGTACCAGAAGGGGAAGTGACCAGTAGGGTGTGAAGATGTGGAGCAAAGAGCCACGGTGGACCCTCAAAGCCAAGTTTCATAAGAGCTAGTCCTGTTTAGCCATTTAGGCATTTTTTGATGAGTGGAGAATATTTGACTCAATATGTTTACTACATATATTTCTACACTTTTTTATTTCATGGTGGTGAGGTGACACTTTTTTTCATTCATTTTCATTTGATTTAGTGTATCATTCTTATTTAGTATATCAATTACGTAGTTACAGGAAAAGGCAGCTGCCATTCTACCATCTAGCATCTTACAGTACTACTCATATTGTAGAAGTTGCTAAACATTAAAGGGAAATACTTTTGAATACAAGTAAATTTCAGGCTGTATTATGCTCTCCCCTTCCTCTGTTTGTTTGAACACTCTTTGACAGTTGAATTACATTGCAGACGGTCTGTGAAGTGAATGGTGGTCTGATTTCCTAGGATCAGTGCATAAAAGAAGCTTTTTCTTTTTTGTCCAGACAGCATTTTATTTCAGGATCAATGGTGGCTGATGCATGGTGCTTATTCTTAGTCGTGACATGTTCTTGAAGTAAAAAGAGAATTATTTGTAAGCCTTTGAAGGCCCATTCAGGTGTTGGGCACGCGCTGCAGAGCTGGGCTGTGGACCCAGCCCATGGAGGGAGTGAGCATGCATGGTGTCTCAGGAGCGGGGTAGATTTGAGCTAAGACCTTACTTTCTCTCACCCAGACCCTCCTGTGGCAGTCAGCGCAACATGGAAGACAATAAGTTTGGAATTAGGAATGAAGCCTGCAGCTGCAGGCCAGGCAAGCTGGAATCATAACTACAGCCCAAGAAAATGAAAACTGACCACTAGGGTGGGGAGAGGAAGGGCAGTGGGCTTGTTGAATTGATGCTTTCCTTTTTCTCTGAGACATGCTGGCTTCTTTCCCCCTTTGGGAATAGGCTCAATGTCTTGGAGACAGTCTAATTACTTTTTATACATTCATAAAGAAGTTTATTTTTGGTAAAGACACTCAAACTAGAATATACTTGATTGGTTTACACTGAAAAAGTAATTTGGGACTCATCACTCAAATTGCATTAAAAATGCTGAAATGCATTCCAGTCATTATCTAGTCTAGCCTACTTCTTACTGTATCAGAGAGATGGAATAACATCCAAATTACTAGTCCTGCATATATTTTATGTTCCTAAATCTGAACTAGTAAGAGAAAAACTCTCCTTGTTAAAGGGAATGTTAACATTCACTAGGAGGTTTGTACATGGACTCCTCCCCTCCATCTGCAGAGTATTGTCGAGGATCTGAATACAGAAAGGACATAACACCCTTGTCATCTGTGCTAGGCATAGCCAGACCTAGAGGAAAGGGCAGTATTGCATCTGCATCAGTAAGGGGGCTACCAGGGAAGCAGAGGGAAGCGGAACATAGGGAAGCAGAACCAGCAGGACACACACACACACACCCCCACCCAAGTCAGTTCTTGCTATTCGTGATAGCAGTGTTCTATAAAGCTGTCACAAACATTGAAATAGCAAATGCTGAACCATTGCTCCTAGGGGATCTACAGGGTTAGGTTCCTATGAACCTCTGGTCACAACATTTTCATCAACTGATCAAGATATTACCTTGTTTTATGTGTGTTTCTGTTTAAAGACACCTTATTTAATATATACTGTTGATGCATTAACATTGAACTCATGGCCAAAACATTACCACCCATGCCTGAATGAAGCTTATCTAACACACGTATTTTCCCTGTGAGGCACATCACAGTCTTCTGGTGCTTAGAAACACCAGACAACACCTCAGCACTACACTCAAGGGTCATTTTAAACAATGAAATCACCAACAAAAAGCACAAGAATGTGAAAATCATGGCACTAAATGAACTGTGAGAAGGACAGTTGTTTACAGTATGAGAGCTGAAACATGAAAGTGCTGCCTCAATTGACTTCAGCTGAAAAATTTGTGCATTGGGTGACTTAAACTTTTCACTGCTTTGAGCATGTCTGTGATTGATTGCGGAAGCACTGCAAGTATTGGTTTTGGGGTTACAAATGAATTTTAGAAAGTAGGCAAATTTCCAAATACATAATCCATCGATAATGAGGATCAACTCTACATTACAAAAGTTTTTCAAGAATTGGCTTGTGTGATTGTGGGGACTGACAAGTCTGAAATCTATAGGTCAGGCCCGAGGGCTGGAAACTCTCCCACAGGAGCTGGAGCTGCAATTGACAGGTGGATTTCTTCTCCTTGGAGAAACCTCAGTTTTTCTCTGAAAACTTTCAACTGATTACATGAGGCCCATAGAAATGATCAAGAATAATTCCTTTACTCAAAGTCAGCTGATTGTGGATGTTGATCACATCTACAAAATGCCTTCGCAGCAATACCTAGACTAGTGTTTATTGAACAACTGGGTACTATAGTCTAGCTCATTTGACACATAAAACTAACCATCACAGTACCCAATTTAGAGCTCCTGGAAAGCAGCCGCGGAAGAAATCTTCCCTCTATATTTTCCTAGATTACTATGAGAGAGCAGTAGCCCCTCAACCCTGTCTGCTGGCCTGGGTCACAGTGTTTGTTCAGCATACTCTGAGGCTCACTCTGTAGAGGGACCTTACTCAAAGCACTGACCATAGTGTGGGTGATGAGAGATCCTTTTTTTCAAAGCATTAAAAAGGGGTAGAGACTTAAGCCTCTTCCCTGGACTCACCAAATATGACCTTTCTTTTGCCCATTGTTTTGGGCTGTTTTTTGCTGTGAGTCTCTTCCAGTAGCCAGTTGCTCAGCTTCTGCCCTGGAATTAACAAGAGGACTTTGACTGCTCCCCTGATCAGTGGGGGCTGATGTGTCTTCTCAGCAGTGTTATTGGGCAGTAGCAGTCTTATTGCCCAGGCTGTAGAGTACAAGGCTTTCTCCTTCCTCTTGGGACCATGATGTTTAGGAGAAAAAGAAGGAGACACCTTAACCTATACTCTATCCCCTTGATATTCAAAGTGTGGTGTATAAGCCAGCAGCAGCAGCATGACCTAAGAATGTGTTAGAGATGTAGAGCCCCAGACCAACTGAATTAGAATCTGCATTTTCTGTGAGACTCATATTCACACAAAAGTTTGAAAACATACTCTAGGTAGCTATCTGGAGACTTCTGGTCCTTTAGCCCTCATTGTTTAGGTCCTGAGCCCTGACCCATTTTTCCACCTATTTTGAATTGGATATCCCAGAATAACCCTGCTCCCCCTGGCACGGGTGGATGAACACCCCATCCTGCTTCTTGCAACTGGCAGCCCTTGAATATCCCTACCTGCCAGAGTGGCCTGCATTTTTCCTTCCCTTGTTTGGGCATGACATCCTATATCCAGGCCCTCCCCAGGAACACTACTTCTGCCCCATCCCACTCTGTGTTCCTGCCAGCCCTCCACCCCCTAGAATTCCTTTTGGATTCTGCATGCCAGAATATGTAGGGAAGAGTGCCTGGAATTTCCTCCTCAGAACTGACTTAAATGGATTCAAACACTGGTGAGCACAGTTCAGAGAGGAAGTAGGATTAGCTGAGAGATTCAAGGAACAAGGGGTCAGTTTCTGAGTATCCCACTTCTGAGGTGAACATAAGACTCCATTTAAGCTTCCACTGCCTCAATTCTAAGTTGATGGGAAAGCTACCTTTGAACATTTCTGTGAAACTCATTAAACTAGTTTGAAATCTTAAAGGCTCTCCATACATTTGCTTTTGAGGCCAGTTTAACAAGGAATCCATGGCCAGCAAAGAGTTATGCTGCTGACTTTACTAGAACTCTAATGGTCCCTTTTGTTTTTATTAAACGTGGAATCCATTAACCTGTCATTATGGGATATCCCCATGCTATGGAGGCAAATGGTTAATTGAGTGGCACACCTTTAATAGTATAGTCTGTAATTATAAAAGCTATTTTTAAAACCCCACATATGAACATTACCAAAGAAGGAGGAATTCTCACCATGAAAACCAGCTTTCGGCTTGGACAGCAATTACTCGTATTTCCTTTCCCTGGCATCAGGAAGACAGGAGTAGACAATGGATTGGTTCCAAAAATAATCTCAAGCTTTTCCCACTTACAGTATGTCAATTGCCAGGCTTGTCTCCCATGTCTCCAGAAGTGGAAAAACATATACATAGTCACAAACTGCACAATCAACTCCAGCCTGCAATTTGCTGAGGGTCATTTTCTTGACTGGTCTGAATTACCACGTGGTTAATTTGATTGTCATTGCATCCAGCTGGACTAAGTGCAGGTCGATAGATGTGCGAGGTTACTTGAGCAGAGCAAATTAATTATACAAGTGAATTAACTTAAACATGCTTGGAACACCCTGAGCTACTGTACTACTCCAGGGGCGCCATTGGTGTCCTTGTAAGTGGAGTTCGTGTGCAGTTCACAACCCGTAGATAGCAGCCTGGGAGCGCTCTTTCCTTGACTATGTGTGGTTGATGACTTGCCATCAGTCTGTTTCAGCCTAAGTATTACCTCCTCAAAAAGGCATCCTTGACCATTTCATCCTCACTCCCCAGTCATTAGGTTTATTTTTCCCATGGTACTTACAGTCTGAAATGATCTTGTTTAGTCTCTGCCTCTCTACACCCAACTGGAAGTTTCTGGAGGGGAGGGATGCTGGCTATCTTGTTAGGAACCTATTTGACACACAGTAAGTACTTAATAGGTATTTGTTGAATGGGCAAATTAGATACTTGGTATGTGCTTTTGAAATCCCTAAGAAGTGGCAAATTACATTAGAAATATTTTATCCTATCACCAAAATGCTAAGGTAAATTTTCTTCTGGAAATTTTTACTATGCTTATATAGTTTTATTTCTGTCCCATGTTTTACTTTGTCTTATCTTGTCTTCTCCCTACCTCCTGTGATCTTGATTAAGGTACAGATAATGACCTTAAACATCCTTAAAATAACAGAACCAACTGGTATTTGAGTACCTACTGGATATCATGATGAAAACCATGGGCCTTACATGAATGATGAGCTAAGACATAAACATGAAACACTGACAATTTTAAATTATTCAAGCTATCTCTGTGTTCTTCGGGGTTGAGGTGGAAGAGGACTGTCTTTCTTGACTTTCCATTCTTTGCTCAACATGCTTAAAATAAAAAAGACATACCTTTAAAATATATCTTTTTTAGTACAATAAAAATGTTAACACCAATTTGCAGAAAGAAGAGCTGTCACAAGGAAATACATGAATAGCTGCCAAATTAATTGTACATTTGACCCTTGAACTACATGGGTTTGCACTTCAAGGTCCACTTAAATGCAGATTTTCTTCTGCCTCTTAAGCTCCTGAGACAGCAAGCCCAACCCCTCCTCTTCCTCCTCCTCAGGCTATAAAGATATGAAGACAATGAGAATAAAGACTTTTATGAGGATACACTTTCACTTAATGAATAGTAAATATATTTTCTCTTCCTTATGATTTTCTTAATAACGTTTTCTTTTCTATAGCTTGCTTTATTGTAAGAATACAGTAGATAATACATATAACATAAAATAGATATTAATTGATTGTTTATGTTATTGGTAAGGCTTCCAGTCAACAGTAGACTATAAGTAGTTAAGTTCTGGGGGACTCCAAAGTTATATGTAGATTTTAGACTGCAAGGGAGTTTGGTATCCCTAACCCCATGTTATTTAAGGGTCAACTGTACAACCATGCCTCCTACAGAGGCTTGTGAGTTTATTTAGCCTGAGATAGAGATTTTATGAAGGTTGGCACTGAGTCTCAGGATCTAAAAGGGTATATAGTCGAATTGGCTATTTGAACCTAAACTGTTTCCACCAATGGGATTAGAATATTTCTGAGCACATCTGACGAGCCAGCTGGGCTATCAGATGTCCATTTGCATAAGTCAATTGTCAAGAGTTCTCTATGGCACAGGGACAGTAGAATGGAAAGGAAAGTATGGGGCCTGTTGAGGCCCCTGCCAGTCAAGGGCCTCTGATCTGAGCCTATGGAAGAGGATAGATGCCAAAGGAGTGGCTTTCAGGAAGGATCTTAGTTACAGGGCTGTGAGTGGTGTTTCTTGGCATCCCTAGCACCTGCGCCTTGAGGACTCCAGGGGCTACAATGCTGGCACCTTAAGGGTGCAGCCTTGGGGTCATCAGGAAAGAGGACATTATGATATTCATGGAAGGCTTGAGCAGGAGTGGCTGCCTCAGCTGGAAGCATAACAGGGGGAGGAGGGTAAGAGTGGCTGAAACAGGAGAGGAAGAACATGGCAGGAGACACATTTGTGGGGTATTGTGAGGACACATCAAACATCCCCCAGGGTGAAATTTCTGGCTATGACTTTGAGGGGCCCAGAGGTTCTGCATCACTCAGGTGTGGCCAGATGCAATGGGGGGAGCTGCTATTGCTGTGATTCATAGGTCAGTGGAGCTAGGCAAACTCAGATTATAGAATCGGTATGGAGATATTTGAAGAGAAGAGTTGGTCACATAACATGGTGGAAAGATGTGAGCAAAAGGTTGGCAGTAAGAACATGCATATGGCATTCCAGAGACAGGGTCTTGTTGAGGGTGATGGGACATCAAGCTGTAAAGATGGACTGTAGCCAGAAGCAGAAGGCCCTTGCTATCATCTGAATGTTTGTGTCCCCCTAGGATTCATATATTGAAATCCTAACCCCCAAGGCAATGGTATTAGGAAATGGGGCCTTTAGGGAAGTGATTAGGTCACAAGGGTGGAGCCCTCATGAATGGGATTAGTGCCCTCATAAAACAGACCCAAAGAAGCTCCTTGGCCCCTTTCACCATGTGAGATTACAACTAGAAGATGAATCCTCACCAGACACAGGATTTACCTTCATGTTGGACTTCCCAGCCTCTAGAACTATGAAAAATAAATTCCCATTGTTTATAAGCTACCTAGTTTCTGGAATTTTGTTATAGCAGCCTGAACTGACCAAGACAGCCCAGAATGGCCAAGGTGAGGAGGTTGCCACTGGAGGCTGATCAGAGGAGAATGATGCAGGGAAAGCAAGAGTCAGGGAATTTACCTGGACCAGGTGTTTAGCAGTAGTTTTGAAATTTGCTTTAGCAGTAGAAACATTTGGTCAAATGAAATCTAATGAAGACACTGCACAGGTATGAAGTAGATCAGACAGGAGTGGTAGAAGGAAGTGTAAAGCAGTGGATAAAGATGGGGCTGGGTGCAGTGGCTTACACCTGTAATCCCAGCACTTTGGGAGGCCGAGGTGGGTGGATCACAAGGTCAGGAGATGGAGACCATCCTGGCCAACATAGTGAAATCCCGTCTCTACTAAAAATACAAAAATTAGCTGGGCATGGTGGCATGTGCCTGTAATCCCAGCTACTTGGGAGGCTGAGGCAGGAGAATCACTTGAACCAGGGAGTCGGAGGTTGCAGTGAGCCGAAATGACACCACTGCACTCCAGCCTGGTGACAGAGTGAGACTCTGCCTCAAAAAAAAAAAAAAAAAAAGATGGGGCCCAGGGTTCAGGGTGATGCCCCACTGGTTGCTTTGCAGTGGTGGGATGGTCTGTAAGTTTAAACTTTTTTCAAACCTGTTTTTTTTCTAATTTACTATAACAAATTGTTATTTATTTTGTGATTTAAAAATCCAAAGCTATTTTTAAAACTAAAACAATCCATTGCTTCGTTTTTAGAATCAGTTCATAGGCTGTTCTCAGAAAAACTTGTCACATTCTTACTCTGGACCTCACATTTCTTTCCAGCACATCTTGCATGCTCTTTAGTAATTGTAGTTCAATTCACAGACGCACCCCCTGCCCCATGTTACCTCCCTAATCAGTCTGTAAACTGACTAAGGTCAGCTTGTCTTACTCCATGGCTCCTTCCTATTCATTAATAGGTATTCAATTAATGCCTGCTAGCTGAGGAAAGATCCCTCTGCTGAACTGGGGGGAAGCAGGGTTAGGAAACTTGTAGGTAGCCATTAAAACCCTGTTTGGAATGTGGCCTACACCTTGGGAACTTTTGCGTGTATCTGTTGACTTGTTTTTTTGTTGTTGTTTTTGGAGACAGAGTCTCGCTCTGTCGCCCAGGCTGGAGTGCAGTGGCGCGATCTTGGCTCACTGCAACCTCTACCTCCCAGGTGCAAGCAATTCTCCTGCCTCAGCTTCCTGAGTAGCTGGGACTACAGGCACATGCCACCACGCCCGGCTAATGTTTTTGTATTTTTAGTAGAGACGGGGTTTCACTGTGTTGCCCAGGCTGGTTTCAAACTTCTGAGCTCAGGCAATCCGCCCACCTCGGCCTCCCAAGGTGCTAGGATTACAGACGTGAGCCACCGAGCCCGGCCGACTTGTTTTTAAATCAATTACCAAATTCCCACTGCTATCTAAAATGACACAGCCACTGCTATCTATTGGGTCCTAGCCCAAAAGACTGTACCCAAGAGACTCTGCCACTCACACAGGAGAATGTAATCTTTAACTAATTAGGTTAGGATGCACAAAAAAGTGTGGGAGGCTGGACGCTAATATAGCTTAGACTTGAGGAAATGCCAGGGTGATGGGTAACTTGCTCCATGTGTTACTTGCAGGCTTCAGACCTGCCAGATGTGCATCTCATAGGCATTTCAAATCACACCATCACCTGCCCCTGCAAAGCTGTTTTGCTCTCTTACCCTCTCTCCTGCCCTGCTGTCTCTCTCTCTCTCTCTCTCTCTCTCTCACACACACACACCCCTTAGTGTTGTGCTTTCTTTTGTTAACTCTTTTAATCAGACTTTGATTTTCTAGATCTGTATGTTTCAATTAAATCCTAGTCTCTTTTGGACATTGAACTTGCAGAAGTTTTTTCCTGTATCTTCAGTTCTTGGTTCTTCTGATAAGTGCCTAAGGAGAAACAAATAAACAAACATGAACAAAGAGATAAACAGCAAAAACCACTCCCGGAGGCCTTCACATGGAACCCATTCATTATGTAACAACAAAAGGCCCCAAACAACTGCAGACCAGCATGACATATCGATGACTTATTCTTTTTAATATTAATGACAGTCTGAAGGAAGTTGTGGTGACAAGTCAGGGATTAATACTGCTATCTCTTTATGAATATCTGATCTATTAACACCACTGGGCTTAATGGGATTCATGAGTCTCAGTCACTGTCATGTCATTGCCCATATTGTGCAATCAGAGATCAGTTTTGCAATGGCTGATAAAAACAAAGGCCCAGAACCAAGGAGTTCCAGCAGAGAGGAAGGAAATGAAGCTTCCTGCTGGCTGAAGCTGCTCACCCAAAAGAAAGGGAATTAGATAAAGTGAAAGGTATTTCTCAGAGATGGGCCCAAAGCTGCTTCTGTTTCCTTGTGGCCTCAGGCTGGCTCTAGCTAGTAGGACACCATGACCCAGAGTAACTAAAGGGAATTATTGGCATCCTCCCACGAGCTCCTACCAGGCCAGTGCCAGAAACACTCATCTACTCCCTTATGGAAGATCACTGAGTCATGAGATCTGTGGTTTGTCTGATTCTCCACTTCCCGAAGCCAGCCAAGGCTAACCGACCTGGGATTCTGAGAGACTGTCCAGGTGAGCTCGGGTGCTTCAGTAGCAACTGGCCTTCTGGGTGTGCCCCAGAGCAATTCTGAGTCCAGAGATCGTTTCTGGCACCACCCTCAGCTCTCTCAGGGTTCTGGGAACCCAGTGATCAGAGGCTGGCTGGCTGTGAGATGTTCTTTCTCTTACCCTGTGGTGGGCTCCACATTGCAGTCACTTCATGCCTGCTGCTAAAAACCTAGGCCAGGCTTATTACCTTTCATCCAGACCAGAACTGAAAGCAGTTTCCATCTCCTGGGCCAATTCCAACTAATTGGTAGTGGCTGCCCGAGCACTGTGTAGAGAAAGATTTTGAGTTCAGCAGCAGAGTGTGGTTGTCCATTGGTGACGATTGCCAGAGGCACAGGTGGGTCACTGCAACTTGCATTCTGTGTGTTTACTAATTCTGATCTGGACCATTACATCAGCCTGCTAAGTGGTGCACTTACCTCTATTTCCTTCCAGAAAAAAAGATTAATCTTCCAGAAGCATTCTTTGATAAGAGCCTTATCAAAAAAAATTTCAACTCCACTCCACTTTAGCAACTCAGACCTGTTCTACATTTGTGATCAATCCTTCTCTCTCTCTCTAGCATATATATACACACATATGTAATTATATATACACATACAATTCTATATAATTATATATGTATGTATATGTATACATGTGTGTGTCTTCTGTGACTCTTGCCAGCAACCTCAACCCACTTTCCCCTTCCTTTTGCTATGTCAGTCTTGCAAACCTTTCTCTGTGAATCAGTTTTCTCTGTGAATCATTTTCCCTCTTTCTTCCTACTCAAGGACTCCTGAAGGAGGCTAGAGGAATACACACTCTTGTGGTTTGGGTTCTACACAACCTGGGGCCTCTGACCTCGGCTGGGTTCTTAGCACAGTGACCCCTCACAGGCCCCTGGTCAGCATCCTTTCCTCCTGTTCTGTTTCTCTCTCATCTTAAACCCTCACTGCTGTGTTGCTGTCCCCTCCCCAACCATGACCACCTTTCTCTTGGCAGACCACCAAGGCTCCTGTCTTAGTCATAGTCTATATTTTATCATAGAATTATAGAATTCTGTAGTCATGCAGGTGCATGGCTACACCATGCCTGGCTAATTTTATGTAGTTTTAGTAGAGATGGGGTTTTGCCATGTTGGCAAATTCTATAATTCTATAATAAATTGTAGAATTTATTCTATAATAATAATTTATATTTATTAATTAAATATTTATAATAATTATAATTCTATAATAAATTCTATAATTTATTATAGAATTATGGTGTTCTATAATAAAACACCATAGACTGGGTAGCTTAAAAACAGACATTTATTTCTCACAGTTCTGGAAGCTGGGAAGTTCAAGATCAAGGTGCCAGCAGATTTGATTCCTAGTGAGGACCCATTCCTGCTTGCAGATGGCCTTCTTCTCACTGTGTCCTCACCTGGCAGAGCAAGAGAGGGCTCTGGTTTCTTCTTCTTATAAGGGCACCAATCTCCTTATGAGGGCTCCACCCTGATGACCTCCCAAAGGCTCCACCTTGCAATGTCTCACACTGTGGATTAATTAAGGCTTCAGCATAAGAATTTTGGTAGTTGGGCTGGTGTTCACAAACATTCAATCTATAGCAGCTTCTATTTCACAAACTCCCTGAATTCTCATCCTCAGAGCTGCAGGCTCTTCTGCAGCCACCTCACCTTCCAAGCCCTCTCCTGTATTTTCAAAGAAAAGCTGAATTCTCACCAGCCCAGAGCCCTCACTGGTGCTCTAGCTCCAGTCTCTCATGAGCCTTTGCTGTCTCCATTATTCCTTTTTTCTTCTTCTCTGCATTTCTGGACCCTCCCTTGCAGTATGGGAACATGGTCAGTAATCTTCCTTTAAAATAAAATGCTCTCTTCTCCTTCACAGCTGAGCTCCTGCAGTTGATTCCCTCATGACCCCGTCCACTTACCTGCCTTCTCTGTCCATTTTGCAACAGGCAATATCACTTTTCCTAGCTTTCTTAACACCAGGCCTTCTGGATTCTCCTCTTTGCCCTTTGATTAGTCCTCTTCTACCTCTATCCTTTATTTTAAAATTTTTTTTGAGATGGAGTCTTGCTCTGTTGCCCAGGCTGGAGTTCAATGATGCAATCTCAACTCACTGCAGCCTCCATCTCCCAGGTTCAAGTGTTCCTCCTGCCTCAGCCTCCTGAGTAGCTGTGGCTACAGGCGCATGGCTACACCATGCCTGGCTAATTTTATGTAGTTTCAGTAGAGATGGGGTTTTGCCATGTTGGCCAGGCTGGTCTCAAACTCCTGACCTCAGATGATCCGCCTGCCTCAGCTTCCCAAAGTGCTGGGATTACAGGCATGAGCCACTGCGCCTGGCCAACCTCTATCCGTTAAATGATGGAGTGGCCTAGAGATTTGAAACTGGATCTATTCCAATGCCAAAGGCTGATTCCGTAAACATGTTGGTATGCCCCAGTCCTTTCCAAGCTGTTTCCTTGTGAGGCGTGAAGGTAGGCTCTGGAAGGTGGGCTGCTGGCACACCTGGGGATGAGGAGGATAGAGAAACAAAATGATTACCAACAGGGGGAAAAGTATGAAAAACATTCACATTCCACAGATTCCTCATCTGCTCTGCTGCTCCTGTGGCATCCCCCTTTAGCCCTGTCTAAAGAATGCAAAAAATGTAAATTTCCTGTTTGAATAAGATGTCTGTATTTTAACTGCAAGTATTGTCATGAAGAGGGCACCCAAATGCTTCCTTACAATGAGGGCAGCAGCCAGAACTCACCTGCCTGCCCAGCTTAGGGACCTGGCCCATCCAAGAGACCACCAGGACTTTGCTCCAAAGAGGGTCTGAGGAGAAGAAAGGCTTTTCTCCAAGTCCTGGACTCACACAAAGGGGAAGAAAAAATGAAAGACTGCTCTTCAACTCCTTTATGAGATGGAAAAGGCACCCCAAGTGGGAGGGGTTGGGCTCAGGGTCTCCAAAAGGGTTTGAGAATTGACCCTGGACCCTTTCCAGTTGGTTTGGTTGGGACTGGTCTTGGG
Source organism: Homo sapiens (assembly GCF_000001405.40). Taxonomy (NCBI): domain Eukaryota; kingdom Metazoa; phylum Chordata; class Mammalia; order Primates; family Hominidae; genus Homo; species Homo sapiens. The sequence continues at coordinate 64,277,091 of NC_000002.12, forward strand.
TTTATCAGAAAGAGCTGTAGATCTGAAAGGGTCTGCGGGGGAGGCCTGCCTCAGCACGGGGCCAGAAAACTCAGACCCCAGGCAGGAACAGCCCGAGCAGCCTCTCATGGACTCTGGTGAAAGCTGGCATTCTGGGAAGCCAGGTAGTGCCTGAAATCAAATACCTCTTTGTAACCTGGGCCCTCGATTTCTTTCCCTATGGCCTGCGAGGCTAGGAAATAAGTTGCCCTTGGAAACCGAAGCCCAGAGGTAAACAACTGAGAAGCTCACCAACCAGTTGGAGAAGTTTCACTTCCTCTGCAGAATGTGGGTTTTGGAATAATAATGCTCTGCTTTATAAATTGCATTCCAGTTTTGAGAGCCCAGTGACTGTAACCATTCATTTCCATAGACAATTAGTCTCTCACAGTCCTTCTCCAGCCAGGGAGGCTCTGGTGTCTGGCCCACACCAGCTCTGGGGTGATCATGGACGAGGCTGTGCCACCATGAGGCGTGACCCAGTATGTGAAAATATAATCAGACCTACCATTTGAGAAACCAGGGTGATAATTTCCTAAAGTGCTTAGTCACCTTTAGCCACTGATTGCTTCCTCTGTGATTGGGCCCAGTGTGAATCTAAGATCTATTGGTTACATGAACTTGGCATCTGGTTGGTGCTCCGTGTACCTCATAATTTCCTTTCCCTCCCTTCCCCTTCCTTCCTCCCTTCCTTCCTTCCTTCCTTCTTTCTTTCTCCTTTCTTTCTTCCTTTCTTTCTCTTTCTTTCTTTCTTTCCTTTCTTTCTTTCTTTCTTTCTTTCTTTCTTTCTCTTTCTTTCCTTTTTCCTTCCTTCCTTCCTTCTTTCTTTCTTCCTTTCTTTCTCTCTCTCTCTCTTTCTTTCTTTCTTTCTCTTTCTTTCCTTTTTCCTTCCTTCCTTCCTTCTTTCTTTCCCTCCCTCCCCCCCTTTTTTTCTTCCTTTTACCCTTTCTTTCTTTCTGAAAAAGCCTCGGGAAATAAGATTTCACCTGTTTTTATGGATCAGCAGTAGCGGCTCACCTTGCAGTTTTCACAGCATGAATACTGAGGAGTTTTCTTTTTCCACACTTGGTGTTACAGATTCTTCCAATATTTAGCCTGTGGGAAGAATCCTCACTTTCCGGCACTTCTCAGCCTCCAGTGGAGTTACACAGTACAAAAAGAAATGGAAAGACAGGTGTCTGGGAGAGTCTCCCACCAAAAATGAATCTAACCCAATTCCAGATGCTTGACTCCATTTGGAATGGGACTTTCTTATTGTTTTTCCCTTTGTCTTTGAGATTGGTTTTCATTACTCATTGCTTCCCTAAGTGGATGAAAACTGAAAACATTTTAATTGGGGACAGTAATATTCCAACAATTAGGAATTTAACTGATGTTTTTGGAAATTCAACGTACTGGCAAGAAAAAAATATTTTGCTCAAATTTTTCATATGTTGATCCAGGAAAGCAGAGAAAGCCATTTGTGTTCCAAATAAAAGATGCTCAAATATGGTCAAATAGTGAACTATTACCCGGTTCTATTCTTTTACTTCCTACAGAATATGGGGACCTTTGCAGGTGTCGCCACGAAGCTGATACTTTTTATTACAAACATAGCCCTATGGCACTCTTACTTTCCTCATTAACTCTTGTTGAGTGCTTTGAGATAGAAAAATTATTCATTCTTTTCAACAGTAGAGCCTCCAAAAAGAATGATTTTAAGGAGTTACTCATGTCCATTATTAACAGCACAGCCAGAATATATGTGATGCATTACCACACACTCTTCATTAGTGAATATAAAGACATCAAATAGGATTTAATTTGCCTGCTACAAAGTTAGGGAAACAAATTAAAATCTCCACTTTATTTGAAACATCTAATTAATTTATCAGCTACTTGCCTCATCACTTGAACACAAGTAAATAAAATTGCCTCTTATAGAAACTATATGGTTTTTGTCATGTTACTTTGTATATTATTTTCAAAAAAATTATCCTAGCCAATAGATTTGCAGTTCTTTGTTACTTTGTATGTTATTTTCAAAAAATTATCTTAGCCAATAGATTTGCAGTTCTTTTTTCAGTTTTTTATTGTTGTTTTTGAAACTTGGAATGTACAACTGAGAATTAAAGTGTGCTTCAAATTGTACAGGTCATTTACCTTAAAAACCAGACACTATCTGTGTCCACTTTAAAAATTGTTCACTATCTGCCTGGATCTAAGGATTCAGTCCTGACTGAACTTTTTATCTCAACTCAGCTCTATATTATTGCATAGAATCTAGATTTCATGTCCCAAATTCCAGAAAGGAACAGTGTAGGGGAAGAAAACAACTTGATGTATATCCACTGCCCTAAATGGTCAAAGGCAAACTCACATTGATATAATCATCTCGTGAATGTTTAAAATCTGCCTGGTTCAATTCTTTCCAATTCCTGGAACATTCACAAATGCAAAATTAAAAAAAAAAGTCTTATCCTTCCCAGAGGGCTTTTAGCCTTTTTTATATATGTGTATATATATAAAATATATATAATTACATATGTATAATTATAATATATATTATATATTATAATATATATAATATACAACATTATATATATATGGCTAAAAGCCCTCTGGGAACTGTAGAGGACTCCGGTCATAGCCAAAATATTTGGGGGATGTGGGGATATATAATTATACATATATGATTATATATATTATATATATATATATAGAGAGAGATTATTTTGAAGAATTGGCTCACACGATTGTGCAGACTAGCAAGTTCAAAATCTGTAGGGCAGGCTGGAGACCCAGGGAAATCTTGATGTTGCAGCCTTGATTCCAAAGGCAGAGTCAGGAGGCAGATTCTTTCCTTCTCAGAGGATCTCAGTCTTTTCTCTTACTGCCTTCAACAATTTGAATGAGGCCACCATCCAAGACGATTATGAAGGGTCATCTGCTTTACTCAAAGTCTACTTATTTAAATGTTTATCACATCTAAAAAAAATACCTTCACAGCAATATCTAAACTAATTTTTGATCAGATATCTGGGCACCATGGCCTGGCCAGGTTGACACATAAAATTTACCATCACAACCAGTAATTAAACTCCATAAGGGTGAGATTGGTGGGGGGTGTTGTTTGTTTGTTTGTTGGTTTTACTGTTGTATGTCCACAATTGCACTTAAGTCTGGCACATACGTGGAGTTATCTTGTTGGTGTCTCTACCCACAGTGAGGCCCTCTTTGCCTTGGTCTAGGTTTTTTATGTTCTCATCAACAGCTTTCTTTCATGCCTGATTTTGTTCTTACGATCCATTTCTCAAGATTATTTCTCATGCATTGTATAGGTTTACAAAAGCTTCACTCTCCCTCAACCCCACCATCCAAATAACCTACAGGCCTAACTAGTAAAGTGCTTTGGGAAGAGTTCACATGCTTTTTGTATCATCATTACACCTACTGTGGGACTCACTAAACATTTATTGGTGAATTAACTTGTTGACTCCTCCTTTTATCTTATCCTTGCGTTTCCTTTATGTAAAGCCAGATTAAGACCGTTAGGGGCCCTAAAGCCCCACATAATTTAAAATAAAATAATTACTCAATCTTAAGTTTGAGAAACTCTTGTAAGTTAGTTTTCTCCAATGATGACTGTTTCGAAGCTTTGTTTGAGATATCAAACTCTTTCTAAAATTTATTTCTTGCAGGGGAGAGGGAGAGGTTGGCATTTGCTTTGCTGGTGGCTGAATCCCAGGCTTATTCTGCGTTGTGTGTGATCTCATAGTGCCTTCCCTCCGTGGTGGCAGGGGGTCATGGGAAAGCTGGGTAGCAGCTTAGCCCACCTGCTTATGGTAGCCACAGCCTTGACATTCCTAGGAGGCCAGCCAGGCAGTTGCCATGTCCTTGCCATGCTCCCAAACAGCCCAGATGGCCAGTTGCACAGCCTGTGCCCCTTCACAAGTGGTGGGCAACTTCTTCTAATTGCAACTTTGGAACCACAGCTGCACAAGTGCAGCTCACATCCTCACATCTCTTCTATACAAAGTGGAATATTATTTGTATAGCAGTCAACATAGTTAAGAGATTAAGGAGTAGATCAAGTAGCATCTGGGACCCTCTGTATCCATGGGTTCCTCATCAATAGATTCAATCCACCAAGGATAGAAAATATTTGGAAAAAAAGGAAATTCCACAAAGTTCCAAAAAGCAAAACTTAAATTTGCCATGCACTGAGTACTACATTGAACCCACATGAATGAAGTGTTGTGTAGGCATTGTATTAGGTGTTATAAGTAATCTAGAGATGATTTAAAATATACAGGAGGATGTGTGTAGGTTACATGCAAATACCGCACCATTATATATAAGAGACTTCAGCGTCTTGGGACTTTGGTATCCAAGGGGGGATCCTGGAACCAACTGCCTATGGATACTGAGGGACCACTATACTTTAATCTAACAAGCCCTAGAAGCAAAAATGGGGATTGAAGAAGTAGCTAATAAGAGAAAAGGCAGTAGTTACTGGGATTTATTTACAATCACAATCGACTCTTTTCAAGGTCCACTTTGCCTTGAATGCTTTAAGTTCTAAGGGGCAATATTAAGTTTATTTGGGTTACAAGAACATTATGTAACCAGGTGACAAGGATCAGGCAATTCTGGTTTCAGGTTTTGCCCAGTCTCCCCTACCCTGCTTGCCGGATAAGTGAAATGTACAGATAAGACTGGTCTTATATTCTTATGTCAAGAACACAAGAAAATATGTAGGAATGAATCAGTCATAAGTATTCCGTGAGTTCTTAAGGAAATAGAAGTTCTGATCAGATGATTAGTAGCTTTATTACTTCTCCTCCAAGGAAATGAGTTGAACTAATTTTTAAATTAGTGGATAATAGGCTGGCCTCCTAGGAATGTCAAGGCTGTGGCTACCATAAGCAGGTGGGCTAAGCTGCTACCCAGCTTTCCCATGACCCCCTGCCACCACGGAGGGAAGGCACTATGAGATCACACACAACGCAGAATAAGCCTGGGATTCAGCCACCAGCAAAGCAAATGCCAACCTCTCCCTCTCCCCTGCAAGAAATAAATTTTAGAAAGAGTTTGATATCTCAAACAAAGCATCGAAATAGTCATCATTGGAGAAAACTAACTTACAAGAGTTTCTTAAAGTTATGATTGAGTAATTATTTTATTTTAAATTATGTGGGGCTTTAGGGCCCCTAAAGGACTTAATCTGGCTTTACATATACATAAAATTCTCTGGAGAACTCTAACTAATAGAGTGGGAGAGGTGGGCATTGAACAAATGGGGTGGGATAATACAGTATTTCTGAATGTTTACTGATGTCCTAGTTTCCTGTTATTTCTCCCCTTTGCCCATCCCTCAGGCCAAGCTGCTTGGCACTCGGTGCCCATTGCTTTAAGGTTGATGTAACAGAAAGAAATGAATCTTCCTAGCTCTGGTCCCTAAAAGGCTAAAAGCCCCCTGGGAACTGTATAGGACTCCAGTCATAGCCAAAATATTTGGGGGATGTGGGGATTGAGGAGAGCAGGGTCTCCCCTGGACTAGAAAATATCCCCCAGGCCTGTGGAAGGAGAGGTAGAGGGGACAGGAGGAGACCAGAGATGTCATCTGTCCTGAGGTCCAGTGGGGAGTGGGGTTGGGAAATAGCTGTGCAGTGGGTCTGAACAAACTGTTCTTACACAGCCAGGCAGAGTCCTGGCTCCCAAGTGAGACATGAAAGCCGCAAGGAGATTGCCCACCATTTGTGAAGGGGCACAGACACCAGGAACTCATCTGAGTGGTGATCTATGTGCCTCAATGACCTACAATTATGAGAATAAAAGATGTCTCATTGGACACCCTTGTGGACAGGTGACGGAAGACTGACAGGCCTTCACCAGCCTAATGACCTGGCACAACTTAACTGTCGAGGAACGCCAGAGAAGGAAAGAAACTCCAAGTTGGCTGAGATACGTTTCTACCACTCCATAGAATGGGAACTCAATGCTTTAGAGAAAAATATAGGCCTTAGTCACCTAAATTGTGACAAGTAGCCTGCAAGAGAGGGAAGGCTTTGAGGAACTGAAAGATGGCCATAAGAGTTTAATCCAGTGAGCAAGGGGAAGGCAGCCCAGGTGAGGTTGGAAGGACAGGCAGGGGCCAGATCACACAGGACTCTGTAGTGCGGGCCAGGGGATTTGTATTTAAGTGACATGGGAAGCTGTTTCAGAATTTTTAAGCAGTTCCTGTTCTTTAAAGTTCACATTAATTCTTGCATGGGGTTGGGGGGTGTCCTGAGCAAAGGTTAGGAGTGCAGTTGAAGGGCTATTGCAGTCTTCCAGTTGAGAGCAGATGGTGGCTGAAACCAGGCTGGGGGCAGTGGAGCAAGTGGATGGGTTCTTGATATATTTTAGTGGTAGAAGGAACAGGTTTTGCCATTGGGTTGGATGTGCGGAGTGAGGGAAAGGAAGAGTTGGTAAGAACTCTCAGGTTTCTATTTGAACAACTGGTGGGAAAATGAAGCCATTTACACAGCAGAGGAAGTCTGGGGAGAAAACAAGTGCCTGTGAGGAAATCCAGACTTTTTGAGATGCCTGAGTGATGCCGGAATGGAAATGTTCGGAAGGTAGGAAGGGTTGGTAGATAAGTAATCAACAGCATAGAGAAGAGGTCTGGGTTGAAGGTAGGGATATGTGTGTCATCTGTGTGAGCCTTTACCACTTATTGTTTTGTTTCATTTGCTTTCGCTTTTGCTTCTCCTCTGACCCTGCACCTGTGCAACTTCCCCTCCTCCGTCAGGTCTCAGCTCCAATGTTGCTTCCTTCGGGAGGCCGCCCTACTCCTACCCCAGTGTGAATTAGGCCGAGTTAGGCTCTCCCCCAGTCTTTCTGTTTAAATTTTTCCTTCCAAGCACTTATCATGGTTTGAGATGAAAGATTTATGTTTGCCTGTCCTTTAGCGATGAATCCCAGTCCACACTGAAATGTGTTAGAAAAAAATGACTTCATTTTTCTGTAATGAAATCATTTAGGCCCTAAATCTGAGGAAGAGAAGGCAGGAAGAAGAGCTGAGTGCAGATAAATTGCAACATTTATGGATCAGATAGAAAAAGAGACACTGCCGCAAGCAGCTAAGAAGGAGCTAGAAAGGAAACAGGGTGTCCGGGATGCCATGGGAGAGGGAGATGGGAGCGTTTCAGGACAGAGCACGTGTCGCTGTGTCTGATTCCGTTGAGGAGTCAAGCGTGTAAAGACTGGAGTGTCTACTGGATTTACAATACGGGGACACAGGTCCTTGGTTCCAGCAGTTTGTGTGGAGCAGTGCAGATAGAAGTCAAGTTGCAGCGAGTAAGGGAATTAATGGAAGGCAGGAATAAGAGAGAATATGTGAAGATGATTGTTCCAAGAAGTTTTACTGTTAGGAGAGAGAAACTAGGGCAGTAGCTAGGAGGGTATATGAGGTTAAAGGAGGATATCTCAGAGAGGCATGATCCTGACATATATCTATGTGTAGATGGGAACAATGGATTGAAGGGGTGGGATGGGGAGAAATAACAACAGAAGGAATCAGAGATGAACACAGAGAGAAGAGGAAGGGAGAGAGCAGGTGTGCGGGGTGTTGACTTGCAAAATGGAGCAAAGAAGGCTTTAAAGCCTACCCCAAGAGCAGCCCCCAGCCATGCCTAGATTAAGATGAGCCAGAGGGCTCCTTTGCAGCCCAAAGGGACCAGGGGGCAGAGAGGAAATGCCAGCTGCAGCTCTAGGAGGGGAAGCCATGGGTCTGGCTCAGTGGTAGTCAGTGGGTCGGCAGCCAGTCCCTGGCCCCTGGCCAGGCACATATTGGGAGCAGAGTGGCAAGTCTTCTGACAGCATTGTTGGAGAGGAAGGACCATGTGGGTGAGTGCTGAACAGCGGGAGGGCAGCCAGGACCAACTTCAGAGCCGAGCAAACTCAGTGGGAGCCTGGAGGAAGGGTTGGCAGGTGCCACCCCTGCTTCCTCTGTTTCTCTCTACTACATCATCTGCAACCAAAGGGATGGGGGTGCAGTTTAACTCATTTTTTGTACTACCTTTCAGGCCTGCAGCTCCGAGTGACTGCCCCTGCTGCCATCTGGAGGAATCCCCCTCCCCTTGGTGGCCCTTGTACAGGAGCAGATGGGCACAGTTGCTGGCTGCTTGGGAAGGAGAGCCAGGGAGACCTGGGAGCCAAGGGGCGTCTTCAACCCTCTGGCTTCGCACTGACTTCACCCCCGTAGTAGATAGCCTCAGGCAAGGGAGCAGGGGACAGCCCTGGCTGCCCTGTGAGGGGTCGGGGCTGGCTGAGCCATAGAGCCACAGACAGGAGCAGCCTTAGGTTCCTGGAACTGCAAAAGCCCTGGAAAGGGTGTCTCATTCGAAAGGGTGTCTCATTCATCCTCCTGTGGATGCACACACAATTATTTAGTGTCCTTAGTTGAATGGGGAATTGGTAGATTTGGACCTTTCATTATCTATACTTTTTTTCACCTCTGAGACCTCCTTTCTTCCCTCCTATCACCTTACCCCTCCCTTGGATCAGTGCTGTTCAAACTGTAATGTGCAAGAGAATCATGGGGGATTGTGTTAAAATGCAAACTCAGAGTCAGGAGGTCTGGGGCAGTGCCTGAGAGTCAGCATTTCTAACAAGCTCCATTTCTAATAGATGCTGCTGATGCTGCTGTTGCTCTGACCACGCTCTGAATAGCAAGGCTTTAGAGGACCCGATGGGAGTTAAGACCTCTCTTCCCTAAAAAATACATACAAAAGCATACATACAAACCCTTCGTTCTGTGCGGGAGTCACATATCGACAGGAGGCCACCCCAGGATAGAAACCCCTGCCCCACATGTTTATTGTCAAATTGTTGCCCTACCCTTAACCCCACCCCAGGTGTTCTCAGACTTTAGAAGATATCAGAATTGCCTGGAACACTTGTCAAAAATACAGATACCCTGCCCTCCTTCTCATTCCCGGAGGATCTGATTCAATAGGTCTGGGGAAAGGTCCAGGAATATACTTTTTAAAAAAAAAAAAATGGAGTTTTACTCTGTCGCCCAGGCTGGAGTGCAGTGGCACGATCTTGGCTGACTGCAACCTCTGCCTCCCGGGTTCAAGCAAGAATATACTTTTTACCAAGTTCCCCAGGTAATTCTGATGCAGGTGTACTTATTGAACACACCTGAGAAACACTAACTTAGGGTTTATGGTTTCCCAGGAATGTATGTACTAAAATCTGAATATCTGAAGACTTGAAAGAATGAAGCTGTGTTGGAGGAAAGTTAGGTGCTGAGATTGATATTTCTAGTCAGGGGAGCCTACTGAGCATCATTTCAAATAATCCTAGTGTGTGATTACTTTGACCCCATATTTGACTGATCCCACCTTTCAGCATATAAGTTGTTGCTCCCCAGGGAGGTGACAGTTATTTTTCCAGCATTGTGAGTGGGTCTCCCTGGAGACTAAGGGCACTTCCCTTGGAGCTGAGCTGCTCTGTGCTCTTCTTCATCAAAAGTACTCAGGTGTTTCAGACATTTCCAAATGGAACATCCATGAGATGAGGAAACCTTTCTCTTGCTAATGTGGCAGGCAATTTTTAAATAATTTCAACTTTTATTTTAGATTCACAGGGTAAATATGCAGGTTTGTTACCTGGGTTTATTGCATGACACTGAAGTTTGGGGTACCATTAATCTTGTCACCCAGGTACTGAGCATAGTACCCATTAGTTAGATTTTTGTCCCTTGTCCCCCCCATTTCCCACTTTAGTAGTTTCCAGTGTCTGTTGTTGCCATCTTTATGTCCATGAGTACCCAATATCTAGCTCCTTCTTATAAGCGAGAACATTCAGTATTTAGTTTTCTATTTCTGCGTTCATTTGCTTAGGATAATGGCCTCTGGGACAGGCAGGAATCTTATTCCACTATCTTGGATATGTGAGAAATGATGTATCAGTTTGCTTCATTTACATTGATTGTAAGTCCCCAACCCCCTGGGTTAGTGGGAAATTTGAGTCATTATTGGGGGAGTCTTATTACCTCCAGGGTGATGTGAGGGTCCCATGTATCTTGTGCAGAACAAAGACCCACAGGTCTTTAACTCCCTCTGGTCTCTCTTCAAAAGCCCATTATCCAACCTCCCATGGCCCCTTCAATCCAGTGACTTTAATTAGAGTGGCTGCTGTGTACTTGGATCTTTGTGGAGGCTGGGAGCGCTATGCTTGGGATGCAGCCTCCTGTCGCGTTCCCAGACTCCAAGGGACCCCATTCAGCCATTCCCCTCTGGAAACCCTGCTACTTTCTCAGGACTCTGCATGAGAGCAGATCAGGAGTCAACCTGACCTTTAGGACCTGTGGGCCCATCACCTTCCCAGTCTTGGGAAACCTCCCTCATTTTCTCTTGCTGCTTCTGCTTTCTTTTCCTCCTCATGTCGCATAAACCTGTCAAGAAGCTCAGCCTTTTGAAAAACAAAAGCCAGACAGAGAGGTTGTCTATAACATAAACCATGCTTGAAGGCTAAAGAGTATGACTCTCATGTAAATATAAAATGAACACATGTCAAAGATCGTATTTAACTCCCATGAATGAGGGAGACAGTAAGATGTTAAAACTGGTTCAAAGAATATTTGAGAATGTAGTATATAATGCAACTTAGTAAATTGTTGGGTAAATACAAAACTGGTTATTGTCCAACAGGGCCATAAACTACAGCTTTTGGGTTTCTCTGTTGCACTGAACAGAAATTATTTGCATCTCTACTGAATAAAAATCTGTAAGTTAACCTCACCTCTATAGAGTTGTAAAATAGCCTTAGCAAGTAGGAAGTCATCCCTAGCACTGTCCTAAAATAACACCTAGTACTTATTTTCTTTTGCCCATTTCCAAGCTTTGGGTAATTTTTCTGGCAGAAGGTATCTCAAAGGGCCTAGCTACCTTCTTGGAATGGAGAAGGGAAAAAATATAGCAAGAACAAACTTCAAAATAATATCTCAATTATCCCCTCAAAGAAACATATGAGACCCCATTATTATGCTAACAAAGTATCAGTCTTTATTCTGCCTCCCTGAAGGACTTCTCCTTCCTGCTAAGGGAAGGCAATGACAAAGACACAAAACTTCTTTCTGTCCCATATGAGACACTCAAGTGGAGCCTTTGCCCTCTAGCATGAAGCACACTCACAGATGCTCCTGAACAACACCTGAAAATCCAACAAAGCAGGACAGAGGTCAAGCCCAGCCTTGATCTCATTAGTGTGAGATGTTAGACCCTCATTTTATTGCCAAAACCTTCACCCTTATGACAGGTTGGCCATCTGTCTAATGCCTGGCTAAGTCACAAGCTGGGAGAAAAATGTTGGATGCATTGAGGGCAAATCATGACTGTGGCTGCACATTATTACGTAGGAGAGGGAGCCAGAGAAACGCACCCATGGGGAGAATTCTTCCTTAAGTCAACCGCAGTGGCCTCCCCCACTTCCCCAGGTCGTGCTCTGCGCATTTGATCTGCCAGGAGAAGACCCGCTTCCTGTGAGCAGGCAGTGTTTGCTTCCTTAGTTCTTGTGTTGCTCCATTCCCCAATTCCCTGCTCTCTCTGCCCCCTCTTCTCTGTTTCATATGAAAAACATCTGGAAGTCAGGCCTCGGGTAGGAGGTAATGTAGCCTCTGGCAGAGATCCTGCCAGAGTGAGAGATCAGAAAGACCGTGAGAAAAATGTCAAGCCTCTGCTCCAACCGGATGTGCCCCAAGATGGAGGAAGGTGGGTCTCACAGAGGAGAAACTATTGTTATTCATCCTCAGTCTGTTTGATTGGAAGCCAAAGTTACACACTAGGTTAGGGAAGCGAGTTAACTCCAAAGCCTCTAAAATATTCAGCAGACCAGATTCCCTAGTGGGAATCTGGGTTCCCAATTGGAAATTATTACTTTGTCTTTCTGGAATTATGGTTCTAAAACTGTAGCAGGTGCCAAAATCTCCTGGATAGCCCCACCACCAAGAGTTTCTGTTTCAGTTGCTCATGAATTTGCATGTCGAAGTTCCCAGATGTTGTCTATCCTGCTGGTCCGCAGACTTGCTACTTTGAGTAGCCTGAATAGCGTTAGCAGTGGTTCTCAACCCTGCCTGCACATTAGAAAAATCTGGAGGTGCTCTGAAAAATCCCTATGCACAGGCCATACTCGACCAATTAAATCAGAATTTCTGGGAGTGAGGGTCAGGCATCAATATTTTTTTACAACTCCACAGGCAAATGCAATACGCAGCCAAGATTAAAGACTATTGCTTTAGAACAGTGGTTCCCAACCCTAGTGCATATTTTAAATGCATAGGATGCTTTTGTAAAACACTTATTCTTGAGTCCCGTGCATAACACCCTTCTAACTGGTCTCCCCCATGTGTTATCCACACAAACATTATTATCATCGTCATCATACACACATACACACACACACACACACACACACACACACGCATACACATGCACACACATCTTAAAACCTTCAATTGCTTCTTGCCTTTAGGATAAAAACAGAAGGCAGAATTTCTGGACATGGGCCTTTGTATTTTTAAAAAATGCTCCCAATGATTCAAATGTCCAGCCAGGATTGAGAATCACTGCTCTGGAAGTTCTCTTAATCACATTCTACCCACTCTTTCATCTTAGCTGGTTAAGTGTGGTCTGCTTACCCAGGCCTGTAGAAACCTGCTTTGGGCAGCAGCTCTGGGGTCCTGCATTGGTATGGACCCCTCCCACTTCCTTGCCCTGCCTTGCAGTCTCCATTTGCCCTGCATTTTTGGCTCCCCAGAGCTGCCTTGGCACTCCTCCATTTTGTACTAAACATTGGGCCCCCTTCTCTGGCTTCTGGCTCTGTCCCCATTCTCCCATATCCTGACTTGACTTTCAGCTCTGCACACTTTGTCTCTCAGCTTCAGCCTCTCCCCCATCCCTCAATACTGGCTGCCTGCTTAGCCTCCCATCCTCCAGGTCAAGTCCATAAAACTTCGGCAAATATTTACTGAGGGCCTTCAAAGTGCCAGGCACTGTGCTGGGCATGGAATGCCATGAGAGACAAAACTGATATTGGTACTGCCCTTGTGGAAATTTACATTCTAGTGTGGGGGACAGACAATGATCAAACAAATGGAAAATTGTGATGGCGTGAGGTGCTGGGAAGGAGAGTGTGCCATGGTGTCTATTAGACAGAAACCTTGCCTGAGGAGTGAGATGTAAGCTAAGATCTAAGACAGCAGTAGGAGTTCCTAGGTGAAGAGGGTAGAAAGTGGGGAGGAAGAGATGGCATATGCACAGATGACATGTGGGAGGGACATGGTGTATTGGAAGACTGAAAGCCTGGGTGGCTGTAATGCATGTTGTGTGAGATGGTGGTAGACATTCTGTAACATATATGGGCTGGGTGCAGTGGCTCACGCCTGTAATCCCAGCACTTTGGGAGGCCGAGGTGGGTGGATTATGAGGTCAGGAGTTCAAGACCAGCCTGGCCAAGATGGTGAAAACCCCGTCTCTGCTAAAAATACAAAAATTAACGCATGGTGGCGGGTGCCTGTAATCCCAGCTACTTGGGAGGCTGAGGACAAGAATTGCTTGAACCCAGGAGGCAGAGGTTGCAGTGAGCTGAGATCGTGCCACTGCACTGCAGCCTGGGTGACAGAGTGAGACTCTGTCTCAAACAAACAAGCAAAACGTTTATGCACCCACTCGCTTGCCAAGGTTCTGCAGGCAGCAGCCATCCACCTTGGCAAGGCAGTCACTGAGAAACCAGCTCGGGTGGTCCATACTTTGCACATTGGAAGAAGTGGTATGCCCTGGTTATGTGTGCAGCGAAATAGGAATTTTGTCTTCCCTTTTCTTACCCCTTTTCCTGGGGCTTTCTCTCACCCTTGCCTGGGGAATAAGGCAAATCTAATGCCAATTAGAGGAAGATATGGGTACCATTGTTTATTTTAGCTGGCCAGGATCACCCAGAAGAATGTTCAAAACATCCTTTATTTGGGATTTGAGTCATGAGTCTTCTAATCTATGTACTGTTTACAGAGGTTGGAGGTCTGGAGGAAGAGGACTCCCTCTTTTACTTCATTCAGTTGTCCCCCACATCCTCAGCAGTAGAAGTGTTTCTTGCCATTTTAGCTTTCAGAGGCCAGTCTCATTTTGTCCAGCAATGACAGCAACAGCAAAACCTTCCTTTGGCCCTCATTCACAATACAGTGTTCTGGGAGGAGGCGGCTGACCAGCTGACTGCAGTGATGAAGAAAGGAGTGTCCCACAGGACTCTGATTCAGCAGGGACCTCCAGAGCTTCTGACTCATGGGGGTGTGCTCCCAAGGGACATAGGTGTGTCTTCAAGTGCCAAGAATGAATGGGAACTGGCTTCTGCACTTGGCCCTGTGAGAACAGCCTAAGCCAAGGGAGGGGAGATTCTAAAAGAAATGACTGTAATTAAAGGTAGAAAAAAGTGGATGAGTCAAAAAAATGTATAAATAGTGTTTAATATTCAACTTAGTACTTAATTAAATATTGTCTTCTATTATTTATATTCACTACAAGTATCAAAGCCTTTTCTTCCCAAGTTGACTATAAACTCTTTGAAGGCAGGGACCATAGTTTTCTAAACTCCATTCAACCAAAGCATACTAAATACTCTTTGTTAGTGTACCATCGGCACACAACCCATTGCCAGATATGGAGTCATCCCCAGTAATTACTTGCATTAAACTGAATTCCCTCTAGCAAGCAACTGTTCGCAATGAATGGGTCTAGTGGTCCCATGGAAGAAAACAAGGAAGCTTGAAGTAGTCCTGCCATGGAGAAGCTAAGCTGATGTCTAAAGCCTTTGGCTAAGCATCCTGATGTGTTAGGCAAATCTTGGTGTGGGAATCAAGATTTAAGGTTTGTATCAGGCTCTACAACAAAAGAGCTGTAAAGCTTGGACAAGCCACTCAAATCTTCCAGAGCCTCAGTTTCCTCATTTGTCAAAAGAAGAGGTTGTTACTAGATAATCTCGACAGCCTTTTTCTGTCCTAAAAATTGCATGGGTCTGTAAAGTCTGAACTGCCCAATATTTTTTTATATCTTAAACATTTTAATATGTCTCTTCCAAATGAAGGTGTCTGGCCAGGCATGGTGGTGTATGCCTGTAGTGCCAGCTGCTGGGGAGGTTGAGGTGGGAGGATTGCTTGAACCCAGGAGGTTGAGGCTGCAGTGAGCCATGTTCATGCCACTGCACTCCAGCCTGGGAGACAGAACGAGATCCTGTCTCAAAAAAAAAAGTAAAATGAAGTAAAATAAAGGTATCAACCTGAGGAAGGTACATTTAAATTTTTTCAGTCGATATTGCCCCACCACCCATAACCCCCTAAGGGAATCTGTACCCCATTCACAATCCATCCTGAAGAAGTGGGTCTTGATAACCATATTTGTACCAGATAACCTTGCTCTCCTGGCCACAGCTGATTGAACTGAGGGTAGACATCTGACCGAAGCTGGGCCAATCAGAATCTCTTGAAAATCTGAACTGCAAAGCACTTAGCCTTGTGATTCTAGAGGAGCTGACCCTAGAATAATCTCAGAGGTAGACATGTGACACAGTCCTTGTCAATTGATGGACTCCACTTTTCTGGTTTCAGTGATTGGTTCAACTGTAGTCTCATGATCAAAACTGGGCCAACCAGAGTCCCCTAGATTGTAGCCAGAACTACTGGGGAAAATGGTTTCTCTTCCTCTGGGATTATAAATTGAGAGGAGGAGCAATGTAAATCTGTAGCTGCTGGCTGCCATGTTGCCATCAGGCAATATCAATAAAAGCAGGGTGAGAATGATGGAGAGAGAGATGCACATGCACAGAGAGATGGCTCATATTATTTAATGATGAAATATTCAGTTGTGGCTACAGCTACG
The DNA here is from genome assembly GCF_000001405.40 of Homo sapiens. Classification (NCBI taxonomy): domain Eukaryota; kingdom Metazoa; phylum Chordata; class Mammalia; order Primates; family Hominidae; genus Homo; species Homo sapiens. The sequence continues at coordinate 64,293,005 of NC_000002.12, forward strand.
TACCTTCAGACTTTTCAATTATGTGATTGAATTATTTTATTATTTTTATTTTATTTTTTGAGACAGGGTCTCACTCTGTAGCCCAGACTGGAGTGCAGTGGTGTGATCTCAGCTCACTGCAACCTCTGCCTCCCAAGCTCAAGCTATTGTCCTGCCTCAGCCTCCCGAGTAGCTGGGATTACAGGCATGCACCACCACGCCTGGCTAATTTTTGTATTTTTAGTAGAGATAGGGTTTCACCATGTTGGCCAGGCTGGTCTTGAACTCCTGACCTCAAATGATCCACCCGCCTCAGCCTCCCAAATTGCTGGGATTACAGGCGTGAGCCACCGAGCCCAGCCTGAATTATTTTATTTGTGCTGATGCTAGTTTGGTTTGAGTATGTATCAACTCAGAGAGTCTTGACTCTGTATCCCGGGGAGTCTTGACTAATCCAGTCCTTAGGAATTGAAGCTAGAGCTGGGGCCATGGCAAGCCAGAGCCTTGCACAAGCCCAAGTTTTGGGAGAGCCAAAGCAAGAGTCTTGCAGAGAAAGTCAGCTGAAGAGAAGATGGGGAAGAAAAGCAGAGTAAAGAAAAGACAAGAAATATCATGGTTTCAGAGTGTGGGTAAGAGAGAGAGGGAGAAAGAGGGAGAAACAATGCTCTTTCTTTTTTTGTTGTTATTTTTGTTGTTGTTTATTTATTTACTTTCTTTTTTTTTTTCTTTTTCTTTTCTTTTTTTGAGATGGAATCCTGCTCTGTTGCCCAGGCTGGCATGATCTCGGCTCATTGCAACCTCTGCCTCCCAAGTTCAAGCGATTCGCCTGCGTCAGCCTCCCGAGTCGCCTGGAGTACAGCTGTGGGCCACCACGCCTGGCTAATTTTTGTATTTTTAGTAGAGACGGGCTTTCGCCAGGTTGGCCAGGCTTGTCTCGAAATCCTGACCTCAAGTGATCTGCCCACCTTGGCCTCCCAAAGTACTGGGATTAAAGGCATAAGCCACCATGCCCGGCCTATTTACTTATGTTTTATCAATAAGTAATAGATGTATATATTTTCAGGGTACATAACACCTCTACTTTTAAACTGGTTCCTATGAGATTCCCACCTCTTTCCTTATAATTCCCACTTTTATTTGAGTTCTTTTTAGTGCATGTCTTCAACCAAGACGAGTAGGAAATCAAAGCTTCAGAGATGACCACAATGCTGTAAAGCCCAGAGGAAAACCCAAAGAATGCTATGAAAACTAAGTGTGGAAGAAATCCCACAGCACCTGCAGCAGGTTTTACTCCACCTCATTGATGGACTATTTAAATTACTTAATTTTAGCTGGGCATGGTGGCAGGTCTCTGTAGTCCCAGCTACATGGGAGGCTGAGGCAGGAGGATGGCTTGAACCCAGAAGTTAGAGGCTGCAGTGAGCCATGATTGCCCCACTGCACTCTAGCCTGAGCAACAGAGCAAGACCCTGTCTCTAAAAAATAAAAATAAGAAAACTACTTGATTTTCAGGAAGATACTTCCAGTTCAAGAATTTCAGGGAGAAGCAAACAAGTTCTGGTGAGGAGATGCTGCATGCCTGGGCCTCTGTATAGCACTCTCAATTACAGCTGACCTGCAGAGAGCTTTGATAGTCTGAGGTTACAAGTAAAATTAATGACCATGGTGAGAAAGTTACTCAGCACTAAAGGCTCTCAGTCCTCACAACCTCTTATAGATGATGTGCCTTTAGATGATTCTTATGCTGTGCAATCATTCTTCATTTCATGTAGCCACCCATCTACCCACTGATTCTACAAAAATTTATTTAGCACCTACTGAGTAACAGGCATTAGAGAGGCCAAGACAGATGAGACACTCCCTGTCCTCAAAGGGCAGTAAGCACTTCTCATTCACAGAACGTTTACAGCTTGTAATTGTATGCATTTGTGGGATTTGTTTTTGTTTAATCTCTCTCTCCCATTATATCAATTTCATAAGGACAGGATTCATGGGTTTGTTGTTGTTGTTGTTGACTCTTGTATCCTAGAACCTGGTAGGGTTCCTGGCACACAATAGGCACTTAATACGTATTTGGTGAACAAATTATTAATGAAGGGCTTTGAGTCTGTTCAAGGTGTTATTGTTTTTCTTCTTTTTTCTTTCTGTTTTTACTCATGTTACAGCCTACCCCCAAAAAAGATATCTTCATAGGACCATCAGACAATAATACATTTGGAAATGTATGTGGCTTATGTCTTCCAGAATGGTCCACAGTATGTGGCAACTGCAGGCTCTGTAACAGATGCCTGAGCTACTAGAACTCGGTAACCAAGGATCCTCCCTGTGGTGTAGATCCTCGGTGTCTAGGGACCCTCCTTTCCTGGTAGCTCTTAGATTAAAGCTGCTCAGGAGAGAGAGTACAGAAAATGCAGCTGATTCATTGGCCTCGAGGAAACAGAGCATGGAAAGCAGACGAGGATGTGAGAAATGACCATCTCAACACCAGCAGGAGGAGGTAGACAAACAGGACAAGGGACTGCATGCATAGCTGTGTGGGATTGCCTTGCACAAGGGCACCCAGCCAAGGGGGCAAGTAGGGGCTGAAATCTAGCCAGGCTCTGCTTCTAAGCCATGAACCCTGGCAAGAGATTCTGTCAAAGGTGGCCTAAGGACCAGAGGTGGCCCAGTGAGAAGTCCCCAGGTTCTTAAGAAGACTGACAAAGTAATGAGGGAGAGTGTGGAGAGCACCTGCACTTCGCATTCAATCAGAAAGCTGTGGGTTGGGGTTTTGCCCAGTGTGATGGCCTCACTCTGTGAACTGTGATTACCGCTTCACACCCCTACACCTCTAAGCCCTGCTCCCACACATTCAGTTCTCAGAGTGACAAAGGGTGACTCCTAGCAAAAGCAGGAAAGATTTGTAAGAGGACATCTAAGATCAAAGCTGTCAGCAAGAGGCAAAGAGCCACTCTGCTACCCTGAAGATGGAGGATGAAGCAGCAGGTAACTGGGCTGTTAGGCTGCCTGCCCAGCTCTCTGTATGGGCTGACAGCGTATAGCTTCCTTTGCCCAAATGTGGATAGCCTGTATTGACACTGGAGAGAACTCATGCACACAGCCTAACAGAAAAACAATTTAGTACCAGATAGCTTTAAAAAAAAAAATCATCCACATCCTTCCCTATTCTGCTCTTCATGGTACATGGAGACTCCAGGGCTATTTCTAGCTCAAGATGCAGGGGTGCTGATGAGCAGTGGGATTTCTGCAGCTGATCGCTGATAGGATAGAGCTGTTGCCACCCCAGAGAGGTGCTAGGGACAGGCAGCTTAACTGCACATGGCCAGCACATGGCAGGTGGGCGGGAGGACGTCTGGCTGGTTCAGGGGGAGGTGCGGGGGATGGAACAGCTCTGAAACAGCATTTTGGAAGCAGTAAGCTGAAGATAGTGTGGCTCTGTGTGTCTCCAACACCACCTTTCTTCCACAGCTCTAGGCTTAAAGGGGAACAAAGAAAGAAAAAGGGAACATCTTAGGGATATCAGTGCACCTCCTGCACTTGCCTCTCTTGCTTCAAATCTGGAATGCCATTTCAGCAGCCAAGATGCAGATGCAGTTCTTTTTTTTTTTTTTAATTGAGAATGTGACTAACAGAATGAATAGTCTTAAGGAGAGTGGTCAAATTGTAACGAAACCCATCAAAACATCATAGGGAGGAAGGGGAGGGGAAAGATTGGCTTCAACAGTAAAATTGTATAGGCTTTAAGATCAGGTGAATTTGAGTTCTATTCCCACCTCTTTCATTATCAGCAATGTGACCTTGGGCGGCTGCTTAATCTCTCTGTGCCTATTTCCTTCATTTGTAAAGCGGGGATAATCCTAGGGGTGGCATGAGTGAAATGCATTTTTATTTTGGGGGGTGGGGGGCTGCCCCTGCATGGTCATGCCTCTGTCCGTGGTTCTGAATGCTCGCTTCTTTTGAGCTGGTCAGTCATTTCAAAACCCAGGATACTGCTGATTCTTGTTCAACCTCTCCTATGAGAGTATTTGTTGTTTTTCTTTGTTTTTATATTTTATCTTAATGGAGCGCTTCAGTTTTTACACACTCGAAGAATAAGTAGCAACGTGACTTATGTTACATTACTTACATAACAAAATCTGCTCACTGCCTTGTTTCCAACAGTTTAAAACATTTTTGCCTTCTAGGATGTGGGGTGTCAGACACTGCTCCCCCGCAAAGCTAAGTCTAAAGCAATAGTAATACATACTTCAGTGGTTTTTGTAAGAATTAAGCATGTAAATACTTCAGCTCCATGGCTGGCATATAAATACTAAGACAAAAAGTGGCTATTGTGGCAGGTGTGTGTTTGCAAACACCAAATTTGGACACAAAAGTTGCTCAAAATTACTTTCTAAATCAAATTACATCTCACCCTGAGCCTCTGCTTTCTACAGATTACTAGTTATTGGGGCAGGAATATTCCCATCAAGTTATGAGAAGGTCTTAGGGATGTTATACAGAACAAAATTTTCCAGACAAGGCTCCCTAGTCTTCAGTCCACACTGGTTACCCAGTGATGTGCTCATTGTCCCAGCACTCAGAGAAAAGCTGCTCTGATGCTTCTATTTCTTGCTTAGGTTCATTGTTTGCAGTGGTTGATAGCCCCAGGTCCTGGCATCAAGCTCCCACATCTCTCCTGGCCCCCAGCCCTCTGGTTTACCACCTAGCTATTCACCTCTGAGACTGAGACATCTGCAAAGAAACAGCTACCCTACTACTTGAGAACCCATGAGTCTCCTGGAGCCCAAGCCACCATTCTCTTCCTGGGTTCAAGGACTGTTTCCTTTTCCTTGGAAGAGAGAGGGAGGAGGCGAAGACAGCATCAGCCTGTACTCCTCCAAACGTAGAGTAATCTCCCCTCAATTGGGTCATTTCCCTTATTAATTCACCCTTTTACTTATTTACTTTATTATTATTGAACAGTATATGTCGTCTTATCACAGGAATTTAGGACCCCCTTTGTTATGTTTTTATTTTGAGAGTCATGAATGCCCTTGGAATCCCATTCAGTCTGACAACCAAATGAAGATCTAAACTCATACAGCAGAAGAGCTCAGGTCCATTGAGAAACAGAGCTTCATCTTCTAATTATTTGGTTTAATTTATTGGTGTACACTCCCTTTAAGACATCACAGTGCTTGACTTCACTGTTATTTTGTGTGAAATAGCCTCTGCTTACCCTTCTCTGTTAAAGAATTTTCCTAACTCATCCGTGAGCTATTTCACCTGACTGCACTGTGAACTGAGGAGAGAGTGTGGATCTGTAGGAGTTTGATTCTCTCAAGAAAGGAAATATGTTTGCCTGGAGTTTCTCTAAAGAAGGAAGGCAGCAACGCAACCCTGTGGCCTATGTGTAAATCATCTGACTTTCTCACCAATGTGGTTAAATCTTCTGATTTCTTACTCAGCAAGAGCTTGCTGAAAACTGACATTGTAGTTGCTGACTGGGATTGCAGCTCAACAAATTATTTCTAAAAGGTGTGCAGTTGTTGAAAAAAAAAAAGGGTCAATCAAGGTCAGTATAATGGGCATTTGTCTGATAGCCTTAGGCGTTAATGGGCATTTTTGTTTACTTCAAGGAGGAAAAAGAGATGAGGGGATAAAGATCTGTGATCTATAATGTAACTTGAAACATTTCGGCTATTGGCTAATGTCATAGGTGTTTCTTAATTTTTCCATCCATGAAGAAAATGACTGATAAAATTTATGCAAACTTAGCAGTCAGCCATTAATTGGTTTATTTCGGCTGTTTTTAAATGTCTCTTGAAAGTCGTTAGAGTGTTAATACATTCAAGAGGTAGCTGTGTCCCATATTGACAATCTAAATATGTAAGCAAGCCCAAAAAGAGGAGAAGGATGGAAGTTACCTAGGCAGGACATGGTCATCTATAGGGAAGAAAGTCATAATATCTTTTCTATCACAAACTTTCTGAAGCTCTGGTTAATCTGTGAAACTGGGTTAGCTGTTCTACAGAAAGTTAGGAAGGTCTTTGGTTAAAGATAAGAGACACATGAGTGGAAGCTCTTCACTCACTCTAAACATTTAAGAACTTCTGGCTAAAATATAATCAAAATGTTTTACATACATAACTAAGCATGAAGTCAAGTAAAGGAAATTGCCATTTTCAAAAGCAAAAAGATAACTTTCAAAGTCAGAGGTGAATAAGAATTGCACTGTGCGTATGGTAAGATCTAAATTCACATTGTCTATAGAATGTGGACACCCAAGTTGTGACACTAATGTTAAAAATTTGTCTCAACCTTGATGTAAAAAGAAATTATGTAACTTTACTAAAAGATAGGTAAAAAAGACCCCAAAGTGAAAAAAAAGGTCATGTTCAAGGATAAAAAGACCCAATATCATGAAGATCAATTTGTCCCAAGTTTATCTATCATTTCAATCAGAATCTCAATAGAAATATTTTATGGATATTATGCAGACAAATCCTAGCTGCTTATAAAATGTATATGGAAGGGCAAAGAACAAGAAAGAGGAAAGAGAATCTTGAAGGAGGAGGGAAGGGACTTGCCATAGCAGATATCAAGAACTTACTATAAAGCCCCAGCAGTTAAGCCAAAGGGGAGGGGAGGATGTATGAGAAATAAACAGAGAGACCAATGCAATGGAAAAGAGCTTAGACATAAACTCACCATATAAGAAAAAATTCATTCATAACAGAGCAGCCATTATACATCAGTAAGGAAAGGAATGGAGTGCTCAAAAATGGGGCTGGGACAATAATCACCCCTCCCTAAAAAAAGGAAAGAAAAATTGGATTTCTACCTCATACTATATACACAAATCAATTCTACATAGATTAAATGAAAGTTTAAAAATGACAAAACTTTAAAATGTTATTAAAAATATAGACTATTTGCATGACTCGAGTAAGAAAAATTATAATAAGTAACAAAATGCTCAAAAAACCAGTATAAAATATTCATACATTAGAATACATGAAATTTTAAACTTTTGTTCATTATAACATGTAATTACGAGAGTAAAAAAATAAACTGAGAGAAGATATTTGAAACAAACATAACATCAAGGATTAGTATTTCAAATATATAAAATATCTCTCTGAATTAACATGAAAAAGACAACACAGTAGAAAGAAGGGCAAAAAGTCATGAATGTAATTTAATAGGAAGAAACAAAAATGGCTAATAAACACATACAGAGAGCATTAGCACTGGAGTCATTAAGGCCATTGCAAATACTCCAGTTCTCCTTTCTCTGCTTACATGGTAGGATTGCACTTCACTGAGTAGACATGTGACTTGCTTTGACCAGTGACATGTGAATGGAAGCTTGATACTCTAAGCAGTTGCTGCCACTCAACTCTCCTCTTTTATTGACTGACGATGGGACAAAATTCTATACTCACCGAATGGTACAGCAAGTGGTGATGTTCCAGACACTGGAGGCTCGACCTGTCAGCCTCCATCCCTGAGTGAAAAGACACAGAACTGAGCCATCAACCAATTAATGATGAAATAATGATGAGTAAGAAGCATACTTTTGCTGTTGGAAATTACTATTATTGGAAGGTTGTTTCCATAGTAACCTAGATCAATAGCTCTCCGAAGTTTAGAATCATCTGGAGAACTTTAAAAACAAAAACCCCAATGCCAAGGTTGAATTCCAGATCAATTAATCCCTGGGAACAAGACTCATCAGTAATTTTTTAGTCTCCCCAGCTGGTTCTGATGTGCAGCCAAGGTTGAGAATCAAGGACCTGACCAGCCTGAATGAAGGAGGCTATAAAAAGGCAACATTCAGACAACAAATAAAAGCTCTTGAAAATTTAAGGCATAGTAGCAGAAATAAAAAACTCAGTAGAGGGGCTGGAAGATAAAGTTGATGAAAGTTTCCAAAGAGTAGAATAAGAAGACGAAGAGTTTTAAAAGGGAAGAGAGAAAAATAAAAAATTTAGAAGACCAGTCCAGGAAATCCTAAATCTGAGAAAGAAAAAGTAAAAGAGAGTTCGAGAAAGAGAGAAGAGAGAAATAGGGGGAGGACTAAATAGTCAAAGAAATCATGTAAAATGATTCCTCTAAACTGAAGGACATGAGGTAACAGACTGAAAGGGCCCACTGAGTGCCCAGGAAGAGAGATGAAACTAGACTCAGTGAATGGAGACACAAAGATCTAACAAGCTTCCAGGGAGAGTGGGAAAAATTCACATATGAAGGATAAGAAATCAGAATCTGTTTAGCTACAGACAGTGGAACAATGCCTCCATAATTGTGGAACAAAATTAACATATCCAACTTTGTATTCTCCTCCCAGCAAAATTATCAATCAAGTATGAAGGTAAAATAAAGATGTTTTTATACATACATGGTCTCAAAAATTTTTCTTTTAAGAACTCTTTCTCAAAAAACTATGGACATCACAGTGACTACAGTTAATAACAAAGTATTGTATATTTAAAAATTGCTAAAAGAGTAGATTTTAAGTGTTCTCACCACAAAAAAGGTAAGTATGTGAGGTAATGCATATGTTATATAGCTTGACTTAGCCATTCTACAATGTATACCCATGTGGAACATTTGTATACATTTATGGTGTACAACACAGAACATTTGTATACAACATGGAACATTTGGAACATTTGTATACATTTATGGTGTACATGATGTTTTGATATGACACGTGACATCAAAACATCATGTTGTACACCTTAAATGTATACAAATTTTACTTGTCAGTTAAAAAAATAAACTTAAAAGTGAAGCTACTGGAGGTTAGGATCCAGCAAAACAAGGGCATAAATGAAGAGAAAGGACAATGAAGGATTCAACTCCAGAGACAAGGGGAGGCATTCCCAGTGTAAGGATGAAGGGAGAATCCAGGGGAAGGCTGGTTAGAAGGCCCCAGGCAAGTCCTCTGGGAAGGTGAAGGTTGATGGAATATGTGATGTGTCTGAACATCCTGAGAGAAGATTTAAACAACTGTCAGAGGGTTCAGATTAAATTAACCTTAGAGTCGTAAAAAACTAAACAATTGTGATAGACAATTGTGAAAAACAACTTTTTAAAAATGTTATCTTGTAATTGACAAATAATAATTGTATATATTTATGAGATACAATGTGATGTTTTAGTACATGTATAAATTGTGGAATGATAAAATCAGGCTAATTAGCATATCCATCACCTCAAATATTTTTCATTTCTTTGTGGCATGAACATTCAGAATTCTCTCTTCTAGCTAATTTTGAAATACCGTCTGTGTTACTTAACTACAATGATACATTCTGAGAAATGCATCTTTAGGCAATTGCATTGTTGTGCAGACATCATAGAGTGACCTACACAAATTTAGACGGTATAGCCTACCACATACCTGGACTATTGGGATAGCCTATTGCTCCCAGGCTACAAACTTGTACAGCATGTTGCTGTACTGAATACTGTAGGCAATTGTAGCAAGATGGTAAGTGCTTGTGTCTCTAAACGTATCTAAACATAGAAAAGATACAGTGAAAATATGGTATTATAATCTTATGGGACCATGGCGGTACATGTAGTCTATCATTGACCAAAACATCATTATGCAACACATGACTGTATACAATATATTATACATTATTGTTGACTGGTCATCATTGCTGTGCAATAGGACACCAGAATTTATTTCTCTTATCTAACTGAAACTTTGTACCTGTTGATGAGTTTGAGCCATAATCCTGAAAAACACAATCCTAAATGCTGTCATCCCAGATGTTGAAGTCCCAAAAGATCAAAATCCTTGAAGTCTAAAATTCCAAAAATACAATTCTGGAAAAAATAATTTAAAAAATGTAAAGACATGTGTTCACATTTTTAAAGGGGAATTTATTTGATAAACATAAAAACACAACAGAACACTTCATAGGCCATTGTATACAACAAAATAGGCATTAATAACATACATACATTTGCAAACATAAGCACTCAGGTATACTAACAACAGTTGCAAGAGTATAAAAATTATGAGCAGACAAACCATACTCATAAAGAAGTATGTCAAAAAGCAAAATGTATAAATATATATCACTGTGGTTGGCAATTGTGTGCACCCAGCTTTATAACATCTGAAATTCACTCATCTGAAATGCCATGACAGACAAGCTAAGTCTTTTGACAAGATTGATCAAAAACCATGATAGGTCACCACTACATACGCAGTCTCCCAAACAGCCAAGATCTTAAGAAATTTTATATTTTACAAATGCAGATGTATAAAACGAACATCTCTTCATTTATCTCTTCATTTTTATATGCACACACAATGATTACACACAGTCGATGATGTGATAATGCACTTTCATGGAATCAAATTTGCAAAAAATGCATAAAATGAATTAGAACTCTGAAAGTCTTTACACAATTTATACATCCAGTATTGAAAATGATGCAAAGATGAAACGCATAGCATGGCAAATTGGCGCTGTGAAAAGGCAGAAGTCATACATAGTTGAATAATTTGGCAGGGGAGATTTCTTGCATTTTTTGCCTGTATTATCATTTCTATGATCTTCAAATCACTTGCTGCATTTGTATTTGGAGAGTGGTTGTGGTCTTCAAATTTTGTAAGCATATGCTGTAAATGTAAAGAAGTCTCGTTATTGCTTGGCTGTTGCAATTAAGTGATTTTCCGCTTTTGAAGCACCAATAATAATTAGCTTTTAAATTTTCATCTTTCACCATTAAGTAGCCTTGTACATTTAATTTATCACAGCCTTTTGGTGCGGGAACAATTTTTCAGATTTCTTTCACGTGTTATAAGAAATACAGTAAGAAGAAATAATACTTTGCTTCCTCAATACCAAATCTGTATTAGTCAGAGTTCTCCAGAGAGACGTAACCAATAGGATATGTGTATAAATAGAGGAGGTTTATTAGGGGAATTGGCTCATGCAATTATGGTGACTGAGAAGTCCCATGACAGACTGTCTGCATGCTGTAGACCCAGGGATGCTGATAGAATAGCTTAGTTCAAGTCCAAAGGCCTTAGAACCAGAAAAGCCAATGATATAACTCAGTTTGAGGCCAAAAACATCAGGCCCCAGAGGGTCACTAGTGTAAATCCTGGAGTCTTAAGGGTGCCAAGCCTGGAGTTCTGATGTCCAAGGCAGCAGAAGAGAAGTTTGCCCCAGCTTTCAGAGACAAACCAATTTGCCTTCTGTATTTGTCCCCTCTGGGCCCCCAGTCAATGGGGTGGTGCCCATCAACACTGGGGGCAGATCTTCCCCACCTGGTCCACTCACACTCACACACTCATCTCCTCTGAAAACACCCTCACAGCCACACCCCACATCATGCTTTACCAGGTTTCTGGGTATTCTTCAACCCAGTCAAGTTGACACCTACATTTAAGTCCACAAGACCACCCCTTTTCACCTTGGCATCTATATGTATCTCATTAAATCATATTTAATTTCCAAATAAAGACAATAACAAGCTAATAGTTCCCCCAACATGATGCAGCTAACAGGATGCAATTATCCCGCATTCAACTGAAAATACACTAATCCTTTCCCCAGAATTTGGATTTTAGTATTTCAATATTCAGTATTATGATTTTGGAGATTTTAGACATTAGGGGTTTTAGACTTTGAGGATTTTAGACTTTAGGAATTTTGATCATTCAGGATTTCATCACTGGGATTACAGTGTCAGAACTGTGTCTTCTTGGGTTAATTATTGGCACCACTCATTGACTAACATCTCCCTTTTTCCCATTCACCTCTGCCCCCAGCCTCTGGTAACCACTATTCAACTCTCTACTTCTATGAGTTTAACTTGATTAGATTCTACATATAAGTGAGATTAGATGATATTTGTCTCTCTGTGCCTGGCTTATTTCACTTAATGTTCTCTAGGTTCATCCATGTTGTCTCAAATAACAGAATTTGAGGGCCTTTTTTTTTTTTAAAGCCAGAATAGTATTCTATTGTGTATATATACCACATTTAAGAAATTTATTTATCCATTGATGCATGATGGACACTTAAATTGTTTCCATATCTTGGCTATTGTGAATAATGCTGCAGTGAAAATAGGGCTGCAGATATCTCTTTGACATATTAATTTCTATTACTTTGGGTATATGCCCAGTAGTAGGATTGATGGATCATGTGGTAATTCTAGTTTTGGTTTTTTGAGGAACCTCCATACCGTTTTCCAAGATGGCTGCACTAATTTACAATACACCAAAAGTGTATAAGTGTTCCCTTTTCTCCACATCGTCACCAGCCCTTGTTTTCTTTCATCTTTTTTATAATAGCCAAACTAAGAGTTGTGAGGTGATATGTCATTGTGGTTTTAATTTGCATTTCTCTTATGATTAAAAATGTTAAGCACTTTTTCATATTTTTTTGGTCATTGTATGTCTTCTTTTGGGAGATGTCTATTTAAGTCCTTTGCCCATTTAAAAATTGGGTTATTTATTTTCTCGTTATTGAGTAGTTTGAGTTCCTTGTGTATTTTAGATGTTAGCCCCTTGTCCAATGTATGGTTTGCAAATATTTTCTCCAAATCTGTGGGTTGTATCTTTAGTCTATTGTTTCCTTCACTGTGCAGAGCTTTTTAGTTTGATGGAATCCCACTTGCCTATTTTTGTTTTTGTTGCCTGTGCTTGTGGGGCGATATTCAAGACATCACTGCCCAGAGCAACATCATGGAACTTGAGAAAAATAATCATTAATTCCATGGAAAATAAAAACTGCTATAGGAAAGGAAACGTATTCTTAGTACACTACATGGCCCAGCAATCAAAGATGCTTACATAATCACAAATGACCTAATCAAATTAGGATGTAACTATTTATATCCTAACAAATTAGGATATAATCAAATTAGGATGGAGTACAAGGAGGATGAATGGCTGTGATAGGGCATGAGAATGAAAGAGAACAAATCTCTTGCTTTTCATAGTGGAATAGCAGCATGATGTCAACCACTAAAGCAAACTATAAACAGACAAGAAACAACACAAATATGTTATTTAGAGACATAGCAATAAATCCCAAATAGCTAAAAAGAACTGAAAGTGACTTCTGTGGGGAAGGGAACAAAAGATTGCCTTCTAGGACTATTTGTCTCTTTTATTGATGAACATATATAAGAATAAAAGTGACCAACTGACTAGTAATAAAAAAAACTAAATAGAAAGTCTTTAAAAAGCCATTGGAGTGAAAAGCTCAAGAGATGGATTAAAATAAGAATAGACATAAGTCCCTATGGAGTTTTTTTGGTTCAATAAGTAAAGTAGGGAAAATTAGAATGAGATCATGTGGAGCAAGGATCTTGAGCAGAAAACCGAGGCCTGTTGTGCAGAGTAGGGAAATTTCTAAACCAGTTACCACTGCGCAGCTGCCTTCTACAGTCTGGCTAAAGTACCTAGAGGGAGGGAGGGAGGGAGAGCAACCAGTAGTGCCACCTTCTCTCCACCTTTGGAGAGGGACTTGATTTCCAGCACCACCTCTCTGCCCTGCCCACACCAACAATAACCATTAACATTAATGTTCCAAGCATTTTACATGTATTAATGTATTAGCATTTTATCCTCACAATCATAGTATAGGTTAAGTATTATTACTCTCATAATTAAAACTAAGGTCCACAGAATTAAGAAAGAAATTTTCTTAAGGGCACTATGCTGGGAAGCGGAAGATTTGGGATTTGAACCCAGGTGGTCTGTCTTCGGAGTTCACATTCTCAACTATTGTGCTACAATGCATCTTGCTACACACACACACACACACGCACATCCCTAAAGTCTTTGGTAAAATAGCAACGAGTTTATCTTTGAAAACAAGAATTCCTTCCATATCACAAATGAGAGTAAGCTGAAAGCAGAAGGAACAGAGGAATGCATAATTATCCATTGATTTCATGTATTCCCTACCTCATTTTCAAAAAAGGTATGAATCAGTTTCCAAAAATGTCATATATAGTAAGTAAAAAAAATGAGCAAAAATTTTAAAAATAGACTCAAAGTAAGTGGATAAATAAATGTGCCAAATGAAAAATTCAAGAAGGTTGCTGTATCTGAAAATAAAACCTGTATATGAGCTTCCTGGCAGCCAAGATAAAGAAAGAAATGTAAGTAATTGCACAACTCTCATTATAAAATAGGAGATAGTTGATTGAACGTTTATGTGATGTGCAAGTTAAGTGCATGATAGAGGAGGAATAGGAGGCAGAATATCATGTAATTAGTTATATATTGAGTTGCTGTGATTTTGGAGAAAGTTACCACTTTTCTTTCAATTATTACGAAAGTAAATTTGGAAGAGCCTCACATGGCCCTTATGTTTGTCTTGAAGATATGTGGACTGTTTCTAGGTTCACAACACCAAAATCACAATGCAGATTGCTGTCATGTCATTAGAGCCATCCTTACAATGAATCAAGCTAATGCCAGGTGAATAAGGAAACCAACCAGCAGAGGTCCAGGTGGGACATAAACCCAGACCTGGAAAAATTGAATGTAAATGTGTTTCCCATGCTCATGGGGCTTGTTGGCCAACTCCACTTCCTCTGCTGTGCAGAGGAATTGATCGTGCAGATTTTGTAAAGTGTGGTATTCTTAAGTCGAACTGGGATGGAGGCCAGCGGTATACTGGCAGCCAAACGTGCCAGACATCTGAGTTGAGAATAGAGTCCTTAAGGTGCTCCTGGGTTCTTGGGTGCTCTGGGAAGACAGCACCCACAGCCACAGTGATATTTAACAGAATAGAAGATAGCCGAGCAATGAGCAGCTAAAGCATTAATATTTGTGTTTTTCCTCTCTCATTGACCTGATAGTCCAAGTCTCCCAGACTATCAAAAAGACTTGGATATTAACAGGAATTCAAATAATCATTTGACATTACCTAGGTGGTACCTGATGGGGCTGAGCCACTTTTAGCACAAGTCATCACATTCTCCCCAGTGGCCCACCCTGTCTCTCTCTGCCTCAGCCAAACTTTGTGAAGGGGTTGTCGACACTTGCTGACCCTACTTCTTTATCTCTCATTTAATATTCCAGTGAAATTGCTCTTGGTAGAGTAGCTAGTGACCTTCTTGTTGCCAAGTGTGCACATCTCAGTCCTTGTCTTACTTGGTCTCTTTGCAGCAGAGGATTTACCTTTTCTTTGCAAACACTTGTTTCTCCTGGCTGCCACAACTCCACAATCTCATCATTTTTCTTCTCAGGCTCTTTCCCTGGGGCCTTGGGTTTTCATTGCCCTCCTCCTGCCTGGGAGTCTGGTGCCTGTGAGCTCTCCAAGGGGAGCACTAGTCTGTTTGCCCTCCAGAGTTTCTCCTAGTACCTAGCAAAATGCCGGACATGTAGGAGGTGATCAATAAACAATTTTGGAAGAATGAACAAATGTGAGTTTTATTCATATTTATTTTGGATTTATTATATGTCCTGACAACTACAAAAACAGGATTGGAGGTGGTTTACAGTGTTAGAATATATCTAAAAACATAACAAAAGCTTTTTTTTTTTGAGACAGAGTCTCGCACTGTCGCCAGGCTAGAGTGCAGTGGCGCCATCTCCGCTCACTGCAAGCTCTGACCTCCTGGGTTCAAGCAATTCTTCTGCCTCAGTCTCCTGAGTAGCTGGGATTACAGGCACAAGCCACCACACCCAGCTAATTTTTTTTTTTTTTTCTATTTTTAGTAGAGACGGAGTTTCACCACATTGGCCAGGCTGGTCTCCAACTCCTGATCTCGTCACCTGCCCGCCTCAGCCTCCCAAAGTGCTGGGATTACAGGCATGAGCCACTGCGCCTGGCCAACAAAAGCTTTAAAAAAGAGAAAAATAACAGAAACCAAATAAAAGTGAAATGAGATAAACACACCAGATTGCTGGGATGAATTAGTTGCTGCAATTGAACACTAAATTTAGTGCTGAGCTTCCTGGTAGGCAAAGCAAAATAAGCAATACATCAAGTTGTATAGTTCTCACTGGCAAATAAAAGGAAGCATAAATGTTTGCTTATGGATAGAAATATTTTCTAGCACTAAACATCAGTAGTTGTTTTATCATGTTTACCTTTAACAGAAGGTAACAAATGATAGTCAAAGATACTGCTCAATATCTTACTTTTTTTTTTTTTGGAGACAGAGTCTCACTCTGTCACCCAGGCTGGAGTGCAGTGGCATGATCTTGGCTCACTGCAACCTCCACCTCCTGGGTTCAAGCAGTTATCCTGCCTCAGCCTCCCGAGTAGCTGGGACTACAGGCACATGCCACCATGCCTGGCTAATTTTTTGTATTTTAGTAGAGACGGGGTTTCACTGTGTTGCCCAGGCTGGTCTTGAACTCCTGAGCTCAGGCAATCCACCCACCTCGGCCTCCCAAAGTGCTGGGATTACAGGCATGAGCTACCCCGCCTGGCCTCTTTATATTACCTTTTATATAATAAGTAGTATATTATAGGTACTATATACAAGATAATATACTGGGCAGTGTCTTAGACTATCATTTTCCAAAATATATGAATGCTTCTTCAAACTGTTCCTTTAGACACCTGGATGATACTAACAGAAGGGGTAAGTATTCCAAGACACATCATAGTTGTGTCATTAGGGAAATAGATTGGGATTAGGTGAAATAAACTTCTGGGTACCAGGCACCCAGAAGATACATGCATAAAATGATCCCAAACATCATGGCTGTCTTGCTCTTGCTGGAAAGCCTAAGTAAATTTGAGTGGAGCCTGAGGAAGACTACCTACACCTGTACTGATTTTCACAGGGAAGCACACACAGACATCCTCCTTCTGTTTTCCTCCAGAGATTTAACACTATGGATTCATAAAAGCCCCAACTTGGAAGCGGGGACAATCTGTATTCTAACAATCAGAGCCCCTGGGAACATGTGATGTTAAAGTCCCAAAGGGGAACGGGCACGGTGGCTCACGCCTGTAATCCCAGCAATTTGGGAGGCCCAGGTGGGTGGATCACGAGGTCAAGAGATCGAGACCATCCTGGTCAACATGGTGAAACCCCGTCTCTACTAATAATACAAAAATTAGCTGGGCATGGTGGCGTGCACCTGTAGTCCCAGCTACTTAGGAGGCTGAGGCAGAAGAATCGCTTGAACCCGGGAGGCAGAGGTTGCAGCGAGCCGAGATCATACCACTGCACTCCAGCCTGGCAACACAGCGAGACTCTGTTTCAAAAAAAAAAAAAAAAAAAAAAAGTCCCAAAGGGAGGCCAGGGAGGACTTCGGCTCATGCTTCCCTTTCCTACCATGTTTGGGTTACATCTAAAGAACCAAGACAACACAAACCATGTTCCAAAATGAGACCCACAGAGTCAGGAAAAAAACATTATTCTTAACCCCCTCTCCAAGATCCATATTAAAAATAGAGTTGAAAATGGGAGTGAAGGGACAAGGTTTCCAGGGAGGATTTTTGGAGAAGGCTCCAGTGCCTGTGCACACAGTGGGGAGAAATGGAGGATGCAGCTCATTCCTCTCACGATAGAGGGGCTTAAGGAGAACTTAATGTGTATCACCTTCAGTCTGGGGGCAGACTGGATTGGACCAGCCTTGAAAACCTCGAAGGTCTTCAGATGGAGGGGCGCAGACAGAGGGCTTTACTGGGCTAGGGGAAATGGGGAAAGGATGAAGGCAGGGACTTGGAAGCTGGCTCATTGAGTGCCCTGGGGGTAAAGGAACCTCAGCCAAGAGAAGCAGAGATGTTGCTGGATTTCCAGGAACCAAGGAAGCAGAGGCAGCTGCTGGGATTGCGATGCATCGACCTTTCACCTGCGACCCACAGGTGAGAGAACTCAGTGATGATGAAGGGGAGGGAGTTGCTGAGGAAGGTTGAACTTTAATAGCAGTTAAGTGCTGAGAAGGCCCACCCTGGAGCTTTCTTGCACCTTTCTCTAGTTCTCCTTCCTCTTCCTCCAACCCTGGGGCACTATAGTCAGCAGCTGAAGGGAGGAGAGGGCAAGGAGAGTCAGTCACAACCGCCCCACGCCCATAGTAGGCCTGAGTTGGGAGAAAGATGAGGACTCTAAATCCAGTTTTGAGTTTTTGTTATTCCACAGGAGTGGACATTTGATTTCTGAAAGGAGATTACATCTCATGGCTTCAGTGACTGTAGGACTCTTTTAGCTTAGAGGGACCAGAAAAGTCAGAGTCTGCCAGAATTTCCTCCCACAGCGCGCATTCAAGGGGATCCTGGAAGACCACACAAAGCTTCTGTGTTCTGCCAGCACGGGATAGCGGGACATGAGCAAGTCCAAGCCTGCCCCTGCCCTGGAGATGGGGCAATGAGGGCAGAGAGTCCACTGAGGGCAGGCTTGGGTGTGGAGCACCTTCAGAGAGGGGCCCTTCCCTAGAGACAGGGCAGGAAACCAGGCTCACTCTTTGGCACCCAGGAGTCCGGGGAGTGAGGGTGACGACAGCCACAGCGGAGAGGCTCCCGGCAGGATGGGGCCTGAGGAAGCCAGTGCATCTGCAAAGGCCTGCAGGTCAGGCCCAGCTCTCAGGGGCCCCGCCAGGGGAACCTCCTCCAGCAGATAACTTGAATGAAGGGCAGGCCAGACACCGAGGGAAGTTAGCCCAGTGAGGCGGCCCTTGTGCCCCAGGCTCAGGGAAGGAAGGTGAGTTCAGAATCAGAATCAAAAGACGGTGTAATTAGAAGCTGCAAGTGGATACACATGAGGGCGTAATACCTGCCGTCACGCAGCTGAGAGCGCTCGGGGCACTCTGGAAGAAAGCGCAAATTCAAAGTAATATTATCATCTTAATTATAATTAGAACCTGCAAGTGGAGTCTTGAAAGGCATTTATAGCATATCCTTACTTGTTTAGGTCAGCTTCCCAGAAAGAGGGGGAAAAATAGACTTGGACTTTTTTAATTTAGGCAAGAAATAGATCGGCCCATGCGTCAGGGCTGCTGTCTAGAGCCCCCTATGTGAGGGACGTCTTTTGGGGCTCAGTTTATTAAAGCTCTGCCTAGAGCCTAAAAGCTCAATATGGCAGAAAATAGGCTTTTTTTTTTGTAAGCTTTAGAGGGCTGCAAGCCAATTGGAAGCTTCCACCCGCTGTGAAGTAGTGAGACTGGTAAAATAGCTAGTAAATTACCCCTGACTCAGGGCCCATTGAGTGATAGGTCTGCAAAGCAGAGCACGAGGGGAGGACGGCCAACAAATATCCGGGGGAACCCCAGTTGTTCCTGGTTATCCCTTGGCTGATTGTCTGGACTGAGGATAATTCAGACTTGCTAAGCTTTTTCCTCTCACTTTCTACCCCTCTTAGAGGACAGGAGGCATCAGACAGGGGCCCGAGGGAGAAATGCTACCCCTTATTTAGCTGTTGTGGGAAGCTCTGGTGAAAACCCCATGAAAGCAAGTTGGGGCTGATGGTCACAATGAGGTCTCTGCTTCTATGGAATTCAGCCGCCCACGCTGCTCCCGTGCCCGGTCCCTGTGAACAATCCAGAAACAGCTGTGATTGGCAGAGCCACTGAAACCAGAGCTTCGTAGACGGGAGGAAAACAATCACGCCACTGTGTGGTGCAACTGGGTTTGCAGGCTCCCTGACAGATGAAGACAAATGTTGCATAACAGCTTATGAAAAATTGGCTTAAAAAAACTCTGCATACCTGGGTCATAGTCAATGAGAACTAATGTAGGTGCTTCTATCCCATCTCCTATTCCCAAAATTTAGGCACCCAATCTCCCTTGGTTTCCAAGGGCCCCTTTCATGCCCAGCTCTGCCCTGTCTCATGCTCGAAACCCATTTCTTGATCCCCTTTCCCTTCTCCACTCAGCTCCTACGTTCCAAACTTACCTACCCTTAGACCAATTCCTTAAGGACTCTGATAGTTTGACAATCAGCAGTTTGGGACTAACGTATCTCCTCTTCCAGATAACATTCGATCCTACCTGGAGCTTCACGGAGTTGTGCCCTCATCTAAAAGGAGGCTGTGGGGGAATGTTTGAGGCGCCGTCTGGCCCCGGGGGGAGACAGTTCAGTGTAGGGCGTCTCTCAACAGCACCAGATGCATACAAGTCTGAAGTCTTGGAGCATCAGGACTTTTTTTTTTTTTTTTCAATTTTGCTCTGAGCTTTTTGGCGACTATCCTTGCTCAAATAAGTTTTTCTCTAAGTTTCTAATTCATAGGTTTGTCATGATTCACATTTAAAACAAATTTTAATCATTCCCACCTCCCCTCCCCCCCCGCCCTTAAGTGTTGTAGCAGCTTTTCCCCTGGGTGGAAAGAAACCTGGAGTCTGTTCCAAAAACTTTGGAAAAGGAAGCCCGGATCTCTCCAGTGCTCACTATATACTTTCCATGCACGGGAGTGGTTTACTGTAGCAAAGAGTATTTTGTTATGCCTTCTGGGTAATTTTGTGCAAAAATTTACAATGTCAAGGGAACATGGTTATTAGGAGCAAACCGTACAACTCCTTATCTGTTTCTCCACAGGCGCTAGCCATGGGGTTCAGAGCCAAGTGCCAGCTCTTCCTGCTAAAAATGTTCTCAATTTGGTCTCCGCCAGCAGTGAGGACAGCAGTGTGAATGTGTGAATTCTTGCTCCAAACTGGCTAGAACCAAGTTTTGTAAATGTCATTTCTTGGGATGCTGTTTTATCTGAGAAATCACATTTCACCAGCAGCACTGAAACTAGCTGATGATGCCATAATAAGTTCTGACTCCTGCAGGGAGAAGCTCTTTGAGGCCCTTTTTCAATACAGCTGACATGTTTTTCATTTAAGAGCCTTTTTAGGACAAGTTTAAACTCTCACATCACTCTATAAATCTTATGAAATGAAAATCAAATTCAGTACAGTTACAAGCTGTTCAATTCTATCTCCTTTATAACATTTATAACTAATATAACAGAAAATTTAAAAACCCTCTTTTGTGCTTTCTACCAAGGCGGCAATATGGACTCAATATACACAAAATGTAGAACTGAAAATGAATTACATGTTTAAAATACAGATTTTTACACAACAAAACAACAGTCCTGGACCTCCTCCTCCTTAAAAATTAATGTCATAATCTCCAAAGCATTTTTGGTCATGCAAAGTCACTATCAGATAAACCTCAAATTCATAATTTCAAGATAAGAGACACTGCCTCAAAATGGAAGAAAATGTCTTCTTCTAGAATCATTAGGTATATTATTTTACTTGGTAGGTTACTTGAAGCCGGCAGTTAAACTGGTCCCTAGATATTTATTAACCTAAGAAAAGACACGGGAAAATGTACTTCATACAGTCTTCAAGCAGATACTCCACTGTTTTAAAATGAATTTCATTAAGGCTTATACTCAATACACCTACTATACATGTGTATTTAAAATATAGTTTTTCCACTAATTGCAAGATTTAGTGAAAATGTGGCTTTGGCAGGCAATGAATAATAAGTATGCTACATATTCAGTAAAGTTAAAGTTGGGCTTGAAAATAACCATTTATTTATTGTTCAGATTACAATAAAATCTTGTTTGCCTGGAACTCAGGCTACTAGGAATATCAAATAAGAGAAATGTTTTGGAAATGTTCTGCTTTTACAGTTGTTAGGATGTGACTAGTAACTAAGTTGATAAAGAGGTGTATGTAACTAATAAAAGCAAAAACTTCTAGGTTGCACATTAATAGCTGTGTAGCTTCACCCCAGGCTCTTCGCCATTTGAGGATATAGTCCTCTGTGCAGTTTCATGCTCATGGGAAGACCCTGGATGGTTCTGAAGGGTTGTGTGCACCCAGTGCCTAAGTACAACGCCCCCAGAGCAAAGAGGTAGAATATGGTAGTAGCTAAGTATGTGGACTCCAATGCCAGTCAGTCTGAGTTCAAAACCCAACCATACCACGTACTCACTGTGTGACTTTAGGCCACATTGTCAACCTCTTTAGCCTCAGTTTCCTTATTATGTAAATAAAGTTATATCATTGGATTGTGAAGACTATACTAGTGTAGAGTGTCTAGCAGCACGCAGGCACATAGAAGGCACTCAATAAATGTGAAGATTTTTATTCCCAAATGATCCTTTTCCAATGGGTCCCAAGCTTCAGTCTATATCTTAGTTTGACTAGAGATGTGATAGAACCATATTCAGGAGAATTACCAAGGAAACACCTGTCACCTTTCTATTACCCCAGGTGTAGCTCCTAAAATTCCATCACTTGAACAAGTGTAAACAGAGAATATATTTGGACATTAAACATAGTGTTACTATTAGCAGAAACAACATCTAACACCTTTCTGCAAGTGTTCCATGTTCTGTCTCAGGAGCCAGTTGGGATATGGGATTCTGGCCCATCTAAAACCCAGAATTCCCAAACGCCTGTTCTGAATGTCTCCAACCACCAGGATCACCAATCCACTTTGGCCCTCTACCAACTACAGATTTTCTCACTCCTCCTAATGATTGCGTACTCTTGATTTAAGAGAAGCAGTTCTCCTTTAATCCAAGCCAAGTTAGAGAAAGCATGAAAGAAACATTCACTTCTCTTCCCAACTTGGCTGTCAGGTTTTTGGGAGTTGGCCAGGAGGAAAGATGGTCCCACGAGGAACTGCAAAACCAAGTGTCAACTGCCTGGATGCCGCAGGCCATACACACTTCTGGGGTAATGCTTTTCTCTAACATTCAAGTGAAGTGGCAGGAACCCCCATCCCACATTTGGTGGAAGCCAGCATGTCTCTTCCCACAAAGTTTGCTGGAACTCTTGAGGACCTTCCCGTTCTCCTAGTCTCCTCTTGCTCAGATTTCTCCATTCCTCTGCACTCCTGAGTGAACCCCGTGTCTTTCCTTCTAAGACTGCTGTGTTCCTCATATTGCTTTGTCCCATGTTGGATGCTGCCCCAATTCCTTAGCTTTCTCCAAAGCACCATCCACACAAGGCTGGGCTGTGCAGCAGTGTTTGGAGCAAGCAAGGGGTTGTCTGCAGTACAGCTCAACACAGGGACAACAGTTGCCATTGATGAGAAAGCCCATCCATTATTCCTGCCCTGGGGACTGTCCTGCTGACTGTATTACCCCTTAGGCCCATCCTGATGCTGTTTTCTCAGGTCCCTTCTTCTCTCTCCAGGTCCTTCTCCCTTCTCTAAGAGCCAGTCTTCTCCCCCAAATCCTGATTTCTTTCTTGTGCATAGAATCTGGCTCTCCATAACCTTATGTCCCACTAAACTCAGGTCTACCTTTGCAGACCGACCAGCCCACCAAAGTGCTTTGCTGGGCAGAGGCTCCACAAATGCTTCTGCCCTTAAATTGCATAAAGATCTGACAGCAGCCTTGAAATTCATACATGGGACATTTGTTTTCCCCAGTCTCTGTAAGAGGGAGGAAGACTGTATATCTGCTAGGATAGAACATAGGTGTGGCTCAGAGTCACACAGACCCAAAATGACAGTGGCTTACATGAAGTGGAATTTTTATTTCTCTCACGCATAGATGTCTGAGCTGGAATTAGGGCACAGCTTCATGAAAGCATCCTCCGGGACCCAGTTTCCTTTTATGTTATTGCCGTACCCTCCCTAAGGTGTTGTCTTCATGATTCCAGATGTTTCACGGCCACACCCTGGGCCAGCCAGCAGGAGGGAGTAAAAGGCAATGCGGAGGGCATGCCCTTCCCTCGAGGGCATAGCCTGGAAGTTGCCTATATCACCCCCCTCGCATCCACTGGTCAAAACTTAATCACATGACTGCAATACAGGCTGTGAATTAGAGGCTTCAATTCAGGGGACCATGGGTCAAGCTAAAAGTCAGATCTACCATAGAACTGTACTGTCCAATAGAGTAGCCACTAGGACATATGGCCATTTACATTTGAATGAATTAAATGAAATTTAAAATTCAGTTCTTCAGTCAGCCTAGCCCCATTTTAAGTGCTCAATAGCCACATGTGGCTCATGATGACCACATTGGACATTATAGACATGGAACATTTTAATCTCAGAAAGTTTTACTGGGCAGTGCTGCTAAAGAAAAAGCATGAAATACTAGGTGCAATTGGCGGTCATTGTCACAGGCACTATAAAGGTTTATTCCTCCTCTTTTAAGAGTAAGTCTCTTGGAGTTGAGAATTTTTCCAGCCCAACAGTGTGACCTTGTGCAGCAGTTGCTCTCTTGAGTGTACCCTGCAGCTGCTCACCAGGCAGTGATCATGATTGAAGGGTATAGCACACACCTGGCACATACTAGAGAGTCAATAAATGTTGGCTCCCTCTCCCCGTGCCACCACCCCCCATACACACTCACAGCCTCCCTCCCCTTTATGGAACTTACAGAGTCCTCTGTCTCACCCTGAAGGTGAGACATTATTAATCCCCGCCCCCGCCCCCCCAACATCGCATCGCAGCAGAGAAACTGGGAGACTCAACCTTTCCAAGGTGAGGGAGTGAGGTGTATGCTGAGGTGGGATTTCAGCATGGTAAGTATCTGCTTTGATACAGTGGGAAGCCTGACAGTGACAAATGACCACCTTTCATGCCTTTTTAAGAATTTGGGGAAAGAAAAGGATCACATATGCTTGCACAAGAAAGGGAGGCTTGTTCTCTCCAGTGAAGCCAGCTCTCAGCCTGGAGTCATGTTAGTCTGGGACAGTGTTTGCTTAGGATCTCATGGGCCACCAGAGAACCCATACCAAATATTTTCTTCTAAAGAACTGCTGGATCCTGGGAGCTGGATCACTTTGTCTCCTTGACTTTCAGGTGCTCTGTGACTTTAGGCCTCCTCTCTGGTGACCAGAAAGCTATATCCTGTAACATTCTAGAGCCCCTAGATGGTGGTAGGAGAAGGCAACAAAGTGAGGGAAGAGACCAGGAGGCTCAATATGAGTCCCTCTCACATCAAAGAGTCTGTATTTGGGCTCTTGAGCAAGAGGGGAAAAGCATGAAGTTGCTAATTCTTAAACTGTGTGAAGACACACACCTGTTTGAGGATTTGAAAGAAGCTATAGACTGTCTCCCCCTTCTGAAAAAATGCAGATACATGCCAAGATATAAAAACATCTTAAAAGGCTCAAGGACTCACTTAAATTATGTTACCTTGGCTTGGAATCCCAAATAATCACTATGATTTTGTTAAGTTTTATAAGGTTTTATAAAGTTTATACATTATCAGGCTTGAAATCCTCCAGGGCCCTAAGCCCATAAAGGGACAGCTGTGGGTAGAGCTCAGTCATAAAGAAATATCACAGCATTTAGGTTCCATTTTGATTTTTTGGACTCTGGGGATGTAAGAAACACCTCCTGTAGGATAACTCCCCAGGGACGAAGGCAGCCACATTCATCTAATAACTGAAGGTTCAAAAATCACCCAGGAGCAAAAATTACTCAGATCTGAAGATAGAGAAATTAAAATGCATGAGAAATGAGACTACATGAAGCTCAACTTTCGAGTGAGAAAATAAAATTCCTGATCTGAAATCTCTTAGGGGAGGAGAGGAGAAGTCTTTGCTATATTATGAGAGCAAAAGATCATTACATGGTTGATGAGGGGCATCCCGAGGTCCCTTGGCTCAAGTGCAGAGAATGAAGTGTGAGTAAAGGGTGGAGTGAAGCATAGGGCAGGCCACAAATGCAGTGACTATATTATGATGTGTGCTTTGTCACTTGGCCTGTCATCAATGACACTTTTAGCTCTTCCTGCTTTTCTAAATCTGTAGCTCCTGGGGCAGCTGGTGTTCAAAGCCTTATAGAAACTCTGTTCCCCTAAATCAGTGGTTCTCATCCTTGTTTGCACATTAGAACCACCTGGAGACTTAAAATACTACTGTCTGCACATCACCATTTGATTGGTCTGTAGTGGGATCCAGGAATCCCTTGCAACAAAAGCTTCCCAGATGATTCTAATGCACAGCTATGGCTGAGAACCACTCCTTTACTGTTGTTAGAAATTATTGCAGGTATTCCGAGGATCTGTAGAGAATTTAGGTAGTTAATAATCAGAGAAAAGCTGAAAGGACTGTTTTTTTTAACAAACATGACAACCTTAGAGTTAGGAAAGCTGCATTGTCAAACAAGGTTGGCCAGGAAAATGGGTTTGTGGGTCTGGCATTTGTCCTCTTTTCATTCATTAAATAACAGAGCCTGATCGGCTTCAGTAATGAATGTGAACTTCTGTTAAATACTTAATAAGATGAGAGTTTCCAGAGAGAAGTAATCAAGAATGAGTTTAATACTATTCCAATTAGGTGCAGATTAAACAGTGTGCCACATAAAAATTCAAAGCCAACGGAGCTAAAGAAGAACTTGGAAGTTGCTTGTGGTTAGGATGGGAGTTGCTGACGGCAGGAGGGTCAACACTGTCAGCCACCACATTGCTCAGCAATAAGACCTGGTGATTATGCACTTTGATAGGGTTAGGTACTAATCCAATGATGTGTGAGTTAGCTGTCACCCTTCTTCCAACTATATTATTCTTGTTCTTAGGAAGCAGAGGTAAGGGTGACATTGGCGACTTTTCAGTCACATTCACAGAGCAGTCCGTGAGATGGATGTCTTAGTTTGGGTTCCCCAGAAGCATGCTCCACAACAAGGATTTGAGTACAAGAGTTCATTTGGAAGGTTACCCCAGGAAACATTAAGGGGGAAATGGGAAAGGAGACAGGGAAGGAAAGAAAGGCAATAAAGAGGGTGTTATTGGCCGGGCGCAGTGGCTTATGCCTGTAATCCCAGCTTTTTGGGAGGCTGAGGCAAGTGGGTCACTTGAGGTCAAGAGTTCGAAACCAGCCTGGCCAACATAGTGAAACCCTGCCTCTACTAAAATACAAAAAAAAATTTAGCTGGGTTTGGTGGTGTGCACCTGTAATCCCAGCTACTTGGGAGGCTGAGGCAGGAGAATCGCTTGAACCCTGGAGGCAGAGGTTGAAGTGAGCCGAGATTGCACCACTGCACTCCAGCCTGGTCGACAGAGTAAGATTCCATCTCAAAAAAAAAAAAGTGTGTTCTCAGTTATCTCTGAGGGCAACTGGGGGTTAGTCTTGCTGCGTAGACATGCCTCAGAGTCACCCAACAGAGACTGGGTCTTTATTCACCACGTCCCCATCAATCATGGGTTGAAGTCTGCTTCCAGGGCAGTAACCTTCCTTTTCTGGCTCCTAGGCCTGATGCACTTTCCCAGCCAGATAAAGGCTTGAAGAGACAGAGTGGCAGGTGTGGGAAATAAGCAGGCTTTGGAGTGTAGAAATGAAAACAGAGAATATGGGCAGGGCACTGACAGCGTCTGCCACAGTGGATAAATCCATTCATCCACCCATCCATCTGCCCATCCATCAGAATAATTATCAAGTGGCAGACACATTTTGGAATTATGGCTGGTCACATGTTCACAAAAACTCTTACGGATTTCTATACCGTGGACCAGCCCACTATATTTCTTTAAATCTGTCTGCCAATCAATCTCCCAGCCCATCCAATCTTTCTTTGAATCTAGGAGGTAACATTTTATTCAACTCTCAAAATTTATTATGCTTAAAATGACCTCCTTTCATCCCCCAACACCACTGCAATGCTAAAATCTCAAGTATAGGTTAGCAGGTAGGTTCCCATTGGGTCTAGCCTACCAGGGGTAAAGAGAGAAAAATTGCTTGAATGTGGTAAGATTCACGATAAAGGGAATGAAGTCACCTGACCCAGTCAGGGTTGGGTCTCCCGACACTTTTGCCATTAACTACTCTGCTTCTGTCAGCAAAGCCCTTGGCTGTGTTCTCCAGACCCAGCCCAAAGCATGCATTCTTTAACAGCTATTTGATCCTTATTTCTAATAATCAAAGAGATTCTTACCAGTGAGGAGCCAGAGTTGGGCCAGAGTCTAGGTTGTTATGGTTTGAATGTGTGTTCCCTCCCAAACTCATGTTGAAATTTAATTGCCATTGTGACAGTATTAAGAAGTGCTGAGGCTATGAGGGCTATGCCCTCATGCATGGATTAATGCCATTATCATGGGAGTGGATTCATTATTGTGGGAATGGGTTCCTTATAAAAGGACAAGTTTAGCCCCTTTTGTCTCTCTCTCGCCGTCTCTTTGCCCTTCTGCCATGGGGTGACTTAGCAAGAAAGCCCCCACCAGATGTGATCCGCCTGATCTTGGACTTCCCAGCCTCTAGAGCTGGAGAAAGAAAGTTCCCTTCATTATAAGTTACCCAGTCTGTGGAATTCTGTTATAGTGGCACAAAGCAAACTAAGACATAGGCTCACAGCAGGGAGAGAGGTGAGGAATTGTCTCAGATAGGTAGGTGAAATTCAAATGCAATCACTTTATGTGGGAATTGTTTGACACAGCCCAAAACAAACCACCAACCTACTAGACCTTAGGGTTTTAAAAAGTAATACTGTGCAAAACCAAATAATCTCACCCCATCCCTGGCCTTTATGCAGAGTGGAATTTGGGGTGAAGCAGGTGTCAGAAGGGCTGCCACCTAGAACCAGGGCTCCTGGATTTGCTCTCCTTGTTTATCTCAGGGAGGGCTGTCAAGCAGCCCAGCAAGGCATTTGCCTCTTTTCTGAGAATTCACTCTGCCTCTCACATTCTTCACTAGATCCCTTAAAGTTAACAACACATTGCAGTGTCCGGTGCAGAAAGGATATTTGAACCATGACATTATCTCTTTTTCTCAACTTAGGAATGCCAAGAGAAATTTCAAATAAATTTCTAGTGCTTCTTGAAATACTTTCAATAGACATACATTAAATACTTTATACTTCCTTCTAAATTATGATTTTTAGAGACAGAACTAATGTTACCTTAGAGTCTTGCCCAGTTCTGACAGACTAAAAATTATATGGCCTTTTCTGACTACAAAAATAATTCCACCTCATAAAAATTCAAACCCAACAGAGACAAAGGAGACTGTGGTATAGGAGTCTCTCGTGGCCAGGGTAGGGGATGTGGACAGCACAAAGTTGGGAATGTCAGTCGTGCACGTTACATGGTAATAAAACCTAGTGACGTTGCACTTTGACGGGAGCACAGATGTCAAAATGGCTTCATCACCCTGGCCTCCTCCAAACGTCCTGCCTCCTGGGAATTGGGAGGTGGAGGCAGCTGGGCTCCTGGCTTGTCCCATTACAAATAACATGCAATATCATTCAACAAACGCTCACTGAGTGCCAAGCAGTGAGAAGACATGATGAGCAGGGCAGACCCCATGATGCCTGCTCTCCAGAAACTCTCTTCTGTGTTAAGAGGAGATGGAACTAAATTTTTAAAAACTCACTCCTCCATGTAGAGCTGTAATCAGAGACGAGATCCCCCAAAGAAGGGATCCCAGCTCTAAGAGAGCACGTAGCAAAGGACTCTGCCCTAGACTGGGGGCTGACAAGACTTCCCTGTGCCGTCAGAAGGAGGAGGCATTAACTAGAAGGGGAGGGCAGTGGGGTTTGAGGCTATGGGCATTCCAGAAGGCAGGAGGCATAAGTGCAAGGGCTTGTGGTACCAGGGGATCTCTGCAGATCTGGAGACTGAAGGAAGACTTGTTGGCTAGGGAGCAGAGAGTGGTGGATAATGCGGTCAGATCAGGCAGGGCTTGTCAGCCAGGCTAAGGGGCTTGCTAGCTGAGCAGAATGCTAAGCAGGGGTTTGCATGTGGGTGAGGCAGGGGGTGGTTGCAGTGGAGGGTGGATTGGGTGGGGGATTGTTGATGGGCATAACCCCAGTCGGTGGGCCAGTGCAGTTATCCTAGCAAGAGCGGGCAGAGGATGCCGGGGGCTGGCAGACAACCAGGGTGTTTGCTCCAAACCCTCTTACAGCTACAAACGGAGCATTACCTTTGTGGCTACTGGCTTCCAGGTTGCCAGTCCACTGTGCCAGCAGAACAGTATCTGCTCCCCTGAGGGAGCTTCCTGGGAACATGCACATCCTTATTCAGTAGGTCTCAGGAGGGCTCAGGAATAGGAAGTTTAAAAGCTTCTCCAGGCAGGCATCTGCATTTTTTTCCATTTTCTCTACAAAGGTTTGCTCTGAAAGAGGGTGTTAAACCCTGGACCAAGCACTAGGTGTTAATTCGGTTCTACCACCTTCATCAGATGGTGTCAGCTCACAAGTCTCAGTCCCACCAGCTGCAAAATGGGGGTGGTCATTTCTTTCTGTGCCTCATGGGGTTGTTCTGAGAATCTAATGAATTTGAAAGCATAACACAAATACCTGATGTTCTTGCTCTGCAAACAATAGTTTTTAATGTGGAAAGACATTCTGATTTTATTACTTAGTATTTTGGCGCTCTTTTCTCTAGGCTATGCAGGACAAGTGAGGGCTGTTTAAACAACAGTGGTGCTTGCTCCAGAGTCCTCCTGCTTCACTGAGGAAGGGGTGCTGCTCCTTCCCCTGGGTCCTGAGTGGCTTCCCCTCATTCCCAGCCACAGATGCCGCTTCCCTCCCACCGGCTCATGAGGTTGTTGCTGCTGCAGCCTGCACTACCGGTTCCCCTGCCTTTGGCCACACATCACCTAACGTTTGCTCTGCTCCAGACACTGACTGAAACTCTTTATACATGTTATCAAAATTATCACCTCCCCTTAAGAGATAAGGAAACTGAGCCTTAAAGCAGTGCTCACATGGCCAGGAAAGTGGGGAGCTGCTACCTGAACCCATTAACCACTCTATAATACCATTGTTTGCAGGAAGGAGGGTTTCCTTCCTTGATGGAGTGTGATCCCCAGAGCTAAGGGGTGGCCTTTATTCCCACTTATCTACCCTCTTATTCTTTGTGTCCTAGAGGTCCAACCATTAGGCTCAAACTTCTCTTTTACTCTTTCTTCCAGAGAAACGAGGAACCATCGAGCAAAGGGGACATCTGGAGTGGCAGAGAAACAAGGAACCATCAAGCAAAGGGGGCATCTGGGGTGAGTGTATAGATCCAGCCCTGACCCTCATTAACTAGTGGAGATGCTCATAAGATTGTGGGCTTCTTGAGGGCAAGGGTGCCCTCTTATTCATCTTTGTGTGAATGGCACAAAGTCGGTGTTGGGTAATGTCTGTTGATTGCTGAAGCGCTGGCAAGATGCCTAAGGGAAGAGAAGCATTGATTAATCTAGTGGTGTCTTCTCACACCCTGCTTTGATTGGAGGCAATGGCAATGTTAACCTCAAAATGTGTGTGGTGCTTTACGGTGTACACAATGCATCAGTCTACAATTGCGAGATGATTTTTATCCCCATTAGAAGGAAAATAAAGCAGAGGTGCAGGGAAGTTAAGTGACTTGCAATGCTATGGATTGATTTGAAAGCACTGGCACTGGAGTCAGTCAGATGAGTTTGAGTCCTAACTCTGCCTTGAACTAAGTAGTTACCATGTGGCTATGTGGCAATAAGCTAGGTCCTTACACCCTAGAAACTCTACTTTCCTCATGGATAAAATCAAGATGATGACGGCACCATTTACATAGGATTATCTTGAGGATTAAATGAGATTATGCATATAAAGTGTCAGGCACATAGTAAGTGCTCAGTAAATACTGGCATTTGCTAGTGGTCATAGAGCTGGGGCTCTGGTTGTCTGACTTCAGTCAAATATTCTTTGACCCAGATTTGAAGCCTGTGATCAGCACATTTATATTGAACAAATGCACGGCAGAATATTGAGAAGGAATTTATGACAATATTTACATAAAGAGTTGGCATTTGCATTGATGAAACCAAAAACAGAGCCCTAAGAACTGACCAGTGAGAAAAACCATGGATGTCTCTGAGGAATTTGATATAACTATGTAACTATAATGTTCAGCACAGTGACCTTGGCTTGGAGTCACCAACTGATTTCAATTGTTGTTTGAGTTATCACTGGAGAATGGAATATCATTCATTTGTTTAACAAACACTTCTTGGGCACCCGCTGTGTGCCAGCCACTGTGCTGTGAGTCAGGATGTAATGGACAGCAGAAGAGGCAGAGCCTGCGGCTGCACGAAGTCCCCAGTCAGGTAGGAACACTGGAGGGGCTGCTCTCAGCCTTGAGAATCTCAGCAGCCAAGGAGCCACGCCCCTGGTGGGTCGGGGGACCACTCAGACGGGTGGTGACCAGGCTCTGTTATGATTTATTTTCTCTTAATGGTAAAGTTGTGAGCAAGTCTCAACTCTCATTTCTTCTTAGAGAAAATATAGGCAAGAAGTGGTCACAGAAATAAAGCTGGAGAGGAGAGTCCTTTTTTTGGGTAGGGTCCTAGGATCCATGAAAACGTCTCCAGATGGCAGATCGTCTGGAGGGAGAATCCCATGGCTTATCCTCATCTAATCGGATCATCTATCTGCTTAAATGCTATCCCAAAGGATATGTGTCTTGGCTGGGTGAGACAGTGGAGGAAACCCCTTTGATTTTCTTGATGAGACTTCTCTTCCTTCAATGTAGATTCACAGAGAAATGATGGTTTAATAGAGAGATCTAAATTATCCAAAATTAACAACTTGACGTTGATGGTGTTAGCCTCATAACTACTGATACAGAGACAACCAGAGCTAAAGCATTGGCTTTTAGGCCCCCTTTCTAGGACAATATGCTTATTTCCAAAGGAAATGCATTCTCCCATCCAGGTCATATCTTCTGGCTGTCCCAAAGCCAACACTGGAGCTGGTAGAAGGGACTGAGGTATGATTTGTGTCATGCCTTTTTATTTGTCAGACCAGCAAATGCCATACTTGACTCATAGAGTGAGCTTGGGGATTAAATGAGATCATATATGTAAAACAGCAGAGTGCCTAACTTGTGACAAAGACTTAACATTTGCTAACCATTTGGAATGGATGTCTGGTTTGGGTCTGTCTAGCACTCCTATCTCCTTTGGAGAACAGTCCCCCTTCTATTCCACACTGCCTTGGTGGGCATGGTACCCTTTCTCCTGAATGCAGCAAGAGAGAGTTAGGCCCACATACAAGGACATGCAGAGATGAGAACGGGATAGACAGAGAGAGAGTCCTGGCATGTGTGAGACCAGACATGGTTCCTAAATCCCAGATTCCTATAGCTTCTTTTTCAATTCTGAGTCACCTTGGGCCAAGCCACAGAGGTGAGCAAAGAGTTCCCATTTTACTTAAGCAGCCTGAGTTGAGGTTCCATAATTTGCCATTGGTCCCATGAGGATGTGAGGCCGTGATGCCGTAAGTCCACGTGGCAGGAGAACTGGGTGGACAGTAACCTTTTAGGTGCCCACAACTGAGAAGTGAGAATGTTCTCAGAGCACCCCTGGGTCTTAGTCACTGACATTTAAACAGGCTGCAAAACATCTTTCACCTGCCTCTTACATGCCCTCTATGAGTTACATATTGTGGCTTACCACCGAAAGTAACACCTCCCTTCTGAGTCTCAAAGACAGCAAGGCAAGCTGAGAACTTGGAGATGTGTATTAGTGAGAGGAACCTCCCACTGGTTTAGATCAGGGAGGACATCCCGTGGTCTGCTCAGGTCAGTCATGCCCCAGGCCAGCAGCTGGAAGGACAGCAGAGTGGGCTCAGTGAGCAGTGAATATAACCCAGAAAATAGATGTTCATCTCAAGGGCAGTCTCTGGGCGTCATGCATCTTTGGACCCCCAGGGCTGAGTGCTGCATCAAGGAGTCTGAAGTTCTTTAAGGTCCCAGTGAATGGAACGGAATCTGCCCCAGCTGGTAGCGTGTCCCCGGCTGCACTAAATGAGATTCTGTGGGGTACGGGGAAAGGCATGAGAACTTTAGGCCCCTGAGGTCAGGGAGACACAGCCAAATAGCTCAGATACAAAGTGTCTTGGCAGGCACAGAGGGGTGTAGCAGTGAGGTGAGTGGGCGGGGAGGGGGTGCATTTTTTGCTAGTGTGCCCAGTTTTGTTGACAAAAACGGTAGCATCTGAGCAGGACCTTGACCAGCTGGTGGGATGCAGGGTGAGTGATATGCGCAAGATGTGGTCCTGGGCCAGCACCATCAGCATCGTCTGGGAACTTGTTAGAAAGGCAGAGTCTTGGCCAGGCGTGGTGGCTCACGCCTGTAATCCCAGCTCTTTGGGAAGCCGAGGCGGGCGGATCACAAGGTCAGGAGATCGCGACCATCCTGGCTAACGTGGTGAAACCCCATCTCTACTAAAATACAAAAAATTAGCCAAGTGTGGTGGCATGTGCCTGTAGTCCCAGCTACTCAGGAGGCTGAGGCAGGGGAATCGCTTGAACCCGGGAGGCAGAGGTTGCAGTGAGCCGAGATCGGCCCAGTGCACTCCAGCCTGGCAACATGGGACCAGGCGGGCAAGGCAGGCAGGCATCTGATTGCAGGATCCCCAATACCAGATTTTAGAATCATGTCATTTTTCCATACCACTGAGAAGCTCCTGAAAGTTTTTGAAGAAGAGTGAGTCATTCATTTATTCACTCAGCTAATATTTATCAAGCACCTACCACGTGCCAGGCCCTACACTGGGCACCAAGATCCAACAGTCAACGTGCCCACATTAGCTAAGGGCAACTTTTAAGCAAGGGCTTATTCAGAGACAAGATTGCTATTGTCTGTGTTTTCCATCTGATTTGCGAATGGAACATACACCTGCTGTGCTCTCCAGAAACAACTCTGCTGCTTGTCTCTGACAGAAGCGCTTCAGTTGAGCATTTATGGAAGTTTCTAACAGTGGTGATGTGAATGGATGACAGAAAGCAGGCGCGTGCGCACACGCAGTTTTCAAAGGCTGGGGGCCAGTGGGAGAACGCATTTTCTTTCAGGTCTGTGCTGCCTGCCAGGGAGCTGCTGTTCTCGTGCGGCATCTTAAGATGGCCCTGGCAGCCTTTGGCTTTTGCCTTGTGAGGGTCAATGGGCTTCAGGTGTTTCTGTGTTGATCTAACAGTTTCAGGAAGCCGTGGGCTGGGAGGGTGGGGGTGAGCGAGGGGAGGAGTGGGGAAGGGAAGGAGGAAGGCTGTGGGTAGCTTCTCTTCTGTTCTCACATGACAGCTCTGATGAAATTAGAGTGTGATCTCAAAGACAAGCTGGTCTTTTCATCTGAATTAAATGAAATAGGCCAATATGCTCTTCTAGAAGATCAAACATACCCAGGACAATGTTCAATCCTCTTTCTTTGTCCCACTTTGGGACAAAAACCAAACTGGGGAAAAGAACGGGGAGGCTGGAGCGCCTGCTGGGGCCCCTTCTCTGCCCACACGGCTCCTCTTGGGTTCTGGGCAGGCTGAGCTTAGCGGGCATTGCCCTCTGCTGGGGCATATCAGGAGAAATGAGCTAAGGCCAGGGGTGGTCCTATCAGGTGGCAGAGGACAGGATTTGGACGAGTCGCAGGGCTATTACTGATGGAGATTTAGCACTCTGGCCTCTGAGAAAACAGCCAGGTTTCTGATCTGCCCAAGCCCTCTGTCTCTCCTGTCAGGGGCCTTCTCAGCACCCCCTAAACATTCCAATTCCTCTCCTACTCCAGTCTATTCCCTTCTTTCTCTGAATGGTCCATAGCTTATCCCAGGTCTGTGGGCAGAGGGGAAAGAAACAGAAGGGAGAGCTGAGAAATCTCTCCCGCCCAGCACAGTCGGTATCACAAGCTCTGTGTCCGGTTTCCTTGTCCTATATTTGGTAACACGACAGTGGCCTTTCTGACTGATGCGAGCCCCTGTTCTCTTCACTCCCTGGGGATTGCTGATAGGAGGCCAGCATTTCAGTAGGCAGCGCATCATCAGCCCTACCACGGATCTTATTTTAAACTAATTACATTACTGAAGGGTGGGTAGGAGGGAGGAGAAGGGGTAATTATAACCGGGGAATTTTTTTTTAAAGGCCTAGTTTCAAAAATCTCAGACTTAATTTAGTAAATTTCAATTACAGAGAGTTACTAAGCTGAAGATCATTTGCATTACATCCTTAATTACTACTTCATTTGTATCTGAGATCATCAATAGAGATTCTTGGGAATGTGTACTTGGAATAAGTGATTGATCCTAATGAGGCCTTTGTTCCTCCCAAGCCTCACTTAGGAAGCTATTTCTTCCCTCTTGCAGAGGCACAGAGTTTGCCAAGCCAGGTGGAGACACCCTAAACTAGAAATGGAGCCTGAGGTTTTCAAACTGGTTTTGCCAGAGGCTGCAAGACTCTAAGCTCTGTCCTGATGTTCCCCAACAGGCATTAATTGCTCTCCCCTGAATGCATTAGCACTGCCAGACTATTACGGATGATTAGCCTCCGTGCCCAGCTACAAACGTCCATCTTTCTTAGTTGGTAGCAGAGGAAATAGCCTTTTAGGACCTTCTCCTTGCACAGGATGGATGCCGTCCTGGACCTTCCTGCTTCTGCGTTTCCCGCCACCTTTAAAGAAAGTGCATCCAGCAGTCCTGGCCACTGGGTCTTTATTGGAAAAGCTGTTTTCCAAGATGATTTAACTCTGAAAAAAAAAATGAAAAGCCCACAAGAACTGAAGACCCTGTGTGCGTGTGTGTGAGTCTGTATTAAGACCCCTTTTATAGGAGACAGACTCCTTTTGGGGAAGAGGGAGAGGTAGGGAAAGGACGAAGTGAGTAAAGGCACTCTCAGCTAAATCCTGCATGCCCATAGTTCCTTCATTGTATGGTACCTCACACCCTTACAGGGCTTTACCGAGCGCTTGTTCATCTGTTAGCTTACAGGTAAGAGAATCATTGTCCTCATTCTCTGAGTGAAGAAACTGATGCTCACAGTAGTTAAGTGACTTTGCCCAAAATTACTGAGCTGAGGAGTGACAGAATGGGGACTGAAGTCCCAGTCTCTTAATTCTGTGCTCCTCGGATACCCCCAAACCACCTCCATGGTCTTCCAGCAGCCTGAACATTTATCCATTTATGGAGGTCAGGGTGTGGGTCCCACTGCAGCCTGCTGCCCCATTTAAACTTTATTTCTGAATCTGTACATTTAAGCAAACCACTTTGTTTCAGAGGCATCCAGAGAGTAGCCTTACTTAACCTTCTTCTGGAGGTGTGTCTATTTGGTGGAGAATGGTGGAGGGGCCTGGAGGGAAGGAAAGGGAGGAGCCAGTAGGGAATTTTCACAGTTTTCCACCAGATGAGGCCAAAGCCCAGAAGTCAGACAAATCCACGATTCTCCTGGCATTCTACAGAGTTGCCAACTCCCTGCCCTGCTCTTTGCTCTCATTATTCCTCTGGGGTGGTTTCCAAGGGTGGAGAAGTGTAGGCTGAGGAAATGTCTGTGTTGAGGGAGGGCAGATGCTGTGAGGAGGGAGGTGTTTACACCAAGCATCGAGCCAGGCCTTGGAGTCACAGGGACAGGCCCAGAGCAGGAAGTGTCCTCCAAGCTAGAAGTCCTCTAGTTCAGAGGTTCTTTGTCTCCTCAAGAACCTCCTGGAACCTCCTGGACATTGTAGCATCCTCTGCAATAGCCACTACCCCTAGCAGTGCAGATGGAGTACTGTAGTGAAATGAACAAATTTTTTGGAGCTCAATAACTCTGGGTTCAAATCCCACTTCTGCTTATGAGCTGAAAGATCTTGAGTAAGTCCTGTAACCTCCCTAAAGATCAGTTGAGATTACCAATATCCACTGCCTTGGCTGTTCTGAGGTTGAAATGAATCACGTTAAACAAATAGCAAATGGTGGCTTTAATTAGTAGAGGGTTAGAGGGCAGCCAGACAGTGGCAGGACAAAAAAGGAGGGCTGCTTGTCCTGTAGGCAGTAGCAAGGAGCGGGAGTGGATTCCACAGTGAAGCAGCTTCCAAGGGCTTTTTGTAAGCAGCCCCTATGCTGGCTCTGGGAGAGCTCTGAGAAACTAGTTTGAAAAGCATAGAAGTCATAAAATAGCACCAGTATTTTTTTTCTAGTGTGAGCAAAAATATTCATGCAGACAAATCCAAGCCAATCTTCTGGGACTAAGACTCTAAATATTACTTGTGAGTCACCCCAGCTTCCTTCCAAGAGAAAGACTCCCCCATCCCCTCACCCAACACCCCCGTCCGTGACACATTAAGATTGTAGCTTTTCAGCTTCTTCCACCAAACTCTCAGTCCCTCATCGTGGGCATGAGGACAGCCCTGTGTGCAGAAAACGTGTTTCTCCATTTCGGTCTCTCTCTTGGTTAAAGCCAATTTCCAAAAAAACCAAAACCACCTTATCAGAGCAAGACCCATGTCAAGCTCCGCAGCAGGCACTAGGTGGCGCTAGATCCCATGTTATTAAGGCAACTCTAAAGCTGCGCCCTTTTCTGGAAAAATGTTTCTGTTGTGAGATCCTCTCTTTCCCAGAGACCTGAGACCACCTCAGTTTATACCACAAGCTTAAAGCGCCACCAGAAGATCGCATACTATCTCAGGAGCCCCAGCTTTGCTGCTAACCTAGTCCTTTTCAGGGTGTGGCTGTGGAAGGAGTTTCTAGACCTGAGGCTGGAGACCCCAAGTCCTTTGCTGAACTGTAAATAATATTAGGAACAAGTAGTCCATTTCAACTTCTGCTCTGCCCTGAGGCGCAGGAAGGAAAACAACTTTTTCCCTTAGGAGGAGGTGAGGAAAAAAAAGAGGCAGATCCTAGAAGCTCCTTTGTGAGAGCAGCCAAGCATCTTCCCTGCCCTCTCCCGCAGAATGGAGGCCCACCCCGACCTCAGGTCATTTCCTTCCATGGCCAGCCCCCTCTCAGGGTGAAACATGATCCTCAGTGCCCCTCTGGAGGTAAGCTGTAGGTTCTTTTTTTCTCCAGGGATCTGAGCTGAGGTTGCCCTGAAATGCCTGTTTAATTTCATTGCCGAGAGCACACCTTCTCATTATTTCGAGAGCTGTGACCCCAAAGCACTTATGAACAATAGCAGCAACTGGCAGTTATAAGCTATTTACAGTTTTCTAAGCGTTATGAGCACTCTTGATGCCTGGAGAGGCAGGTGAGTTGCATTTTCTGTTTGCAGATACAGTGACTGACACCCCAGGGTCTCATTGGAACTGCTGGCACTGATGTTGTCTCTTGGAAATGATGATGATCATTGTTGCTTATTATAATTTTCACTGTTATGTTCCCTTTGATGTGTAAGAGGCCAAACAGAACACAAGCTTTTGGTTAATGGGTTTCCTGTTGGCTGAGTCTATCTGGGCTGAATGTGGAGAACCACTGAAAGGAGGTGAATGCCCTGAGCAGACCTTTACCTTCTTGGCCATGTGAGAGTTTACTGCAGTAGGAAGCTGGGCTCCGCAGAGTAAAGGGCAGGTGTGTGGGGAAGCCTTCCTTGCCCCTTCCACCGTGTGAAGACATAGGGAGACGATGGCCATCTATGAACCAGGAGGCAGGCCCTCCCAAGGCCTGTTGCTGGCACTTTGATCTTGGACTTCCAGCCTCTAGAACTGTGAGAAAAGAGTGCCTGCTGTTTAAGCCACCCAGTCTGTGCTATTTTTGTTAGAGCAGTCCGAATGGACTAAGACAGAAATTGGCATGCCTCTGTGACGTCGCAGAGACATTTAAGCCCTCAAAGAGGCCAGCCCCCTCTCAGGGTTTTTCTGGAAAAATGTTTCTGTTGTGAGATCCTCTCTTTCCCAGAGACCTGAGACTAAATGGTGCAATATAGTTGAGGCAACACAGTATATATAAATAAAAAGAAAATGAATGACTCAGAGAAGTTCTAGCAAGAGTCCAGAAACCCAATATCCTAGCTTGGCCGTGCAGAGGTTCCCTGTAGGGCAAAGAGTGGGGAAGGAGTTGGTGGGGCTGGGAAGAGGGGGAGGAAAGGCCCTGTTAGGTGTATTCCTGTTAGGAATACCTGGTGGCCTTTGCTGGGCTTTACTTTCTGCATAAGAAGTGGTTTTCCCCAAGCTGACGTCCAGGCTCTAGATGTCCAGCTGGGGTGTAATCAAAGGCTTTGGGCACCAAGTGCCTGGCTGATGTTTTGCACCTACCGGATACTCTTAAGTCCAAAGTTGCCAGGCACTGACTGCCTTGAGCATTGTTGAGATTACCACGGAGACAGCCTGTTCCATGGCCCATGAAGTCAGAGAGAGGTCACCTAGGAACCGGTGGGCTTCACCTTCTAGCTCACATCCCCACAAGTTTCTGCTCCTCGGGTCCTCAGAGGCTTGGATGAAGTTCAGGCCCATCACCCCCACCCCATCACAAACTCTCCCCCTTCCCTTCCACCACACTTTGGGAAAGTACTTCTCTTCCCTCATATTTGCTTGAAGAGCTTTTCTTTTAAAAATAAACACAATTATCGTTTTATAGGAAATGAACATACATGTAGAAATCCAACAAAAGGATTTATAGTAAAAAATAGGTCTCCTTCCCACCCCTGTCCCCCAGCACCCAGGTTCTCTTCCAAGAGGTACCCTCTAATACTCCTTGTTGACAGAAAGAGCCAAACTCTGTAAAATATTTGCAAAGATTTATTCTGAGCCAAATATGAGTGACCATGGCCCATGACACAGCC
Source organism: Homo sapiens (assembly GCF_000001405.40). NCBI lineage: Eukaryota > Metazoa > Chordata > Mammalia > Primates > Hominidae > Homo > Homo sapiens. The sequence goes on from NC_000002.12 coordinate 64,333,296, forward strand.
CTCAGGAGGGCCTGAGAACATGTGCCCAAGGTGGTCAGGGCACAGCTTGGTTTTATACATTTTAGGGAGACGTGAGACTTCAATCAAATACAGTTAAGAAATACATTGGTTTGCTCCAGAAAGGTGGGACAACTTGTAGGTGGGGGAGAGGTGGGGGCTTCCAGCTTATAGGTAGATTTTAAAGTTTTCTGGTTGACAATTGGTTGAGTTTATCTAAAGACCTGGGACCAATAGAAAGGAAATGTTTAGGTTAAGATAAAGGATGGTGGTGACCAAGTTTTATTGTTCTGAAGAAGCTTTCAGCAGACTTCAGAGAGAGCAGGTTGTAAAATGTTTCTTATCCCACTTAAAAGGTTACCTGGCTCTTAGTTGAGTATCTCCTGGGTCTGGAAAGAAAGAGGAAAAAGGAGGGGAGGGGAAGGGAAATCTCCATAGAATCTCTATAGATTCTCCATAGATTTTTCCCACAAGAGACAACCTTGCCAGGCAATTTCAAGATATGGCAAGAAAATATATTTGGGGTTTAAATATTTATATTTCCTTCCTTATTTGTTATGTGATGTTATGCCAGAGCCAGGTTGGAAAGCAGACCACCTTATATAGGGGGGTTAAATAAAAATCCTTCTACGCAGTGCACGGTGGCTCACGCCTGTAATCTCAGCACTTTGGGAGGCTGAGGTGGGTGGATCACTTGAGGTCAGGGGTTCCAGACCAGCCTGGCCAACATGGTGAAACCCTGTCTCTACTAAAAATACAAAAATTAGCCAGGTGTGGTGGCACACACCTGTAATCCCAGTTACTTGGGAGGCTGAGGCACAGAATCGCTGGAACCTGGGAGGTGGAGGTTGCAGTGAGCCAAGATCACAGAACTGCACTCCAGCCTGGGCAACAGAGCGAGACTCTGTCTCAAAAAAACAAAAACAAACAAACAAAAAACCCTCTGATGAGACTGTATGGTTTGTAGGGTGTGACTCCCGAGGCCCCTTAGGTAGGAATTTGGGGAAGATAAAAAAAAAGTCAGAGTTTAGATCTCCCTCTTCTTTCCCTGCCCACCCAAGCCTCTTCTGTCCATTCTTTTCTTGTTTCCAGAATTTTGTTTTTTAACAAAATGGATCCTGTTACTCCTTATTGTCCTCAGGACATGCAAAATGCAAACTCCTTAGGCCAGAATACAAGTGCTTTCTCATCAGGCCATGCAGACACCTCCAGCCTCATCACCCGCAAAGCCGGGCCGAACAACTTTTTAGCGAAATGAATCTGTGCTCTTATTTACGACTGTGTGTTTTTATTTTTTTCCTGGCCTAGATATTTTTAATATTGTGATAAAATATAAATAACATAAAATTGGCCATTTTAGCCATTTTTAAGTATACAGTTCTGTGGCAGTAAGTGCATTCACATTGTTGTACAACTATCACCACCATCCATCTCCAGAACTTTTTCCGCGACTGAAGCTCTGTACCCACTAACTTTCCATTCCTTTTTCTCCCCAACCCCTGAAAACTAACTACCATTTTACTTTCTGTCTTTATTATTTCACTACTCCAGGTGCCTCCTGTAAGTGGAATCATAAAATATTTGTCCTTTTGTGATTGACATTGCTAAGCATGATATCCTCAAGGTTCACTCATGTCAGAATTTCCTTCTCTTTTAAGGCTAAATAATATTTCATTGTATGTAAATCCTACCCACTGTATAGTTTTAAAAATAATTATTAATATACTTCATACACACAGTTTTGTTCTTCCTCTGTTTCAAGTTCACCAATCTCATTCCCCCAGAGACAGTCACTGCTTACTAATTTCTTGTATTTGCTTCCAGATAAGTTTTATGCATATTATAATAAAATACAAATATATCCCGCCTTTTAATCCAAATGATAACATGCAATTTACACTTTTCTTGTCTGCTTGTTTAAAATTTAGTAATATAGCCTGGAAACCTTTCTGTAGCAATACATACAGAGTTTTTTAAATTGTTTTTTTGTAGCCGTGTATTCAACTGCATGGATATACTCCAATCCAGCAAAATTTTCTATAAAGGGCCAAATAGTAAATATTTTAGGATTTGTGGGACAGCGAGTCTCTTGGGAAACTGCTCAGTTCTCTGTTAAGGTGCAAAAGAAGTCAGAGACCATGTGTAAACAAAGGAGCATGGCTGTGTTCCAATAAAACTTTATTTATGGACTCTGATTTTAGAATTTTATATAATGTTCATGTGTCACAAAATGTAATTCTCTTTTGATTTTTTTCAACCATTTAAACATGTTAAAACGATTTTTCCCTTGAAAGTCCTACAGTAACAGGAAGAAGGCCAGATTTGGGCCCTGATGGTAGTTTGCCAACCTCTAACTTATTTAACCAGTTCCTTATTAACGAGCATTTAAATTGTTTCTAATCGTTTGCTGCAATTTATAACCTTGTATGTATAGCACTTCATATGCATGCAAATATATGTATCTGTGGAGTAAGCTCTAAGAAGTGAGATTGCTGGGTTAGATGATATATGCATTTGCTATTTTGGTAAATATTGCTAAATCGCCCTCCTAGGGGCTGTACTAGTTGACATACCCACCAGCAATATATGGAAATGTCTGCGTATTTTCAAATTTGGGTTTTTGCAAATGTGAGAAATGAACAAAAAAAAACAAGGCATGTCAGTACTTTTAATTTGCATTTTTCTTATCATGAAGAGGTTGAACATCTTTTCATATGTTTACTAGCCATTTGTATTTATTTTCATTATTGTTCTATAAGCCACTTTTTCACATGCTTTGCTCGTATTTTCATTGGTCTTTTCTTTAGAGGTTTATGTATCTTTATAATTTAAAGAAATTAGCCCTTTGCTGAGTTTTGTGTATCCTTTACAGATTTGCATTTGTTTTCGACTTTGCTTATATACAGGTTTGATTTTTGTTTGTTTCACATGCAAGAGCTTAAAAAGTTTTTTTCAACTTTTATTAGTTGACTTAATCAATTTCCTATTTTATAGTTCCTGATTTGTGAGTCAGGATTAGGAAAGACTTTCCCACTCTAAGATTATGAAAGATTTCTCCCACATTTTCTCTTGGTACTTGTGTGGTTTTATTGTTTACCTTTAAATGTTTAATCCATGTGGAATTTATTCTGATATATGGTGTGAGGTATAGCTCCAGCTCAATGTTTTTCAAGATGGCTACCCAGGAATCTCAACAACACTTATTGAATTCTCACTGAATTTGGAATGCTTCCTTTATCATATGCTAAATTCCTGTATATATTTATATTCTTAAACTGTTCCATTGGTCTCTCTATCTATTCATGTGCTAGTACTATGAAGTTTTAATTGTCAAAGTACTATAATATGTTTTTATGTTTGTTGTTCTAGTCCAGGGTTTCTCAACATCTTGGGCCAGATATAATTCTTTGTCATGGGGGGCTATCTTGTGCACTGTAGGATGTTCGGCAGCATCCCTGACCTCTACCTATTAGATGCCAGTAGCAGACACTTGCACACACATGTGCATACATGCACACACACACAATTGTGGAAAGCAAACAAAAAGTCTCCAGTTGTTGCCAAATGTACCCTGGGGGTCAAAATTACCCTGTTGGGCTAGTCATTCATCACTGTCCTTTTTCACAGCTTCCTGTTTGTTTACTTCAGCCTTGTGTGTTTGCACATGTTGTTCCCTGTACCTGGAATGTCCTCCTCTTACTTTCTCATCAGAGATCAGCTCAGGCACTGTCTCCCAGGAAGCCTTCTCATGTCACCCTGTGTATTAGTTCATTCTCATGCTGCTATAAGAACATACCCAAGAATGGGTAATTTATTTAAAAAAGATTTAATTGACTTACAGTTTCACATGGCTGGGGAGGCCTCAGGAAACTTATAGTCATGGCAGAAGGGGAAGCAAACATGGCCTTCTTCACGTGGCAGCAGGAGAGAGTAGTCCAATGTGAAGAGGGGAAAAGCCCCTTATAAAACCATCAGCTCTCATGAGAACTCACTCACTATCACAAGAACAGCATGGTGGAAACCATTTCCATGATTCAATTACCTCCCACCAGGTCCCTCCTATGACACATGGGGATTATGGTAACTACAATTCAAGACGAGATTTGGGTGGGGACACAAAGCCAACCATATCACCCTGCTCTATTGTGTGCCTTGCCCAACCCCATATGTGAATCCCCATCATCCTCTATGGAAATGAGCCCTTTGCTTTGTCTCTCACCCGTCACCAGGGGTCTCATTCATGTCTTTATCTCCAGCCTCTGGCTGAGCCTGGCACAGGGCAGGTGCTCTGTCAGTATTGTTGGATGAAAGGATGAGTGAATACTTCTTTGACCCATCTCCCACTAATAGCGAGATGTTCAGTCAAAGAAGACATGGGTAAAGGATGAGATGTTAACTCTTGTCCAGAGTGAAGCCTGGTGCCAAGAAGCAACAGGAGGTGGGGAGAGTCTAGCATGTGTTGAGTGCCTACTATGTGCCAAGCATGGCAGTAGATGAGACTTCTTCAATCTCCTGTTCCAAATCTCTGCTGTCCACAGCTATCAGGATGCACTCAGATGCTTAGAAACAGGAAAACAAGGAGAGCTGGGGAGCACCAAAGGGCCTCTGTAGTTTCCTGGGAAAGCAGGATAAACAGTGTTAAGAGCATGAGCCCTGGAGTTGGACAGCTTAGGTCAGATCCCTACTCTATCTACTTACCAGGTATTTAACCTCCTTAAGTCTCAGTTTCTTCATTAGTAAAAAGGGGATAATAAGAGTACCCACCTTGGAGGGCTTCTGTAAGAAACTAAAGCATTTATATGCTGCTGAGACATAGTAAACATTCAACATATGGCAGGCTCTTAATATTATTTCCTCTTCTATCCGCGAACTGCCTGAGATGTTTTTTCTAGCTGGGCATTGGTTTAAAAGTCCCCGAGACTATGTTAGACCCAGGGTGGGATTGTTTTTCCAGGGCTCCTTGCAAGGAACTAGGAGAACTCTGGCAGGAGCACCCTCCGGGAGCAGCAGGGCCTCCTCAGGTGGGTTGTTTGTGGTCAGACAGGTCCTCCCAGTTCCCTCCACACTGAGAGCATTGGAGAGAAAAGAGCAAAATGAAGTGATTACCCTGAGGTACAGGCCATACTGAACACTGTCTGTGAAACAATGGTGGGGTTTGGGGTCCTCTTTGGCACTGACTTAATTTTTTCCTAAGCCCATGGGCTTAGGGGCCAGAAAAGCACCAGGTACTGCGTTAGCAGTGTCCCTCAGGCCAGATGCAGTGGCTCGTGCCTGTAATCCCAGCACTTTGGGAGGCTGAGGGTGGAGGACCCCTTGAGCCTAGGAGTTCGAGACCAGCCTAGGCAACATAGCTAGACCCTGTCCCATTTATATTAAAAAATAAATTTTTAAAAAAGAAGTGTCCCTGAAAGAGTTAACACCAAAAGTATTTGCTAAAGATCTTAAATGAAGTAATTTTTTTTCAGTTACTTGCATAGGAGTAAATAATAGTAATAAGTAACACCTGCTGAGCCCTTAAATGCAGGCATGGTGCGCTACCTGCTTTACATTGAGTTATGTGACCCACCTGCATGTTTCCTCTCTCAGACCAGGTCATCATCTGGTGATGGGGTGGGGGTACAGTTGCTATACCCTCATTATGAATTTCTTTATTAACCTTAGTCCTGTTTACCTCTAACCTAGAGGCTTCTGAGCAAGCGCCCTCCTGTCTGCCATGCTCTCCTCTGGGCAGGTTTAGCTGAGAGCTGGAAGCAGAGATGAGTCAGACATGAGTACAGTCTTGGTCTTTAGGGGCTTTTATCCCACAGCTGATTGTGGCTAGAGGGGGTGGGGCTGTTTTTAGCCCAGCTTGCAGCCTTACCCCCTGCTGCTTGCAGCACCATCAGAAGCATACCTGCTCCAAGAGAGAAAACAGACTTTGACCACAAAAGGACACATGCTTCTCTTTTGCATGTCCTCGGATGCCTACTTGGGATCGCATGGGTGCTGAGAAGATGCTGTTGATGGTTTGCCCTGGTTGTAGCTGCATTTCTAGGGGTGTGGCCTAAGCCAGGCAGTCGGGGTGAATAGGGCTTCTCCTTTCAGAGGTTCTTCCAAGAAGGGAAAATCGTGTGCCCATTGATTTTGTTTCCACCACAATCTTTGTCCAGGCCATCCATCACCTTTCCCCCTGAATCTACAACCCCTTCAGGGGTGTCTCTGTTCCCACCCTTCTCCTGTCCTATACAGTCTGCACTTGATGGCCCAGAGCAGCCTTCCTCTGACTGTTCTCATCAAGTGGCTATAACCACAGTGCTCACCCAAGGCACACTGGGGGAAATTCAAGCTTCTCCTGCCCTTTTCCTAAAATACTCATGACCACCAAACACTATTTATTCCAGTATATCTTGTGGAAGGGGGTGTTGCTGAGTATTAAGCAAAAAACTTTATTTTTGTATATTCAAACTTATGGAATAAGTTCAGGAAATACTGAGTTAAAAGGGTTAAAGTGTTGGTTTTTCAACTGCAGGACTTCTCAGACTCTTTGAGATGCTGATGTACACAAGGGGTATGGGCTGCATGTTTCTACATGCTGATTTGATATAGAACCCTAGATAGAGCATCTCGCAAGACCAGTGGTCCCTGGAACCCAGCTTAGAAAACACTGCCCCAAAGAAGTCTCCTGAGAAAAATGTATTGCTGTTGATCTTTCAGCCTTCGTCACTGCTATCCTTCCCCTAAAGGGCTTGCCTTCAGCCTCTCTACCCATCCTGGTTCCCCCAGTGCTTTGGAACCAGGACAGACACACTCTGCTCCTAATAAGCATTTCATAGTCAGCCCCAGCCCAGAGCTCTCCTTATCATTCATTCATTCATCAAATATTTTTTGAGCATTTACTTTCTTCCAGGAGCTGTGCTAAGAGATATAGTAGCAACCAAGGAACATTCCAGTAGGAAACAGACAGGTAAGTAGATGGGTTTAGTATAGTGTGAGAAGTACAATACAAACACACCCAAGGATAGATCCAGATTGAGTCTTGGACAGTCGGAAAGACTTCCAGGGGAAAAAAAATGGCATCTTTTCTTCATTTCCACACTTAGCAATTTTTCTATATTGGTTTGTCATTTATTCATTTAATCACCAATCATTTATTGTGGGCTGGGCACTGTGCAGAGATAGTAATCAGACTTGACTTGAGGACGATAAGAAATCACTGAAGGGATTTTAAGCAGAGAAAGGACATGATCTATTTACACTGGTAGATGTCACTTTGATTGTAGGAAAAGTGGACCGGCCAGGGCAAGGCTTGAGGCAGGAAGCCAGCTAGGAGACCACTGCATGAACCCACATAAAAATGAGGACCTGGGCTAGGGAAGTAGCAGGAAAAGTGGATTTTGACAGATATCTAGGACAGAGCCAACAGGACTTGGACAGCAATGGGATGTGGGGGAGTAAGAGGGAATAGTTTAGGATGATGTTCTTTCCCCCATCCTCCTTACGTCCCACCCCCCACTCCTGTTTCTGGTGAAATATTCAAACAGGAGTGGGGGTGGGACATAAGGAGGATAGGGAACACAGGATGAAGGGCAGGTTACAGGGGTCCACGTGCGAGGGGAAGATAATGTGTTCAGTTTTAGACATGCTGAGCTCATGATTCCAATTCCTTTGGACATTCCAGTGGAGATATCTGGCAGGCTGATTTTTCTCACGAGAGAAATCATGTCTGGAAATACAGATCTGAGAAGCAGCAGCAACATATGGGTGGCCACCAAAGCCGTGGACTCAGTCAGCACCATTAAGCCAGAGTGATGGGTGAGATGGGTGACAAGGGCCCCCCTTGCAGCAGGTGGGTGACAAAAGAAGAATCAGTGTTGCAGCATGGGAAGGACTGCCCAGAGAGAAAGGAAGTGAACCAGGAGAGGATCTAGAAAAAGGACACTGGGCAATGAGAGCTTGGAGCGGGCCTCTGCACCAGGGGAGGGGTGGCTTTGACTGGCAGATACACATGTCTAGTACACGTGGAGGGTATGAAAACTCCAGGGAAAGAGAGGGGCAGCAGGAGCTCCCTCTTTTTGTAAAACAGGCTTTCTCTTAGGCGTAGCCTTCTAACTGATCTGCCCCACTATCCTCAACCCACTCTCCACTTCATAGCCAGATAGGTCTTTTCAAAACACATCTCTGATCACATCACCGCCTCTCCCCCAGCTCTATTAAAAACCTTTGGATATTTCTATGGCTCTTAGCATGCAGACCAAACTCCTACCTGGCCTGGCCTCTACTTCCTTCTCCAGGTGCACCTTCTGCCAGACTCTCTTGCTCTCTCCCCTGCAGCCAGCTGGCTTCCATTCGGCCTCGCAGACTCGTTGCATGGGTGTTACATTGTTGCTGTCAGAGCCATGTCCACCCTTCCCATCCCGTGGTCCCCCGATCTGCTCTGTGTCACTGGGGGCTGTTCCAGGCTCCAGAGCCAACTGCCTTCCAGTAAAGTTCAGCCAATGGGGAGTGAGGGAGGGCAAAAGATATTGGAGGTGAAGGAAGGAGAAGCCAGAGTACTTCTCCTGCTTCTCTTTCTCAGGAGTCTCTTCTGTGGCTGCAGTTCCCACTACACAGCCATCTCTGTGTGATCCCTGCTACCCATCTTGGCAGGCCCTCTTTGTTCCAGCTTATCTTGTCTTAGGCTCCAGAAACTGTTTCTTTCCTTGTTCTCCAGCTTCCAGGGTGGTGCTATGGGTTGAATTGTGTCTCCCCTGCAAGTTCATGTGTTGAAGTTCTAACCCCCAGTACTTTAGAGTGTGACCTTATTTAGGGTTGTGGTCTTTATAGAGTAGCCGAATTAAAGTGAGGTCATTAGGGTGGACCCTAATCCAATATGAATGTTGTCCTTATAAAAAGGGGAAGTTTGGACAGAGATAGACACACACAGAGGGAAGACGATGTGAAGAGACATAGGTGAAAATGGTCATCTACAAGTCAAGGAAAGAGGCGTGGAACAGATCCTTCCCTCATAGGCCTCAAAAGGAACTACCCCTTCTGACACCTTGATTTTGGACTTCCAGCCTTCAGAACTCTGAGACAATAACTTTCTGTGTGAAGCCACCCAGTCTGTGGCACTTTGTTACTGCAGCCCTAGCAAACAAATACAGTAGTCCCAGCTTCCTGGAGTTGCTACTCTCAGGGTTCCCCTGGGAGCTCTTTCAACTCCTCTGACTCCCCGTATGAAATTCCCTCTATCAAATCACCTAGAGTGGGTTTTGCTTTCCTGGCTGGGTCCTGACTAATATGCCTGCCATGATCCTTTCTGCCACAGAGGACATAGTGCTTCCTCTGCCTGGTATTTTTCCCCCTCTCATCTTTACCTAATGAACTTTCCCTAGTAAACTCATCTAGGTCATAGGTAAATGTCACTTCCTCAAGAAGGCCTACCCCTGTATAGTCATTACCAGCTCTTATGGCTCCAAGCACCACCACTCATGGTTTTGATTTTATTTCTGTGTGTGATTATTAGTTAATGTTTTCTTCCCAGTCCATCAGGAAAGGTAGTCTTTTTTTTCTTACCACTTTCCCCAGAGCCTAGGATGATGCCTATAGTAAATATTTAATACACAGTCATGTGTGACTTAACAACGGGGATACCTACTAAAGAATGCATTGTTAGGCAGTTTCGTAATGAGAGCATCAGAGTATACTTACACAAACCTAAATGGTGTAGCCTGCTACACACCTAGACTATCTGGTCTAGCCTATGGTTCCTAGGCTACAAACACCTATAGTACGTTACTGTACTGAATAATGTGGGCAATTGTAACATAGTAGTATTTGTGTATCTAAGCACATCTAAACATAGAAAAGATACATAAAAATATGATACTATAATCTTAAGAAATCACCATTGTATATGTGGTCCCTCATTCACTGAAACATTGTTATGTGGCTCCTGACTATATATTTATTGAGTGAACGGAGGAAGGGTAGTATAATTTTGTAGATAATGCTAGTATTTATGTGCCAGTAAAGTTCTAAGCATCTTACAAATATTGCATTTAATCCTTTAATCCTCATAACAATTTATGGGATAAGTAATATTACCTCTATTTTACACATGAGTAAATTCACTTATGATCCCATAGCTAGTAAGGATTTGAACCCAGGGACTCCAGCACCAGAGCCTGAACTCTTAATCACTGTTATTCTGGCCTACGCTGTTCTCCCATGTTTTAGCAAGTCTACAAATTTTGTTTGTGCTAGCTTGCTATTATACTATGCCTTGTACCTCTTATTTGCAATGAATTATGTTTAACTTGACATGATATTAGAAAATTTCCTGGACAAATGTTTTCTATGCCAAATAGCACCCCAATAATATGCACCTTGAGTTTTAGCAAAAATTTGGTGACAAACCTATGAATACACAGTCCCAGGATGGTGAGGTTCCTGGGTATCTCACCATCTTTTGTGGTTCTGTGAAATCTGCCCACCTCTCTATAAATCATCCCCTCATTAAAATCCCTTCAGCTAAACCCTTTGGGAATGCCATCTTCCTTCTGGGACTCTGGCTGATACCCTGCAACTTCCTGGGAGCATCCCCTGGCTTTCTTATGTGTTTATGGCACGTGACATTACCATGTGACTGCAGTAGCCTGGGCTGCCTCTCCTGTGTCCGGCAGCTGTTGGCACCACCTTATGTGTGGAGAGTGCCCTGTGTGCTCAGAACACCCCAGGTACTATGGGGAGATGCCCTGGACCAAGACTCTTCATATTTCATGAGCATTACAGCGCAGAGGAAATCAATTTACACTGGCTTATTTGTGGTTTAAAAATGATCCAGCTGGGCATGGTGGCTCATGCCTGTAATCCCAGCACTTTGGGAGGCCAAGGTGGGTGGATCATTTGAGGTCAGGAGTTTGAGACCAGCCTGGCCAACATGGTGAAACCCCCACCTCTACTTAAAAAAATAAAAAATAAAAAAATTAGCCAGGTGTGGTGGTAGGCACCTGTAGTCCTAGCTACTCAGGAGGCTGAGGCAGGAGATTTGCTTGAACTCGGGAGGCAAAGGTTGCAGTAAGCCAAGATCATGCCATTGCACTCCAGCCTGGGTGACAGAGGGAGACCCCATTTAAAACAGAATAAAAAGAATGACCCTAAATCTTCTTCAGGTTTCAGACAAAATAGCAGTTTCTAGAGGGCACAGCCTATGTCCTGTTGTGGTGCATATGGAGGACTACGGTGGCCATACCTTTTTCTTGCTCACTCATTTGCCCATCTTCCTTTGCATGTTAACAGCTGCCCACTGTTCCTGCTGAGGGATTTTTCCTGCTCTATTCCATTTGGTGGAGTAAGGCACAGTGGCATTCCTCTTGGCAGCTGAGATTGGGTCAGGGATGGGACCTGCCAGATGTAATGAAACGACTTTTCCTAGTGAGGTCAACCTGCTAGGAAGATGGGAGTCTGTGGATAACCATCTCGTCTGTCTGAAGCATAAAGTCGAGACATGCAAAGCCAATAAACTGAGGAGACAGAACCTAGCAACATCATTCAAGACCTGGATCCCACCATCCCTGAAGCCAGTGAATACCCTGTATTCCACAATCATGCAACCCAATAAAGTCCTCTTTTGCAGCCGTAGCATGTTTGAGGTTGGTTTCTTCACTCATATCCAGAACATTCCCACTGATAGAGTTGTGGAAGCTTCTTGCTGTCTCCAGTGTACCTTGTAGTCTCTCTTCTAAAACTTTGTTTATACCAACTGTATTTTAAGCTCACTCCCTTATTATACATTGTCTTGTTCAATCACCTGTATCACAACATTTAAAATCTGGGTTGTTTATTAGCCTGTTGTCTGTCAGCCCCACACTCATGCCTCTGACTCTGGGCTGTAAGGTTGAAAACTACATTTCCCAGGTTCCCTTGCCAGCTGGCTTCCAGTAAGAGGCTCTGGCAGAGAAATGGAAAAGGAAGAGAAGCCACTGTTCTCTCTCCCCATCCCTGCTTTGGGGCACCTCTGAAAATTTCTGAAACCCCTTGATGACCCCAGCTTCAGCCAAAGCAGCCTCTGCTCAGTGGTCACAGCTCTAGCCTGGGTGGTCCCTCTTCAGTGGTTCCTGCACTGTCAGCAGTTGTAACAGCACCTCAAACAAAGCAACAGCATGTACACTTGGACTCTAACACCACCTTCCCCAACGACCATTTTCCTGTCATTATTATTCTCTGGTTACCTTACATTTTTGTTCTTTCAGCCCTTTTAACACTTTTGTAACTAATTTCCTGTATGAAACACTCTATTTAAAACATCTGCCATGATTCCTGTTTGCCTGACTGGAATCCTGATTGATACAGTGTATATTGTACATTACCTAACTCACTAGTAATTTCAGATGTGAACGAAGTTTCTTCTTAACAGGATGATGAGTTTCTATTGGGCAGACTGCATATGTGTCTGTCACAGACACAGTGTAGGACTGAACATATAACGTGAATCTGTACATACTTAATGATATAAGACAACCCTTGTCTCAGTGACATCTACAAGCTTGATGGTACACGAATATAGAAACATTCTCAAAGCGATATTGGAGCCATGTTCAAATTAGCACAATTGAGGCTACTCATTCCAACTGGGGAACATATGGAATGACAGTGTCCTTTAGTGATACTGACCCAGGCATGCTTTCTGGAAGAGGAAGAGTCTCAGGCTAGAATGGATGTGAGACATTTCCTTATCACTTCTCTGATTCTGGTAGAGTGATGAGGTAAACTTGTAAGGAAAATCAAGGTGGAGCTAAGCTGTAGTTGGCTCTACATCAGACAAATGCATTCATTCATTCAGGAGACTTTCATGGAGGGCCTACAATGTGCAGACGCATCATCCAACAACTCTACCACCTGCTGTCATTCAGCGTTTTAGTCAAGTCATGGTTTTTTGTGTGTTTTTTCAAATGTGTGCATTGGACAATGACTCATGCCTAAAATCTACATTTGTTCATATTTCCAATCTTCAAATACCTGAGAAGTACAGTTGTAAATATCAGTTCCAATTTCTTGGGCAGTCTTTCAAGGTAAAGTGCAAGCCAATCTCCTGGAGACACCTTGCCTTTTTCTATTGTCTGACTGTGAATGATTTAGATTGCCTGGGTCCCAGCCCTTCCATCTGGCCTTTGAAGAACTAGATCTTGATGACAGCCATGAGCATGGCTTTAGACACGCTGGTGCAAGGATCTGTGTGACCTCTAATCTCACAAGGGTCCTTGCTCAGACCCAGAAAGGGCTTCTCTACAGTATAGGAGAGGGATTGCCTCCAGGTTGCATGTGGGCAGCTGCCAACGTGAATGGCTTGGTCCTCAGCCTATAGAGCTTAAAGGTATTTATTTATATAATAATGAAAAACTGTGAGAAAAATCTAAATGTCTACCAGTAGGAGTAATTAGAGTGTACCCCTTTATCCATGGGGAATATGTTCCAAGCTCCCCCAGTGGATGCCTGAAACTGAGGATAGTCCTGAACTCTATACGTGCTATGTTTTTTTTTTATCCAATAACAGAGATGGCTACTAAGTGACTAATGGACAGATGGTGTAGACAGCATGAATATGCTGGACGAAAGGATGATCCACATAACAGGCTGGACAGAGTGGAATGGCACACAATTTGATGACACTACTCAGTAGGATGCACAATTTAAAACTTATGAGTTTTTTCTGGAATTTTCCATTTAACTGCAGTTGACCATGGGTAACCAAACCACAGTTGACCATGGGTAACTAAAGCTCTGGAAAGTGAAACCATGGATCGGGGGAACTATTGTACATATCTTATAAAATATTATATTGCCATTTAAAAATTGTGATGAATATACGTGTACTGGCATGGAAAGATGTCTGAATTGTATGGCTAAGTGAGAAAAAGCAGTTCCAGAATAGCAAATACAGTTTAATATATATACATTTTTTTTTAATGGTGAAAAGTTATACATATATTTGGAATTAGCCAGCTGGACTCAGTTTAGATGATCCCAATTTTGTTGGCAACATCTAAAGCATTGTAATTAGGAGCCAGTCGAACATATGCCTTCTTCTCTCCATCAGGCCGAATCGGGGTGTTGACTTTGGCCACATCAATGTCATAGAGCTTCTTCCCAGCCTGTTTGATCTGGTTCTTGGTGGTGGCTTTAACATCCACAATGAACACAAGAGTGTTGTTTTCTTCTGTCTTCTTCATGGTGAACTCAGTGGTCAGCGGAAACTTGATGATAGCATAGTGGTCAAGCTTGTTTCTCCTGGGGGCGCTCTTCCGAGGATATTTGGGCTGCCTCCGGAGTCGCAGTGTCTTGGGCCTCCGGAAGGTGGGTGACATGTGGATCTTGTTTTTTGTGTGGCTGTGGACACCTTTCGACACTGCCTTCTTGGCCTTTAAAGCATTCGCTTTGGCTTCAGCTTTAGGAGGGGCAGGAGCTTCCTTCTTCGCTTTTGGTGCCATCTTGTGAAAAAGCTAAAGGTATATTTTTAAAAGATGTATAAATATGTGTGTGTACATTATGTGTGTGTGTGTGCATATATGTGTGTGTGTGTGTAAATGAATAGAATAGAGATGAGAAGTCTCTACCTAGATTCTCTGGAGTGCTTACCTCCAGAGGCAGCACTAAGAGTGAAAGGGGTGCTGAAGGGAATGTTCTCCAGTTTTGGGGGTGGTATGCTTCCGATCACTTAGATATTTACAGTAAGAATACATTCACATATTAGATAATTACCTTTTCTCTCCAAAATAAGAGAAATAAAGAACTATTATGAATGTTGAGGAAGTGAGGAAGATAAAGAGGGGCAGTCAATGAAAGGATTCTTTCATTTTTTCCTCCATATACTTCTATACTATTAGAATTCATGAACAAGAATGCACTCATGTATTTCTTGTATGGTGATTTTTTTTTATCATGCAAAAGTTCATTTATGCATTCCACAGCTAATATTTTTTGACTCTTTACTCAATGCTTAACACCAAGCTCTGCACCTGATCTGTAATTCTCACAATATTCTGAGCCACATATCAGCATCCCATTTTACACAAGAGGAATCTGGGGCCAACAGACTGCTTAGGTAATCTGCCCAGCTACCCATCCAGCTAGCAAATAGTGGCACTAAGATTCAACCAGGTCCACCTGGCTGCAGAGCCTACACTCTCACCTGTCACACTCCACATTCTAGGCCATGGTGGCAGGGACCAGGAGGAATGAGGCTTCTCTGCCTTCGCGTAAGTGGAACCTAGTCAAGATGGAAAATGTGACAGAAAGGCTAAATAAATGGACAGACTGAGCAAAATAAGCAGGAACATTTAATGGAAAGAAACGCTCAGAGAAATAGCCCTAATAAAGTTGAATGACACTAAAATGACAGAGGTGGTTAGGTGAGCTGGAGTGCCCATAAGCATTTTCCTTTGATTCTGCACACCCAGAAGCAGTGTGTCACACTGCAGCTCTGTCCAGACGATTCTCATACTAGCCCAGCAGAGTCCTGTGGTTGGAAGGGACTGTGAGAGCACTCAGAGTCCATTCCCTGCCTGCAGGAGTGAATAACTGAGGCATGGAGTAACTTAAATTACAGGATCAAAGTAGCTTTTCCATCCCAACCCCCAAGTCAGCAAAGGAGTTGGAACTGTGTGCTGGAGTCCAGGGATGGAGTGACAGTCACATGAGTCAGCGTGTGGAAAATTGTATTCATACTACAACTCTTTACAAAGGAAACAACTGCCCATGCCCCTTTCCAGCTGTAAAACATCTGGTTGGCGGGGGAGGATGTCAACTGGGGAAATGGAAAGGAGCCACTCTAGTGCCCTTTCTGTTAGAGTGGCCTCTGCAGGGGGAATGGAGGCAGACTAGAAGGGGCTTGGGGGAGTTGGGTCTAAGTTGTTTGTGCATTGTCGGTGTCACTCTCAGTGTCACTCTCTCTTCCTATGATCCCCCTTGTCAGGGCATGTCTCCATTAGCAGGCCCAATCAGACAGAGTGCATTAAGAATGATTAAAGGCCTTGCAAGAGATTAAGAGAATTATATTTGTATACTCCCTCTAGCCAAGGCTGAAGGACAACTGCTGGTGATTCTCTGAATAGCTTTACAGGTGCAAAGCAGAATTACTGAAGTGGGTTCCAGGGATTAGAGCTTTGAATGATGAGGATGTAATGCAGAGACAAGTTCTCTGAGGGAAACAGCTCCTCAGTCATGGGCATTAAGGGGACTGCCGGGGAGGATTTGAATGAGGATACAAGTTTGACAACAGAGATCCAGGAAGCAATCCACTGGGCAAGGATTGGCTGTGGTTCACTGTGGCAAACCAGTGCAAAATGAACGGAACACCAAAAACTCAGTAATTGAGATAAATAATATTTCAATGCCATATTTTTTAAAAATCAAAATTAATGCAAAAAAATCTGATGAACAAAATATCAAAATTTAAAATAAAGACCAGGGCTGGGCTGAGCCATATTGGAGCCTGAGGCAAAAGGAAAAATGTGCCCCTTGGCTTTAGTGGAAGCAAACTCATCCATCATGTTTTCCAAATCTACTTCTTTGCTTATCTCCACTTCAGTTGAGAGAATGGCCATGTTTGATGATTTCTCTTGACATATGACAATCTTAAATAATTTTTCATAAACTTAAGCCCAACTGAAATTATAATAAATTCAATTTTGATATAAATCAAATATTTAAGCCTAAAATAATTCCATGAGTTATAGTATACCTACTTTTCAATTTTTCAGTATTTTTCAGCAACTTTAATGTTCTGGAAAAAATTAATTGCTACAAAAATGCATACAGAGCTAGGCATGGTGGTGCATGCCTCTAATCCTAGCACTTTGGGAGGCCAAAGCAGGTGGATTGCATGAGCCCAGGAGCTCAAGACCAGCCTGGGCAATATGGTGAAACCCCATCTTTACAAAAAATAAAAATAAAAAAATTAGCTGGGCATGGTGGTGTACATCTGTAGTCCCAGCTACTCAAGAGGCTGAGCCCAGGAGGTAGAGGTTGCAGTGAGCTGAGATCGCATCACTACACTCCAGGTTGGGCAACAGAGTGAGACCCTGTGTCTCAGAAAAAAAATGCGTATGGGAGTGCATAGGTTGCTTTTGTCCTTGAGCTCCAACATGGTTCTGCAGGTCTTTAGTGGTAAATAATCCCCAGCAGATGGTCTCCAGTGGGAAATGGGTGTGTCTGCCTCAAAGGTACTGGTGGTTCTTGCTTATTTCTCCTTCCTTCTGCCTCTCTGGAGTCCTCCTCAGGAATGGGGATGTAGGGAACCATTTCACCCATTTCATACCTTCCTCAGAGGCCATGAGATTACTGGAGACTGGGGACAACATTATCCTCCTGTTCCTGCCTGACAAATGAGAGTCCCTGGCGTTCGGGGAGAGGTTACCTTGAGTCAAAGGCCAAAGGCACATAGAACATTTCTGACACAGAACCTATGACTATGAATACTGTACTGTTCACCAAGCAACTTAAACTTTTTTTAGAATTTCTTGGCTAGAAGAAAATTTCTGAGATAATACAGTTTTAAAAGTTAAACACAGATATAGATATAGATAGGCTCACATGGTTTAAAATCCAAGATAATATAAAAAGGTAAACATTGAGGGACTTAGGGCAGAGCAAGATGGCAGAATAGAAGACTCCACTGATTTTCCTCCCTACAAGGAAACCAATTTTGCCACTATCTACACAAAAAAACTGCGAGCACTCACAGTACATGGTTTTAATTTCACATTGTTGAAACAGGCACTGAAGTGGTAGGAAAAACAGTCTTGATCGCTGATGCCACCCCTCCACCATCACCTGGCAGCAGTGGCTTGGTGTGGAGAGTGTCTCTGTGAGCTGGGGAGAGGGAGGTTGCAGCATTTGTCAGGCACTGAACTCAGTGCTGCCTTATTACAACAGAAAACAAAACCGGACCAAACTTTCCTGACACCCACCCATGGGAGGAGCATTTAAATCAGCCCTAGCCAGAAGGGAATTGCCAATCCTAGTGGTCTGAACTTGAGTTATCTCAAGCCTTGCCACTGTGGACTAAAGTGCTCTGGGGTCCTACATAAACTTGAAAGGCAGTCTAGGTCACAAGAACTCCAATTCCTAGGTGAGTCCTAGTGCTAAACATGGACCAGAGACATCAGACTGGGGGAGCATGCAACCTATTGAGACACCAGCTGGGGCAGCTAAGGGAGTGTCTGTGTCACCCCTCCCCTAAGCCCAGGCTGCACAGTTCGCAACTCCAAAGGAGACCCCTTCCCTCTGCTTAAGGAGAGGAAAGGAAAGAGTGGAGAGGACTTTGTCTTGCATCTTGGCATACCAAGCTCAGCCACAGCAGGATAGGGCACCAGTCAGAGTTATGAGGCCCCCTTTCCAGATCCTAGCTCCTGGATGACATTTCTAGACACACCCTGAGCCAGAAGGGAATCCACTGCCTTAAAGCAAAGGACCCAGTTCTAGCAGGATTCATTACCTGCTAACTGAAGAGCCCTTGGGCCCTGAGAAGCCAGCAGCGATACCCAGGTACTACAGGGAAGGCCTTGGGTAAGACTCAGACTTGTTGGCTTCAGGTGAAACTCAGCACATTCCCAGCTGTGGTGGCTACGGGGTGAGACTCCTTCCACTTGAAAAAAGCAGAGAGAAAAGCATAGGGGACTTTGCCTTGCACCTTAGATATCAACACTGCCACAGGTGGGTAGAGCACCAAGCAGGCTCTTGGGGTCTCCGATTCTAGAACTTGGCTCTTGGATGGCATTTCTTGACCTGCCCTGGTCCTGAGAGGAGCCCCTGCCTTGAAGGGTGAGTCCCAAGCCAGGCAGCATTCACCACAAGCTGACTGAAGAGCACTTGGGCCTTAAGGAGACATTGGTGGTAGTCTGGAAGTACTCCCCATGTGCCTGTAGTGGCCATGGGGTGAGGCTCCTTTGCCTTGGAAAGGGGAGGGAAGAGTGAGAAGGACTGTGTTTTGGGGGTTGGAGTGCCAGCTCAGTCACAGTACAATAGAACACCAGGTAGATGCCTAAGGTTTTTGACTCTAGTCCCTGGCTTCTGGACAGCACCTCTGAATATACCTGGGCACTAGAACTCACCACCCTGAAGGGAAGGACACAGGCCTGGCTGGCTTTTCTACCTGCTGATTGTAGAGTCCCAGGGCCTTTAGCAAACATAGGCCATAACCAGGAAGTAGTTACAGTAGGCCTTGGGTGAGATCAGTAGTGTGTTGGCTTCAGGTCTGACTCAGTGCAATAAGTGGTGGTGGCCACAGGGGTGATTGTGTCACTCCACTTCCAGCTCCAGGTGGCTCAGGACAGAAAGAGAGAGACTCCGTTTGTTTGGTAGAAAGTAAGGGAAAAGAATAAGAGTCTCTTCCTTGTAATCCAGAGAAGTCTTCCAGATCTTGTTCAAGACTATCAAGGCAGTACCTCTAAGGGTCTGTAAGAACCACAGCATTGCTGGGCTTGGGGTGCCCCCTAAAGCAGATACAGCTTAGATCACAACAACCAAGTCCTTTCAAATATCTGGAAAGCCCTCCTGAGAAGGATGGATACAAACAAGCCCTTACAGGACAGTGAAGACTACAATAAATACCTAACTCTTCAATGCCCAGACACTAAAGAATATCTAAAAGCATCAACACCATTTAGGAAAACAAGACCTCACCAAAGGAACTAAATAAGGCACCAGAGACCAATCCTGGAGAAACAGAGATGTGTGACCTTTCAGACAGAGAATTCAAAAGAGCTGTGTTGAGAAAACTCAAAAAAATTCAAGATAACACAGAGAAGGAATTCAGAATTCTATCAGATACATTTCACAAAGAAATTGAAGTAACCAAAAAGAATCAAGTAGAAGTTCTGGAGCTGAAAAATGCAATTGGCATACTGAAGACTACATCAGAGTCTTTTAATAGCAGAATTGATCAAGTAGAAGAAAGAATTGGTGAGCTTGAAGACAGGCTATTTGAAAATACACAGTCAGAGGAGACAAAGGAAAAAAATAAAAAATAATAAAGCACACCTATAGAATCTGGAAAATAGCCTCAAAGGGGGCAACTGTAAGAGTTATTTGCCTCAAAGAAGAGGTGGAGAAAGAGATGGGGGTAGAAAATTTATTCAAAGGGATAATAACAAAGAAATTCCCAAACCTACAGAAAGATACCAATATCTAAGTACAAGAAGGTTATAGAACATCAAGCAGATTTAATCCAAAGAAGACTACCTCAAGACATTTTTAATAATTGAACTCCCAAAGGTCAAGAATAAAGAAAGAATCCTAAAAGCAGCAAGAAAAAAATATAAACAAATAACATAAAATGGAGCTGCAATACATCTGACATCAGACTTTTCAGTGGAAACCTTACTGAGAGTGGCATGAGGTATTTAAAGTGCTGAAGGGAAATAACTTTTACCCTAGAATAGTATATCCAGTGAAAATATCCTTCAAATATAAAGGAGAAATAAAGGCTTTCCCAGAAAAACAAAAGCTAAGGGATTCCATCAACACCAGACCTGTCCTATAAGAAATGCTAAAGAGAGGCCGGGTGCAGTGGTTCACGCCTGTAATCTCAGCACTTTGGGAGGCCGAGGCGGGCGGATCACGAGGTCAGGAGATGAAGACCGCAGTGAAACCCCGTCTCTACTAAAAATACAAAAAATTAGCCGAGCGTGGTGGTGGGCGCCTGTAGTCCCAGCTACTCGGGAGACTGACGCAGGAGAATGGCGTGAACCCGGGAGGCGGAGCTTGCAGTGAGCCGAGATCTCGCCACTGCACTCCAGCCTGGGCGACAGAGCAAGACTCCGTCTCAAAAGAAAAAAAAAAGAGAAATGCTAAAGAGAGTACTTCAGTCAGAAAGAAAATGACATTAATGACTACTAAGAAATCATCTGAACGTACAAAACTCACTGGTAATAATAAGGAAAAGGTGGAGATAGTGATCGGGTACAAAAAAAATAGAAAGAATGAATTAGACCTACTATTTGATAGCACAACAGGGTGATGATAGTCAATAATAATTTAACTGTACATCTTAAAATAAGTGAAAGAGTATAATTGGATTGTTTGTAACACAAAGGATAAATGCTTGAGGGGATGGATACCCCATTTTACATGATGTGAGTATTATGCATTGCACATCTGTATCAAAACATCTAATGTACCTCATAAATATAAACACTCAGTACACAAAAAACTAAAATTAAAATCTTAATAAACAAATATTACAAAAGTAAATATTGAGAACCCTTTCTCCCAGCTTTATGCCCACCACCCTGCAAATAGGTAATAACTTTTAGTAGTTTCTTGGTAATGGAACTTCTTTAAAAATAGTATTGAAATAGGTTTTATAAGTTAGATTGGACCCATCCACCTCTTTCTGGAAGAGACTAGCTGGTACTGAGCACTGAGCAGTGTGGTCATACTTGGGTACCACAGCGTGCACAGGCAGAGGCAGCCCCCCAATCTTGCAGACTGGCATAGTGTCCAGTGTGGGTGCAGTTGGATACCCCAGAGCCAAGCTAACAGGGCATGGATCTGAGGCCATCAGTGTGGTTGAGGTTTTCCCCCTGTGACATCTTTGGTCTAATAATAATCCCCAAGGAAAGGGTATCAGTGTTTCCTAGAAACACATGACGAAGTCTGTAATCTGTCCCACCTTCAACCACAAGCAAACTTCTGCATACTCAGGATTACACGCATCCTCACAACTGAGATGACATTCCAAACCACAAGCACAACTCTTTGTTTTTGTGGTCACCACGTACAACAAGATAGCAGTTGATTTCCTTCACTCTCTTGGTTATGGTTGAGGAGATCAGCGGGAGAGTGGGAGGGAGGAGCTCCCTTCTGAGGGCTGGTCCCACAGGGCCCGGAGCTGGAGCGGGAGCAGAAGCTGGACTGGGAGAGAGCACAAGGCAAGCTGGGGAGAAATGCTGAACCACCCTGCCACCTTAGCTTTAGAATGTGTCAAAGGCATCTTTTCCTCACGCCACTCCTGGCCACATCCCTACTCATCACTCATCTATAAGGTTGTTTCCCAGTGAGTCACCTTCTCGGGCTTGCAGGCAAGCTCCCAACTCCTTCTGGCCTCAGCCAAGGGCACTTTCCAGACTTCTCCACTTATTCCCACCCTCCACAGGGCCCTGGAAATGTCACTGAAATCTCTCATGGTGTGTGAACTTCCCGGTGCCACAGCACATCCTGGAGATAATGGCCAAGGGAAGCAGACCACTTGCCCATTGCACTTTCTGGGCCATCTGTCTGATTTGAACTTAGGAGGATGAGGAAATGATCGGGCAAAGACAAACCAAACAGAGCTCGTGGTCCCACCCTAGAGCAGCATGTCATTGCTTACCTAGCCTAGAGTGGATACATTTTTCTGTTTGGTTCAAGTAGCATTAATTAATGTGTTCAGGAAAGTGATGATTGTCATGGGGACTAAGGGGGAGAATTTAAGGAGGAGAGGGAAAGGGTGGGAGCCAAAGTTCAGAGAACAGGAAATGTCTCAAGAGCTCTGGAAAGACAGCCTGTGATCAAATGTGTAGATGTTGAAGGAAATTCACATGGAGGAAAGGTGTGGTGCAGGTTGGACTCGGTACTGAGGGCACTAGAAAGGCAAGATGCCAAGCACTTTCCAGCAGGGCAAGACGCCGAACGCTTTCCTCATTTTCCTCATGCTCATGGAAGTCTCTCCCCTCTTTCATTTGATCAATGCATATTAGCCCCTACTTCACTTATGGGCACTCAAGAATCAACTAAAACAATGTCCTTCTCTGCATATTTTTTCCTGTTTCATTGGATATCTCCTCCTCAATTTTTGAGAAGAAATACAAGGTTATAAAAATCTGAATAAATTTTTCTCTGGAAGACTGATTTCGCCACGAGTAGTTCATTTCCAGAAATATAATCCAGTAACTATGTCCATGCAACACTCTTTGTAAGAATTTTCACAAGTCATAGTCACTTGCTTTCTTGAGGGTGACTGGCTCTTCCTTCAGTTCGTGGGATAAAGACTAGATCACTACTTCATGAGTTAGAAACAGAGTAGAGGAGTGTTATTTTGGTTTTCTTCATGCTGTTTGGGACTCTTGCTGTACTTTTTCTAAAACTCTGTTTTTGAGGCCACACAGACAGAACATTCTTTTGTACTCTTGTTGCTGTCTGGTAATATTTACTTTCATCTTATGGATTAAAGAGAGCTCAGATTTCTATATTTTAATACATGTGACCTAGATAGTGGTAAACCACCCACACTCACCCATAACTGTTTCAGATATGATACAGTACGTCTAAATATGCCTTTTGAAATTCTGATTAGCTCAGGGCAGGGGAGTATAAATTGCCTATGTTCCACTGACAGGAATCTTGCTGTTGGAGACTTCTCCAGTACCCGCCAAGCACAGACCACCTGGGGGAAAAGAACAAGAAGTATTCTCCCTCCCAGCTAAGTAGAATAACCTTTACTTCTGTCCTTCAGCACATGAACTGTAACTAAATACCTGTTTCATCAAAGCCAGATCCTCCCTCCTCTGGAAAGATTCCCCATCTTCCCAGGGACTGAACTCCTTGGGATACCCCCTTTTTCTCCTTTCTACTGCCTTGTTCCCTCTCCCTGACCTCAGAATTATTCCCATCTGCATAAAAATACACACTAAAAATTCCCCTTTTCACATGTCCCCCAGCTGCAGCTGCACTCCTCTGCTCCCACCACACTCAACATTTCTAGAATGAGTCCCCTGTTCACTGCCGTAGCCTCTGCCTTCACCACACCACTGAAATAGCCCTGTTCAAGCCCGAGTGACTGCCCTGTTGCCAAATCCAGTGGTCATGTTTTTGTCCTAGTCTTCTCCCCCTGCCCATTCCCTCCTCCTGGACCCCTGCTTGCCTCCTGGGCCAACCCCTCTCCAGGTGTCCCTTCTCCTTCACCACCATGTCTGCCCAGTCTCCTCTACCCAGCTTTTAATAGCCCAAGCAGTCCAGGATTTGGTTCCAGCCTCTGCCCTCCTTAGTCTCTTCTACCTGAGGCACCTCATCCTTGTCTGGGGATTGAAACACCCTCTTTATGCTGTTGACTCCCAAATGTCACTCACCAACCCAGACCTTTCCAGCGCAAGACTGGCTCATACAACTCTATGTGGCTTCTCTCAGTTCAATGTCTCATGAATCTCCAAGTTTAACCCATCCAAACCAAGGGCCGATAGGCATTTCTGAGCATTTGGGAATTAAAGGAATTTATTCTTGCTGCCTTTGTTCTGGATGATGCTGCCTGCTGATAAAATCTCTCTCTCTCTGTGTGTGTGTGTGTGTGTGTGTGTGTGTGTGTGTGTGTGGCACCTGGAGTTCTATGTGTACAGTATCCTGACAGGCAGCTGTGTGTCATTTTCCCTGAGCGAATTCCTACTGAACTGCCTTTTCCTACTGGTTCTGTGATATTTTGAATCACTGCCTTCTGCACCTCAACACCAACAAACGTCCACATCCTACATATTTCCTGGAATGCTGGGAAATGCTCCCTAAATTATGATGACTGTTCTGCTGGGACTATGGGACCAGGTTATACCCTTTCAGGTAGGGATGGAAAGAAAGTTCCGCCTGAAGGAAAGAGATCATTAACCGTCATTCAATCCAGAAGAGTTGATTCTGGGCCTTAGATGTAAGCAAGACAAACCATGATCCCTCTCTGTGTTCATGGCATCAATCAAGCCTGGAGAAATTGAAGATGTCAGTAGTGGACTGGTCACTGAGTTACATGAACATAAAACAATGTTTGAAAGCTCTTTTTGCTTAAGTCAATTTACTCACGAGTCCAACCCCATCCTGGCTGTTCCCTAAGGTCCTAAACTCCTCAATCATGAATGCTTCCATTCAGGGAACACTGGGATAATAGTACACACAAGAGGAGAATGTGAAGCTCTGGCCAGAGGTTCTCAATTGTGCTACATGTTGGAATCACCTGGAGGGCTTTAAAAAATGTTGATGACTGAGACCTTACCCAGAAACTCTGATTTACTTCATCTGGGGCATGGTCTGGTCATTGATAGGTTAACAAAACCTCCCAGGTGATTCTAATACCCAGCCAAGATTGAGAGTCCTACTCTGGACTATGCTGGCACAAACTGCACAAGGTTTTTTTCTTCAACACATGCCGATTTCCAGCAGTATAATTTCAGCTTCAGAGAGAAGCTTGGGCTTGCACTCATCAGATGGCACTGCCTCATCATGTGCAGTGTAGGGCTGTGTTTCCCCTGATAGACTGTGAGTTCTTTGAGGACTGGGGCCATGTCATTGCGTCTGTTTCTCCAGTGTCTAGTACATCACAGGAGCTCAATAAATGATAGCTCAGTGAATGGATGAACATGAAGCAAGGTGAAGTAGACAGTTGCCCCAGTCCCCGTGCCCTTGAGTTCACCTTCTGAGATGCACCTGCAGTGGCATGTCAGTGTGCACTCTGCATCACAGTTCATTCTGAGCTTGTCTCCAAGTTTCCCATACAGGGCACTCCGTGTGGGATTCTTCTCCACACTCCCATTGTTCTGCTGCTGCCTCCTCCAACAAGGCAGGGAAACTCCCCACAATAGGCTGGTTTCCTATTTGTGATGGTGGGGGGACTGTCACCTCAAGGTGTTTCATCCAGCCATTCCACACCTGCTCTCCTACTGGCCTAGGAATGTGGTACCCTGAACACTGGAAGGTCTGGAACCTAATGGGTGGTTCTGAGAAAGCATTATGGATGGTTTCTCTTTGAGATGTGTCACTGGTTTGACATTGTCATCTGTCACTCTCTGAGTCTCAGGATGACATCCCTTAGATGGGGACTCTGGGGGTGGTGGCTGGAGACGCCAGCATCATTGGTGCTTTGCCTTTGTTTAGCTCAGTTCCTATTCGGAATCCTTCACAATGGGGTGTTTTAACCAGGGACTCATACATGGCTCTTGGGGAGGGAGATCCATGACCCCCTGGAGTCACATGTCAGTATTGTACAAATACACTCTATGCACATTTCTCTAAAGAGAGAGAACCCCTCAATTTTAATCAGATTCTTAAAGTTGTCCATGACCACAAAAGGTTTGACTCATCTACCTCCCACTGTCTTCCCCACAGTTTTAACTTCCCACTGTTCCTAGAAGGCCTTGAGAGGGTGAGTTCTAACATCATTCTGCCACAAAGACCTGGAATGGGGTTGTCTAGGTTAGACCAGCCTGTGCATGTAGAACAAGACTACAAATTATTTGGTTTTCTGAAAACTTGGAAGGTAAAGGGGAGTATTATTAGTGGCCATCCTTCATCTTCCAACATGGACATTGATGCCACATGCAAGTGCGTGTGCCTGAGTGTGTGTGTGCATATATGAGTGTGTGTGTCACTGGCAGGGCTTCTCACACTGAGCATGTGTGTAACATCTGACAAGCAGCTGTGTCTCATTTTTTCTCGGCTTTTCCTGGTTGACTGACCATACGTTTCCTAGGTTTTGTGATGCTTATGCAAAATGGCCAGAATGCCCTCAGAGAGCTCAGCTGCCTGCTACCAACACGCCCACTTCCTGCCCACCTTGGACTACTCACACAACCCCCTGTTTCATCCCTTTCTCCAGGGTGGATTCTGTTTATTTGCAGCAAGATGCATGCGGTGTTGCCTCCTTCTTCTCCCTGGCACTCTGAAAGCACTCTCTGAGGCTGGGCGCCACCCCTACCTGAGTGTGTCTCACTGGCAGCAGCTGTGGATGAAGGGAAGTCTTATCTTCCCTTTGGCAGAGGCAGCAGCCCATGGAGCGGGTAGCCAGTGCCGTGCACACTCAGCCCCATTCTCTGTGGCAGTGGAAAGAGTGACAAGCATGGGCTTTAAACAGGGAAGCCAGTCTGGGGACTGCTAAGGCTCTAATAAGGCAGACTCAGAGAGAGCTAGGTGACCCCGCCCAGGACTGAGTAACGTTTGAGTCAGCATGGGCTGGCCTGGAAACGCAGAGTCGAACCTGCTTGTTCTCTGACTAGCCTGAGACTTGGCTCACAGCTGTCCCAGGCAAAGCAGAACACGTGGGAGCCTTGCTCCCTGCCCTCCCTGATGGCCTGATCTCCAGCCTCCTTTCCACTGCCTTCTCCTGCCAAGCCTTATATTTCCTCCTGGAGAACATTTCTCCCTCAGGCAGGGGAGCCTCCCTCATCAGGCTGTTGGTGCTGGCATAGTAAAAAAGGCAGGATGGCACCAGGGGGCACTTGTCTCTGTGTATGTTGTGCTCTGATATCAGGGCGGTAGCTCCAGCATGAGGAATGTGGATATCCTAGGCTTTGCTGATTGAGGGGTCCTGAACCTATGGGCTTCTCTCCTTGCCCAGATTTTTCTGTGTGTAAACCCCATGCACATATGAACACCTACTTAAGTGCATATGGTACCGTATCTGGTGCCTGCCCTCAGACAGAACCAAGATATGTGTGGAAACCTTGTCTGCACACAAGAATAACGACAATTATTTGGAAACAACAGCTGACATTTATTGAGCGCAAACCATGCTGGATACCTTGCTATGCACTTAACGTGAATTATCTATTTTAATTCTCACACTACATGTGAAGTAGGTCCTCCTATTATGATATTTTACAGAGCAAAGTGAGGCTTACCAGAGTTAAGTAACTTGCTCAAGATACACAGTAAGTGGTTGAGCTGAGCATCAAATCCAAGTTCATCTCCACAGCTGCGTGCATAACAACCATCAGGAACTAACCCTGTGAGGACGTCAAGGCACTGTGAGCAGCCAGAGAGTGGTCCAAACAGCAGGTGACACAGGAATTCCGTAGAATGAAAAAGCCTGATGATAAGAGGAAGGCGAAGGAACAGAGTGGGAAGGAGAAATGTGATGATTCTGGAAAACAACACCTTGAACTTTGCCATGCAAATCTGTTGGTTCCACTTAAAGCTTGATATTGAGAAGTCTTATAGGGGATGCCCATAATGATCTCTAAACTACCCAATCTCCCCACTCTGACAGATCCTCCCTGCCACAGTTTCAGAGCCCTTTGTCATCTGCTGCCAGCCCCAGCCCACGCCGGCTGATTTCCAAGGGAGATGCTGTAGCTGCCCTTCGCGTCCACACACTCTGTCAGTGCCCCGGCCAGATCCACTCAAAACCCTCCCCACAGCCCACCCCCGCCAGCTGTGGGAGCTTTGCTGGGAACAACCTGCCCCTGTGGCTCCCTAACAGTCCTGTCCTCAAGCTAACAGAGCCACTTTCACCCTTCAGGAGCAGACAGGCTGGGAATGTATGAACCCTCGAGGCCACCTGCAGCCAATGATTGATAACCATATGACACTCAGCTCGCTTGCCTCAAGGTGGAACAAACTCTAAGGTGTCATTTCTACTCCAGAGCTCCTCAGGGGCCAGGCTGCTGCTGACTTCACCTGAGGTAGCCCCTTGCTTTCCTTTTCTGTTCCACTGTCCACATTCCCTTGCGATTTTCGTGGGAGCACAGCCTTCATAACCACATGTGCACAAACCCTTATCTCAGGGTCAGCTCCTGGAAGCAGACTTAATGTAGTGTGGCTGTGAAGTTCCACGGACATCTTCAAAGAGACTGAATTGACTTGAACTGACTATGCACCATGCCAGCCTGAGACTCTGGGGGCCTTCACTGGATCAAAGAACCACTGAAGGAAGAGGAAGCGATTCCATAGGGCAGGGAAACAGCTGGCTCTCACTGCCCCCAGGGGAAAGCCTACTACGCTCAGCGCCTTGGATGGCAGTCAGCATGAAAGGGTGAGCAGTGGTCCTCACTCCCAGAGACAGGACTGCAGCCCTCAGCCCTTGCTCATTCCTGCATCACAAGCACAGGAGAGGCTAGAATTAGTGAGGAAGGAGGAACAGAGGAGGGGGAATGCGCTGGCTCCTAAGGGTAGGTAAAAGGGGAGGGAGGACGTTTGGGGGAAGGAACAGGCTGAGTGATGAGGAGCAGGTCCTCTTGGGCCTTCTGTCCCTCAATGGAGCTAGACCTGAGGCCACAGCCTTGCAGCCCCCTCACTGACAGTCTGACCCCTCTAGTCCCCCTGAAGAGCCCTCACCCCATACCTAGGACAGCCACTGAATATGAGCCCTTTCTTCCTTCAGTTACTCCTGCTCCTTTAAACCACAGCAGACTCAGGTGAGAGTAGGTCGTGATTTCCACAGGGTTACCTCATCCAAGAGCTGTGCCCCCCAGAGCTAAAGTAAGGATGATTTCAGGAGAATACCCACAGAAAATAGGTCTCTTTCTCCATGGACATTCCATTCACTCCCTATACATATACGTGTTTCGACACACACATGCACACACACACACACACACACACTTGTATTTTCTCTTCTGTGCATTGACCTCAGTCCAGGCCTGCTGGTTAGGCAGGTGTTGTACAGCCAGACTCTGGGGTTCATGGATTTTCCTGGTTGAGTAAGAACTGACTGGCAGCCTGACAGAGCTAAGCACAAGCTCAGGTCACAGAAAAAGTGGTGGGGCTGCGAGAAGGAAAGTGAAGCACCCCAGGGCCTTGAGACCTGCCTAACAGCAATGAGCCACTCCCCTGCTTGAGTCATCTCCACTCTCTCCTCCACACCTGCACAGAAAGAGTGACCTGCTGCCTGGGGAATGCAGGTGCCTCCCTCCACAGCCTCGTCCCAGGGAAACAGCTGTTCTACCTTTGGGAAGAGGGAGTCTCTTCCTTGGCCCTGCAGGGATGCCGTCTCCTGCCTTCTTCCTCATTCCCAAAGCTGTGGCAATTCTCCCTCCCTGTGCGATGCCAGGCATGGTCTTTGCTGGCGTCCATTCTCCATTCATGGGTGTTCACCCATCATGAACCAGGAATGTGCTTCCTCCTGTCAGTACGGGACAGTCCTTGTATGG
Organism: Homo sapiens; assembly: GCF_000001405.40. Classification (NCBI taxonomy): domain Eukaryota; kingdom Metazoa; phylum Chordata; class Mammalia; order Primates; family Hominidae; genus Homo; species Homo sapiens. The sequence goes on from NC_000002.12 coordinate 64,363,130, forward strand.
GAAACATACAATTCCTCCTCCCACTGTCAGAACTTCCACTGGTACTTCTCCCCACAGCCAAGCTCAGGCCTCAAAGTAGGCTGAGAAAATCTTCAGCAGGGAATATAGAGTTCTTAGTGTATATTTTTTTCCACTCGGGAAAAGCAACAAATTTATATTCCCTCAGTAAAAATTCAGTCAACCCTCAAGGCTACCATGGACAGTGGTGTTGGTTGTACCCTGCACAAATATGCCCTGCTGAGGGGATGAGTGGAGGCTGAAATTCAGCTACAGCTCACTTGCCACAGTGTGTATTCTGGTATGGGACTGCATCCGTTTAAAGTTTGCACAGAAGCACCTCTTGATCGTTGGGCTCCGTACCCAGAATGGGCACCTTTTCCTAAGGCATGCAAGACTCACTATAGGATAGCCTCTGCCCTGCCAACCTTGCTTCTCTCACCTCCTGCCTAGAAGTACTTTTGTCTTTGCCCATTCTTACAAGGCAGTATTTTTCCCCTTTCACCTCCTCCTTCTCTGTCTGAGGACAGTCTGATAGGATCAGAGACCCACAGACTGTCACTGCCATTGAGAAATAACATCCATGTGCCTTTTGAGTTCTTATTCTCAGATGGACAGCCACCCCAGTCATACTGGGCAGAGCTGTCAAGGGTGGTTTGCCCGTCCCTTCAGCCTGGTCTTCCTTCCTGATCTTCCTGTCTTCCTTCTTTTCCTCCTATAGTGTCCAGCAAGACCATCTCTCATGAAGCTTGCTCTTGAGGAGATAGAGTCACAGGAGGTGAGCAAGGACTAACCTGAAAAGATCCCCTCTAGCCCCACCCTGCCCTGGCTGCAGCCTCAGGAAATGGCAGGTGGAGCTCATCATCAGGCCTGGCTCCAACGCCCCCTTGCTTTTCTATGAAATATTTCTCTTCGCTTGTAGCATTGCATCTTCTTCTGCCAGGCTGTGAGCTGGAACTAAGCATCCCAGCTGGGGGCATTCCTCAGCACAGAGGGGAGCTTAAGCAAAGTTTGCAGAAAGTGCCTCCTGGGGCAAATGGCCTGCACTGGCTTCAGTCTGATGTGGTGGAGGCTGTCACTGCATATCTCAGACAGATTCTCCCTGCTCCTTTACCCCTGAGTTTTCTCTTTGCAACTTCCCTCCTCAGTTGTTTGCAGGAAGCAGCAATTAAGAGTTTGCCTTGTGTTGTTGGAGCTCCTCGAGCTTAACTCTGAAGCCCTTGGCTGGGCAGACCTCCTGTGGGTCCTTCTGAGGGCTTGGGGCTCGGTAGATAATTTAGAGCCAGTTTGGTTCCACGGATGGGGCCCACCCCACATCCCCAGGCTTCACCTGTAGCACAGGAGGGGCCAGACCTGCTCACTTTCAGGTGTACCCTGATCTGGGGACTCTGCCAAGCTCATAGCCAGGGCTCAGCCTGTTCCAGTATCATACTGGGGGTCTGAGCACAGCTTAGTAGGATAGGAGGCAGGGCTCAGATAGACCCAGACCATGGTTTGGAAATATCACGTTCCACTAAGAGGAATCAGGCACCTTGGAAAAATAGCCAATTCTAGGGCTGGAGCGGAGATATATGAGCTCGGAATACCTTGTGGCTGTGAGCCAGGTAGTACTCAAAGAATGACAGGAACATGTCAAAAGGACACAGCAGCCAGCTTTAAGGAGCTCCCACTGGCTGTGTTCAGGACAATTTGAGCATCAAAATAGTGATAATAATGGATTCTAGTCTATTTACTATGACAGGAATCTTTGAGCCCATACTGATAAAAAATGAATATTAATAAATTGAATGTTCAATGAAAAACAGGGCATTTACATAATCTCAATGTATTTCCCCACAAAATACTTAATTACAAAAGGGAAAATAATAATTTACAGTGGAGAAACTGGCAGACACCACCATAATCAAGTGACCAAAGTAAACATCACCAGTCATGGGACAAATAGAAATCACGTGGCACCTGGTAAAATCAACGCCAAGAGCACAGGAGGATTGTTGCGATGTGACTATTTGTGTGGAAAGGTGAGACTACAAATTCTACAAAATGGGTGGCTTGCGATTTCCAAAACCATCAAGGTTCTGAAAATCAAGGAAAAGTTGGAAGAACTGTTTCAGACTAACCGAAGAAGACTAAGGAGAATTGCCTGTTAAGTGTGATGTATGATCCTGGCCTCAATCCTTTTACTTTAACATATTTGGGACTATTGCACAACTTGAATTTGTCTAAGAATTAGAATGGTAATTGTATTAGTCTGTTCTTACACTGCTATAAAGAACTACCTGATACTGGGTAATTTATGAAGAAGAGAGGTTTAGTTGAATAACAGTTCTGCAGGCTTAACAGGAAGCATGACTGGGAGGCCTCAGGAAACTTACAATCATGGTGGAAGGCGAAGGGTAAGCAAGCACATCTTCACAATGGCAGAGCAGGGAACAGGTGAGAGAGAGGAGGGAAGTGCAACACTTTCACACCATCGGATCTCATGAGAACTCCCTCACTATCATGAGAACAATATGTGGGAAACTGCCCCCATAATCCAATCACCTCCCACCAGGTCCCTCCCTTGACATGTGGGGATTACAATTCAGATGAGATTTGGGTGGGCACACAGAGTCAAACCATATCTGTAGTGATATATCAGTCTTAATGAATAGATTTCAATGGTGGTTTGTGGTTATGTCAAAGAATATTCTTTTTTGTAGGAAATACACAATAAAGTATTCAGGGGTCATGGGGCATTATGTGGCAAACGTGCTCATTTGTTTCAGGGTAAAACAATGCTGCTCTTACAAACATTCTGTACATTTGAGATTGTTTCACAAAGTTTTAAAATCATTTAATTAATTAAATGAAACCCTGTACCTACAGTTAAATTCAGAATTGAGACATCTATTTCCACAGAAGTTTAAGTGTAAAGAAGTTAGAGGCTTTATGTGGATACATACTCAATATCCGAATAATATAAAAATGGCAATGATATTATATAGCTTGAAATATTATTCAGATTAAAAATAATCACATGAGACTCTGAGGGCAGAAATGTGTCTATTTTATTTACTACTACTGTATTCTCAGCAGAGGATTTGGCATTAATAAATATTTGTTAAATAAATGAATAATATGTGGCAAATAATAAGACCCCAATAAATGGTAATTTTTAAACTGTTGTTGTTACTTATAAGGATGGAAGTCAACCATGTGAAGCTGCCAAAATGTTGGTCTTAGGGTGGCACAAGGTAAACAATAGCTCAAACACATATCACAATAGTCCTGCCAAATCTGGACAATCATGCTCAGTTCTAAATGCAATATTTTAAGCTCTATCAGATTTAATTGATCTCAGCTGTAAATAACAGGATACTTGATTTACAATGTCTTAAATAAATGCAGGTTTGATCTTCTCATCACACTGAAAGTCTGGAAGAAGGCAGTTGGTGGTGGCAATTCTCATTTCAACAGTTTCATTGCCTGAGTCTCTGAGATATTTTTGGCCTCTCCCTCATGGTGATAAGATGACTACCCCAGTTCCAGGCATCAGATGCCCTTCCAAGGGGGCAAGAAAAGGTGAAGGGACTATGCTAGTAGCATCTATCACTACAATTAAAAAGGCAAAAACTTCCTTATAAGCCCTTCACTAGGTCTCTGTTTATGTATGATTGGCTAGAACTGGGTCACATGGCCACCCCTAGTTATAGGGAAGATTGAGAAAGGCAGCGTTTTGTTTTTCATGCTTTACATTGGGAGTAGCCACAGCAAAAGAATTGCAAATGTCTGCTGAGTTAGCCAATGAACAGTGTCCGCCGTAGATGGACACCAACCAAAACATGTCCAGAGGAACACAACTGGGATGCTAAGGGGTGTAGAGGTCATGTCCTGTATGGCTTGGTGGAAGGAACTGAAGTTGTTTGGACTGAAACAGAAACAACTTAGGAGGATGTAGCAGTCACCTGATAGATCTGTCACATGGAAAGGGAATTTACTTTCTCTGTACTGATACAGAAGACAAAAGTTAAGACTACAGGTGGGAGGTATAAAGAGGGGCCCCTGGTCTTAGGCTGGCCCTCCTTCACATGGCTGCTTTGTGAGGGAGTGAGAGACCCTTGCCTGGAAGTGGCCAGCAGTGGCTAGACTATCACATATCAGGGACATCCTCCATGGCATGGGGGACTAGAGTGAAGAAGCTAAAGTGTGACTTCCAAAGCACAGATTCACTGAATTTTCTGTGACCCAGTCAGAAGCCAGGCCCACGAAGAAGTGGGCTGGTTTTGCTCCTGCATAACTTTGTTTTCAACACCTTCTTGGTAAAAGGGAGCATCTTTCTTCTGAAGAAGTCAAAACACTAATTTATTTCTTTAGTCACATCCTACCGGGCTTCTTCTTTCCTGCACATAGCTTCAGGGGTGTTTTATCTACTCATTCACTTGAACTTGTGCGTAACTGAGGAAAGAGTGCTACCTCCTCACTGATGAATGCAACAGGAACTTTATGCTGGGCAGAGGGTTAGAGCAGAAAGAGTGGCATTTTGACCCCAGGCTTGAGTTGTCCTTAGAGACGAAGATAATACACTATCTGCTTGACTCACGCAGTTGTAGGACTAAGTGTTGCTGAGTGCTTTGAAAATCTTCAAGTGCTGAACTAATGATAACTATTACAATAGAAATGATTATTCTGTCTTCTGTCCTGTCACAGAGAGAATATCAAATACCTGGATCCCCAGCTGGAGAACCTTTAAATTGGTGTAAAAGTCTGTCTCCCCACAAGTGTTTTCTGTTCGCTGGGGCTTCACTAGCAGTTGTTTGAATGTTTCATGAGTTTTGTTTTGAGCCTTCTAAATTGGCAGTGATTTTTCTGCTTCTGTCTCTAGAGGCTTGAGCCAAAAAGATCAGCCTGAGTTAGTTCTTCCCCGGCCCTTGTAGCTGCATCTCTGCTGCTGCAGCCCAGCCCTTGGTCCAGGATCTGACCCAGAGGGGCCCAGGAAATGTAAACCACCTTCGGGAAGAGTGTGCTTTTCATGACCCAAATAGGCAAACATCACCTGCAGAGGAGCAATTTAAATTACTGTTGCTGAAGAGAAGATAGGGAATTGGACTTATAGTACATAAAAGGAAATGGAAGCTTCAGTTAAGTAGTTTGCCTGAGGTTGCATGTTTTACAAGATTGTGTTCAGTTTTTGAAACAAGAGTTTCTGACTTCACAGCTTGTCGGTATATAAACGTCACACAGAGGATGGCTAGGCTGAGGTCGGATCTTAACAGATTTGAGTTAGAATGACAGGAAAGGAGGCAGGGTGGTCGTGTGGTGAGGCTAAGAACCTGGAAAATGACCATTATTTAAAGATACCAGGAGTTCTTCAGCTGCTGGAGATGGATACTTCCATTCACCTTTGGGGAAGAATACTTCTCTGTTTGAGGAAAATGGCCACCACAATGGGTATTTTTTTGTGCTGAAAAGCACTTGCAGGAGTTGATGGAAATGGGACTATGAGAGACTTAGGGACTAGACTGTGGGTAGCTGTTTCTGGATCCAAGGGAATTAGGTAGGAGAAGATGCCAGTGTTGCTCCTAGGACATGTGGAGCACCAGGTGATATTTCTATAGGGTCCCTGCCTATATTAACCATTCGTACATTAACCAAATGTACTGCAAATTCATGGGTCTATTTTAGATAGAACCATTTACAAATAAAAATTCAGAATAAAGGATAGAAAAGAGATATGTCTGTATGTGTTTGTTGTTTAATCAGTGCACCTGAAGATTCTTTGTAATGTACTGAAAAGGTAGCGATGGTGATGTGACTCACAGTTCTGTGGCTCTTTGGAACCCACTTGTAATTTTTTTTTTTTTTTTTTGAGAGGGAGTCTCACTCTGTCGCCCAGGCTGGAGTGCAGAGGCACAATCTCAGCTCACTGCAACCACCTCCCGGGTTCAAACCATTCTCCTGCCTCAGCCCCTCGAGTAGCTGGGATTACATGTGCCATCACACCTGGCTAATTTTTGTATTTTCAGTAGAGACAGGGTCTCATCATGTTGGCCAGGCTGGTCTTGAACTCCTGACCTCAGGTGATCTGCCCACTTCAACCTCCCAAAGTGCTGGGATTACAGATGTGAGCCACTGCACCCGGCCCATTTGTGATTTAACAATGTAGAAATTCTTACCTCTGCAGTTCCCTTATAGTTTATTTAATACTGGTGATATCATAACTCATGACTATATCATACATCCTGCCACCTGGCTGCCAATCACTCTGGAAGGTTGTTCTGGGCTTCATTGATGATGACCACAAATGAGATTCTTACTTAGAATATGCAGGAAAATGTGAATGGTAATTTGTTTTCTGCTCACTTTAAATGTACTGATAGGAACTGTACAGCAAAAACATTCTCTTCCCATCTTGTCTTCTCCTAAACTCATGAATCCAGTAATCATTGTATTCCAACAACGTGATGTCTTTCAGTGTTTACCCACCCCAGCTTTGCAAACACTGCCACCAGCAGGGAGGATAAGTGGGAGGAGGGGGGTGCACAGTGGGGACAGAGCCAGAAGATCCAACCCATTCATGTAAAGTCAGTCCCTTGTCCCAAAAGGCTTAAGACCGACCTGAGACACCAAGACATCATTGATAGTAAAGGCCAGTTGGCATTGAGGAGCAACAACCTCTAAGTCCCCCCAGGAAGTAGACAAGACCACCCCTGGGGAGGGTCTAACATGTGGCCTGGGGCCTGTGGGAGGGTGGGGTGACCACCTTGTGTGCCAGTGATGGTGGGGTGCACATAGGATACAGGATGCCCACTGCCAAGCAAACCGTCATCCCCACTGCCCCACCGTGCTGTGTGCTGGAAGTGGCACTGCAGTAGGAACACCCGTGGGTGAGCGTCAGGGCGTGGCTGACACATGCACAGCTCCAGCACAACTCTGCCGTGGGCTGTGGGTACCCCAAAGGCCTGAACTTGTCCTTGCCATAAGTGAGAATTACTCCAGATCCGCATGTTCTCACCTTTCCCATGGCCCAAGCTCTCGTGATCCCTGAGCACAATACTGCACAAGCTAATGAGAGCAATCCACCTACCAAGCCTTCTTTCTGGGAGCAAGTCCTGGACACAAGTGCCAGGAAACACCTCAAATTTTGAGAAGGGCGTTCCAAAGCAGAGGGGTCGTGTGTGGGACAGACCCACTTGCCTGGATCTAAGGGTGGTAGGAAAGCTCTCGCTCCCTGCCTCTGCCTCCTACTGAGTACCTCTGAAAAGAGGCAGTGTGGAGGGTTTGCAGAAGGTATCTTCAGTGGCTCTGGGGTGCAGTGTCCCTACTCCCTCTGATGGTTTGGAAGGTAAGGGGAGAAGCCAAAAGTAGCTGGAAAGAGTAGCTGATGGTCATAGAATGGTTTATGGGCACGTAGTGGTATCTGTTAAAGAACTTTCAGAAATTATTGGTCGATACTTCAGAGTAGGCCGAAGTGATTGGGAGATAAGGGACTGAGGTCCAGCAATCCCCCTTGATGTGGGGATTGCAAGTTTGATCTCATTTCACACTTGGGGTGATGAGGCCTAAAAGGTGATTTTTAAAAAAATCTTACTTGCTTTGATATTCATACCTATTTATACAAGTATTTGCAAAAGAGATGTTTCAAACCTTCTTTTAATTAAACAGCACATTGTGATTTACTTCTGAAATCAATAATTATTCATTCTAGTTTTTTAATTTTGAAAGTAAACTTTACATCAGGTAACATGCATGGATTACAAAGGTATGAGTCTTAACAGATAGATACAGCTGGGTAACCACCATCCCAGTCAAGACACAGACTATTTCCATTAACCCAGGAAGTTCTCCAGTTAAACCCATCCCCATGGGCAACCACTGTTCTGATTTCTATGACAGTGAATTAGTTTTGCAGGTTCTAGAACTTCGTACAAATGAAATCATACATTATTTACTCTTTTTGGTTGGCTTCTTTCACTGAATATGTTTTTGAGATTCATCCATGTTGTAAAAATTATTTTTTTATAGCTGAGTTTATTCTTTTTACATTCTACTGTATGGCTGAACAGTTAATCCGTTTTCCTGTCACTAGACCTTGGGTTGTTTCCATTGCCTATGATTTTTTTTTTTTTTTTTTGAGACAGAATCTCACCCTGTCACCCAGGCTGGAGTGCAGTGGCGCAATCTCAGCTCACTGCAACCCCCGCCCCCCGGGTTCAAGTGATTCTCCTGCCTCAGCCTCCTAGTAGCTGGAATTACAGGCATGTGCCAACCATGCCCAGCTGTTTTATATTTGTGGTAGGGTGGGTTTCACCATGATGGTCAGGCTGGTATCAAACTCCTCAAGTGTTCAGCTTGCCTTGGCCTCCCAAAGTGCTAGGATTACATATGTGAGCCACTGCACCCGGCCTATTGCCTTTGGTTTTAAGCTGTGTTCGAAGTGCCTTGGGATCATGGTGGGAGTCCATCACCAAGTTCCAAAGCAGAGGGGTCGTGTGTAAAACAGAAACTTCTATTTGTTTTCCATTTGTTTTTCTTACATGTTGGGATCTCTGTGAAATAGGTTTAGCTGCTAACATAGAGTTTAAACTGCTGTAACTCACATTAATGAAAAAAATTGTTTAGCTTTTCAAGTGTCTGGGATTCCCTTTCTTGTCCATCCTTCGGTGCAGCATCCATGTTGAAGGAGAGGCCAAAAGGTAAGTCATAAACCAGTAAACAAGGTGCAGCCACAGCTGCCTGATGATTGGCTGCCAAGTAGACCTGTCCAGATATGCCACTTTGGCTCACTTTGATGAGTAACACCACTCCTGGAACAATAGCCCTTCTGTAATTAACAAAGTTCCCAAAATGAATTGGACTCCGACTGTCTGCCACATTCTAAAACAATGAACCAACTGAAGGCTGAGATGGGAACCTCTGCTTCAGCTGAAGTTTAGGTCAGACATGTAAATACAAAGGACTAAACAAAACTGTCTGGAGTGTCTCCAACTTATCATTCACCTAGAAAGTGGAATGTGGGTGACATATCTCTCATAGCAAGAAGGTGAGGGAGGGGAGACAAGGTTGCACTTCTCAAGGCAGGTCCATCACCTGAGTTTGCTGAGGCCCAGCTAGGAGAGTTGGATGAAGCAGGAAGTGTGGATATCACATAATTGGATTTTCAAAGTGAGTTTTCTATTCCAGCTCTTTGTTCTTCTCTATACCCAAAATACTGGGCCAAGAGGAAATGTAAGACTGGGTCCACCAACCCAGCTTTCCAAAGAGATCCACAGTGACTCACTTACATTCTCCACCATCCACAGCCAGTCTCACTTTCCTTGTTGAGTCCTCATCTAGTTTCATAGGAAGTTTTATAGCTTCTACTTTTTGACCAATAAACTCAGAAATACATTTGCTACCCAAACATCTCCAGTATATAAGACCGTGTAGTCTGGACAATCTATTCTCATTGGTCATTTTCTTTGTCCTAATTTTATTCTGTATTTATATTTCACTTCATGCACTGTATATTTCCTGTATGCTGCTTTTAATCCTTTGTGGAATGAGGTGGGGTATGAATAAATAAATAAATAATAAAGCCTGACCTTGGAGCTAAATTAAAACAACGCACGTCTCTTCTGTACCCCCACCCAGCAGTTGGTACAGTTGGGCTGTTGATACAATAGCTCCTTCTTCCTGCAGAAAGAGTGGGCTGGGCAAACAGGTGTGTAGCTGCCTCTGGGGATGATATTATCCAAGCTTCTCACCCTTTGAACTTCCATTCATTCTTTCATTTATTGAACAAGTATATATTGAGCACTTAATATATGTCAGGTGCTAGGGGGACAGAAACAAGTTTGCTGCTCTCATGGAATCTTCACTGTAGTGAGGGAGACAAAAGACAAGCAACTGAACAACAACAAAAATCACATGATTTGGTGAGACCCTGTCTCTATTAAAAATATAAAAAATTAGCCAGGCGTGGTGGCAGGCACCTGTAATCCCAGCTACTCAGGAGGCTGAGGCAGGAGAATCACTTGAACCCAGCAGGCAGAGGTTGCAGTGGGCTGAGATTGTGCCACTGCACTCACGGCAAGACTGTCTCAAAAACAAAAAAACAACAACAGAAAAAACTTACGTGATTTCAGATAAGTGCTGTAAAGAAAATAAATGATGGTAAGGTGATTATTGTTTTAATGAGGGTGGGCAGGGAAGGCCTCTCTCTGAGGATATTTGAACGAAGACATGAATCAAAAGAAGGAGGTGAGCCAAAGAAGGGACTTCTAGTCAGAAGAAGCAACCACGCAAAGGCCCTGTGGCTGGAATGTTCTTGACCCTTTCTGAAAATGAGGAAGAAGTTCTGGAATGTGGCTGAAGCCTGGCAAGTAAGGAGTGGGGGGTGACAGTAGTAGGAGATGAGGAGCTAGATCATGTTAGGCCTCATATGCTGCAGGAAAGAGATTGAAATTTATTCTGAGTATGGTGGGAAGTTATTGAACCTTTTGAACAAGAGAGCAGGGTGAAGTGATTTCTAATTTGAAAGGAGCTCTCTGGCTGCTGCGTGCTGAGTTGACTAAAGTGGAACATAAGTGGAAGCTGGGGGATTAGTGAGAATGCCTCTGCCATAGTGCAGGGAAGAGATGCTGGCTTGGACCAGAACGCTCATGGAGGAGATGGCGAGGTGGTCAAATTTCACTAAGAAGGAAAACACCATTAATTAAACAATGGCACACCATCAGTTGTCAGATGTGTTCTGAATTCATAGACTTTATCATATGAGGGGAAAAGTGTGTCTTAGAATCAATGAAATGTGATATTCAGAAAGCAGAATCCAAAAGTGTTGCTGACAGATAGGATGTGGAGGGGCAAGAGAAGAGAAGACTCAAGGATGACCCCTAGGCTTCTGGCTTGAGCAAATGGGCAAACAATGGTGCTGTTATTGACTAGGAATGGGAAGACTGAGGGAGGCACAGCACTGGAGACAGGCAGAAAAGGCAGGGGGCGTGAGAGTCTGTCTTGGCCATGTCATTGTGAGCTGCCTACTAGACATCCACGTGGAGATGTGAGCCCTGCTTCAACCAACCGAACTTGGATATATGAGTCTGGAGCTCAGGGGAGGTGCGGGCTAAGCATATAAATTTGAGACTCCTCAAAACTGAGATTGTTAATAGCCATGAATTAGGGAGCAATCGCTCTATTCTTCTTTTCTGGCACCCCACTCAGAGACCTTCTCAGGCCAGCATGCTGCAGAAAGCAGAGTTGGGGGAGCAGGAGGAACTTATGTCACTGTGTACCCCATCTTCTCCCCAGGACCCTCCTGCATACCTGTCCTACCTAGGGTTCCTCCAAGAAGCAAAGCCTGAGACAAAGACTTTAATGCAATGAGTTTATTTTGGGAACTGAATTCAAAGAGCCAGAGGAACTTGGATAACGAAAGGAGAAAAGAGAGAAGCCAATCTGAGGGCACTTGATGGAGCTGGTCACCACCGTGGCAGCTGAATCCCACTGGGAGCTTCTGAGAAGCCATGTAGAATGCACCTTAGCATTGTCCACCTGAGACTCAGGAGAGGGGAGAATTCATCCACCCTCTCCCATACCCCATTGGTCAGCAGTTGCCCCGGGGGGTTAACTCTCTCAGACTTCTGGGTGTGTGCCTGTTCCAGCAAGGCTGAGTGAGCTCTCCCTGGTTTCACAGTTGGTGGAGGTAGGAAGTCCTGGGATAGAAAGTGACAGATGAAGAAGCAGCTGAGGCAAGGGGCTGCCAGACTACACCGGGACACAGCTGGTTCCAGCAGAGCAAAATGCGGGCCCAGGGATGTGAGCCAGCATGTGATAGGTGTCTGCCAGGGTACCCTGGAGCCCTGCCAGAAATCTGAGTCAGCATTTGAAGGAGGGTGCCCATGAGGGCCCGGAGATACATGGGACACAGAAATACAGTATAAAATGAGACAATTATGCAAGGTCAACTGAATTGTAATACTTCATCCATCTGAATTTCTGGAGGCAGGAGGCTTTTCAGACGGATTTGCTTGTTACTATGATACAGGATTAAAGTGCTTCATTCCAACTGTCTCTCCTTTCCATTTCTGACACAGAGAACGTTCCTCCCAGGATGGCAGGTAGTCCCTAGAGTTTGGCAGAATCCCAGGTCCCGTTCATCTGTGTTTGTGACTTGGGTGGAGACATGTGACTATTGTCCTGGTCTACGGGTCTTTGGCCTCTCACTCAAAAATGGATGAGTGATATCTTCCATGACCCAGAATTGATTTTCTTTGGCCCACCTTGAGGTCATATTGCCTGGGAGTTGACACCATCAGCTCTGGCTTAACTCTGTGCTGGGACTTGCTGTAGTCAAGGTGGGACTCATGGCGGGGAGGCATCTCCAGGATGTCCTGGTGCCCCAAATGAGCTAATTCTGGAGTGCACGGGTGTACATCAAGGATATAGGATTTCTCAGTGTGCTCTGATCTGGTCTTCATGAATTTTTATAGTAGTCACACTCCACCACCACCACCACCATCACCACCATCACCACCATACCACTACCACCACCACCACCATCACCATCACCATCACCACCATACCACTACCACCACCACCACCACCATCACCACCATACCACTACCACCACCATCACCATCACCACCACCATCACCACCATACCACTACCACCACCACCACCATCACCACCATCACCACCATACCACTACCACCACCACCATCACCACCATCACCACCATACCACTACCACCACCACCATCACCACCATCACCACCATACCACTACCACCACCACCATCACCACCATCACCACCATACCACTACCACCACCACCACCATCAACATCACCACCATACCACTACCACCACCACCACCATCACCACCATCACCACCATACCACTACCACCACCACCATCACCACCATCACCACCATACCACTACCACCACCACCATCACCATCACCACCATACCACTACCACCACCACCATCACCACCATCACCACCATACCACTACCACCACCACCACCATCACCACCATCACCACCATACCACTACCACCACCACCATCACCACCATCACCACCATACCACTACCACCACCACCACCATCACCACCATCACCAGCACAAACATGGCACCACCATTACCACCACTCCCACCACCACTGTCACTACGACCACCACCTCCCCATGCCACCACCACCACCATCACCACTACCACCTCATAGTACAGCAAAGCTTCAATAATAATTATATTAATGTTTATCTTAAGCACCTATTTATTGCACAAAAACACTGTTCTTAGCACTTTCCACATAATAGCTCATGTAAGCCTCATAATAAAGCTGAGAGAAGAGCACTATTATTATCATCATCATCCTTATTTTATAGATAATAAAACTAAGGCACAGAGTAGATGAGTAATTTGCTCAAGGTTAACTGGCTAGTAAGGGATAGAATCAGGATTCCAACCCAGGTGGTCTAGCCTTGGAGTCCACATGCTTAACTACTACTCTCTGTGGTCACGTTCCTGCAATGCAGCCGCATGTCCAATGCCAAGCTGATGGGTGCAATACCTGGTAGGATATTAAAGAGAGGGGCATGCTCTCTATACCCTTTTTCTCCATCTGTCAAAGCTGGGAGATGCATATGGTGGTGAGTCATTTTGGACAAAGCAGATGAAAGCAATTCTTAAAATTTAGCAAATCAAAAAAACAGGAGGATCTGGGTCCCCAACATGATGAAACCCCTTTTATCAGTTTTTGACTCCTTAGGGGAGAGAAAAATCAAAATCTGCTTGGCTTATACCTCTATTATTTTGGTCCTTAATTACAGCAACTGAATCCATATCTATAATGACACAGTGGGCAAAGTCAATCTGGATAGCAACACAGCCAACTGCCCCCACCTCAGAAGCTCTGTCTTCAGCTTCAACATGCCGAGGGCCTAATTCTATGCGAGGCTGGGCTTTCTGAAGACTCCTGCACCGCCGAGCTGTACAAACCAGACTCACAGGGTGGAAGTGGGGAGAGGCCCATCTCCACGACAACCAAGTGGTGATGTTTATATTTATGTAGACTCATAAATGCTCCTGTAGTTTTTATGAGCATAAAACAGAAAATTATCAAACCAGAGCAGAGCTTCCTCAGCAAAGAGCTGACACCCCAACAAAAGGCCTCACCTCACAAAACAGGGTGGGTGTCTTCTTGGAGACTATAAGATCACAGCAGAAACTAGATAGGCCATCTAATCTGATCTGAAGGCTGGGAAAGAGAAAAGGAGAGGGGTGAAGGAGGCCAAAGCTGAGTCAAAAGGTTGGAACGTGAAGGTTTGGGAGGTGCAATGAAGGAGTCAAAGTGTTTTTAAAATCATTTTTTAATTGAAAAATCAATGTAGTAGTAAAGTTTTTTTCTTCTTCTTCGTAGAGAGAGGTCTTGCTTTGTTGCTCAGGCTGGTCTCAAACTCCTCTGCTCAAGGGATCCTTTTGTCTCAGCCTCCCAAAGTGCTAGGTTTATAAGCATGAACCACCCTGCCTGGCCAGTGGTAAAGAAATTTTTAAGCCTCTAAAATTTCATGAATCCTTAATAGAACTTTAAAAAAAGTTTTCTATATATGTCTTCGTACCCACACTTATCAAACTTATCTACAAATATGTTCAACTTTTTGACTTCTAATTATAATTCTCCACATTTCTACATATCTATTGCAATTGTTAGGAAAGTCACTTACTCTCACAAAATCTCAATTTTCTCATCTTTAAAATGGGGCTAACTATACCTAGAGGAGTTGTTATAAGGATTAAGTAAAGAGGGTCAAACACCCAGCAGCATGCCTGCCACAGAGCATAAACAACCTTTCCCTTTAAAGAGTGATAAAGTTTCCCCAAAACTCCCCGTTCTCCGCGTTCAAGGCTTCTCTCTTCCTTCGCACTCTGTGCTCATAAGGTACTTCTTGTCTATCCACATTACACCAGTAAAGAGGTAACTTAAAGGCCTGAATACATAAATATAGTAGAGTCATTTGATGGAATATTATACAGCAATAAAAAAGAACAAACTACCGCCATACACAAAACATACATGCAGCTCCCAGTAAAAATGTTGGATGAAAGACATTAGACACAAAATAATACATATTCTGTGATCTCTTGATATAAAGTTTCAAAACAGGAAAAACTAATCTATGGTGATGTATGTTAGAATAGTGGTTACGGGCTGGGTGTAGTGGCTCACGTCTGTAATCCCAGCACTTTGGGAGGCTGAGGCAGGCGAATCACGAGGTCAGGAGTTTGAGACCAGCCTGGGCAACATAGTGAAACCCCATCTCTACTGAAAATACAAAAAATTAGCTGGGCGTGGTGGCAGGCGCCTGTAATCTCAGCTACTCGGGAGGCTGAGGGAGGAGAACCGCTTGAACCCGGGAGGCGGAGGTTGCAGTGAGCCGAGATCGTGCCACTGTACCCCAGGCTGGGTGACAGTGTGAGACTATGTCTTAAAAAAAAATAAAAAAGAATAGTGGTTACCTCCTGGGGGAGATGACTGGGAGGGGACATCAGGGCAGCTTCTGGGGTTCAAATAATGTCCTGTGTCTTGATCTGGGGGGTGGTTACTGGGTGTATTTACTTGTGAAAATGCATCACACAGTTCATCCCTGATTTGTGCAGCTTATTATATGTTATATTTCAGTTGGAAAGTCTCTTTCCAAAGTGAAAATTTGGGGTGTCACAGGAAAAGATACTAACACAGGATGCCTGCCTTGCCCTGATCACTCCAGCCCTACCCCATTCTCTGCCATCTCCTCTCTAGTGTCCAGGCAAATTTTTTCTTTTTCTCATGTAGGCAATTTTTCCAACACTTAGGAGCTGAGGAAAGCCCAGAGTCTATTCTTACACATCACATCAAGGAATTTCTTCCCCAAAAAAATTCTCTTTGCATTTATGTCATTGGGATGAACTCCTTTATGTGTATGTATTTTTTATTTCGATGAACTTTCCAGAGTGGGAATCCATCCTTATGACTTTTTATTCATATGACCGCTTTGCTTTCTAATATGGCTGTACCCAGTCACAACCCCCAAGGCAATTCATTCACACCCAACAATTAGTTTTCTCTGGTATGAGAACCAGGAGAAAAGTCCAGTCCTGAGGGCACTGGTCTGGCTACTCTTACACCCCGGGTCTTCAGGGAAAAGTTCCCCCAAAGTGATGATGCTTCTCAAGTACGTGAGGTGCTTGTTCATCTCAAACATGTCATCATCCACATTTATGCATTCCAGACATGAAGTGTCTACCTGGGGCCTGGCATGGGCCGTGCCCTGGGATAAGCATGGCAGTGGTGCGTAACCAGCACGGTGACCTCTGGCCTCTGGCAATGTGACCTGTGGATGACGAGTCCACTCACAGAGCAGTGGCTTACACAGACAAGAGAATCCTTAGCTGCCCTGTGTCCATCCCATCATTAGAGGAGATCCGCCAAACTCAAAAAGGAGTCTAGAATCACAAGCATCACGGTTATAGTTAGTGAGTTACTGCCTGGCAAATGAGTTTCAAGAGGCTCTGCCTTTTTCCTCTTAGTTACAATTCAAAATTCTTGGGAAAGACTCTGATTGTCCCTTCTTGGGTTATCTACTCATCTCCTATACCAATCACTGAGGCCAGGATAGTAGAATGGTGTAAGGGACAGCTTCCATGTGGACCTCATGATTCTTAGAGAAGAAAGAGTGGCACCCCAAAAGAAGGAGGCATTTTCCCAGTGGGAAAGAAAGGTGTTGGACATACAAAACAAAAAATAGTTTTCAGAAAGGTGAGCACATGCGTGGGCACATGCACACACACGTGAGGAGGTGGACTGTCTCTTAGCTTGGGTTCCCGCAGAAAGAAGGGGAATTGCAATTGTTAGGAAAGTCACTTAACCTCACAAAATCTCAATTTTCTCATCTTTAAAATGGGGCTAATTATACCTAGAGGAGTCGTGACCCTGAGATAGAAATTTGAGTGAAGTTTCTTTGGGAGCTGATCCCAGGCAACACCACCATAGAAGTGGGGAAGAGAAAGCTGTCAGTGAAAGGGACATTCTTGAGCCAGTTACCACCGAGGGGAACTGGGGCTTAATCCCACCGCAGAACTCTGGGAGTCAATACAAGACAGTAACCCCGGAGTTATCTCACTTGAGAGCTGCTTCTACACAACCACCACCAGTCACTGGTGGATGGCTGCTCCGGGGACTGGGGAGTGTTGTTAATTCTCTGAAACTTCTGCCCATTGGGCACTCAGACAGTGCAGGCTCCAGCTGCCAGAGAAAGCCCTTGTGCAGTTGGACACCTGGCTGGTGTTCACACAGTGGTCAGGCCCGGGGAATATTGCTGGGACACTGACAGTGTCTGTTTCATATATGCTTGTGTTCCAGCGGGAGAGATAATTGTGGGAGACCCCATATCTTTATATCTAGCAGCAAGGGGATAAGAAATTTGTGTTCCCTCTCAGGGTTCATGGGGATGAGGCTCGGGTGATGATGGCTCATGAGGGAGAGCTTTATCTGCAGATCTATCGTTTCCATTGGGGAAGCCCACTTTTAGTGCTAGGGAGGGCTGCCGGGTGCAATGACCATGAAGAGGGTGTTCTTGGGGACAGTCACATGTATGGAGCATACTTGTTAGTTTCTTTCCCTACAGGATGGGAACCTAACCCTGCCCTGGCCAATTAGTGCATTTGGACTCCCTATGCATAGCACCTGGTTCAAAGATGGACTTGTGGCCCAAATCAGTAAAATTCAGTTAATCCTAGAATGTTTGTTAGAATGGCCAGGAAAAGATCTTTCTGTAGCAGAAAGAAATGGGGAGACTGTTAGCATGTGGCTATGGAGGTCACCCTGTAAAAAGAGCCTGCCTGAAGAAAAGTCACAGGAAAAACAAAGGAGCCAAGGCTGAGGAGAGAGTGAGGGCTGATGACAGCACATGAGCTGCTGGATCAAGCTGTGCCTGAAAACCCACCAAATCCACCCATTGACTGTTCAGGTGTGTGTGTGAAAAGGTATGTGTGCCTGACTTTGACTGTTCAGCTGCGTGTGTTAAAATGAATTTTGCTGAAGCAATTTTTGTTGGTTTTCTGTCAGTTGTCCCTGGAAGAATCCTGGAAATACAAGATGTGAACTTGCAAGACAGTAAGATTTCCAGGCAAGCCCTGGCTGAAGGAACCGGGAGAAGTGTCAATTGCTCTTATGTTTCTGAGAACTAATTTCCTGGCGCCTTGAAGAGCAGCTATGAGAATCTTAAGGGTTACGAGAATCTTAAGGGTTACCAAGGCAACAGAATCAGTCCTTAGAAGTGAGTTTAAGGCTTTCTTTCTTTATTTCTGGCAGATAATTGACAATCCTCTTGCTTGATAAAAATCTACACTGGCTGGTTAAAAAAAAAAAAAAGTGACTGTAGCACCTTTCCATGAATTATTGGTCCACGATAGATTTAGTCAGACTTTTCTCTGCCTCTTACAAAGCCAATTAGGATGATATCAGATAAGATCCATAATAATAGCTAACATTTTTATGCACTTATGTGTCCGGCAGAGTTCTAAAACGCTGCAAATACATAAATTCATTTGACTCTCATGGTTAAACAACTTACAAGACAGGCACTATTATTACCTCTGTTGTATAGATGAGGAAGCTGAAGCACAGAGGTTAAGTCACTTCCACAAAGTCACACAGTTGGTACATAGTGGAATGAGGATTCAAGCCCAGACCTTCTGAATCTAGAGGCTATATTCTTTTCTCATCACCCCTCCAGGAGAAAGGGGGAAAAAGCCCTGCTTTCCATTAATCCCATGACACAAGCCAAGCATGTCCCTAAGCTACTTCCACAGGTGCAATGGGGACTGTGTCTCTCAGGACGAGATAGGCCAGGAGTAGACAGGCATGCTGGGGGCAGGGGCTGCTTTGTGAAATTAGTTGGAAATACATTCCTGGGGAATGTGGGGTCCAGGTACCACTCAATGACCCCTTTCCTCATCCCCTTCTTTCTCACTTTCCACAGTGGCCATACCAAAGTGCCCTTTGTCCTCAAGTCCCCATCTCCCCCAGTCTCTGCTAACGGCCTCATTACCCACTGCACCAAGAAAACAGGGGCCATGCGGCATAACCCCTTCCACTGCCTGCTCCTATAAACTTACCAGTATCTCCAAACAATCTTGGGTTCTTCCATTCGGACTAAGAGGATGTGTTCCTCATCTCAACCAGGACTCTACCCTGATCCTGTTGCCTGCTCTCTTGGAGACTCCTAGGCCTGGTTATTTTATCTCTGCCCTGGCTCCTGCTCTTCAACCAATCAGCCCATCCAAGTCCCTCATAGCCTAAAAAAGAAAATCCAGCCACCAACCCCTTTGAATTGCCATATATCATGAAAGAGGCCTACAGTGGTGCCTCTACTTCCTGATACCCAATCATTCCTTAGCCCACTGTAATCTGGTCTCTGACCACCATGCCCCTCCCTTCACAAACAGTTCCTATGGTGGTCATGGAAGACCTAATCTTACTGAATTCCCTACGGTGTTTGAAGCCCCCTTCTCCTTTTGTAAGCCTCAGCAGTTGAGTATGGTGGTAAAGGATGCTGCTTAGGAGACCGACGGCCCGGGTGCAAATCCCAGCTTCTACCTGTGTGATCTTGGGCAATGGGCAAGTGACTCACTCTCTCTAAGCACCACTTTCCTCAGCTATACAATGGTGGCGATAATGCTCTCTACATGCTAGGGCTATTTAAAGATTAAATGAGAGGATAAATAGAAGGCCAGACCTCTGGATGAGCCATGCATTTCCTCTTTGTTAATTACTGACCACCTTCCTCTACTCGGTGCTGACTTTAGAGCCCCCAGATATCCTTTGCAGAATTATCTGCCCCCCTTAGAGGTAGTAGGGGAGCACAAGCCCCAGCAAGAAAAAATGTGCACCCCAGTGCCCTTGGCATCAGTCAGTCAAGTCCTATTCTCATTCACGCTGTTTGGCCTGCAGTCAGACTCTGAGGTCTGGCCATTTTGGGATACGGACAAGTTCAGATTCCTGGGCCTACAAAGGGTGGCTGGTGCTTGCCCTGAGAAGCCCTGGCTGACTGAGGAGCTGGCAATCTAGGGGACCTGCCCTGAATGAGGGAGACGGAAGCATCAAGAACAACCCCCAGGTTTCCGCTTTGGGTGCCCAAAGAACTCCTAGGCAGAGGGGCAGACCTGGGGAAAGGGACCTTCTATGCAGTGCGGTGCTGGAGAAATGGAGAGGTCCAGCCAGCAGTCATATCACACACAGGGTACAGCTGTGGTGCCATCAGCATGTGGACAGGAGGAGGCCCTGCTTCCTCTTGCTTTCTCCCAGTTGCTACACATGACTGCATTTCCTCAATTCAGTTCAAGGCAAAATTTCCCATTTCTGATAACTGCTGTTGCATTTGCTTGCACCATCACAACCTGAGACCCACTTACCTTTTCAGCTTGACATTTCTTGGTCTACCTTGAAGGTGTGAATTCAGACCTCAGACCAGCATGAGGACCAGCCCGTGGTCCACATTCTAAGAGGAGATTATTTTCTTACCTCCGCCTAGTGCCAGCTGTGAGGCATTCAGATTTCCTTGCTGGCCTGGCAGCCAGGCGGGTTCATTCCTTGTTGACCCTTCCATTGAGAGTGTAGCTCTTTGGTGTCCTACACTCCCTCCCATCCCCCTCACCTTGACTGCTTTTTCTTTCTTAGAGGCTACATATAATAACGGTGGATCTTAACAATCAGGTACCTTATATTAGATGACACACTGTACCTTCCTAAACACAGAGATTTGATCTTATTTTTCCCTACTGAAAGCCTTAGTGACTTTCTCTTTCTTGGAGTGTGAAGGCCAACCCCTTGGCCACAAATACAGGGCCTGTTCTCATCTCTCATCTCCTGACACTTCCCCCTCCTACCCCACACCATGCCCAGGAACCTCAGGTCCACTGACACCAGATGACAGTGATTCCCCAGCAGACTCGCTGCAGGGGCCACTTTGGAGGGCAATACAGAGGATGCTGCGTGGAGCCTCTGCCTCAGAAGTTACAAACAACCTGCATCCAGAGCTCCCGCCCCCATCCCCTCTTATGGCTCATATTTTGTTATTTAATAAGAAAAAAAAGATAAAATTTTCAGGTTTTAGCTTACAAATGTAGAACTTTTTTGAGAAAAAAAGGCATTTAAAAGTAGGATTAAATTTGAGCAATAAAAAGATTATGTTTCAGGAAAATGATAATATTTTATAGATGTACAAGTATTACTTGGGATGCAGACATTTTCAAACCCATATTTAAGTGGTTTCTAAATTTTTAATAGAAAGAGTTTATCTTAACAATATCTTACCAAGTTCAAGCACCAGCATTCTTTGATAAACACTTGTTATAGTGTTCTCGAACTTTGTTGTTTTACATTTTTTATTTTTTACTTTTTATTTCGAAATAATTATAGACTTACAGGAAATTGCCAAAAAAAGCAAGGTTCGAGGTACCTCTGATATTTATTCTATTTTTATTCTTTTGAAACAGGGTCTCGCTCTGTTGCCCAGGCTGGAGTGCAGTGGCGCAATCTCGATTCACTGCAACTTCCGACTCCTGGGTTCAAGCGATTCTCCTGCCTCAGCCTCCAGAGTACCTGGAATTACAGGTGTGCATCACCATGCCTGGCTACTTTTTTTTTTTTTTTTTGTATTTTTAGTAGAGACGGGGTTTCGCCATGTTAGTCAGGCTGGTCTTGAACTCCTGGCCTCAAGTGATCTGCCCACCTCAGCCTCCCAAAGTGCTGGGATTTCAGGCATGAACCACTGTTCCCGGCAGCCAAGATTTGATCTTAGCAGATGCTACAATAGTAACCACTATAACAAAATATGTCTCTAACATTGAAAAGTTAAAGAAAATTTAATAAAGAGGCTTTTATGCATTTTATGTCTCCCATTAAATAACCTTGATATTGAAACTTTTCCATACTCACTTCCATTACCTCCCACTTCCCCCATGCCTGATGGGAGACTAATAATTCACTAGATTTTTAAAATTAACTATCACATCTCTAATAAATTGAAATAAGTTAATTAATGCTAATCTTGAGGAATTGCAGGGAAAGTGTGTCTGGAAACCTGTTATTTTACAAAAAGAGCCTTACATACCTCAGGTCTGTGTGAATTCTCTCCCCTACCTCCGGGGCCCGGTAGAATGGAGACTGACCAGATTTTTCTTTCTCCAGGAAGTCTGCACTAGAACTTCTCTCTCCTGAATCTCATCTGGGTTCCCCAGGCTAGCTGAATGAATCTTCTCAACCATGTTAGAATTAGTTTTGTATGTTGGTCTCTTAGTATAACAGTATGAGTATGGGAAAGACATTAAGTATGGTGGGAAAGTTGTTTTTTGTTTTGTTTTGTTTTCTTTTCTTTTTTTGAGATGGAGTTTCACTCTTGTCCCCCAGGCTGGAGTGCAATGGCACGATCTCGGCTCATTGCAACCTCGGACTCCTGGGTTCAAGCAATTCTCCCACCTCAGCCTCCCAAGTAGCTGGGATTACAGGTGCCCGCCACCATGCCTGGCTAATTTTTTTTTATTATTATTTTAGTAGGGACGGGGTTTCACCATGTTGGCCAGGCTGGTCTTGCACTCCCGACCTCAGATGATCCACCCTCCTCGGCCTCCCAAAGTGCTGGGATTACAGGCATGAGCCACCATGCCCGACTATGGGAAAGTTTTAGAGGCAAATAAAAAAGGTATCTCAAGTCCCAATTACTCCATTCATCCTTTTAAGACTCAAAACTTCTCATTGGTAAAATGAGTACAACCTAGTCCAGAGGAGCTACAGCAGATAATGCCTGTGCCTGTCATTTGGCACAAAGAAAGACATGGTTGAGATTACTGGCAGTGAAAAGAAGATAAAAAAATTGTTATTTTTAAAATTGCAGCTGCTTGAATAAATGCCTTCAGGAGAATGAGAGAATTTCTTTTAGAGAGAGAATTGCCTTTTTGTCTAAGACAATTCTTTGTTTTCATTCTCCCACTTGGTTGTAAAAGTTGAGGCCCTGACCAAGTGTGGTGGCTCACGCCTGTAATCCCAGCACTTTGGGAGGCCAAGGAGGGTGGATCACCTGAGGTTAGGAGTTCAAGGCCAGCCTGACCAACATGGTGAAACCCTGTCTCTACTAAAAATACAAAACCCCGTCTCTACTAAAAATACAAAAAAATTAGCCAGGTGTGGTGGTGCATACCTGTAGTCCCAGCTACTCCAGAGGCTGAAGTAGGAGAATCGCTTGAACCTGGGAGGTAGAGGTGGCAGTAAACCAAGATCACGCCACTGCACTCCAGCCTGGGCAACAGAGCAAGACTCCATCTCACAAAAAGTTGAGGTCCCTCCCGCAACATGGTTTAGAAGAAAAAGAATAAAGTATAAAATAATAATAATAACAAAGTTAAATTCATCCCTTTCTTTTGTTCTTTTTCTGATACCTTCTCTTTCCTTTCTGATCCATTTGGCCCTGAGGCCATCAGTGAGTGGGGTGAGGTAGGTGTCCACAGTGAGGGGCTCTCAGTGGCTAGGAACAGTGTCTCCAAGCCCCAGTGGGGTAAGGAGGGTGTCCGCATGGAAGGACAGCCCCATGCCCAGTGTCAGAGCCTGCATATGGTGAGAAGGACATCCAGATGGGAAAGAGGATAGTAGTAGAGACAGAAGATCAGTTACACACGAGGATGGATCAACTAAGCTGTGAAAGGAAATCTCCAGACCCCAATTCACTCTGCCAAAAGGAAAAACTTAGCCTGAAAGCTGAGTCATGCAAGAAACCGCCTTTCCTTTTGTTCCTAAGCAGACAGCTACAGATAAAAGGTTAAATATCTCCACAGGTAGCTGCTTTATCTTCACCTTACCTTATATAAAGTGTAGCTTTACTGAGCGCAAGATGAATACAGAATTGACTACTCCCCTACCTGCTCCTTTTCTCCTGCAACATATAGACTCAGTAATGTGACCATACCCTCTCTCTTGCCCCACCAACCGCTTTTCCCCTTTAAGTATTTGAAGCCCTCAAAATCACCTTTGGAAAAAGGCAGGATCACAGGTTGTTCCTGTGGATTTATGTTTCTTTTTTCAGGGCATGTCCTTAACGTTGGCAAAATAAACCTCTAAATTGATTGAGACCTGCCTCAGACTCTTTTTGGTTTACAAAGTAAATACATTAAGGGTAGTGGATGCCACTGTCAGGAAAGGGAGTTACAAACAGGAAAGAGAAAAAATGAACCTTGTGGTGGTTGGATTGGAATTGTAGACATCAATGTGAACTCACAGTTTTCCATATATATAGATTTATGAATAAAATAAACATAAATGTGTATATATGTGGAAAGAAAGATTGCTAAGTAGTATTTTATGGTATGAATGTACAATACCACAATTGTTTATCCATCCTGTTGCTAGGCATTTACCTTATTTCCAGTTTGGGGGCTATTATGAATAAAGCTTCTATGAACATCTTTACACAATTCTTTTTGGATACATATTTTCATTTCTCTTAGGTAAATACTCCACAAGTGAAATTATTGGGTCATAGGGTAGGTCTTTGCTTAACTGCATAAGAATTCATCAAATGGTTTTCTGAGTTGGTTGTACCATTTTCACAACCAGCAATGTAAGAGAGATTCAGTTGTTTGACATACTCACCAACATTTGGGGCTTTCAATGTTGCCCCTTGAGTAGGATTAAAAGGCTATCACATTGTGATTTTAATATGTATTTTCCCGATGACTAATAATATTGAGCACATTTTCATGTGCTTATTTGCTGTTCATATGTCTTCTTCCATGAATTGTCTCCTCAAATCTTTTGCCTATCTCTTAAAAATTTGGCTGTTTGTCTTTTTGTTATTGTGAGTTTTTAATATATTCTGCATACAAGTCATTTGTCACTTACATGCACTGTGAATATTTTTCCTACTCTGTAACTTGCCTACTTATTTTCTTAATGGTTTCTTTTAATGAGCAGATTTTAATTTTGATGAAATCTAATTTCTCTTTTTTTCTCTCATGACTATTTATTTTATAAAAATTTTCTACCTAAGAAAATTTTGCCTTACTTCAGGAAGATATTTTTTATGTTTTCTCTTGAAACTTTAGAATTTTAGCTTTTACACATAGGTCTTTGTTCCACCATGAATTACATCTTTATGTGGTATGAATAGTGATTGAAGTTCATTTTATCTTGTTTAATTTATCCAATTATTCCAGAATCATTTGTCAAAAATAATTTTCTTTCCCCATAGGAAATCCTTGATGCCTCTGTCAAAAATCAATAAACCATATATGTATGGGTCCATTTCTGGACTCTTTGTTCTGTTCAATTGATCTATTTGTCTACCCTGACCTAAATAACTCCCTACCATGATCATAGTAGCTCCATAATAAGTATCAGCATCAGATACTTAGAAAGCTCACTTAGTGTGAGCTTTGAGGTTTTCCCCCAACTAGATTGTTTTGGGTATTCTAAGCCCCTTGTATTTCCATTTAAATTGTAAGATTAACCTGCCAATTTCTACAAAAATCTGTTAGGATTGTAGTTGAAATGATATTGAATCTTTAGGTCACTTTAAGTAAACTTGACATATAACAGTATTGAATCTTTCAATCCATGGCATGTATCTTTCCATTTTGCCGGTCTTCTTAAATTTCTCTCAAAAATCTTTTGTTGGGGTGGGTGCAATGGCTCATACCTGTAATCCCAGCACTTAAGCAGGCTGAGATGGGAGAATCACTGGAACCCAGGAGTTCAAGACCAGCCTGAGCAACATAGCATGACATCATCTCTATAAAATTTTTTTAAAAATTCCCTTGGCATTGTAGTGCATGCCTGTAGCCCCAGCTACTCAGAAGGCTGAAGTGTGAGGATCAGTTGAGTCCAGAAATTCGAGGCTGTAGCGAGCTATGACTGTGCCACTGCACTCCAGCCTGGGTGACAAGGCGAGGCCCCAACTCTAATCAAAACAAAACAAAAATCTTTTGTAGTTTTTAATGCAAAAGTATTAAACATCTTTTATTAATTACTGTTTTTGAATCTTATTTTCCAATTATTTGTTGCTATTATATAGAAATGTAATTTATTTTGTATATTAGCCCTCTATCATTAGGATTATCTATACAATCTTGTCATCTTCAAATAAAGACAATGTATTACTTTATTTCCACTCTTTAATTCTTTTTCCTTTTGTTTTATTGCTCTGGCTAAGACCTCTAGTTACAAGTTTGAATGGAAGTGCTAGAAGTGAACAACCCTTCCTTTTATTCTGATTTTAGGAGAAAAATATTCAATATTTCACCATTTTATGTTAGCTGTAGGTTTTTTCATAGATGTACTTTATTTATTTATTTATTTATTTATTTTGAGATGGAGTCTCACTCTGTTGCCCAGGCTGAAGTGCAGTGGCACGATCTCGACTCTTTGCAACCCCTGCCTCCTGGGTTCAAGCGATTCTCCTGCCCCAGCATACTGAGTAGCTGGCATTACAGGCATGCGCCACCATGCCCAGCTAATTTTTGTATTTTTAGTAGAGACAGGGTCTCACCATGTTGGCCAGGCTGGTCTCAAACTCCTGACCTCAGGCGATCTGCCCACCTCGGCCTCCCAAAGTGCTGGGATTACAGGCCTGAGCCACCATGCCCAGCAGAAGTACTTTATTAAATTGAGGAAATTCCCTTCTATTCCTAAGTTTTAAGAGTTTTTAACCATAAATAGATGTCAAATTTTATCATATGCTTTTTTGTTTCTACTGAGATTATTATACAGTTTTTCTCCTTTATTCCATTAATATTGTGAATTACATTGACAGATTTTCAAATGTTAAACCAACTTTACATTCCTGAGGTAAACCTTACTTGGTCATGATGTATTATCATTTTTGTGTATTTCTGAATTCTATTTGCTAATATTTTGTTAAGGATTCTTGTGTCTATGTTCACAAGTATATTTGTCTGTAATTTTCATTTCTTCAAATGTCTTTGTCAGGTCTTAGTATGAAAGTTATGCTGACTTTATAAAATGAAAGTTTCCCTTCTTCTCTCTTTTTGAAAGAGTTTATGCAAGATTTGTATTTTTTCCCTTAAATTTTTGATAGAATTTACAAGTGAAATCATAGAGCCTTGGAGTTTTCTTTGTGGAATATTTTTTATAGTTAATTCAACTTCTTTATGAAATATGGGTTATTTGGATTATCTATTTCTTCCTGTTTTGATTTTGATAAGTTGTGTTTTTCAAGGAATTTGTTCATTTCACATAAATTATCAACTTCATTGCCATAAAGTTGTTCATAGCATTTCTGAATTATCATTATAACCTGTAAGATTGGTAATGATATCCTCTCTTTCATCCCTATATTAGTAAGGTGTATTTTCTCTCTTTTTTAATTGATCGATCTTGTTAGAGGCTTACCAATTTTATGAATCTTTTCAAAGAACCAATTTTTGACTGAGTTAAAAATCCCTGCAGCTTGTTTTCCAATATACTGACTTCTGCTTTTATACTTATTATTTCCTTCTTTCTTTGGGTTTACTTTTCTTTTTGTTCTACATTTAAAAATGGAAATTTGGATAACTAATTTTAAACCTTCCTTCTTTTTCTAATACTAACACATTAGAGCTATTAATTTCCCTCTAAGCACTGCTCTACCTGCACCCCACAAATTTTGAAATATAATATTGAATTTTCATTATCCCTCAATCTGAATATTTTCTAATTCCCCTAAAATGTCTCCTTTGATCCATGGTTATTTATAAATGTGTTATTTAATTTCTAAATATGTAGGATTATCTAGGTAGTTTAATATATGATCTAATTTCATTGTGGTTAGAGAACATACTCTGTAAGATTTCAATATTTTGAAATTTATTGATATAAAACAAGTATATAACTTACCTTATAGAAAGTAGAAAGTGGCCATCAGAGAGGTGTAAATAAAATGCCATGGGAGTTAGAGGAGGGAGAGGTAAATTCCAACTATATTAAACAATGGAAGACTTATGGAAGGAGGTGGGATTTGAGCTGGGTTTTGAAAGATAGATAGAATTGGGAAGTAAGGAGATAGAGGGACAACAGGCAGGAAAAGCTACAGTTAGACTCAGCTTTCTTTAAAAGGCGTAACTATGATTACCTTTTATGAGACCCAAGGCCTCAGAGCACTGCTGGGAAAGTGACTGCAGACCCATGGCCCCAGTATTCTTCTCTCAGTTGCCTCTAAATATCTGTTTTCAAATAACCACTTAGACATTTTAAACTCTGAATTTGGCCACCTCCTGTTTTAGAAACTGAAGCAGTAACATGTACTTTAAACTCACAATGAGAAGGGCCAAATTTCATAACTTGAAAAGCAATTTCCTTTTTATTTTTAGGATATGCACCATTCTATGATTTCTTTTTCTGCCCACAGATCTGGGAGCATGAGTGTGATACACTGAGACATTTGTGTTCCTAGTCACAGCCTCTCCCTTTGGGGAAGTTTAGACTTCTTAATGATGTCATTGGAGAAAACTTCACTTATCTCTATGGTCACATGGCAAGAGTCACTCTTAGAAGTGTCATGGGTAGAAGGCAAGTGGCTCCTCGGGATCTGTGTCATCTGAAAGAAGCTCCTGGTCAGAGCCCCCTGAGCGAGTGATACAAAAAAAAAAAAAAGTCTGGGCCTGAGATCATTATCCTTCAGCCAAACACATGGAGGCCACAATTCAGATCTGCATACTCCCAAATCTGTGTGAGCTGAGACTAATTGTAGTTTTTCCTGCCTGCTGTCCCTCTATCTCCTTATTTCTCAATTCCCAAACACACATAGGCCACAGTTCAGATCTGCTGGCATCTTTAGGGGTGTACAGCCACCATCCCAGAGCTCCAGGGCAGGGCTGGTATTTTCTTCCCCACTTCATATGCCTCAGCTCCCAGAGTGGCATTTGTGGAAGTTCATCAAGTGGACAGGCAGAGCCAGCCTGAGCTTTCTTCTTCCCTGAGCTCTGGTCCACAGCAGGAGTGGACTTTACCCTGAACTTCCCTCGAGAGATAAGACTGTTGCCCTTATCTTTGGTGATTCCTGGGGGTTGAGTTCCCAGTGTGGAAAGGTTGGTTTGGAATGTTTTCTCAGATGTACTCTGACATGCTAACACCCACATTCCTGCCTAAACTAAATAGTCCTGCCAGCCCTGCCAGATGTCATGGTCTTTTGTTGCCATAGATGCCCCTGGAGGAAAGGGGTAAAGGGCTGACCTGGAATAAACATGAGCCCTTGATAGCCATGTCCTTAAAAGACTGAGAAGCCACACCAAGCAAAGTGTGGCTATCAAGACCTCTAGTTCCAGATATAGTCATTGAACATAATTCCTGGCAAGAAAGGGGTAATCCAAAGTCAGGCAAAGGTTAGTCTTCTGTGGGTCTAATGAAGTCTATTTGAAGAGTTCATCCTGATGCCTCATTTGGCCTTGCTGAGGTGTGTCCTTTAGCCAGAAGCTATACGGGGCACACTAGCATATATCTGGGGCACACTAGCATGTATCCAGAGCACACTAGCATGCCTGTCCATGTGCGACACATTTTAGCCATGTGTTTACAGTGAAACCTGGCCAAAGGACTCCACCTCCAGTGAGCAGCCCCTCCCTGACTTTTGCAACTCTGAGTCTGGAAGGGTTCCCTATCCAGGATGGTGATGAAGATGAAACTGTCCCTAGAATGTCCCTCTTCAGAGGCAGTCTGATGAGTTCATGTAGGAGACACAGACAAAGGTTAAGAGCAGAAAGTGCCTGTGATGGCATCTGGTTGTGAGGCTTTCAAGTCTGGATGGTCTCAACAAAGCCTGCCAGGCCAGTTCTTAACACGGGACAAAGACTGGACATCTGGTTCCCTCCCACTCCAAGTGAGGAGGGCAGAAAATACAAGGAGACTATGGGCTAGAAGCCCTCTGAGGCTAGTTAGCCTGGAAGAGTTTGAGAGAGTTTAGTGACAAACACTTCAAACTCAAGTCCAGTACCTTACTCCTGATTGTTGCTTTAGGTTGACTACCCTCATATCAACTCAATAACTTTTCCTCCTTCTCCTCCCTACTTTCCTCTCTCTCTCATAGTAGAGGGGGGCCAGTATTTGAAGAAGTACAAGATTAGGAGGCATTGGGGTTGAGACTAGGAACTAGGAAAAGGTCCAAGTGAAAAAACTAAATGCCTGATCAGGACTTATGGCATATGTTTGTTAAGAGAGAGGTGGAGGGATTGCTGATAACCAGAAAGGCCAAGACACGTCTTGTTGCGAAGGCCTCCTATAGATTCTGATAGTGCATTTATAAGCCAAGCCAAATGCCACAGACAGACATGTTCCAAACATAATGGGTTCCATGGGCTTGGGTAAAATGGATGTCATACTTGCTTGAGATGTTTCCAATATCTTCCCAGACTGCACCCAGAGCACTAGCTATTAAAACAACGTCACCGAAACAGGAGTGCCCTGGAGTGCTCCACCCTCCACTCTGGGGGTTAGGCTTTGTGCATTAGCATACATTCCCAGCACTTATTAGAACTCCCTCCTGAGTACAAGATACTTGGCTTCCAACATAATTGGTTTACATTTAAGTGCCCAAATGTGATTATATAACTTTGATTAAATTAACAGGTCTGACTTGATTTGAACCTTGCTCAGGTATGAGCCAAACAGTCATCTAAATAATAATTAAAACAAGACAAACCAGCCTTGCTGGACTCCAGTGTTGGGAACTGAAGGAACTTCCGAGTCATCAGATGGAGTTGATGGATCCAGAAGCCCAGCTCCCAACACTATGCTCACTTGCCTTTGAGGCTCAGTGCTGTGGTCTGGGGCACCCCAGCTGTGGCCAGCAGGGACTCTCAATTGCTTGCTCTTTCCAACTTAGCAATGATGAAGCAGAGTCTAGGAGTTGAAAGCAGAGCTAGGATTTTAGTTCAACACAAAGGGTTGAAGGCTATTCTCATCTAACCTCCCACCCTGTTTAGAAACCCCTGACTGTTGTCACACCTCTGCCTGGCCTGGGTTAAGAACCAGAAGCCCACTACCCCCACCAATCTTAAATGATTCCAACTATGATCAACCTTCCTTTGTTTTGATCTCAAATCCACTTTCCTATAATTTTCATTCAAAAGTTATTTTCTCTTTAGGCCTCCCATGCCATTTCTCAACTCCCTCAGCCCACTCACAATAAATTCTGGAACCCAGAAAGCTTACTCTGCCACAGTATGTTGATCAGTGGCTTAGACTCTTATGAAACTCAATCATAAGATGGACTCTGCCCTGACTTTTGAACATCACAGCTTCAGATCTGGCAGGGGTCAGAGGAACTAAGGAACTCAGTGCTATGTTGTATGAAATCATTTTGAAGACTAGAACAAAATCGGAGAGGAAAACGAAATAAGTATTTTAAATCAGAGCTTTTGCCAACATAGCGGCATATGTTGATGGGAGAATCTGAATATTTTCTGAATAAGTTTTTGTAGCAAACTGACAGTGCCATTTATGATTAGTTTATAATGATATTGTGTGACTTTCATAATATTAGACATGGATCCCAGTGAGGGCCAGTGTGGGGAAGGGGAAGCCAGATACTCAATATCTTGGTTAGATGTTCTATATCCAGAGAATAGAATTATTCCCAGTTTACACAATGTTATGGCACCTGTGATGCTGTACTATAGGCAGCTATGTACCTGCTTGTCTCTGCCACTAGACTATGGGGTTCTTGGAGGCAGGAAGCATATCTTCTCCATCACCGTGCCCTCAGGGGTGGCATGGGATAGGCTCTCTGCAAGTGTTTGGTGGATAAACTGATTCATAAAAGATGTTCATTCCCTGGCTGGGTTACCAGTTCCCAGGGGTTCATCAGTGGTGTACTCTGACTTCAGCCTTGCACTGTGTATCTCAGCACACTTACATTCATAGGTGAACACATCCAGGACAGCAAACCTTAAATGTAGAGATCAGGAGGTGACTTATAATAGAGGAGAATTACTTACTTTAAAAAAAGATTTGCCACACAGCCATCCTAAACAATGAACTCCCCTCCAACATTTAAAATGATCCAATTTCTAAAACTTTGGGGCCAGGTACAGTGGCTCACACCTGTAATCCCAGCACTTTGGGAGGTGGAGGCAGGTGGATCACTTGAGGCCAGGAGCTCGAGACCAGCCTGGCCAACATGGCAAAACCCCGTCTCTACTAAAATTACAAAAAAAATTAGCCGGGCCTGCTGGCACATGCCTGTAATCTCAGCTACTCGGGAGGCTGAGGCAGGAAAATCACTTGAACCCGGGAGGCGGAGGTTGCAGTGAGCCGAGATCGTGCCACTGCACTCCAGCCTAGGAGACAAAGCGAGACTCTCTCAAAAACAAAAAACAAAAACTGGCCAGCAATTGAGTGCACATATCATAGGGGAATGACACCACACTCAGCTACTGAAGACACTGTGGGTCCATGGCAAATGATGTTTGAGTTCAGCCATGCCAAACTCAGAGATCAACCTTGACATCACTTTGATCTTTTCCACATTTCTGCTGCCATTTGCCATCAAATCCAGAGACCTGGAGGAAAAGTAAGAAGAAAGAACTTTCAGTGGTTTGAGATAAGCTCCTTTTCACATCCCTGAGCTCAGGGCAGGCAAAGCCTGGTGAATGCGGCACACAAGGCCCAGGGTCCCTGCCCTTGGAAGCATGCACACTGCAATACTGTACATCCCCATGGTCCCTAGGGTCAAGGATAGGATGTCCACATTTAAGTGCTATTATTTAATCATAACAGCCTGTGTGGCATTTTTCAGATAATGGAGCTAAAGCTTAGAGAGATTAATGTCACCCAAAGTCACACAGGTGAGGGCTGGGCATTAAACTCGGGCCTGCTCATGTCCACATGGGGAGGACCAGAACTCCCAAGGGCTTCCCCAGATGGAGTGTGTCTGGCCCACAGCATGAGAGAAGGGGCACTGCTACCTTTGGCTTCTTGGGCAGGGCAACTGTTCTCTTCAGGTTTTGATTTCTTATTACATGCAGAGAACTCCTCTGTTTTCCGGGTCTATTTGTAAATTACTTAGAAAAACCTGTCTGGGTGTCCATTCTGCTGTCAGGGCAATGGGAAGTGGGAAGCCAGCAGGTGAGTGGGGTGCCAGTGATTTCCTGTCATGGGGGGCTGGACTGGGTTCTGACGCCACTCTGCTATCACTTCCCCTGCCTTCTTTCCCTGTCTCCCCACGCCTCTTCCCGCACACTCAGTCCATAGGATCGGGGAGACACCACAGTGGTCCTGGCATCCCCACACTTCAATTCTGTCTTGGCAAGTGTCAAATAGAGACCCTGCCTTCCAGATACCCAACTCGGGGGCTTGGCCTAGTTTACAAGCCAAAAAGAGGAGAGAAAGTCTATCAGGAGTCCTTCATAATCTCCAGACTAAAGGAGAGTGTTACTGTGGGAGAACCAATGTCCTCAGGTGGTCTCTCTTCAGGCCTTTGCCTAGAGTAAGCCTGTTATGTGGCATCAGGAGTGGCCTCAAGATGGCTAGGGTGGTCCTGCCCTCTGAGAATGAAGGGGCTAGAATAAAATGGGTGAATTAGTTTGCTTCCCATTGTTCGCCCTAGCCAGAGGAAGCTTTGTAAAAGATGGCTCTAATCCGATTAGCCCCCAGTTAATAATCTCCTTGCCTCATCTGCAGAATCCTGGCCCTTCATCCTTGCCCCACCCACCCCTCCTCTTCTTCAGTCTCTTCCCCACCCCATCTCCATCCATGCTTTGCCCTCACTGTACCTCCTCTTCATCCTCAAACACCCCATGCACTTTGACACCATTGAGACTTTGTTGTTCCTTCTACCTGAAGTAGCCCTCCCTCAATCCTCTCCTCACCATCTTCACCCAGCTCAGTTGTCACCTTCTTGCTGTAGCTTGCCACATGTCAGGCAAAATTAATTGCCCCTCATGCAAATTCCCATAGCACTTGAATGTGTCTCTATATCACTCATCATGAGAGCTATTTGCTCATATGTGTCTCACTGGTTGGATGATACACTCTTTGGAGAGGAGTGATTACTTTATATTCCTGTATATCCCTGGGCCCTAGAACATGGAAGGGGGTGCATGAATGTTGTCAGGAAGTGGCTGCAACAGTGGAAGATATTCTTCAAGGGGGTCCTGGGCAGCTCCCTGGGGTCGAGTACAAAAGACAGGCTCCTAAGTGACCGGACCTCTTCTCCCTCCCTTACCAAATTGTCTGATGGGTCACAGCTTGGGTCCACCAGCTCTGGTGCAAAAGGTCATTCACCAAAGGCAGAGTGAGGTTTGGGAGCTCCAAGGTTTTTTTGAGGGACATCAAGGTTACTTTTTAAACCTATGATGATGGTTCCCCACAAGAGAGGTGGAGACAGAGAGGTGGGGTTCACAATTTTGAGCTAGGTAACTTAGAGCAAATTGCTTAATCTCTCTGAGGTACAATATCCTCATCTATACAAATGGGGAAATACTACATACCTCATGTTCCTGTGGAGATTAATAACTACTCTTTATTGAATTCACTGTAGAGCTATGGGCTCTACAAATATCATCCAGTGAGAAAGTGACAGAGACAGAATCAGAAGTTGTACCACCATTCAATATGAAAAGGACGTTGGAAATTGCGAACATCTACAAAAATGTTAGCTATACATTTTTCTTTTTCTTTTTCTTCTTTCTTTCTTTCTTTCTTTTTTTTTTTTTTTTTGAGATGGAGTCTCACTCTGTCGCCCAGGCTGGAATGCAATGGCACAGTCTCGGCTCACCACAACCTCCACTTCCTGGGTTCAAGCGATTCTCCTGCCTCAGCCTCCCGAGTAGCTGGGATTACAAGCGTGCACCAACATGCCTGGCTAATTTTTTTTATTTTTATTTTTATTTTTTTAGTAGAGAAGGGGTTTTGCCATTTTGGCCAGGCTGGTCTCGAACTCCTAACCTCAGGTGATCCACCCGCCTCGGCCTCCCAAAGTGCTGGGATTACAGAGCTATAACTATTTATTGAAAGTATTTAGGTCTGAAAATATTTGTCCTGTTGGGAACTGAAACTAGAAAAAGAAAGACATTTTTTTTTCTGGGCCACTGTGAGTAGCTGTTGCAGGAAGTGCAAAGGCGAAGGGGTGGTAGGAACAGCTAGTTGTCCACCAACAAATTGTGCCTTACCTTCCATAGGCTTAATGGTTTCTGAGACGTGGCAGCCCAGCCAGGGATTGCACTTCCTGGCTCCCCTTGCATGTAGGTGGAGCTATGTCATACCTTCTCCTGTGGAATGTGATCAGAAGAGACAGGTGTCACTTGCAGGTCAAGATGGTTAAGAAGAGGGTGTGACTTGCCAAAAGATAGAAGCAACTTGGGTGTCCATCATGGATGAATAACTAAACAAAGTATGGTGTATACTGCAATGGAAGGAAATTCTGACACCTTCTACAACATGGATAAACCTTGAAGACATTACACTAAATGAAATAAGCCAGTCACAAAAGGACAAATATTATATAATTCCACTTATATGAGGTACCTAAGACAGTCAAATTCATAGAAACAGAGAGTAAAGTGGTGGTTTCCAGGAGCTGAGGGAAGGAGGGAAGTGGGGATTTCATGTTGTTTAATGAGTGCTGAGTTTCAGTTTGGAAAGATGAAAGAGTTCTGGAGATGGATGGTGGTGATAGTTGCAAAACAGTGTCAATGTACTTAATGCCACTGAACTGTACACTTAAAATGGTTAAAATGGGACATTTTATGCTATGTATATTTTACAATAGTTGAAGAAGAAAGAAGAGGAGGAGCAAGAGGAGGAGGAAGAGGAGGAGGAAGTGGAGGAGGAGAAGGAGCTGTGACTTCTCCATATCTGCCAGTTGGAGGTGGAGAACTTTTAGGCCATAGGATGAAAGAACCACACAAGGGAAATAGCCTGTGCCCCTCAATCACCACATGACAAAAGACCCTCACTGACTAGGAATCTGACATTGGAATCTTATTTGAGTGATAAATAGACTTCCAATGTGTTAAGTCATTGAAATTGGGATTCAATCTGTTGCAGCAGCTAATAGAACCCTAACACGACCCACAGCTGATATTCACAGCTGATGTGGGAGAATGGCTACCGGTGCAGCAGGGTCCCCTGTGAAAGAGATAGGGGGTAGTTTCAGAAATGGGCATGGTTTGAGACAGAGAAGACATTTCTGCTGAGGGCCCAGCTTCAAGTTCAGCAGTTCTCAAAAATTAAGTCACAACCCTTTGTCTGCAAGGTGGCTTCCAAGGACTTTGTTTCTAAGGTAACTCAGAGGAGCTTACCTCCTTGAAAGACATGTCACCCATTCTGGGTTAGGAACTGGGTGTGGGCTTGGGGTATGGAAGGTAGGGGAAGAAGGAGACTGTGGTCCTCAGTCTGTGAGGGGTAGGCATGAGATCAGTCCCCACATGCTCTCATAGGCAGATCATGCCCTGGGTAAGTGGCTCTGCCATTCCATTTGAGTGGCAGCTCCTTAGCTGAGCATAGCATTGAAAGAAGGCAGGGATTGCCGTGTCTTGTGCTGAAAGGACAATTGTCAGTAGGATATATACCATGGCTGCTAGCTGTGACCAGAGCTAGCCACAAACTCCATGATCAGCAGCAAAGGAAGTCCCAGCATCAGGAGTGTAGAGGAGGTGAGAGTGACCAGGACAAGCTCTGGGGCTCAAATGGGGCTGTGGAATTTCAACTGCAGCTACAGTGTGTGGAAGGACTTTCCTGGCTGTCCAAGCCCCAGTCCCTCTGCCTCTGGCAGCGGTCTGGGACCCCCTGGGCATGGCAGGGGCTGAGGAGCCCCACAGCCTCCAGGCATGCATCTGAGATGGTTCCAGTAGCCCAGGAGACAAGGACTGACCCTTGGCTTTCTCATAAGCATCCTGGTAACCTGGACTTCTTGGGCTCATCACAGGGAAATGACCCTGGGAAAGAGAGAAAGCCATTCTTGCCAGAGGGGAGATGAGGCTAGAGCCAAACTCACAGGACACATAAAAGAGATGCAGCCTCACTTCATCTCTCAATTTTGCAAAGAATTCACCGTTTTAATGAATTAGAGCAATTCAAGGTCACCCTATAATAACAATGCTCTTACTTACATGCATTCTTTCTTTCCTCCTAAGCTAGAGAGGAAGAGGTGAAGTTAGGGTTTGGGAGCTGGGAATTGCAAACAAATTTGACAGTTGTGGCCAAATCTCGCAATGTGCATAGGGGTGAGTCATGTAGGTAAAGGTCATGTGAGTTACATTAAAATACAAGTTGAAAATGATTGGTTTTATAGGTTTTTATCAGAGATTTAATGTTTATTAAATGTATGAATGTTTCCCTGTCCCTTATAGTGTAAGATCTCCAGAATTCTCCCACAGTGGCCATTAACACTGCTGTGGGTTCTTACCTCTCTTTAGCTTGTCCCTGGCATTCACCCTGTAATGTGACACCAGGTTCTGAGGCCTCCAGAGATGACAGACTGCAGAACATTCAAAGAAAAAGTAAAACACAGACCCTGCCTCTCTTTGCATCCCGTCTCTTGGAGTTTCCTGGAGTCAGTCCTCCATCTTCCTACAAGGTGGTGTCTGTTTCTTTCTCTCACTCTGGATTAATGTTTGCGTTTTCCTTCACCAAAGCCCCAAGGGGAGACATAGCACCTTGCCCAGGGTCTGAGCCCTATTTACAGAAAGCTGTTTTCGCTTTCCTGACATTTTTCACAGTCTCTTATGCATCCTCAGCCTGGGCCTTGTACAAATACTAGCTGATAAACATCTGATGCCAGTCTTTGAAATGGTCCAAGGCCACCTGGGTCCTGCTACCACTTCCTGGGGTTGATCCCAGGATTAGGGCTGAGCAACAGCCCCTCCCGGCCACCTGATCTGGGCAGGGCCCTGCTAGGAAGGGGAGGTCTGGCTCTGGCTATTGAAGGCTGACTCAGGGCAGCCAAGCCAGGATTCCAGCTCCCACAGCATGAGGAGTCCTCTCCTCTCCCCTCTGCTCTCTTGCCAGGATGATACACCCCTGTCTCCCACTGTCAGCGCTCACCTGCATGGGAAGCACTCGCTGGGTCACGAGACTATTTTCCCATTTCCTTCAGCACCAGTGGCTGTGGTGACTTGAGGTCATTTAGAGACCTGCCAGCTCAGTCTCCTCTGTCCTTCTTGCTCTCTTGCTGCCTCTGGGAAGGGCTGAGCTATTCCTGACACCTGGAGTAGGACAACAGCACGAGGAATCCACGCAGAGCTGAATATAAGCAAGCTGGGCTCCTCATGCATGACAAAATGCAAGCTCATGAACCCTCTACGTGCCTGGAAAGGCCACTGTCCCCAGGATGTCTCCATATTCTCCATTTGGGGGTGGGGAGGCTTATGTTCTCACCTCTGGCTCCTAGTTTCTGCTTCCACTGAGTTCTTTCAGTTTGAGTCACTTTGCCATCCCGTGTACACTGTCCTGGGTCTGCACTCAGATGTGGAACTCAGACCTTTGCCTTGATTTCCACAGAAAACAAACCAAACACCCGTCTAAGACTTCTGTTTAGGCAGCAGACTCTGTCAAGGGCTGCTCAGCCAAGAGGATTTACACTGCAGCAGAACAAACAACTTCAAGTGGGGTTTTTGATCTTTAATGATCCTCTTTGAGGCCACTCCCAGCTCCAGAGATTTCCCAGGGATCAGACCATGCCCTGTTGCTAACGAAGCTCATGTTTTCACAGGTTGATGAACGGCCTATACTGGAACAACTACTGGGGGGCTTGGGGGGTCTGCTCTGTGTGTGTGTGTGTGTGTGTGTGTATAAGAGAAGGAGATGGTGGGTTTTATTTGTTGGCTTGTTTCTACTTTGTTTTGTTTGGAGACTTGGTTGTAAGTGAACCTTTACATTTGGAGATAGGTGTCCTGCTCTTTGCAGTGCCCACTCACCAGAGTAACCTCTTAGACCCCATCCACAAAATCCAAAGAGTTGAAAAGAACACAAATGCTGTCCAGCTCAGGAGTCTTCAAGTATTTTGCTTGCATTGCATGTCCCCTAAAATAATGTTGGAACATTATATATCCCCTTTGACAGTTTTTTTTTCCTCCTCTACTCTGAAGGGATGCCTTAAAATTTTTGTGTTGGTATTTTAAATCTCATTTTGAGTTTAAATAGCTGAAAAATGTTACATTTTACTGTAAATTTGAAATCTTTTAACATTTTAACAGTTAAACATTTTGGAATAACTATAAGCCACTATTTAAATGTATCAAAATAGAATTGGAATGTTTTAGCAATTTAATATGTTCCATTTTTTTAAAAAAAATCACGAACAAGCTCTTCTTTAACAGTCAGAAATTTTACATTATTCCTTTTTTCTCCTTGAGTTTGTATTTCCACTCCTCTTTCCCTAAAGAACTTTATCCTGATATAATATACATTTATGATCAAAGTCATTTATTAATCGCCTTATCATTTCTCTTAAAATGTATACAAATTCAATTTTTTTTCCTTTTCTGTGACCATAAAGCTCTAAAGCTACGTTGTCCAATACTGATATTATGGAACACTCATTAGTTTCTCCTTCATCTTTGTTAAAATAATTGGATAGTGTTAGATTTGTAAAAGGATTAATAATCTAATTATTAGCATAATTCACTCCTTCAGCTCAAATCAATACTTTAACATTATCTCTTTGGACCCTCCACCAGCAATGAATAAGAGTTCCTATAGCAGCAAAGATGATCCACCCTTCTTGGGGAGGCTTGTGTAGAAGGTGGCTTTAAAAAACATTCATTTTCCCCATTTCCTCCTCCCTAATATGGGTTTTGCATCTGGGCTTCCAGGGTATCCCAGATTCATAACCTACTTCCTGAGATGTGGGGGTTCCTTTGGCTCTGGAGTGGGGGCCAAGGTGAGAGAGGTTCTAAAGTCAAAACTGTTGTGAAATGCCACAAAGCCACTGGGGACAGCTGTGAGTTGAGGTTCTGGAAAGGAGAATGAGTCACTGCAGTTATTGTTAGTCTGTGTATCCACTTCGGTCTCATTTGGAAAATGTGGAATGACTTGCCCCCCCTCAATAAGGCCCCTCACATTACCAACCATGATTCTTGGGCTCTCAATGCAATAGAAATTCACACAAGGCCCAAAGAGTTTTTCCAAACAAGGCTTCACTGGAGCTTATGCCTGGACATAAAAGAGGCAGCGAGAGAGAGAGAGAGAGAGACAGAGACAGAGACAGAGAGAGAATTCCCTGACTTACTCCCCCAAAAGAGCCCTGCTTTTTTATTAGGCAAAGCGCAGGAATTAACATGGGGCATGAGGTATACAGGGTGGGCTGGGCAAAGCACCTGAGGGTAGGGGATGAGGGTCAGCATATCTGGTTGCCACGGTTATCTTGAGTAATGGACCACCTGATGCTCTGGTCAGTGGCAACAAGGCGGTAACTCAATTGTTAGCATTCCTTCCCGAAGTGGGACACTTCACAACCTTGTTATCTCCAAAGGCCAGTGCCTGAAATTTGTAAAGTAAAAGGCATGGTTGCACATTATGGTATCAGCGAGGCAGTAGTGTGGGTTTTGTGATCACTAAGAATGCTCCAGCAGGGGTGAGCTGAAGCCGAGCCGCCATCTCCACTGTCTCATTTGGTCCTCCCTTAGAGCTCTCCCTCCCCGAGTTCACCTGCCTGATCAGCCAGAGCAGATTTCCTGCACATCTAGGTTCTTTACACCCTCTAGCCTACAAAGCACGAAGAGGCCCCTATTGGCCCTCTGGCTCTAATGGACTGAGAAGGAGCTTAGCAGGAGAAAAAGTGAGTTTCCCAGCCCCATCCTAGGAGAGAGTCTAGAAGGCTTGTTCTTCCTCAGAAATGTGAACAGTAGAGATGATTTTTCTATCTCATTATTCCAAAGAATTCTCAGGCAGTGACCATGAATAGCTTATAATTCTCTGTCTTTAAAAACGAAAACACACACCCCTGGGAATAATTGCGCCCACAGGAAGTAGGCTGGCCCGAGTGCACACAGCCAGGAAGAATAAGAACCCTCCATGTTTACTTCAGAGCAAGGTTTTTAGCAGGGAAAATGTTGCTAGGTTGTGTCTACTCCCTCCAGTGCCCTCTTCCCTCCTCCCTCCCCACAAATCCCCCACTTCCGTCACATATTGGCAGGAACTTGCTGTTCCTTGGCCAGCTGGGAGGCCTGCCAGAGCCCTTCCATTTTCCGGAGGGCTTCTCTTCTATTTCTAAACAGAGTTGTTTGAAACCGGATGCTACACAGAGCCAATCTCCTCACCCTTCAAACCCCCTCCCTGACCCCTGACCCTGTGAAGCAGGCCCCTCCTCCCTTTATTGTTCTTGACTCTGGGCCTGTCCCTGTAACCAAAGCCAATGAGTTGGGGGCAGGGGCCGGCACAGGCTGCAGGCCAAGGGGGAAAGCTGCCAGAGGAAATTTCACAGGGTAAAGAGGCTCCCAGAAGAGCCACGTTGTCCCTCAGCCCCTCCCATTTCCCTCTCCCTCTGCCCTGCTGTCCTGGAGGGCACAAGAATGAGACCAGCCCATCGAGGAAGTCCCTCACTTGAGCAGGGCCAGACTTAGGCCATCACAGAACACAGGGAGAGATTTCTAGTTGGAAAAACAACCAAAGGACTGTCTATGCCCTTCATTCATTTAGCTGTAATAGATGGCTCTTTTAACAGGTGTCCATTCATTCATACTGTCACTCATTCATTTTCTATTCAACAAGGTGAGGTAGGAGGTGGCACTCAACTCCAGAGGCATGGCTTGGACACTTGGACACGGGACCAGATTGAGGACTAGCTAAAACGGCCCCAGAGAAAGCCGCTTTCAATCAGACACGCCCACTAGTGTGCCGGGTCAATTCACCGTTGCCATAGCAACATGTGGGCGTTACCACCCTTTTCCATGGCAATGACCCAATGACCCAAAAGTTACTATCCCTTCCCTAGAAATTGCTGCATAAACTGTTCCTTTATCTGCATGCAATTAAAGTGCGTGTAAATATGACTGCAGAATGGCCCTGAACGGCTACTCTCTCCCTACACAGTAGTCCTGCTCTACAGGAGCAGTCATGGAACTGTAACACCTCTTGAACCCGGGAGGCGGAGGTTGCAGTGAGCTGAGATTGCACCACTGCACTCCAGCCTGGGCAACAGAGCGAGACTCCATCTCAAATAATAATAATAATAGTAAAATAATGATAATAATAATAAAGCTGTTTTCTTCTGTCTCCAGCTTGCCCTTGAATTCTTCACTGGGCAAAGCCAAGAACCCAGTGGGCTAAGCTCCACTTTGGAGCTTGCCTGCCCTGCGTCAAAGGCATCCACTGTACCTGCTATTGTTCATCACAGCCATTGGGCTATGACAGTAGATAAAACAGGCCAAAATACCTGCCCTCCTGGGTTTTGTACCGATGGATGTTAGAAATTTCATACAAGGGAAGAAGGAATAGGAAGTCCTTGGAAATATGATAATAAAGAGAGTAGTCAATGACAATAGCCGTTGACCCTGTTGCAATCTTAAAGGGATATGCCGGGTCACCAGGCCCGAAGCCAGATCTGACAGTCAGGAAGACCAGAAACCAGCCAAGAGTCTAATGGCTAACAGAAGTGGCAAATCAGAAACATGGCTTTGGATTTCCTGCTGCAACAGATGTGTAGAGGGGAAGCAGATGGGCTCTGCTCAGGTTTGGGAGGCAGGGCATTCTGGAGGTTTCCCTCAGGCTGGCCTCCATGCCTGCTGCCACTGTCTTGGCTGCACCATCATAACCACACATCATCCACAGCAACGGGGGAGGACCCAAAAACAAACAACCTTGGCCTTCCTCAAGAGCTGTGGTGATGTTCAAGTCATTGCAAAAAAATTTCATTTTCCTCAGTGAACTAGTCCTCACGTGTGGGGGAGGCTTTGTCACTGGTCCTGATTATTGCTTCTTGGGCAATACCTCCAACATTTTGCTTTCAGTTTCTCTGCTTCCAGCGTATCTGTCCCATGCTAGCGATCTATAATTCATTCAAACATACACTAGGTAGCAACCATGTGTCAGGCCCTGCACAGGGTGCTGAAAATGCCCTTCTGGAGGAGAGAGACACGAGTGGTGCCTTGAGGGCTGTCATGAGAGAGGCAGGCATGCCATGAACAGCACACACCTGGGCTGAGCTCTTGTGGAGGGATAGTGAGCCAGGAGCTCTGCGGGCAGCCGGGAAGGAGGGCACTCCTGACTCAGCCTTGGGTCCTTG
This sequence comes from Homo sapiens, assembly GCF_000001405.40. NCBI lineage: Eukaryota > Metazoa > Chordata > Mammalia > Primates > Hominidae > Homo > Homo sapiens. The sequence goes on from NC_000002.12 coordinate 64,406,330, forward strand.
AGAATTCGCTTGGCATTTTTTGGTAGGTTGCACTGTGCTAGGCACTGCCATTTCAAGAAGGCATAGCTTAGCTCAGAAGGGACAGTGAACGTTCATTTGAGATGAATGAATAGAACTTTCCAAGGCAGGCAGGCAACTATGGAGAAGAAGTGGGGGAGGCGTGCAGTCAGAGTGAGCAGCCTCTGTAGAGCTGAGAGCTGGGAAAGGGCAGGGTTCATGGGAAGGCCAGGGAGTGGTGCTCATGATGGGAGCCTGAGGGTGGGGGAAGGGAGGTGGCTGATTGGAGGGAAGCTTGGTGCTGGAGGGTGGAGAGGACAGAGGGCATGGAGGCCATGCCAAGGAAAGTTTGGACTTTATCCTATAGTAAGCAAGAAGGAACTATGGAAGGCTTTTAAGGCTGGGCATGATATGATCAGATCTGGGAGCTACAGACACACATATACACATATAGATAGCTATAAGAGAAATTCAAACATCTAAATAGTCTCTCTCTATATACTTTAAGTACACATATATGCGTATATTTCACCCATACAAACCTAGATCAGTTATTGTGCTTTTCTTCCTCTATCACTTCTCCCCTGTACAGTCAGGGGAGTCAGAGGCCTATACATTGCCCAGGAGAATTATGATTCTCTTAGCAGAAATATAAAGAGAACACAGGCAACAAAAACAAAAACAAAAATAGACAAATGGGACTTAATTAAACTAAAAGGCTTCCGCACAGCAAAAGAAATAATTAACATACTGAAGAGACAATCTGTAGATGAGAGAAAATATTTGCAAGCCATTCATCTGACAGGGAACTAATATCTAGAATATGCAAGGAACTAAAACAACTCAAGAGGAAAAAGAAAAAACAATCCCATTAAAAAGTAGGCAAAGAATGTGAATAGATATTTCTCAAAAGGAGACATACGAATGACCAACAGGTATATGAAAAAATGCTCACTATCACTAATCATCAGAAAAATGCAAATCAAAACCACAATGAGATATCATCTTACCATAGTCAGAATGGCTATCATTAAAAAGACAGCAAATAACAGATCTTGGCAAGGATGCAGAGAAAAGAGAACTCTTATACACTATGGTGGCAATGTAAACTAGTACAGCCACTATAAGAAACAGTATGGAGACTTCTCAAAAAACTAAAAATAGAACTACCATTCAATCCAGCAATCCCATTACTGGGTATCTACCCAAAGGAAAAGAAATCAATATATCAAAGGAATACCTGCACTCCCACGTTTACTGCAGCACTATTCACAATAGCAATGATATGGAATCAACCCAAGTGTCCATCAACAGATGAACGGATAAAGAAAATGTGTCATATATACACAATGAAATACTATTTGGCCATGAAGAAAAGTGGGTTAAAGGGTACAAATATGTAATAAGACAGAAGGAATAAATTAAATGCATGATAACAGAGTAGGGTGATTATAGTTGACAAAAATGTATTGTACTCAGATGATGGACGCAATAAATTCTCTGACTTGATCACTACACATTAAATACATGTAACAAAGTTTCACACGTGCCCCATAAACTTGTATAAATAAAAAAATAAAAATGATAGTTAATATTCAGTTGGGTTTACCTCTTACTTCCAAATGATGCTTTTGAGAACCAACAGGCAAAGGTCTAGGGAAATAAAGAGGTCTCAGAAGAGAACATCGGGAGAGGGATGGGCAGGTGACTTTCACCTTCTCCCTGCCACAGGGGTCACTCCTTCTCCTCCACCATGGGGGTGGGGATGGTGCAGATGGAGGCCTGGCCATAGGGAGGAGGGGTCTGCATGAGAGGCTGCCAGCTCTCTGGGCGTTGAGTACCAGGGAACTGTGCAAAAATGATGCCCACATATGCAGCCCATTTCTCATCTTTTCCGCAGCAGATCTGACATCTGAGCAGATGCTGTTCGCATCTCTATGGGATAAATCTGCCCATCAATAGTTGGCTGGGCACTACTGGTAGTCACATTGCAGAGGGAGGCCCAGTGGGTCCTGAGACTGCTAAGTCCCATCCAAACTGCCTGTGTCAATAGTTTAGGACAACCCTTGTCCTCCTCCCCACAAAACAAGCAGAAGTCCCTGACATCCCACAGGAGGGGGAAAAGGAATGGTGGGGAAGAGGAAGCCATAAACATACTGCATATCATTATATTTTTTGAGGTGACTTTAAAAGTCTACCTGATATGGTTTGGCTGTATCCCCACTCAAATCTCACCTTGAGTTGTAATAATCCCCACATGTCAAGGGTGGGGCCAGGTGGAGACAATTGAATCATGGGGGCTGTTTCCCCCATACTCTTCTCGTGGTAGTGAATATGTCTCATGAGATCTGGTGGTTTTATAAATGAGAGTTCCCCTGCACAAGCTCTCTTGCCTGCTGCCATGTAAGACGTGTCTTTGCTCCTCATTTGCCTTCCACCGTGTTTGTGAGGCTTCCCCAGCCATGTGGAACTGTGAGTCAATTAAACCTCTTTCCTTTATAAATTACCCAGTCTCAGGTATGTCTTTATTAGCAGCATGAGAACAGACTAATACACTACCCAATGTAAGATTTTTTTTTTATTTGAAGAGAAACCAAGTTTAAGGAGAAAATTAAGAAGGGGTAGTAAAAAGATTAATATAGAAGGAAAGTTAGTATCCAGTGATTTACACTGATCTTATATAATTACCAAAAATAGAATATGAATTAGGCTCTGAGCTTCTTATGAAACAAAGCAAAAATGAGAATGTAAAAGTTACAAAAATGACAATGAACAAAAGACAAAAGAAAGCCAGTTCCTCAGTGAGCGCTTTCTTTTTCCTTGTTCTGGGGCTTGAGTGAATTTTTCCTCCAAATTCTCACACAAGGGAAGTCTCATAGATTCTCAGCAATCTATACAATGCTAAGTTCTCCACAGCTATTCCATAGGGTTCCTGGAGGTGATATTCCAAACCTCAACTTAGGACTAAGAGGTGGCAAAGGGAGAGAGGCCAAATACATCAACCCAGTAGTAGACTCACCTGATTTGGACTGGGAAATAAGATCTACGCTATCTAAGGGTAGACTGCATGTCTGGCAGGCAATCCTCCATAAATGTTTGCTAAAAGTTGGGTCACACATGGTTGGAAGACACATTATTTGGAAAGAACTCAGCTAGAGTAGAGTAACTTTCTATTACTGGTTAAAGGCAGATCAGTAATCTTCAAAATCAATTTTACACACATCCAAACAAATACTAGATAGTCATTAACAATTATTTTCTGTATCATAATTTTTATGACCTGATAATTGTCTGTAATATTACAGCTTTAAAAATCAGTAACAAAATAGGATCTACAGCATTAAACAGGGAAAAAAGAAGGATTTAAACATGGCAAATGTATACACACACACACACACACACACACACACACACAGAGAGAGAGAGAGAGAGAGATAAAGAATAGAAAGAATAAAAGAATATAAACTGTTAACTGTCTATTTCTAGGTGGTATAATTTGACTGCTTTGTGCTTACGCTAGTTTTGGGTTCTTCTCACTCCTGAAAGGAGAATTTGGGTGCAGCTGCTTGGGAGATAATTGCAGGAGGCACTAGAAGTGGGGTGAAGAAGTAGAAGAAAGAAAAGAAGATCAATATGGGATGTGCTGATGAATGGGTTACCACTGTTGGCAATTGGAGCTAAATCCCTCGAGGGAAACTCTGAGACACTCTGTGAAACACATCTCAGAACAGTCCCATCAAGGGTCAAGATAGCTGGTCAAGATATTTATCCAGCCACTCTCATCCTCCATTGTTAAGGATCACTTCTGGAAATGTTAACTCCCCAGCACTCCCGGCACTTTCAACCACCCTATGTGCAAGCCAAGAAAGCTCCTATAGCCAGAGAATGTCCTCAAGAAGGGGACAAAGGTGCTTGAGAAAGGAAGCCATCCATATATAACAGAACCATCCACAACTGCAGATGACTTCCAGGTGGGTTAAGGAATGTGGGCAGGTCACCAACAGTGTAGTTTTCATATTTTTTACATATATTACTTTTGGTGTCAGAAAAATTGTATTTATAAAAATTGACTTTTCAGAAGCTACATGTGCTGAGAGGCACAGGTTATGAGAATTAAGGACTTGACCATGACTCCCATATGAACAAAAGGATTCTGTCACTGTCCAAAGGCGGACTGGGGCAGCACTATAGAAGGAACAAACTTAGAGAATATTTCTGGGTCCAATCCAGAAAATAAACATATGAGAAGTCAAGGTCTCAAATCTTCACTCCATAGAATATTGATCACATTGATGTTGGCCTGAAATTCGTTCAGACTGGGAATTCAGTCTGAAATCTCAATCATGCATTCACAAAGTGTTTAAATTTGAGCATCACAGTTTCCAAGGAAAGATGGCTTTCACTTTCAAATTATAATTGCAAACTTCAAATGGGTGCCCAACACTGCCTGGTAGCATGACTATGTCTATTCTAAGTAAGCTCACTTTCCTCACTGTGGTGGCCGTGAGAATGCATCTTGCAGTGTATGTGTAATTAACCAAAGTCCCCAGCCACTGTACTGTGAAAGCCATCACTGTGTTGACTCTAAGGCCACCTTGCCACAGGCTGCTTGCAGCCAATGGCTGAGCTCAACAGGGATAACAAGTCAAGCTCATTCAGGGGAAACAGGGCACTCCTCTGACAGTGAACTCTGGCTCTGCATTAATCCTGCCAAACCTTCCCCAGATTTCATGGCAATCTAGGATGCTTCCATCCAACCTTCCTTTCTTTTCTCCTTCACTCAGGGTCAGACTTGCATCACTGTTGGACAGCTGTACCAGCCTCTTCTGACTCTCTCCTCACTTGTTCACACAGGTGGTTCCACTAATAAAATCTTTGCATGCTTATTTCCATCTTGACATTTGCTTCTTAAAGGACCTGGACCAATATACCACTTTATGAACCGGCTGTTTCCTGCCTTCTTCTCTTTTCTCAACAACTCCCTTCTCTCTCCCCCTCTCAGCTGATGACATGGCCTCCTGTTTCCTTGAGAAAATGGAAGGCATCAGATGAAGCCTAAGCCCACCAGCATCTCCTTCCTTCGTGCTAATATAGCAGAGAAGGTGTCCCCTCTCCAGGCAAAGCCCAGTCTTTCCAAGGGATCCTTTCCAAGGATCTCACCCCTTTCCCAAAAAGGAGATCTTCACTCCTTCAGGTCTCTCCTCCCTCTCCTGCAACACAATCTATTCCTTACTCTCTGTCGTCCTGGCTCCTCAACCTCTCCAGCTGTTTCCTCACTCCTCTGCTCCTCTCCAAAATCAAATGTCTAGTAAGAGATCCTTACACATTTTGTCTCCACTTAGTTACTTCTCATTCATTCCTAATTCACTTCATTTTAGCCTCAGCAACCACCACCCTGGTGCTCTTGTCAAGAATAGCATGGCCTCCACCTTGGTGAGTCCATGGGATATTCTCCTATCCTCATCCCACTCAACTGTTCAGCAGCATTTGGCACAGCTGACCATTTCCCTGTTCTTTAAGCCTGCTTCTATTTTGACAGACACCATAGACTCCTGGTTTTCTCCTACCTCACTGGTCACACCTTCTCAGTCTCCTTGCCTGACTCTTCCTCCTCTGCCAGAGATTTCAACATGGGTTTCTCCAAGATGTTCAGCTCTTTTCTCTGTCCCTTCTCCTCAATAAGCTCATTCACTCACTTGGCTTCCAATACCATGACATGGCACAGCTGTCAACTCTCTATCTCCAGCCCTTACATTTCCCCGATGTTCAGCCTTGTTTCCACCATCTGCCTACTCCATATCTCCACTCACATGCCTAATGGGCATCCCCAGTTTAACAGGTCAAGAGCTTTTGATTTCTTTTCCCAAATATGCTCCTCTCCAGCCTCCTCTTTTCAGTAACTGATACTACCATCCACCCAGTAGCATAAGCCAGAGATACCTGGGGGTCACCCTTGATTTCATCTTCTTCCCTACTCTTCATGTTTAATTCATCTGTCACTTCTTCCTCAGAAGTATATCTCAGGTCCACCTATATCTCTTCATCTCTGAGCATCTCTCTGCATCCTAATATTCTCTTCTTACAGGGAGACCAGTCATACTGCATTAGGGCCAACCCTGATATCCTCACTTACCTTTTTAAAGGCCCTATATCTCCAAATACAGTCACATTCTGAGGTACTGGGGGTTAGAACTTCAACATATAAATTTTAAGACCCATTACACTTGAACCACTACAAGTGTAAAGGGGATGTGAAAGCCTTGTAACTGATCTCCCCACTTCCATCTCATACATTCCCTCTCCTTACAGAATCAAGAGCAAATTTTTAAAAACACAAATCCTATCTTGGCACTCTTCTGTCTTGAACCCTTTAGTGCCTTCCTATTGCACTTAGAATAAAACCCGAAGTCTTGCCCTATAGCATCTTGCTTCAGTCTACCTTGTCAATGTCATCTCACATTCCTCTCCCCATCAGTCACCATGCTGTTATCACACTCAACTTCTTTCAGCACCTGGACCAGCCCAAGCCTTTTTACTGCTCAGAGGCTTTGAACACATGATTTGTTTGCCTGAAAGTTCCCTCCTGCTGCACGTAGCATCGCTGTCTCTTTCTCAATCTTCATGTCTCAGGTTAAGTATCCCCCACCCCTGCCGTTCTTTATGATAACAGCCTATACATGACCTACATAGCACTCATTGCATATACACAGCCATTCATCTCTTTGCCTGGTTATCTGTTTTCTATTTCTCCTTCTAGAATGTAGGCTTCATGAAGACAGGGACTTTGTCATCTTTTCACAGCAATATCACTGGCATCCAGAAGAGTGCCTGGAATACTATAGGTGCTCTGTAAATACTAGCTGAATGAAGGAATGGTCATGCCAGAATAAATTATGTGAAAAATGTACCCACAAGGAACTGAGAGTCAACCTGTTGCATAGTATTGTTGGATACATGTTAATTAAATTCCAAAGACTTCTGCCAAAATGACTACTGTGTTTTTAGAATAGTTGTTCTTGGGCCTTTCTTTCTGGTAATAGTTGAAGAGCAGCAGGATCAGTTTCCTGTTGAAATCACTTCTAGTTCTTCACCTAATTTCATCAGTAGAACACAGGACACCTCTGTAATCGTCTAGGGCAGGATCAACTGGCCACCATTAGAGTGCCATATTAGAGTGTCACAGACTTTGGCATCAACATATCCAGGTTGGCATCCCACTTCTGCCATCTATAAGCTGTGTAACTTGGCAAAGTCTAAACTCCCTAAGCCTCTTTGTCCTCATAGGTAGATTGGAGACATGAGTAAGTACCTCTCAGGAATGTTCTTAAATTAAATGGTATAATATATATAAAGTGCCTACCAGAGCTCCTGACATACAATGAATATTAATAAGTGATGACCATTATTATGAATCCAGGAAGCAATGATGCAAGACTTGAGGGCACAGTCACGGAGGCAAAGAAGAAGAGATAGTTTAATACATGATTATGAGATTGCACAGACAGAATTTATAATTATTTTGATTGGGTGTGAGAGATGAGGCAACATTAATTGAAGAGGACTTGAAATTTCTAGCTGGGTGATTAGATGTGCAGTCATGCCAACAACAAACACTTCCATGCAAAAGCAGCTGTGTAGAATAGTTCAATAATTTTGAGTTCAGATCACATACTACATGATTTTTAGCTCTGGCTGGCCTTAAAATGGGGTTCACCTGTATTTAAGAACTCCTTGTGAGACCTTCTCAGTTTCTGGTCAGAGGAAGGAAGATACCTCAGACTCCAAAGAAAGGCTGGAGGGTTTATCTTTTTGTGGATTAGTTTCCTTCATCACCTGCCTTTCCCTTCTAAATATGACGGAATCTTTTCATTTCCCTTGCACTGAAGGGAAACGCATCCTCTGGGGCTGGAGCCTGACTCTGGCAGTCCTTCTGAAGTTACAGATTTAGGCTCCAGCACTTCGAGGTCTCACTGTGCATCTGTAGGGGTCCTCTGGTGGCCAAGACTCTCAGACATGTGCAGACTAAAGCCAGGTGCTGAGAAAAACACAGAAAAGGCTGTCCCTGAGAGCTGGAAACCTATATCCCCTAAAAACAGGCTAGCAACCATGATGCACTCTCTTAAGTTTAGGGTGGGCGGGCACTAGTTTATGTTTAACTGGTTGCCAGAAGAAAAGGTGGAAGGGAGAGAAATCATCAGCAAAGCTTTCACAGAATAGAGATCCAATCAGCACCACCTTAGCGGCAGGGAGTGGAGCAGGAGGATGTAAATCACAATTGTTGCATCAAAAGTCAACCCTTCTTTTACCCTCCAGCCCCATCCCCAGTTGTGACTTTTTAAATTACAGCAAGGAGAGTTTATTGTAAATAAGTATTGAATGAATTAAATTACAGAAAGAAAAAAAAAACTGGGCATGCCTAATTATATACTCCAGAGACATGAATGCATATATTCATTTAGAGACATGTACAAGACTACTTAAAATAGCATTATTCTTAATAACTAAACACTAAAAACACCCCAAATATCTATCAGGAGTAGAACAGATAAACTGTGGTTTAGTCACGTGCAGAGGAATATTGCACAACAATGAAAAGGAAGAAGTCACACAGTAGAATGTGGCAGACACATCCTACAGTGACTGCCGACAAAACACACCCTTATAGCATCCAGTCCCTTTGATTACAGGCAGAGCCTGTGACTTGTTTCTAACAAATAAAATATGGCAAAGGTGATGGGATGTCACTTCCTTGATTAAGCGATGTTACATGTCACAAGTGATGGGAGCGTGATTATGCTACTTTATATAAGGCTCTGTAAACTAGAGAGAAAGAATCTCCCTTACTGACATGCAGTAAGCTGTCATGTTGAGAGAGAGCCTGTGAGAGAGCCATGTGGCCAGGAACTACAGCTGTCCTTTAAGAGTTGAAGGTGGCCTTTGGCCTAGTCAGCAAGAAACCGGGACCCGAGTCATACAACCACAAGGAGGTGAATTCTGCCGACAACCTGAACAAGCTTGGAAGCAGGTTCTTCCCCAAGCAACTCAACAGAACACAGCCCAGCCACCACCTTGATTGCTGCCTTAAAAGATCCTGAGCAGAGAATTTAGCTAAACTGTGCACTGACTCTTGACCCATAGAAAATGTGAGATAAGGAATGTGTGTTGGAGCTGGGTGCAGTGGCTCATGCCTGTAATCCCAGCACTTTGGGAGGCCGAGGCAGGGGGATTGCTGAGTCCAGGAGACCAGCCTGAGAAACATGGTGAAACCCTGTATACACAAAAAATACAAAAATTAGCCAGGCATGGTGGCATGTTACTGTAGTCCCAGCTACTAAGGAGCCTGAGGTGGGAGGATTGCTTGAGCCCAGGAGGTCGAGGCTGCAGTGAGCCATGTTCGCGCTACGGCACTCCAGCTTGGGCAAGTGGTAAGCCACTACCTATGTGGTCTTTGTAACACCTTGATAGGAAATGAATACAGAGGACATGTTGCATGATTCTGTTGCAATTGCAAAACAGGGGATTGTATTTTATTTTTTATTTTTTTTTCCATCTACTTCCCTTAGGGGTAAGGATTTACTTCTCTTAATGCATACATATGTTCTTCTTGCTTCCCGTCTCCCATCCTCTTAATATGATTATATTTGGCTATATCAGTCCTCAGGGTTGGTGTTATTATGACTCCATAACATGGGAAGTAACCTGGCTGTATTGTTCCTGGCGAGCCAAGTGTTGTGCAGTTATTAGGTGTCTGTGTGGGTTTCCTAGGTCTGCTATAACAAATTACCACAACTCTGGTGACTTAAAACAACACAAATGTGTTCTCTCACAGTTCTGAAGGCCAGAAGTCTGAAGTCAAGGTGTCAGCAGGGCCACACCCCCTCTTCCAGCTTCTGGTGGTCACAAAACTGTTTTTTTTTTTTTTAGGTAGGCTCATGGTATTTGCTAATTTAACCTTCATGAACTAGTCCTTCATGACTCAGAATGCTCGTGACATGGATGTCCTTTTGAAGGAGGCTGACTTGTAAATATTTCCCTCTGGAAGCTTGGTGCTCCAGAATGTCACTTAGCTGGTAAGTGAACCTGGCCAACTGCAGCTGCTATATCAACAAGGGGGCTTTATTGTTTTCCACTGACCTTGAGTCTGCATGTTCTTGAGTATTCACATGTTTGGGGATTCTGAAAGGTCTCCAGTTATCTTCTGGTCTCTTGAAGTCAATCACCCATTCAGGACCCTTCACTGCCCAATCTCCCGCTCCGAAGCCCCAGCAGGGTTCCTTCTCATGTCTTTGCTGGAGCTTCCTGCTGCCTCTGCTCCTAACACAACCTAGTCAGGCATACTCCCTATGGGACCCTCTGCTGACAGTCCAGCTTTGCCTTGTGCTCTCTTTAAGCAGGTACCAAGGAAGTGTTGCCGTTTCTCAGCCTCTTTTCATGACATTTGTTTTAGGATTTCCCTTCCCCTTCCTCTGAACAGTTAAAACCTTACCCTTTCATAGGGGGCCATGGGGGTTGGGGATGGTGAGAATAACTAATGAGATTTCAGCTCAGTTACCTGGACAGGTGTGGCCCTAGCCTTCCTGAATTCTAAATGAGGGATGAGAGGAGAGGGAAGAAATACAAGTTAACCCCACACCCCAGGCTGCTGCCATGGTCACAGTACTTCACCCTAGAGGTGTCTGCCCAAGTGTCTCAAACCACACAGCAGCCTCAGGGAAAGGATCTCAGCCCTGTGATCCCCATAGTCAACCCCAGTCTCTGTCCCAGCGTCAGAAACAGGCAGGTTACTGTGATGCCAATGAAGCTTAAGAACCTGGGTCCTCCTTGCCCTGGCTCCTCTATGGCCCTGGAAGGGCCCTAGCAATGGGTTCACATGACAATATAGATCTATTAATAGTATATATAATGTCTTAGTCAGCTTGGGCTGCCATAAAAAAGTACCGTAGACTGAGTGGGTCAAACAACAGACTTATTTCTCACAGTTCTGGAGGCTGAGAAGTCCAAGATGAAAGGTCGGGCAGATTCAGTTTCTGGTAAGGCCTCTTTTCCTGGCTTGCAGATGGCCACCTTATCACTGTGTCCTCACATAGTGGAGAGAGAGCATCTCTCATCCTTTTCTGATAAAGCTACTAACCCCACTGTGAGAGCACCACGCTCTTGACCTCATCTAACACTGATTACCTCCCAAAGGTCCCATCTCCAAATACCACCAAACTGGGGGGCTAGGGTGGGGGGACACAATTCAATCCATAGCTGTATATATATATAGTACACACAATATTCATTCCTCCTGCAATACAAATTATATGAAAATTGACATATAAAATATACATATAGAAAAAATATATTCATGTTACAGCAATAGGTTAAAGACCACCCCTTCTTTCCACTTTCCTTCCCCTTCCATCATGCTTCCCCTCAGGTCAGGCAGTCCTGGAGTGATCGTGGGCATCTCAGGGATCTGGTTAAGGAGAAGTGGAGTCAGGGATACATCTGGTGTCGGGTTACAGGGGTGTTTGCATCACTTCCATGTACAGGTCGGTAATGGCTAGCCACCCTGCTATAGAAATGGCTCTGACAACCCACTCTGCCAACTCACCAGTGTCCTGACATGGAGGCACACTGGTGTTGTGTATGAATGTGGCCTGTGGCAGCCAACACTAGAACTATGCAGGTAATGGAGAAAAAACAAGGATTAAAATGGACAAAGGCAAAAGCTAGTATATGGAAAAATTCTTCCAACTCTTACAACTCAGATACAAAAGAAGCTTGATTAAGGTTTTCCTAGATTTGATGACAATCCTTAAAATGTACAGGATATTACCAATAATGAGTTCTGAAGCTGAAACAACTCTTAATAACTATCAATAGCTTAGAAAAACAAATTTCAGACACATTAGAGCAAAGACTGAGTTATCATTCTATTCTCTCCAAAGAAAATGATAATTACAAAATTGTTGTCACATGAAGAGAAAAAGTGCATGCTGCCCAAAACTACAGGGAAAAAGTATTATCAAGGTGTTTTGGGCAACAAATTCATTAGAATACTGTTATTTTTCTGGATTCTGTATTGATGACACTTTTCATCAAGTATGTAGTTTATTGTTATTTCTTGCATTATTCTAAACAAACATCCAGTTTTGTATTTAAATTTTTGGGGGTGGGGGAGACGGAGTCTTGCTCTGTCACCCAGGCTGGAGTGTAGTGGTATGATCTCAGCTCACTGCAACCTCCACCTCCCAGGTTCAAGAGATTCTCATGCCTCAGCCTCCCAAGCAGCTGGGACTACAGGTGCATGCCAGGAAACCCGGCTAATTTTTGTATTTTTAGTAGAGAAGAGGTTTCACCATGTTGTCCAGGCTGGTCTCGAACTCCTGGCCTCAAGTGACCTGCCTACCTCAACCTCCCAAAGTGCTGGCATTACAGACATAAGTCACTGTACCCGGCCTTACATTTAATTTTTGATGGTAGTTTTGCATTATTTTTATTAAAGAGGGCCCCGCAAATTACATGAACTTCAGGCCCCACAAAATCAAGAGCCACCTTGATGGTGAGGCCACTCGCCTGACACTCTTCCTCATGCATTTCTCTGGGTCCCCTCGCCCATCCTCCCAGCATCTGCACAGGGATCGCCACAGGGTCCCTGCGTGGCTCCAGGCATTTGTGTCAGAGATAGTCTTCCAACCAGAGTGTGAGTGCAGGATGGAATGTTTGCACTTATTTTGTTCACCCTGCCCCAATTTTACGGATGAGGAAACTAAGAGCCAGAGAGGCAAAGTGACTTGTACAAAGTCACGCAGGAAGCTTGTGGCAGAACTTGAACACAGGACCCTAACTCTTAGTCCAGGGATCTCTACATTGTTGCTTGCAGTCTGTCATTAGTTAGATCAGTGGTTTTCAAGCTTCATTATTAATAATCAAGCTTGCTAAAAACAGATTCCTCCAGCGTGCAGGTCCTCAGGTCCTCAGGCACAATTCAGTGTGGGATTCCCTGAGACATGGGTGCCTTGGGTCTCTAGGGGCCCAAAGCAGTGATCCCTCAGATGCACCAAAGTTACTTGGATGCTTGAAATGCAGATCTCTGGGCCCCACCCCTAGACACTGTGATCCATTAGAACTGGGTCGAAATCTGAGTTTTTAAAAACCTCTCCCAGTGAAGCGAAGGCAAGAAGTGGATGAACTTAGGCCACTTATCCTAACCTTCTCATTCCTTAGATCCCAAATATTCCCCCTCCTCTTCGTTCCACCCACCCCCACCTCCCTTACAACAGAGGAGAGAGTGGTATACACCAGCTCTCTTCCTAGCTTCCTTCTGTGCCACCTACTTTCAAATGTACATCACACTGCAGGTTTTTTCCCTAAGACATTGTGCTTGCAAGCTATTTATAAGGATAACTACCCAGTGAATTCCAAGGACTGTGTAGAGCCTAAACAACAAATAGGCCACAGATTCCATGCCAGGATTATTGGGAAATAATTCCTGGTAGATTTCATAAGTGCTTACTGGTTCTCTACATGAAATGTAAAATCTGGACCTGTCACATCCAGTTTCATTAATGACCCTGGGGATAACCATAGGGTGAACTACAGAATAGCTGCTGTGATTAATTTTGACTCAGGGCTTTAACACCATCTTGATGCTAACTAGTAGTGACCTGATCTGTCGGCTCCAGATGTCTGGAGCCTTGTGAGATCTGGCAACCAGAAGAGGACACTCACTCTAAATTTCCTTACAAAGTAGATGCCATTTGAGGCCTTAACAATCACGGACCCTGAACTTCACTACCCACATTAGCCTAAGTTAGAAGAGGATGGCTTTTGCCCACCCCCATGTACAGTGAGACGATGTATATGAAACTCTTTGCAAATTCCTAGGAGATATATAAATGCAGTGTTCTACTCACTGTTTTTATGAGGCCCAGATCCATAAGTCCTCAAAAGGTGTTCTTGAGCCCAGAGTAATCAGCTGGCACTCCCCTAAAGCACATAAACACGGACATGACTAATAATTGGCCAAAAAGAATCCTTCGTGGCACTACAGTTATAGTTTTAGAAGAGCTACAAGGATGATTGTTAATGGTAATGCTTCTTGTTATTAATACTCAAACTTGCCAAAAACAGTTTCCTGTGGGGTGCAGTTCCTCAGGCACAACTCCACATGGGGTTCCCTAAGGCAAGGTGCCAGGGGCCTCTGAAAGAGCCTCCCAAGGGCTTGCCTCCTAGGCCCAAAGCAACCAGGATTCTTTTGATACAAAAGATTTGCCATCCTAAAAGCATGGCTATTTTCTATTCTCTGACCTTTCTGCTTCCTCTATGCTCAATGTCTCAAAATGGAATTCAAAAGAGGAGCTAAAGGCTACTCATTTCTCTAAATAGACTTGTATTTAGTGCTCCAAGAAGAAATGTTATTCCTACCTCCCATTAGCACAGTGTCCCTAATTCTAGAGGTAATAGCTAAATAGCAGCTTGTCCCTATTGGTGCAGGAAATTCTTTTCTCCATTTTCAGGATAAAAATAAAGATTACTCAGACAGATCTGTGATTCTCCCTTGGCAGAGAGTTTCAGTGCCTGGGAACCAGAATCTATTGGATGAACATTTGTAGGCTTAATTTCAGAATCTCAAATGACAGAAACATTCTCACTGACTGCAAATGAGGACAGAATGTTTGGCTGGTTTTGATGTTTTCAACTAACACCTTTAAAACAATAGTGATGACCATCTCTTGATTATCATCATAGCAAAATGTGTTCTCAAACTTCCTCAATAAATAAAAGTTGAAGTCCTGTCGTTCAAAAAAACATTTAATAAATTATCAATACATCTTGTTGATATGCAAAGAATTATGCAAAGTACCTTGGCACCACAAAAATAAATGGGACACTGTTTCCACTGGGAGGACCTTACAATCAGACAAGACGTGAACGCTGATAAATATAAGTAGAATACGAGAAGTATCACAAAACAGGGACAAACAACGCTATAGGATTTCAGATGCAAGAGATTACTTCTAGCAGAAGGGAATCCATGAAGATGGCAGTGGGGTGACATTTGAGCTGGGTCCTTCAGCATGTGTGTAGTCTTGCTACTGGATCTGCCATGTGTTTCTCCAATTACCCATCCAATAAAGCTTGCTTGCCAATGGAGCTCATGGTTTTGACTTATGGTAGTTTTCTTTTGCTATGTAACACATTACCACAAACTTGGTAGCTCAAAACACACACATTCATTATCTCATAGCTTCTGGGGGTCAGGAACCTAGACACGGAGTAGCTGGGTTCTCTGCTCAGGGTTTCACACAGTTGAAATCTAGACGTCAGCCAGGTGTATTCTCACCTGGAGTTCTCCAAGTCCATTCAGGTTGTTGACAGAATTTATTTCCTTACAGTTGTAGGATGGTGCTCCTTAATTTCTTGCTGGCTGTTGGCCAGGGGTTGCTCTCAGCAACTTGAGGCTACCCTCATATCTTAGCTGTGGGGCCCTCTTACTACACAGCAGCTCACTCCCTCAAAGTCAGCAGGAGAATCTTCTCTTTGGGGAAGGCCTGAACCCTCCTTTAAAGGACTTGCCTGATTATGTCAAGCCTGCCCAGGGTAATCTCCCTTTTGTTTGACCCAAAGTAACAGGAGAGACATTAATTACATCAGCAAAATTCCCACACCTGTGCCAGATCATGTAACCTAATCACTCCAGTAAAATTCCATCATACTCACAGGTCCCTGACATTCAAGAGGAGGGGATTACACAGGGTGTCTATACCAGGTAGGAATCTTGGGGCCATCCTGCCTACCATGTGATTCAAGCCAAGTGTAAGCTTTGGCACCCATGGGATGACAGTCCTTACTGCGAATCCCATCTCTGTCAATAAATTTAAACCAGCAGGACTATAAGAGGTAGAGAAAGGAACAGTGAATATGGAAAGAGATGTGGCAGACTGAATTTTCAATGTAGTGTGTGTTCACCATACTCCATACATGTATACTACATTGGTACAAGATAGTGCATTGCACACTACACACACAGAGACACACACGATACATGCTGTTCCTCCTATGTGACACTGAACCCTCCTCGCATTGAGTGGTGGGTCTGTGTTACCCCCTCTTAGACTTGGACAGAACTTTGTAACTGCCTTGGCCAATAGAAAAGCAGAAGTGACACTAAATGACTTCTGAGACTAAGTCATAAAAATAATATGCACTTCCATTTTGTCTCTTGAAACACTCACTCTTGGAACCCTGCCACCCTGCTGTGAGAACACCAGTCCAGAACATAGAAAAGCCACATGTAGGTGCTCCAGCTGACAGTCCCCATTAAGGTCCCAGCCAACAGCCAGCATCAAACACCAGATGTGTGAGTGAATGAACTTCAGATGACTCCAGCACCAGCTATTGAGTCACCTTCAAGCCACTCCAGCCTTTAAGCCACCCCAGTAAGTTCCACGTGGAAGAAGGGATGAGCTATCCCTTTTAGCCCTGACCAAATTGCAGATTCATGAACAAATAAATGATTATCACTTTAAACTACTTAGTTTGGACTTGGACAGAACATGACTGGAACAGATGTGGAATGGCAAGCTGGACACTGGCATCTCTGTATTTCCCCAGAATCAAGGGGAAGCCCTCCTCCCATAACCAGGAAGGTGAAAGTAGTCAAAAGACTTTGAGGCCCAGCATTCCAGCAACTGCACAGCATTCTAATCTCCCCTGCTTTAATCTGGGGGCCTCGTCCATGCAGTGGATTAAGAACCCTAAACTACTGTTCAGAAGGAGCTTGACTCACTATTCCAAGGAAAATGAGAAAGCAAAGGGGCTGAGGAGACGAATGAAGAGCAACAGAATCAGAGGAAGAGATGCAGAGGAAAGAAATGCTGGCTTGAAAATTGGAGTCTGAAATGCAAATGTGCATGTGAATGGGGGCATGTTAGAGACAACAGAGATTTTAATAAATGGTGCCCACTAGACACACACACACACACCCCAGGCTGCCAGCAACAGACAGGCTAGCCTCTACCTCTCTTGCTCTTTTGGGTTCTGGAAAAAGGAATCTGGCTTTCAAATACATGCTGAATTTCCCATTGCCATGCCACATCCCTGGTTCTCTACAAAGCATGTAATTCCAGCTATTTGGCTGCAGCTCAAGAGTCACTGGAGTGCAAAAGTCTTCACATATGTGTTCTTGCTTATTTGCCTGGGTATGAGAGAGAGGATTTCTGAAGGATCCAGAAATCTAGCATTGATTGGGCAATATGAGGGGTTGCTTGGGACAGCAAGAACAAATAGTGTATGACACACCATGCAGACACATAGTATACACACAACACATTCACACACTGCACAGTACATTACATGTATGTCATATATACTATGGGTACAACAGATACACACTGCACACGCACATATAGCCAACTGACCTTAAGGAAGAGAAACCTAGTATTAGGAATGGTTTGACTTAAACACTTGTGAGGATCTAAGGAAAACTACACATCCTAGGATTATAATGTTTTTCAATCATTCGATCCAAGCTCTCCATTTTAAAGGCAAAGAAGTGGGGGTTTAGCTGAAAGTGGGAGCATGTGTTCTCATTCCTAGACTGGAGTTATTTTCTCAGATCTTGGTCCTAGGGAGGCCCCACTGTGCCTCTACTAGTTTTAGAAATATACATGTGAATTAATACTTCAGCACTGGTTATACACACACACACACACACACACACACACTCCCTTCCTCACCTGTGCAACTACTGTTTTAACTGAACTCTAGAAAAATAACATGAAAAAAATTGTTGCATTCAGATCAGAGCAAGGTGAGAAAATGGACACAATCAAGTTCTCTTGTCAGCCAGATGTCCCTCACTTCCCCACACTCAGAGGTCAACCTTCCTTTTGGTGCCCAAAAGACACAGTCCTTGCACCACAGACTCCAGGAGGCTGGCTTTTCCCTGGATCTTCTCAGGCTCCTTGGGACTCCTCAGGAATGCAAACCCACAGATCTTGCCATACAAGGCTGCTGCCCAGGAGTCATGCTAGTCACTTGCCATGTTGTAACTGGCTTCTCCAGGTGACAGACATTCTCCCCTTACTAGTCCCCCCTGAGCTTGGTTGGACAGGGCATGAACCTGCCTACTCAATTGAGAGAGCTTTGGAATCCTGGAGCCCAGTGAGAGAAAATAACTCATTTCCCCTCATCTTCATCTTCCAGGGCCTCAGGCTGCTTCAAGTCAGTTAATCATCATCTACAGAGATGCACTCTGCCCACTGTGAGGAACCTCCTACCCCTGTAACCAGGAAGGGTTTCCCCACAGTCCAGCCCCACCCAAGTTCCTCTGCTGGCTCTTCCCTTCACCATCCCTGCCCCTCTGGGGGCCAAGGACCCCTTTGCTGTAGAGGGGATTAAACGTGCCCTAGGCTCTTGCTGGGGGTTGAGGAGTCTGTACAGTGTGGTGTGACTGGAGCTCAGTAGTCACTGGGCATGGGACGGTGTCTGCTGTGGTTGATGGACAGAGAAGGACTGCCACGTGGCTCCTATGCCTGGCAGCAAATGGTGTTCTCACTCAGCTGGTGCCAGATGGTGGGGTCTCCTCATAGGAAGCTCCCCCTAGCTCCCTCCCCTCCAGTACAGGAGACTCCTGAGTATGCTCCCTGGAGTACAGAGGACAGGCAAGATGGCATCCCTCTCTCATTACTTTCCTTTCTTTGCATGGCATAAACTCTGTGCCCCATGACCCTTAAAGCCCTGTCTTCTGATTTGCAAGAACCTGGTGATATAGTTTGGATATTTGTCCCCTCCAAATCTTATGTGATGTTGATCCCCAATGTTGGAGGTGGGGCATAGAGGGAGGTTTGGGTTCTGGGGGGCAAATCCCTTCCGAATGGCTTGGTACCCTCTTCATGGTAATGAGGGAGTTCTTGCTCTATGAGTTCCTACAAGATCTGATTGCTTAAAAGAGCCTGGCACTGCCCTCCACTCTCCCTATTGCTCCCTTTCTCTCACCATGCAACATGCCAGTTCCTCTTTGCCTTCTGCCATGAATGGAAGCTTCCTGAGGTACTCACCAGAAGCAGACACTGATGTCATGCTTCTTGTACAGCCTGCAGAACTGTGAGCCAAATAAACTTTTCTTTATAAATTACCCACCCTCAGGTATGATTATGATTATGATTATGATTATGATTTTTTGAGATGGAGTCTTGCTCTGTCGCCCAGGCTGGAGTGCAGTGGCGTGATCTCAGCTCACTGCAACCTCCACCGCCCAGGTTCACGCCATTCTCCTGCCTCAGCCTCCTGAGTAGCTGGGACTGCAGGCACCCGCCACCACACCCAGCTAATTTTTTGTATTTTTAGTAGAGACAGGGTTTCACTGTGTTAGCCGGGATGGTCTTGATCTCCTGACCTCATGATCTGCCCGCCTTGGCCTCCCAAAGTGCTGGGATTACAGGCGTGAGCCACCGCACGCAGCCCAGGTATTATTTTACAGCAACGCAAAACAGACTAAGACACCTGGTTTGGAAGTTTTTAAAACAGCTCCATATTTACATTTTTTTCTCTTTGTATTCCTACTAAAACAAGCTCACTAAAGGAAGGAACCAGAATGCAAGGGAAGAAAAGAACAGCACAAAGATTAATATTTCAAGATGTCCTTTCTTTGCACATTTTAATGTAGAGCTCTTCAGAGATTCATTGCCCTAATTTTGGGGTCCAATCTCAGAGTACCCCTGTATGCTCTTCTCAACGATGACCAGTAACTTGAGAAACCAGGAGGTAGGAAACTTGACCAGGGCCAACTGTGAGAATGAAATCTGATCATGATAAACACCAGAGTGCCTGACACAGAGCAGAATCTAAACCTCTCTGAACTTCATTTTTATCATCTGCAAAATGTAGATAACTGTTAGGTACAGAGGTTAATTTCATGTGGAAATTTCATAGCTTGCACATAGTGGATGTTCAATAAATATTCACTAAACTTTAAAACACTTTATTTTTGCAGGAATCTGAATTATGCCCAGTAATGCCTAGGTTCAGATTAATTATTACAAAAGCAGCACGGTAATTCCTTGTTTACATAGTGTATATAGTGTGTAACTTTCCCCTTTTCCCTGGAGGCCTTAGTATCAGTCTTCAAATCAAGTACTTGATTTTATGTTCACATTTTTTTTTCTCTTTCAGTTCACAAAGGTGGAAGTGATGGCTCCAGAATCTCTATATAGAAGGTTTCAATTGGATTAAAAAGAGGCTTGAGACTTGAAGTTGCATTTACATAAAACACAGCTGCTATAAATATTCATGTGCAGGTTTTTGTGGGAACATAAGTCTTGATTTCTCTGGGATAATAAATGCCCAGGAGTAGAACTGCTGGGTTGTATGGCAGTTGCATGTTGCGTTTTATCAGAAATTGCCAAACATTTTTGCAGAATGACTGTATCACTTGACATTCCCACCAGTGGGATCCAGTTTCGCTGCATTTCTCCTCACAGCATTTGGTGATGATGATACTATTTTTAATTTTAGCTGTTCTGATAGGTGTGTAGTAATATCCCATTGTGACTTTTAATTTGCATTTCTCTAATGGCTAACGGTGTTGAACATCTTTTCAGGTCTTATTTTCCATTTGTATGTCTTCTTTGGCGAAATGTCCCTTCATGTCCTGTACTCATTTTATAATTGGATTTTTGGGGGTTTTACTATTGAGTTTCAAGAGTTCTTTATATATTCTAGATACTAGTCTTTGTCAGATATGTGGTTTGCAAATATTTTTTTCTCCCACTCCATAATTTGTCTTTTTGTCCTCTTAACAGGGCCTTTTGCAGAACAAAAATTTTTATATTATTATTATTGTACATATATTTTTTGAGACAGGGTCTCACTCTGTCACCCAGGCTGGAGTGCAGTGGCAGGACCTTAGTTCACTCAGCCTCCAGAGTATCTGGAACTACTGGCGTGCACCACCACGCCCAGATAATTTTTTGTCTTTATGTAGAGACAGAGTTTTACCATGTTGCCCAGGCTGGTCTCAAACTCCTGAGCTCAAGTGATCTGCTGGCCTCAGCCTCCCAAAGTGTTGGGATTATAGGGGTGAGCCACCATGCCCAGCAAAAATTTTTAATTTTGATGAAATCCAATTTATTAATTTTTACTTTTATGGATAAGCTTTTGTTGTCAAGACTAAGAACTCTCTGCCTAACCCCAGGTCCTGAAGATTTTTTCCTGTTTCTTTCTAAAAGTTTCATAATTTTATATTTAGGTCTATAACCCAATTTTTAGTTAATTTTTGTATAATACGTACAACTTAGTTTGAGGTTTTTGTTTTGTTTTGTTTGCTTACAGATGTCCTATTGCTACAGCACTATTTATTGAAACATATGTACCATCACTGAACTGCTTTTGCATCTTGTCAAAAATCAGTTGGGCATATTTGTGTAAGTTTATTTTTGAGTTCTTTTGATTATTATCATTATATAATACATCTTGAAATCCAGTAGACCAATTTCTACTACTTAATTTTCCTTTTTCAAAAAAAATTTTTTTTTTTTTTGAGACGGAGTCTCACTCTGTCACTCAGGCTGGAGTGCAGTAGCGCCATCTCCGCTCACTGCAAGCTCCGCCTCCTGGATTCACGCCATTCTCCTGCCTCAGCCTCCTGAGTAGCTGGGACTACAGGCGCGTGCCACCACGCCCGGCTAATTTTTTTGTATTTTTTAGTAGAGACGGGGTTTCACCATGTTAGCCAGGACGGTCTCGATCTCCTGACCTGGTGATCTGCCCACCTCAGCCTCCCAAAGTGCTGGGATTACAGGCGTGAGCCACCACGCCCGGCGTCCTTTTTCAAAATTTTTAATCTATTCTACTTCCTTTGCTTTCTCATATAAAATTTAGAATACTTTTATCTATATCTACAAAATTCTTCTGTGATTTTAATAGAAATTGAGTTAACCCTGTACATCAGTTTAGGGATAACCGACATTTTCACTATGTTGTCCTCCAGTCCATGAACATGATATGGCCCTTCGATGTCTTTATTTAGATCTTTGATGTCTTTCATCAATGTTGTACAGTTTTCACCATAAAGTCCTGTATGTGTCATATTAGATTTATACCTAAATATTTCTCTTTTGTTGAGCAATTATAAATGGCATTTTATTTTTAATTTCAGTGTACATGTGTTCATCTCTAGTATATAGAAATATAATGCATGTTATTTTGCATCTTCCATCCTATGACCTTGTTGAACTTATTACTTCTAGGATTTTTTTTTGTAGATTCCTTGAAATTTTCTGCATAGTCAATCACATTATCTGCATATAGAAATAATTTTATTTCTCTTTTACTGATCCATATACCTTTTATTTCTTGCATTATTAATTGAATAGAACTTCCAGTACTATGTTGAATAAGAATATTGAGTGTGGACGTCCTTACCTTATTCCCAGTCTTAGGAAGAAAGCATCCAGTCTCTCACCATTAAATATAATTGCAATAGAATTATTTTGGTAGATGTTCTTTATCGTGTTGAAAAAGTTCCCCTTTATTTATATTTTTGGGGTTTTCTTAACCATTAAAAGATGTTAAATGCTCTCAAATACTGTTTCCGCAGCAATTGATATAATCATGTGATTTTTTATTTCTGTCTGTTAATATGATATATTAAACTGATTTTTGGATATTGAACCACGCTTACATCCCTGGAATAATCCCCATTTGGTCATGATGTGTAACCATTTTTATGTTGCTGAATTCTATTTGCCAGTTTTTAAGGGATTTTTGTATCTATCACAGGAGACATTGTTCTGTAGTTTTTTTTTTTTCACTGTTTTGTCTTGTTTGGGTATATGGTAAGAGTAACTTCATAAAATTAATGGAGATATATTTCCTCCTTTTGCATATTCTGGGAGAGATTGTACAGAATTTGTATTAATTCTTCTTTAAACATCTGGTGGAATTCTGTGATGAAAACGTCTGGGACTGGAGATTTCTTTGGGGAGAATTTTAAACATTTCTAATTTAATGTCCTTAAAGTTATAGGGCTATTTAAATGATCTATTTCATATTGAGTGAGTTATAGTTTTTTTTCAAAGTGTCAGTCCGTTTCACTTCAGTTGTCAAATTTATATATGTAGAGTTGTTCATAGTATTCCCTTATTATCCTTTTGATGCCTTCAGGGTCTTCCCTGAGGTCTTCAGAGATATGCCATTTTATTCCTGATATTGATAATATGTGCCTTCTCTCTTTTTTCTTTGTAAGTCTTGATAGAGGCTTGTCAATCTGATTGATTCCTTTAAAGAAACAGCTTTTTGTTTCATTGATTTTCTCTATTGCCTTTCTGTTTTTGTTTTTATTAATTTCTGCTCTTATCTTTACTAGTTCATTTCTTTGTCTTGTTTTGGGTTTATTCTGCTCCTCTTTTTTTAAGTTTGGTCATGGGAGCTTAGATTATGTATTTGAGACTTTTCCTCTTTCTAATGTATGCATTAAATTTCCCTCTCAGCATTTCTCTAGCTATGTCCCACAAATTTTGACATGTTGTATTTTCATCTTCATGTAGTTCAATGTATTCTTGTTTCCCCTTGAGACTTCCTCTTTGACCCATGGATTCTTTAGAAGGGCTCTTTCATCTCCAAGTTTAACAGAAATGTTATTTCCAAAATAACAGAAAGTTTTCCTTTCTGTTATTTGTTTTTAATTTTATTCCATTGTGTTCAGACAACACACTGTATGATTTACTTATTTTAAATTGTTGAGGTTTGTTTTATGGCCCAGGATATGATCTATATTGGCATATGATCCACATGCACTTGAAAGGAATGAATTTTCAGCTGCGTTTGGGTGAAGTGTTCTTCAAATGTTGACTAAATTCTGTTAGTTGATTGTACTGTTGATTTTTTTTTTTTTTTTTTTTTGAGACTGAGTCTCACTCTGTCACCAGGCTGAAGCGCAATGGCACAATCTTGGCTCACTGCAACCTCTGCCTCCTGGGTTTAAGTGATCCTCCTGCCTCAGCCTTCTGAGTAGCTGGGACTACAGGCATGCACTACCACACCCAGCTAATTTTTTGTATTTTTAGTGGAAACGGTTTCATCATGTTGGCCAAGCTGGTCTCGAACTCCTGACCTCGTGATCCACCCGCCTCAGCCTCCCAAAGTGCTGGGATTACAGCATAAGCCACCGTGCCCAGCCTTGTTGAGTTCTTTTACATCCTTGCTGATTTACTCTCTGGTAGTTGTATCAATTGTTGAAATAAAGATATTGAAGTCTCCAACTATAATTGTGGATTTGTCTATTTCTCTGTTCAGTTCTATCAGTTTTTGTTTCACATATTTTTCAGCTCTGTTGTTTGTTGCATACACATTTAGGATGCTATGTCTTCTTGGTGGATTGACTCTTTTGTTATTATCAATATTCCCTGTCTCTGGTAATTTTCTTTCTTCTGAAGAGTACTGTATTTGATATTAATATAGTTAATCCTTCTTTTCTTTATTTAATATTTACGTGATTTTTTTTTCATCCTTTCAGGTTCACCCTATATCATTTTATTCGAAGTAAGTTTCTTCTAGACAGCATATAGTTGGGTCATGTTTTTAATTCACTCTGGCAATCTCTGCCTTTTAATTAGTGTATTTAGAAAACTTACATTTAATGTAATTATGGATGTTTTAGGGTTTATGTCTGCCATTTTATTTTTTCTCTCTGTTTTTCATCTCTCTGTTTTTTCCCCTCCCTTCTTTTGGCTTACTTGAATATTCTTTAGAATTCTATTTTGATTTATCTATAGTATTTTTAGTATATCTCTTTATATAGCTTTTATGGTGGTTGCTCTAAGTGTTACATCATATACATATAACTTATTATAGTCTACTAGTATCATAATTTTAATAGTTCAAATAAAGGATAAAAACTTTACCTTCCTCTAGATTTCTTTTTTTTTTTTCTTTTTTGAGATGGAGTTTTGCTCTTGTCACCCAGGCTGGAGTAAAATAGCACGATCTTGGCTCACTGCAACCTCCACCTCCCAGGTTCAAGCGATTCTCCTGCCTCAGCCTCCCAAGTAGCTGGGATTACAGGCATGTGCTACCACACCCGGCTAATTTTTGTATTATTAGTAGAGACGGGGTTTCACCATGTTGGCCAGGCTGGTCTCAAACTCCTGACCTCAAATGATCTGCCCACCTTGGCCTCCCAAAGTGCTGGGATTACAGGTGTGAGCCACCATGCTTGGTCTAGATTTCTTTACTCTCCCACATTTACAATATGATCATCTTAAATATTCATACATTTTAGAACCATATTATACCGTGTTATTATTTTTGCTTCAACCATACAATGTAATTTGGAAAACTCAAGATGAGAAGGAAAGCCTATTATATTTACCCATATGTTTGTTTATAGCGTTCTTCCTTCTTTCCTTCCTGATATTACAAGTTTCCTTCTTTTGTTGTTTCCTCTCTATTTAAAAAACTTTCTTTAGCCATTTTTTTATGGTAGGTTTGCTGGTGACAAATTCTCTTAATTTTCATTCATCTGAGAATATCTTGATTTTCATTTCACTCCCGAAAGGTAGTTTTGCAAGATGCTGGGTGGATGGTTCTTTTCTTTCAGCACTTGAAAAATGTTGTACCACTTCCTTCTGGTTCTCCTGATTTCTGACCAGAAATCTGCTGTCATTTTAACTGCTTTCTCCTCTAGGTAAAATGTCCATTTTCTCAGCCTTCAAGATTTTTTCATTGTCTTTAGTTTTCAGAAGCTTAATTATAATTGTGAGTTGGTGTGAATTTCTTCAGATATATTCTGTTTGGGGTTCACTCAGCTTCTTGAATCTGTAGGATTATATCTCTTGCCAAATTCAGAAAGTTTTCAGCCATTATTTTTTAAAGTACATTTTTAGCTCTGTCCTCGTCTTATCTCCTTCCGGGGCTCTGATGACACAAATGTTAAAGCTCTTGTTTTAGTCCCACAGGCCTCTGAGACTGTTTCTTTTTCTTCCAGCATATTTTTCTCTCAGTTTTTCAAACAGTAATTTCTGTTATTCTTTCTTCTACCTCACTGATTATTTCTTCTATCTCCTCCATTCTGCTGTCTCCTTCATTCTGCTTTTCACTAAGTTTCTTGTTTTCATTCTGTATTATTCAGTTCATTTAGTTCTTCTTTGTATGCTTCTATTTCTTCTATTTCTTTCCTGTGACTTTCTGTTTCTTTGCTGAGGTTTTCAACTTTTTCATTTGTTTCAAGTGTGTGCATGATTGCTATTGCTGCTTTTATCATGGCTGCTTAAAATTTGTCAGATAATTCTAACATCACTGTCATCTCATTGTTGGGTTCTATGAATTGCCTTTTTCATTCAGTTTGAGAGCTTTCTGGTTCTTGGTATGATAAGTGGTCCTGGATATGTTCATATTATGAGACTGGATCTTAACTAAACTTGGTTCTACTGACTTTTTCTGATACAGTTCTGGTAGGTGAAAGAGAGGAATGCTGCCTTATTCTTCCTAGGTGGGGGTAGAAGTCCTGGTTCCCCACTTAGCTAACAAATAGTTGAGCATGGAGGGCATCTTTATTGCTGCTGGGCAGGGTGGGAATTCTAGCTCCTCACATGGCCATTAGACACAGTGGTGGAGATGGCCCATTGCTGCTGAGTGATGGTGAAAGTCCTTACCATTCACTAGGCCCCCTCTGATACCATCCCAGCAAAGAGGGGGAGAGGTACCTCATTACTGCCAGGTGGGGATAGAAGTGTTTAATCAAGGTCACAAAGTTAGTGAGTCATGAAGTTGGAATTCAGGCCCAGGCATCTTAGTCTCCAAAGCCCAAGGTATTAACTACACCATCAAAATGCTGTGAGCTGTGATTATAACTACATACAAATATTTGTATATATATATCCAAAGACTGGAGAGTTATAGAGAGATGGGAAAAGTAATTCAACTAGAGTGATGAAATATGACCACCTTTTTTTTTATTTTTTTGAGACGGAGTTTCACTCTGTTATCAGGCTGGAGTGCAGTGGCATGATCTCGGCTCACTGCAACCTCTGCCTGCCAGGTTCAAGCGATTCTCCTGCCTCAGCCTCTTGAGTAGCTAGGACTACAGGTGTGTGCCACCATGCCCGGCTAATTTTTGTATTTTTAGTAGAGACAGGGTTCACCATGTTGGCCAGGATGGTCTTGATCCCTTGACCTCGTGATCTGCCTGCCTTGGCCTCCCAAAGTGCTGGGATGACAGGTGTGAGCCACCGCGCCCGGCCATCTCGTCCCTTCTTAACATTCCTTGACTGCTCCCATTTGCTTCTTCTTTTGCTTTCTTACTGACTTCTGAGATTTGAAATGCTACTTTCTTATTTGCTTCTGAGATTCTGGCGTAGTAAAACTTCCTTCAAGCAAGGAATAAATTCTACTATCCACATACCTGAATGGGATCAAATAATGGCATTACATACTGTTTTGTTTCTATTTGAAAGTTAAGTTATTTAAATTCAATAGTTTTCAATAACATTCAAAAGCTGAATGAAGTGAGACCTCTGATTAACAATCTTGCATCTATTTGTAAAGTCTCATATCATCAGCCACTCTAAAGTATCTTAATGCCAGAATATTTGTGCTGAATATTTTCCATGTTTTTTTCCAGATCCACTTACCTTTCTTTTTCATTCCACTTAGGGCTTCAGGTGGCTGACCTTTGTGGATTGCATTAACTGCCTTCTGGCAGTTGGGCTCAACTAATTGGATGCCATGCCAAGACACAAGAGGGTGAGTGGAAATCATCAAGGCCAGGATACTCATTTCCTTCCTTCTCTACTAGGTCATCATGCGTTAACTGTCTCCCATTCAAAGGCCACAGCTCCTGTCTATCAGCCCTTTCATACAACTATCTGTCTGAGTCCATTACCTTGCGTCCTCCTATGACCTATTCAGGCCTAGAAGTGATACCATTGTTGCCAACCCTGGAATACTGCACCATTCCTTGTTAGTTTTCCTTAACATGACCACACCTTTGTAAACGCTCCCTTTGTTGAACACGCCTCACCATGTTCAAGACTAACATCTTAACTGACAGAATATCCTATCCAATTCTTCCATTTTCTTTCAACACTCCAAGGGCAACTCCCATAAGTCTTTCATTTTTCAAAGTAAACAAATGTTTCATCAACAAGTTAACCTTTGTACTAATATCAATAATACTCTGAGATGCAATCAGTAAAACAAATATTCAATATTTAGCCTAAACTGTTATTTTAAAAAACAACACACAAATTAAGCAACAATGAACTTAGTACATTGCCAGTCAGTTCCCATTATACTGGCAAAAACATAAAAAATGACATTACTAGTTGGTGAGGAGATGGTAAAGCTGGTACATATACTTGAAGTATATTCTTACTTCAAGAGGTATAATCTTTGAAAACTATGTTAATTGGTATAACCTTTGAAAAGCCATTCAGCAATATATTTTGAAAATCATTCACTATACTTTTGATCCAATAATTCCGCTGCTGAATAGTTCATCCAAAATAAAGTAATTTTAAAAAGTCAAATGGCTTGGGAAGAAATAGATAAATAAATAAAATTAAATGGCTTAGGAGAAAATAGGTAAATAAAATTAAAGGGCTATATTAGTGTTTAAGTTAATTTAATCATTATTTAAAATAAAACAGAACACAACACTGGAAGCAACTCAAATATCCACTTACTGAAAAATTGCTGAGCAAATAAAATAAGAAAGTTAAGTAACAATAAGAGAACATTCTTATTATGTAATGCTAAACTGAAAAGCATACTACAAAATTGTAGTGATGCTATATCTATGTAAAATGATATATGCATGTGGTCAAAAACAAAAATCAAACATGTAAAATAAAGATAATTTTTTTTTTTTGAGACAGGGTCTTATTCTATTGCCCAAGCTGGGTTGCTGTGGCACAATCTCAGCTCACTGCAGCCTCAATCTCCTGGGCTCAAACAATCCTCCTACCTCAGCCTCCCAAATAGCTGTCTCATCCTCTCCACACCTGGATAATTTTTTTTTTTTTTTTGTAGAGATGGAGTCTCCCTATATTGCCCAAGTGGTCTCAAACTCCTGGGCTCAAACTCCAGCCTCAGCCTCCTGAAGTATTGGGATTACAAGTGTGAGCCACTGTACCTGGACACAGTTGATTTTTTTAAGATGATAGGATTATGGTTGATTATTATTTCTTTTCACTTATTTTGTCTGTACAGCTAATTTTTAAATGGGGGTTAAAGGACACTTCACTAAGATAATAATCACTACCATGTATGTACCATATTATATACCATCATACAGCATTTACATATGTTAGAAGGCTACTGCATGAGGCAGTGTAATCCTCATTTTAGACATGAGGAAACTGAGGCTCTGAGAATTAAACAAACTTGCTCAAGAACACAGTGGAAATAAGAAGTAGAGCACAGAGTCAAACCCAAAGCCTGCAGCACATAGCTGTCTGCTGTAAGATCTGGCTGAAAGGACTGGACCCTAAATCAGTGCACCCTTCCGGAGGCTTCCCTCCCCGATTGTCATAACAGGGGAGGAAAATTCTTGACTCTTCTGTTCCTCTGACCATCCCCACTGAATCTCAAGATCCTGACTGCCGGAATGCAGGCATCCCCATGTCTCAATTCTTGGCTTTTCCCTCTTTCTACCTCATCCCTCAGAAAGTTCAGCGATCTCCAGAGCTATAACTACCATTTCTCTGTGGATCTAGACCCCTTCATTCTCCTGTATTTAAAATCTGTATTTTCAACCACTTGGTAGGGGTTCTTATATGTTTGCATTTCAACCTAAACATGTCCAAGACCAAGCGCCCACTTCCCTCACAATGCTGCCTTGCCTCCTAACCTTCAACGTCCTTTAGTGATATGATCATTCTCCCCAGTAACCCAGGCAAAAACCTCTTTGAATTTCTCCCTGTTCTTTTCTATCCTCACATTCTGTCACTTGCCAAGGCATGTATTTAACAGATTCTTGCTTCACTTTGTCTATGCATCCTTCTCATCTTTGTCATTCCCACTGCCTCAATCCAAGTTCAGGCTCATTAACTTTCAACTGGACTATCATAATCCTCAGAAATTAGTTTGGACTCATAAATAACCCCACATTAGCTTTTGCCTTGCAATCACACACATATGCACACACACACACACGTGCACATGCATGCACACACACATACTCCCAGGCCCAACTCGCACCTACTGAATCAGAACCTTTAAAAGTACAATGAAGTCAGGGAATTTTTTTAAATCTCCAAGTGATTCTGATATAAAGCCAGGTTGAGGAGACCCTGACCTATGGTTCCTTGCCTCTAGTTCTTTTTTCAAAAACCCTCCTTTCCAAATTTTAATCTAGATTGTACATTGTTTTCAGATAAACCTTTCGAAAACATATGCTTACATAACTCTTTTCACAGACCTCCACTGGCTCCCCCTAAAGCACCTTCTGAAGTGTATACCTCCTAACAGCTATAATCCAGGGAGGAGTCCTGCATTAAGTTTAACCAGTTTTTTTAAATACAGAACTCCTCAGCTTTTATTATGCAATTATATGGTGTGAATTTTCAAGAGGGAGGGATATAGCATGTGTAGTTCTCAAACTTACCTGACCCTGGAACGTTCTCTTGTGAAACATCTCATTGCCCTGAGGTTCTGAGGAAGCTTCCAGGAAAGGGTAGCCTATAAGATAAATTCCAAACTCCTAAACCTGGCCCCAAGGTACCCTATACCCAATCTGCCTTTCCAATCTTGTCATGTGCATGAGTCCCAAACACCCTACTCAGATGAAGCTATTTGCTGTTCTACCAATACTTACTGTTCGCTCTCAGTTGAGGTGGACAAAGCATTATGGCAAAAGTCAAACGGAAATCCGCCACTCTGGATACTTTTCCTCTCAATTCACAGGCCCATTTCTATTTACCAACTAAAATGTATGTTTACATGATTTAGACTAGAGCCTTAACTGAAAAAAAAAGTCTAGGTTCTCCCTCTATGCTAAAGAATGGTATCAATAATGTGCCCACATATTCACTGCACATTCACAGATGTGTGCACACTAAGTAAGCTTGATTATTTGGTGTTACAGGGTAAGAAACTGATTTTTGTTTTTGATGCTTTTATTTGTTTACTAAAGAAACTTACAAGATTGGATTGCTGGGGGGGGGAGGAGAGGAAGAGAGAACCTAAGGAATCCATATGGACTGGGCGCCATGGCTCATGCCTATAATCCCACCACTTTGGGAGGCCGAGGTGGGAGGATCACTTGAGCCCACGAGTTCAAGGCCAGCCTGGGCAACATAGCGAGACACTGTCTCTACAAAAAAAATTTAAAAATTAGCCAGGTGTGGTGGTATGTGCCTGTAATCCCAGCTACTTGGGAGGCTGAGATGGGAGGGGAAGATTGCTTGAGCCTGGGAGGTTGAGGTTGCAGTGAGCTGTGATTGCACCACTGCACTCCAGCCTAGGTGTCAGAGCAAGACCCTGTCTCCAAAACAAGAAATAAATATGGCCAGGAGTATACAGACAGACTCCATCAAGCTTTCTTCCACTAAATCTGAGACCGTCAGACAAATATCTTCTTGCTTTTGGATCATAGTTACCATTAAAGCAATTCAATGATTAAGAGAGGAATTTCAGAGCTTTTTTGTTTTCTTTTGGTTAACCAAACCAACTGGATGTTTGAAAATCGGTCTCCTTCAAACCCCAAGTGCAGTTACTTCTTGGGGCAATTGAACCACTCTTGTTTAGAACAAGGGCTCCTTAGGTAAGCATCCTGCTCCAAGTTAGGTTACGTGTATCATGGTTTCTGCTGCACAAAACAGAAACCTGACTATGGTGACTGAAACAAGTGGTTTATTCCCTTGAATAAGAAATCTGGATGTCGGTTCTCCAGGGTTGGCCATCCAAGGATCAGACCCCTCTTACCTTTCTGTTTGCCCTCCTTATGTCTGTTGTGTTCCAGTAAGAAAGAAAGAGGAAGAATAAAGAGGAAAAGCCAAATGCCAACTTTTTATGAGGGAAAAAATGGCTTTTCTGAGATCCCCATAAATTAGACCAATGAGATGTAAATCTCATTGGCCAGAATGACATTACATTACTACCCTGAACAGCAAGGAAGTTTAGAGAATAGAGCCTTTTAGGGGACAAACTGCTACCCACCCCAAAATTGGTCCTGTTTGCAAGGAAGAAGGGGAGAATTAATATGAAGGAGTCAGCTGGAAGTATCACCAGAATGAAAGCACCAAGCTACCTACCCTGACAGGCAGAGCACTTGTATCTTCCATATGGACACATCCAAAAAGATCAGGCATCTATACAAACACCTGTGCTCTGTCTACCCACCTGTATTGAAATGCATATATGTAACTCGTATAGCTTCCAGAGTTTCTTCTATATATAGCACTAAGCAAATTGCTTATACAGGGATTACTCAACATTCCTGAGATCATCTAGTTATTGAGCATTTAAAGCCAACTTTCGGCATATATAATATAAAGCACAGTGTATTCTGAAAATCTCAATTCTCATAAAATCTGAATATCCTGATCTGGAAAAACTGCTTTTGCCCAGAGCAAAAAGATTGGGAGACATCTGAATGACAAGTTTTGTCTATAATTTAGTGAGTTTCACTCATTCATGCATTTGCACACTCCCTGAAAAGTAGAAGGATTGTCTCCCTTAGCTCGCTGTTGCTGAATCCCACTGAAACTATAGTTTTTCAGGGGGAATTGTTGCAAAAGAGTCCACTGTGAGTTTACTGTGTACTAAATGACTTGAACTTAAGAAGCTGGGCAAGCTTCAGACATAACCTTCTCAAACAAGGCAGACGAAAGAAATGTTAACAGCAAATAAATGGGCCAGTGAAAATGAACACCTCATTCTTTCTGCAAAGGTTCAAGAGAAATAATCATTAAAGACATTGTCACTTTCCAAAGAGCTTTATTGCAATTGCATGCAAGATTTTAGTGAGGCCAGGAGAATTGAGCTGGCATCTTTCTCCCTGCCTGTGACTCAGGCCAGGTAGCTCTTTTCAATAGCACTTGTTAATCTTGTTAAATCTTAAGTACCTCTTGGTTTTATGAGCCATGCTTACTTTCCCTTCTAGCCCTCATTGACCTTGCTGTCTTTGTGTGGCTTGAATGTCATCTCATGAAAGAAGTGCACAGTTAATTCTAGAACAACATCAGGCTGAAGAGTATGTGTGTGGCCTGCATTTCAGGGTAGAAGCAGAGGGTGAAGGTTCATATTGATGCCCATCAAATTCATTTTAGATCTCTCTATGACCGGATATATTTTAGAGGTTGAATTTTAGTGAGCTGGCTATTGTGTTTTTGTCTCTGTTTTTTAGAAAGGGAAAATGAATGTGTACTAAGGTTGGTACAGGTGAGTGGAAATGCATCACACATGGGAGTAGAAAATGAATTTAGTTGGTCCAGCCCCACTGGACAAAAACCTAGCAGTATAAAACTATTAGATGTGTATACCCTATGTTCCAGCAATTTCACCTCTTAGTGGTCAAATGCTTTGATTTTTATAAGAATGTGTCCTGACTCTTTGTTGAGTATAGCATTCTACGAAAGAGCTCACCTTTTGATACTGAATCCAGCTCTTGGAAGAGACAAGTGTTCTGGAAGCAGAGGTGGCTCCCAAATGCAGTGTCTGAGGATTAAATATAAGCATTTCAAAGTCCAGAAATAGACTTTTTTCCTTTTATCTTTTATTGACACGTAATAATTGTAGATATTTATGGAATATAGAGTGACATTTTGATCAGGGAAATGCAAATCAAAACCACAATGAGATATCATCTCACGCCAGTTGGAATGGCTATTATCAAAAAGGCAAAAAAATAACAAATGCTGATGAGGAGGCAGAGAGAAGGGAACTTATACAGTGTCGGTGAGAATGTAAATTAGTGCAACCACTATGGAGAACGGTCTGGAGGTTTCTCAAAAAACTAGCAATAGAACTACCATATGCTCCACCTTTTTTGTTCTCCCTGGAATATGGCTTATTTTCACTGGGTTCCACCAACTGTGCGCAGCTGAGAAGTGACTACAGGAAGGCAGTTCAGAATCACCAAGGGGTCAGTGGGGAATGTGCAGGATTCCAAGACTCCTCTCACTCCACCATTGCTGCCATCCCCACAGCTAGACAATGACCCTCCACACTTATTCCTGCCTCTGCCTTCATAAGGTTTGTCAGGTTTGAGAAAACATTCTTCAATAAAATGCTAGATTTCAGAAATAAGTTATTTACTCCCTCCCCAAACACAAACTGTTTACTCCAGGAAAAGCTGTGTTCCTCTGAAACCATGCTCATTTTCCAGAGGATGGTACTAGAAATATGTTATGCTCCGGATACACTGTCTCTTCACATTCTCTTAATTTGGCTTAGTGTAATAAATGAGCTTGGGTATCTACTCTAAGCAAGATCTGTTGTTGGCCTCATGAGTTCTCTTCTAGTTGGTGTACATTACTTTTTAAACACCTCTGTACTTGCTTTCCTTTGTGAATTATTTACAGTATTGTTATGCTGTGGGCTATAGGGCAAGTTTCTAAAATGGCTTTATGTGTTACGAAAATGGGCAAATGAATAAATCATGTTAAAATATCCACAAGAGAATGGAATAGAATATGTCACAAGGGAAAGAACCTGTTAACATAAGGGTCAATGATGGTGACATAATCAGCTCAGTAACAAGAATAACCTTCATTCAGATCCCAAGTAGAATCCTTTAATCCCCCTGGCTCAGAGGACACATTTGGTCTGTTGGGAAGTTTATATGTCACATTGCTGAATTGTATCCCGGCTGCCTATTTTTGCAGAGTGCTTACTACCAAGATTTTGTTCCAGCCTTTTGGACTATGCTTGATATACAAATAAAAGTAACAAGGGATTAAAACAGAATTCTTCTATTGGGCTCAGAGAGGACTCTTCACCAACTCCGGAAAAAGAATTTGAAGCCAGTTAATCCCACTGGAGCTAAAAGTCTTAAGGATAATAACTTTTATTACATGAACTCTTCTAGACAAAAATAGAATTGTAAGTTAGGGGGAAATGTGTATTCTGCATCATCCAAAATAAAATTTGCCATCCTTGGATTTCTTCCTTGCCTAAGCCCAGTCTTTAGAACAAGAAGTATGATTTCACAATGTAGGAAATTATTTTAAAATATCTTTGAAAGCCCGGGTGCAGTGGCTTACACTTGTAATCCTAGCACTTTGAGAGGCCAAGGCAGGAGGATTGCTTGAGTCCAGGAGTTGAAGACCAGCCTGGGCAACACAGTGAGACCTCATCTCTACAAAAAATAAAGAAAATTTTAAAAGTAACATGCGTGGTGGCCCATGCATGTAGCCCCAGCTACTCAGGAGGCTGAGATGGGAGGATTGCTTGAACCCAGGAGGTCAAGGCTGCATTGAGCCAAAATCAAACTACTGTGCTCCAGCCTGGGAACACAGCAAGACACTGTCTCAAAAATAAATAAATAAATAAATATCTTTAAAAGATTATGTGTAGCTAGGCTGGGCACGGTGGCTTATGCCTGTAATCCCAGCACTTTGGGAGGCTAAGGCGGGTGGATCACCTGAAGTCAGGAGTTCGAGGCCAGCCTGACCAACATGGCGAAACCCGTCTCTACTAAAAATACAAAAAATTAGCCAGGCGTGGTGGCGCGTGCCTGTAATCCCAGCTACTTGGGAGGCTGAGGCAGGAGAATCGCTTGAACCTGGGAGGTGGAGGTTGCAGTAAGCTGAGATCGTGCCACTGCACTCCAGCCTGGGCAACAGAGCAAGACTCTGTCTCAAAAAAAAAAGAGTATGTGTAGCTATAATTCCACAAAGGTGACGGGAAATGTTCTACTGCCTCTAGATTTCCTCTGTCCCCCAACTTCAGTCTGAGTCCACACATTGCCATTCTGAGGAACAGCCATATACCCACACTGAGCCCTCTCCCGCCCTCTTGGTCATGCACAGTGTTGTATTGTCTTACAGACCCTACTGAAGAGCGCCCACAGCCCACACTGCTCATGCCTGCAGAACGCCTTCCTCTCCCTTCTTCACCCTCTTTCTCATGGTGCTTCCTAATTTTCCCTCAGGTCCTTTTCTCTACTAACGCTTCACTTGCCTGGCAGAGCTCAGAGGTGGCCAGCCCCACCCTACATTTTACAACCTTTCTTCCACCTACTCACTCTCTTGTCCTAAACACTAAAGAGGACCTTTCCTCTTCCCAGGTCATCATAAGAACCCCAGCACATACGGTCTGGTCCTGGAATTCAAGCCCAGTCATTGCACCTCAGCCTCTAGTTCTGATTCCTAGATTTTTGCAGGCAGGATTTAATATTTAAGTGCCACAGACAACCCCAAATTATCACCTTTTGATGTCGTTCTTAATACATGCACCAGATCAGGCAAACACACACACACGCACACACCACCTTACAAAGAACTAAATAAAAAACTGAAGCACTGATGTGAGTGCACTTTACAACGTCAAAGTGTAGTGCCAATATTGCTGTCATTATTATTATTAGGCTACCCTTAACCTTCTTTACGAAGTAATAAGACAGCATAGCTGAGTAGTTAACAGCTCTGATTCTAGAGCCACACTGCCTGGGTTAAATCCCAGCTCTGCTATCTGACCTAGTTTGGGAAGTTACCTAATTTCTCTGTACGTCAGTTTTTTCATCTGTAAAATGGGAGTAATAAAAGGACCTACCTCATAGGGTTGTTACAAGGGTCAAATGAATTAACATTTGAGCAGATACAGAGATGCAATCCCCACATTCCACTTCAAGGAAGAACTCACTGCTCAATTGCAGGGACTATGGTCAGCAGACACCCTCCCCCTAGCTCTCAGCAACTCCAGTTTGGCTCAGCTGCAGAAGAGCTGCCTTGCCTCAAGCTGTGCTCTTCCTTGCTGGGGGCGGGGGGCAGGGCACATTCGGTGACTGAGTGAGGTGGGGGCCTGATGCAGGACACTCTGCCAGATTGGCTGAGGTTTTGCTGAGCCTACGTTGCAGTTCGACTTCTTCCTGCTTTCCCTTCAAAGGTGTTAATCCCTAATAAGCATCTCACACCCTGAACTCTGTTTCAACTACTGCTTCCAGAGAACCCAATCTGTGGCGGTATTTGTCAAGTACTTAGAAAAGTACCTAGCACATAGTGAACACTACACAGTGCTTGTTAAATAAAATTAAGTAAGTAATCTGGAAAAGGTAGCACTTCCATTGCTCATCCCTCTTACAGAAGATGTCAGAGTTAATGTTTGGCATTAGGGATATTAGGTTACTCTAAAGAGCCTGAGAGTTGACCTAATCAAGATGAGGAAACAATAATACCACTAATATAGACATTATATTGCTATGTTTGTGCTTTAGGATTTTTTTCACTATTATCTTTTCTGTGCTTGACCTTACAAATTCCATTTTTTATTGCTTACAAGGGTATTTTCTGACATTTTAAATTTAGGTTCAACAATTTTGGCTAATATTTAACATGAACTTACATAAAATCCATATGCTGTCTAGACTTGAGCCTTCTCGATGGTGGGAAGGACACCTAAGGGGAATTGTTCTGAGACCGTGAAACAGGAGGTCAGTAAGTGAATTCCAGCCTTGGGACCCTGGAGTCCTCAACAGCTATGAGGTTACATATCATCTGCAGATCTGTGGCCATGCATTATTCATCAACTCATCTATTCACTCATTCATTCAAACAACAAATCTTCATGCCTAATTCTCACAGTCATGAAAAAGACAAGATTCTGTGCTCAGGGATCTTACCTTCTGGGGTGGAAAGGCCACACCAGGTAATAAACAAGACAACTGGAGATGGAGATAAATACTGTGCAGATGAGGATGCAGTAAAAGGCCCTGGTTAGGGCTGCATTAGGGAAGGCTTCTCCCAGGAGGTGACATCTGAGCTAAGGATTTAAGGATGAAGAACCTGACAAGTGTTTGGGGAAGCACATTCCAGGTAGGGGGAACAGCAAATGCAAAGGCCCTAAAGCATGAGCACGCTTGGCTGCTGGAAGAACACCAGGGAGGCCAGTTTTCACTCAAGAGTGGGGAGCAGGAGAGAGCATGGCCCCCAGGTAAAGTTGGAGAGGCAGGTCCAGCTCCTACAGGGCCTTGAAGGTCATGGAAAAGGAATTCGGGATTTCATTCTAAATACCAAGAGAATCCAACAAGTGATTTTAAGGAGGGTTGACATTACACAATTTATGTTTTTAAAAGACCATGCTGCCTGGGCGCAGTGGCTCATGCCTATAATCCCAGCACTCTGGAAGGCCAAGGCAGGCAGATCACTTGAGGTCAGGAGTTCGAGACCAGCCTGGTCAACATGGTGAAACTCCATCTTTACTAAAAAAATACAAAAATTAACCAGGCGTGGTGGCACATGACTGTAGTCCCAGCCCAATCCCAGAGGCTGAGGCAGAAGAATCGCTTGAGCCAGGGAAATGGAGGTTGCAGTGAGCCAAGATTGTGCACTGCATTCCAGCCTGGGTAACAGAGCAAGACTCCGTCTCAAAAGAAAAAGAAAAAAAGACCACATTGACCAAACACAAGCTCAATATTGCAGAAGGAAACTGAATTACAATTTACTTACTATAAGGTGTAGATACTCTCTGATTCCTGGGTGATGCTCTATTTTAGCATTGTGTAATAATTACTAATGGCTTTGGGGTGAGCCTGTGGCTGTTTTATGATCTTCTATTAGAACATTGAGAATAAACAACATTGTGGACTAAAATCATTGTTAGACCTGATAAAACACACGTCCTGCTCATAATCAGCAATTCTGCCCATCCTCTTTTCTCTGAAGCTTATTCCTTCTCATTTCTATTAATATATCACCTGGCATGGGATAATCTATATAAATCATCTAGTGCCAACCCTTAGTTTTAACTTATCCAGAATAATTGTTAGCTATATCACCTTGGCTTGAAATGAGATGACACTCATTTTTCTGTCCGTCCTCGCTATAGCACCAGTCAGTCAACAATAACTAAAAGAGAAAAGGAGGCACAGTGGCCTCCTGAAAGACAGGAACTTACCTACTCCTGCTTCCAAAGAAGGATCATATAGAAATGGTATGTGTTTATTGGATCTTAATTTTCTCTTTCAGGCTGGGTGAGGATCTACTCAGTAAATCTAGCCTACAAAAGACAGGCTATAGAGGAAGAACCTGCTCAGGAGGATGGAGGAAGCCCAGATCTACTGGAAGGAGTGGGGAGGTGTCTGAAGGGCCAGGAATGACAAGGGCCAACCTGTCCAGGTGAGAAGAGCGGGTTACTATGGAAACAAGCCATTTTGTATTATTAAGTGATAGATGCACTAGGTGGGCAGAACTGGCTGGGATCTGTTGCATGTGGGAAGATTCCACCTTACTGTCAAGGAGAACACCTGTTAGCAGAGAAAGTGAGAAAGCACCACAGGGTAGAAATTTAATATTTGTATCTCTGCCTGAGTCATCTCAAAAAAAGAAAAAAGATATGAGGTTCTTCTCTTCCTCACGATGGAGTTTTCCCTGGCATTACACTGATGGGATCAAAATCAAGCCCAGACAGCTGCTTTGTGTTCTCTCCCCAAGTTACTTTTGTTTATTCCTGGTAATTAAAATGAGGATTGGCTTTTAGGAAAAGCTGAAACCTCAGCAAAAACAAAACAAAACAAAATAAAATAAACAAACAAAAAATACAAATCCCATTAAAAAGTGGGCAAAGGACATGAATAGACATTTCTCAAAAGAAGACATATGAATGGCCAACAGGTATATGAAAAAATGTTCAACATCACTCATCATCAGGAAAATGCAAATCAAAACCACAAGGAGGTATCATCTTACCCCAGTTAGAATAGCTATTACTAAAAAGAAAGAAATGACAAATGCTGGCAAGGTTTTGGAGAAAAGGGAACTCTTATACACTGTTGGTGGGAATGTAAGTTAGTACAGACATTATGGAAAACAGTATGGAGAGTTCTCAAAAAAAAAAAAAAAAAAAACTCTGCAAATAGAACTACCATAAAATCCAGTAATCCCACTTCTAGGTATTTATCCAAAGGAAAGGAAATCAGTATATCAAAGAGATACCTGCACTCCTATGCTTATTGCTGCACTATACACAATAGCAAAGACATGAAGCAACCTAAGTGTCCATCAATGGATGAATGGATAAAGAAAATGTGGTATATAAACACAATGAAATACTACTTGGCCACAAAAAACAGTTGAATCATATCATTTCCAGCAACATAAATGGAACTGGAGATCGTTATGTTAAGTGAAATAAGACAGGCACAGAATGACAAATATCACATATTTTCACTCATATGTGGGAGCTAAAAGAGTTGATTTCATGGAGGTAGAAAGTAGAAGGATTGTTACCAGAGGCTGAGAAGGGTGTGAGGGAGGCAGGGGATGAAGAGGGATTGGTTAACAGGTACGAACATACAGTTAGATAGAAGGAATAAGTTCTAATGTTCAATAGTAGAGTTGGGTGACTATAGTTAGCAATAATGTATTCTATATTTCAAAATAGCGAAAAAAGAGAACTTGAGATGTTCCCAACACACAGAAATGATAAATACTCGAGGTGATGGATACCCTAAAGACCTTGACTTGATCATTACACATTCTATGCCTGTAACAAAATATCACATGAACCCCCATAAAAATGTGCAAATAATACATAACAATTAAAATTAAAATTTAAAAAGCTGAAATTTCCCCTCTCCATTTTACCCCACCTTCACACACACACACACACACACACACACACACACACACGGCAATCTTTTAAAAAGTCGTGCCAGCCCAAAGCCTCCTGAATTTATACAGTTTGAACTAATTATCAGGTTTCAGAGAAGCACTGAACCAACAAAGGCCAATAATGTGAATGAATGAAATGTGCTGAGTTGAATCAATGTAGACTGTCAATGTGAATTTCTTCTTCGGTTTAAAACATTTTCTTCAACTCTTAATCTTTCTCTATGGGATAATCATTTGAACAATTCAGGCCTGAAATCAACATGTACCAGAAAAACTGGATTTAGATGGAAATCATATTACCTAAATGGAGGTGGGATGCAACGAGCCCCTGAATTGAAAGCATTTCATTTTGATTTTCTGGGCTCTGTTGCCATGTTGGCAAGGGAGCTCCTACATCCACTCTGAATATGTCACATGGAAGAGGCATTGTGCAGGGGAGGAATCTATGATATGAGGCTAGCAGAGATATCCTTAGGAAATATGTATCTAAGAGGAGGGCAAGTATTTTAAGTGCAAGTAATGCATGTGGTCGTTTTTGCTCTTTTAAAAAAACTAAAAATTATCATAATGGCAACTAAAACAGAGCATAGCTCAATAAATTGTTCTTGAATAAATAAATGAAGTATGCTTTCTCTCAGTCACCTTGGGCAATCAAATTTGGATGCCAGGTTTAAATTCCCAGGTCTCTTCTGGTTGGTGGTTTGCTCAGAAGCTGTGCTGTTAACCCATACTCTGTGTAGTTCACCTTTGAAAAAATCCAGAAATCTGTGTCATCCAAATATGTTTCCTCCAAAAATCAAATGACCACCTGGCAACATGCCTCCTGGGTTTTCCTCCCCATTAGTCAGGATTTCCAAATGACTGCTAAATCCAAATCTTGGTCTTCTTCCACCCAGCCAAGCCAGGCAAGTTTCCATGAAACTACAAAACTAAGAAGCCCTTTATGCCACTTGACAACAAGAAAATAAAATCACAGAGGCGGTAAAGAGGAGAACTATAAACGAGCAAATGAAAACAGAAATGACAAGCATAATGAGAGAGCATAATTAGGCCTGGAGCACCGCCACACAGGCCTGTCACATTCCTGATGGGTAAAAGATTGGCTGACCACAGACCCGCCTGTTGGAATTGCCAAAGGTGAGGCTGGAGAGAAGGCTCAGAAGCACATGGTTGACTCTTTATACACAAAAAGCTCCACTGGAAAGAGTGTTAAAATATCTCATTCACACTGTCAGTTCCAAATGCTGGAAGCAAGGGTTCTGTTTCCCTGGACAGCGCGCATTCCACTTCTCCATTGGCCAGGCTTTCTGTTCTAGGGAGGACTTCTCAGACACGTAAAGGGTCCACGGTGACATTCCCCGGGGCTTGAAGCAGAGCATACCTTTGAAGCCTTGAGCTCCTCCTGGGAATGCGT
Organism: Homo sapiens; assembly: GCF_000001405.40. Classification (NCBI taxonomy): domain Eukaryota; kingdom Metazoa; phylum Chordata; class Mammalia; order Primates; family Hominidae; genus Homo; species Homo sapiens. The sequence goes on from NC_000002.12 coordinate 64,448,501, forward strand.
TCATTATTCTCTTCTTAAGCTGGAGATTTTCTGAAATCAATCCTTTCTGCACTAAGTAATTAAAACACAAGCAGAAGGCTCATTCTAGTCTCCTCATAAATAAACCAAAAATAAGTGAAATGTTGGAACTGGCATTGACTGCCAAGTTTTATGGCTGTCCCCTAATTACTTTGGTACAACACACATTTGTGTGTGTCTAAAATAATTATTTGATAACCATGACCATAGTTCCTAAAATAATTAAGAACCATAATCACATTGTGAAATATAGAAATACAGCCTGATAAATGTTTGCCCTCCTACCTAAGTAGGTAAACAAAAGGATGCTGAGTTTGTGTATTTTGCTGCCTACATGAATATTGATCATGAGCGGACTGGCCTGAAAAAGCAATTATGCAGAACTGAAAGCTTGAATGGACCTGTAACACTGTGCAGTGTCTTATTCCTCAAAGTGGAATACCACCATCCTTTGAGAGCTGGGGTGAGGAGGGAGTCAAAGCTGCAGGGTAAACAAGATAAACATTTGGGATGCTGTACTATAGGTAAAGGCGTGGGGAGCACATTATGTCCACATCAAAATAAACATGGCAATATTATGGAACAGAATGCACAATGCACACAAATCTCTCAATATTACAAAGACATTTTGATCTGGCAGCTACACCCACAGGGTCCCTCATGGGTCATCCTTCAGTTTAGAGGTTCTTTGTGGAATCATTTGCAAAGTGCTCCTAGGTAATCAGGAAGCAATGACTTGCCAAATAAAAAGGAAGGTGTTTCTGATGTGCATGTATCAAATCTAGATTTGACTGGAAAAAATTTCATATCATATACATAAATATGGATAATAGGAATCTTAAGGAACCTTCTAGATCATTGGTTGTTACAGGGTGAAAACTGGCTTCCCTCTACCCTTGTAGGTTCCTTGGCTGGACTATGAATTAATTTGACATAAGACAGGTTAACAGGAGGAAAACATTTTAATTACATACATACACACGGGAGTCCCACACATTATGAGACTCCAAAGGGTCAGATGGTTGGAGCTCATATAGTATCCTGAGCTACAGAAAGGAATAGGGCTTAGGGCTTCAAGAGGATGGTGGCAACGTAAGTTGTGGGAGGGTGAAAGTACGAACGTATGGTGAATAAAGGTCATCTTGTTATGTAGATAAAGTCACCCAGAAAATAAAAGTTGTCTGGAGCAGCCCTCTTCATGATGCAGATACTGTATTAGATTTCCTTTATAGATATACATTTCTTTTACAAAAGGACAGCTTTTCCAGCTGCAGTTTCTTAGAATAATCAGCTCAAAATATGCCAAAGAAGTATATTTTGGGGTGCCATATTCTAGCCTCCTACAGTTACATTTTGGGGTAGTGTATCCTGAGCCTCAACTGGGGACAATTTGTGCCTTCCCTTCCAAGAGGGGCATTTGTCAATATCTAAAGACATTTTTGGTTGTCACACTAGGAGGGGGAAGTGCTATTTGCATCTAGTGCTCAACGTCTTCTAACACATCAGACAGCCCCCCACAAAAAAGGGTTTCCTAGCCTAAAATGTCACTACTGTGAGGAGAAACCCTGCTTTAGAAAATGTGTATATACACACCGATAGAAAATGAGTGGTCTGTAAGTTCAAGTTGGGCCTTGGGATCATGGCCCATAGGAGGCCTCAGATGGCAGGCATGGTGGAAGGGATGGAGGCACGTGCCTCTCTGGACCAAGGCACAGACGAAAGGCAGCCTCTGGGAGCAGGGGTTCAGTTCAGCTGGTTGCCACACCAGAGAGAAGAGTGGGATTAGAATTCAGGCCACAAACAGAGCTGCAGTGTGGTCTTCGAAGACTTGTTGTTGTAGTTCTGCAGCAGTTGCTGCTATGCATATGCTTAGGGATATGCCACCTCCTTCAGAAAGTGGCCTTAATCCTCCAAATGGGAGTGAATCTCCCCACATCAGTGCTCAGGCTGTGGGTCTGAGGCCTTTATTATCTTACCCACTAATACATCCTGCCATTATGTCCCAGAGTAGACGGTAAGTTTCCTGAGGATGAGACTCATGCATTTTCACCTATCTCCATAGTACCACGGCATGTAGCAATACTGATAAAATAGTTGCTGAATTGTCATCAATATTTATTCTTCCTCCCAATATTAGAAATTCCATGTGCATACATTTGAACAAAACATATAAAATGTTAAGGTAAAAAGGAAGTAATCTACTATTTTCTTCTGGAAAAATCATTTAGCAAAGCCCATCTTCAAAGATTTGTTTGTACTTTTTTTCAAAGCTAATAATCTGTTTGACTGCCTTCCCCACTTCTTTAACGTTTTTAGTAGTTTCCAGTGGTAACATGGTTCATCTTGAAATTTAACTACTGCATTTCATAAATGGGTCCCAATTTGGTTAATGTTTTTACACACAAATACCTATAATCAAAGCATGGAGCAAATTTTGCCTATTCTTTGCTATACAACTCAAAAAAGAATTTTTTAAGCTCTATAATTCATTAGTTTGCTAATGGCTTTTCCCCATAAGAGATAGTTTGACCCTGCTCAACTTTTAGTTACAGCAAAAAAACTCATTCAGGCTTTCTCTCTGCTCTTCATATTCAAAATAAACCATTCTATAGACTGAGAAGGAATCAAGCACTTTTGGAATAAAAGGCAATTTTCCATGATAAAACATTCTGAGCACGTTTAGTACCTTCCTATTCTTTACATTCCTAAAATGTAAGAAACTCATCTCCAGCAATCCAAATATCTTAAACTCCACTTACAAAACAAATCAAAGGGTTATTCTTCGCCCTACAAAAGCACTTATCAAAAGATTCAACCCAAGATTATTTTCATTCAGCAGCACCTACTCTCAAACCCATTTCAATTTAGATAGTATTTACACAGCTTTTCATGAACCAGAGCTTTCTAAGAGCTAAGAGGGAATGATGAATGAGTTCTGCCCCTTAATTCTGCAAGTGAGGAAACTGAGGCTCAGAAGACCATATGAACTCTCCAAGCTGCAGGATAACAGCTGGGACTTATCAAGGGCCCAGGGCTTCTCACATCTTCACCACTTCCACCATGTCAAGGCCACCATCACGTCTTGTTTGGAATGCTATAGGAATCTCCTAGGTCCCATTTTTACCCTCCCTCCTATCATCCACCCTCTCTCCAAAGGCCACTCCATACAGCAGCATGTGGATGAATCTACAATAGAAGGCAAACTATGTCCCTCCTTTGCTCAGAAACTTTTAATATCTTCCTATTTCCCCATGTAAAAGCCAATCCTCAACCACAGTGTAGAAGGGCTATCCATTTCTAGCTACACATCTCCTCAGTCACTGCCCCCAGCCCCAGTACTTGGGGACTTTGCCCTTGCAGTTCCCTGTGCCAGCAAACTCTTCCTCCAGATGTCCACATGACTCACCCCCCTCCTTCAGGGGTCTTCTCAAATGTCACTTTACCAGAGGTGGCTTCCCTGACCATCCTGTATAAATAGCATCACCCTACCTCCTATCTCTCTCTCTACTGGCTTTTTAATTATTTTTATTATTATTGAGACAGGTTCTCACTCTGTCACCCAAGCTGCAGTAGAGTGGTGAGATCACAGCTCACTGCAGCCTTGACCTCCTGGCTTCAAGTGATCCTCCCACCTCAGCCTCCCAAGTAGCTGGGACTACAGGTGCACACCACCACACCCAGCTAATTTTTTTTTTTATTTTTGTAGAGACAGAGTCTCTCTGTGTTGCCCAGGCCTGTCTCAAACTCTTGGCCTCAAGTGATCCTCTTGCCTCAGCCTCCTATATTGCTGGGATTATAGGCATGAGCCACCGCACCTGGCCTTATTACTTTTTCCTAACACTTTTGTCACCCGACATATTTTGTTTATTGATTTCCTTTGCCCACTAGAATGTAAGCTCAGCAAAAAAGTAGCCTGCTGGATCCCCAGTGCCTGGTATACAGCAGGCACTCAGTATTTTGGTATAATAAGTGCTTACTATGTCCCCAATACTGTTTTAAGGAAGGTATTTACTTAATCTTCCCAATAACCTGAGATAGGCATTATTATCATCATTGTCATCTCTGAGTCACAGATGAAGAAACTAAGGCACAGAGAAGTTTAGTAATTTTTCCAAGATCACACAGCTAGTGAATAGTAGAGCCAGGATTTGAACGCGAGACACCGGCTCTTTAACCACCATCACATGTAGTGTCACCCTTATTGTGTCACTCAGTTAATGATAAAGAACTACTGCACTTTAATGCTTCTTCTCTATACCAGACTCTCAGAAATTGATACATACTAAAGTATGCTTTCAAATGTCAATCATTTCCTATAAGTGCCTAACATTTTAAAGTAATAAAGTGTGATTTTGAGCTAAGACTGGTAAACAAAGTGTGCTGCAGCCACAAGCGTACTGCGCTTTAGCCTCTATCTAGTTCAAGAACCACTTCCAGAGGATATGAGTGAGGCTTACAGGCGTGTGCAGGTAATTCTCCCTGCTCAACTGAGATTACCATCATTAGCTCTGGTCCATAAAGGGAAAACTAAGACACAAAAGCCACATTGATGTTCTAGGCCACACAGCCAATTGCAGTGACTAGAAGAAAGAAGCCTCCCCGGGCGGCGAAGGTTGCAGTGAGCTGAGATCGCGCCACTGCACTCCAGCCTGGGCCACAGAGGGAGACTCCGTCTCAATTTAAAAAAAAAAAAAAAAAAAAAAAAAGGAGCCTCTGAGGGGCCCTCTGGGACTGCAGTAGGTCACACATGCTCCCTGCTTATTAGCATAGAACGCCCCGGTGATTCATGCAATGGAATGTTTCAGCCAAGGATGTCACCTAATAGAGGATATGTTGATACAGCTTTATCTGAGAAGTTACATAATCGTCCTAGTGTGGAAATGCCATAAAGGAATTTCTGGCTTGAATAAAAGAGGTGTGTATCCCCTGGGAAGTACTCCACAAAGGGTATGAGGAGATTTTCAGTGAGAAGCTGACTACCCCAGACTGGGCAAGTGACTTGTTAAAAACAGGGCTCAATGGAGGCTCTCTGAGGACAGTGACTGCGCCCACTTTGATTTGGTAAGGCTTTGACTCCTGCTCGAGAGAGTCCAGGGACCCCTAGACCTGCCTGTCCTTCCACAGGGAAGAGCGACCTTTCTGTATCTAGCCTCCTGGGATAGAAAGGTCCCTACCTTGAGTCCTCTCTGCTTCGTTCTTTCAGGTCACACATTTATTTCTGCAAGCCTTCAGACCTTCCATTCTCTTTCTGCCCTAGAGAGCAGAATGAATCCTTCCCCCGATTTTGTTGGAATTCTCTGAAAGAAATCCTGCCAAGTCTCCCACTCTGGAATACCACCCCCAGCACCCAATCTTCCCTCGACCTCGCCTCCCATCGCCCCACCAGCGCCCAGGACGTGGCAGGAGGAAGGAGGCTGGAGGGAGGGGCGCGGGTGGCACGAGCACCTGTCACCTGACCGGCTCGGGCCCTCACTTCTCCAGCCCCGGCCCTGCCCACCCTCTGGCCGGTGAGAGCCGACAGGGCCCCCGCCCTCCCGGACCCGGACAGGCCCGTCCCTCCCGCCCCGGCCTCCGCCACCGTCCAATGGCCGAGGGGCAGGGCCCGCTGAGCAAGCCGCGGCAGCCCCGCCGGGTCCCCGCCCTGTTCCCGGTTCCCGAGCCGGGCCCCGGAGGCCTTTAAATGCTGCCCAGGGCCGACGCGGCACGGCCCTCGCCACTTTTCTTGGTCGGGCAGCGGCAGCGGCAGCGGCAGCAAGCAGCCCCGTCGGCCCGGGTCCGGGGCCGTTCTGGGCCGCGGCAAGCACCTTCGCCCTCCCAGCTCGCGCTGCCTCCCTCCCCTCCCCTCCTCCCAGGCTCTGCCTGCCAGGTCGGCGCCGGGCCCCGGGCGCGCGCGCGCGCGCCCCCTCGTGTGTGCGCGCGCCCGCCGCCAGCTCGGACCCGCGCCCCCGCCCCCGCCCCGCGCAGGACAGCCCCGGGATCCCCGCCCGCGCGCCGCGTCCCACGTACCCCGCCGCGCCGGGCAAGAAGATGGCGGGATCAGTGGCCGACAGCGATGCCGTGGTGGTGAGTGTGGCAGGGCGCGCGCGAGGCGCCCCTCCCCGCCGTCCCGCACTCCGCCGCCGCCTGCTCCAGCAGTGCTGGGGTGCTGAGCAGCCGCAGGCCCGGCCGGCGCCCGGCGCGTGGGAAGGCGCCCGGTACCTGTTAGCAGCCGCTGGCTGCGCGCGGCCGGTGTTAGGGGCTGGAGAGGCTCCCGGGCTGCGGGGCTCTGGGCTGGGGAGGGAGTTTGGGGAGGATGGCGGGTAGGGACGCCCGACAGCCCCCTCTGTGCCGTGCAACCGCCAGCCAGGTGTGCGCGTGGGTGAGTGTGTCCGGGGCGCGCGCCCCGCCACCGCCCCCGACGTACCGGGGATTCCCCCTTGGAAATGGGTCGGCGCCCGGGGCTCCCGAGAGAAGTTGAGCACGGCCGCTGCACTTCAGTCACGTCCCGAAGGACAGGCCTGGCCCACCGCGCTTCCAGAAGCGTTTACGGTTGGAGAGGGGCCTGCCCTCCTCCGGCGTGGGGCTCTGGCTCTTCGGTGGACCTCGACCTTGATTTTGATCTGGATCTGAAGGGTCTGCGGATCTTCAGAGGCTTAACTACCGGGTGGAAAGGATGGGTTTTGTTCGGGGGTGATGAGATTATCTAAGAGACGGTGAAGAGGCATCATCTGCAGACACTGTGTGCATGTGGAAGGCTGCTGGATTCCACCACATCTGTGTGGGTTCTTCCTCCAGCCCCCCAAAAAAGAGCCCATGGAAAGCCAATCTGTGTACTTCTATTTTTAGAAACTAGATGATGGCCATTTAAACAACTCTTTGAGCTCTCCAGTTCAAGCGGACGTGTACTTCCCACGACTGGTAAATGATTTTGCTCTGTGTCTCTGCCTGTACCTTCCTCCTTTCTCATTGCTTTTTAAAATTTTATTCATTTGTTTATTGCATTTTCCAGTGGGTCAGGCCTTCAGGGTCTGAGGTCTTGGCTTTTCCCTAACAGGCTGTAAAATTCATTTTTCTTCTCCCACCCTTTTCAGATAGTTCCATTTTGTGGGCACATTAAAGGTGGCATGAGACCAGGCAAGAAGGTGTTAGTGATGGGCATCGTAGACCTCAACCCAGAGAGGTAAGGCAGAGTCTTTGTCAGGACAGAACTATCAGGCTGTGGCTGAGCCCTGCCCACTTCTGTTGTGGTTTAGCACTCCTCTTCCTCTCCTTGTGGACAGTGTTGCTAGTTGCCAGTGCCAAGAAAGTACCATGTTCCCATGAAACGAATATGTATGAATCCCAGCCATCATTTCTCCAGACAGCTATTTATATCAGAGATTATAAATATAGGCCCACATTTTCTCTTTGACCCTTAGGGAGGCCAGAGGATTTTTTTTTTTTTTTTTAATGGTTTTGAAACATGGTGCCAGGAGCAAGAACTATCAAGATGAATAAGAACCCAACTTAACATTATTTCCCCTGGTCAATTTCTGTGGCTGTTTTTGAGAATTCCGAAGTGGAATTCTCTAATTTTAGTCATTTTCAACACCAAAGTTTTCACCAGAGCTTGCTTTAGGTAACAAAATAAGCTGGTTTGACTTACTTCTCCATAATCTAACCTCTCTTGAAGAGTAGTGGCCTCTTAAAAATGGACAAACCCAGAGGAGGAAGAAGAAATATAAGCACTTGGGTCATTTTGAAATGTTTTTATATCCAACCCTTAATCAGTGGGATGATTTTCTTTTCAGCTTTGCAATCAGCTTGACCTGTGGGGACTCAGAAGACCCTCCTGCCGATGTGGCAATCGAACTCAAAGCTGTGTTCACAGATCGGCAGCTACTCAGAAATTCTTGTATATCTGGGGAGAGGGGTGAAGAACAGTCAGCAATCCCTTACTTTCCATTCATTCCAGACCAGCCATTCAGGGTGAGTACCTCGAGTGCCTCGGCTCCAGCCACTGGCAGGCTGATAATGTTCGACTTACCTAGTGTGTGCCAAGAACACTTGAAGCAGCCAGAATTTCTGCATGTCCAGGAAATTTGTCACCCAATGGTGAAAAAAAAAGATCAAAAGAGCTCTGTTTGCTGATATAAATTAACACTTGCCATAGTATCTTCTTAGTTCTATTCAGGTCATACATTTAAATAGACCCATATTTACATGTCCAAATTGTTAAGAATAAGTAACTTTTCTATGTAGTACCCAACATATAGTAGATACCTACCCCCAAATATCTGATTGATTAATCAATACTAAGTACCCACTTATTAAATATTAATATTAATAAGGTTGAGAGCTAATAAGTAGCTCTTTTATTTGTATGACATTTTAAAGAATATGATGATGATCATTTCATTTTCTCTTGTTCCCTTTGCTAATGAGGCCATGTTCGTGTCCTTGTTTCCCCCTCTGGATTAATTAGCCTCAGTCTATTTCATGGTTACAGGCTGTGTGGCTGACAAATTCCTTCCCTTGGGGCTGGATGAATAAAGATTTGCTCCCCACTATCTTCTGGGCAGGAAGCACAATCCAAACTTTTCATCCAATCAAGCAGCATTAGCAGCCCCTTCCTCTATGAAAGGCAATGCCAAATAAGAGATGCAGGTAGTGGCACAGTGGCTTGTGCCTATAATCCCACCACTTTGGGAGGCTGAGGCAAGAGGATTGCTTGAGCAAAGGAGTTCAAGACCAGCCTAGGAAACACAGCAAAAACCCTGCCTTTAAAAAAAAAAAAATTAGCCTGCCATGGTGTCACACACCTGTAGTCCTAGCTACTTGGGAGGCTGAGACGGGAGGATTGCTTGAGCCCAGGAATTCAAGGCTGCAGTGAGCTATGTGTGCATCACTGCACTCCAGCCTGGGTGACAGAGCAAGGCTCTGTCAAAAAAAAAAAAAATAAAGGGAAATGCAAGTAGTAATGGTGTTAAAAAGGGGTCAGACCTAGTGATGAATTGTCATTACACCTTAACATTACATCACAATAATGACAACTCAGTTAAAAGCTCCATGTTACATGTGAGCCCAATAAAACACAACTACACTTAACTGGTTACCCTTCATCTAGAAATTTTCAAGTGCCTCATGAAGAAGTAATTCTTTCACTTCTCTTCTTACATTCTGGGGAAAATAAGAATCCATGATTTTTGCATTGGTGGTAGAATTGAGATAGTTGCACTTCTAGTTATAGTCTCTGGAAGGCACCCTTGACCCATTATCTCTCCTCATCCCCTTCTCTAGAATGGTGATGTCCCCTTGGGCTCCTCTTGGCTAGGATAGTTTCTTAGTGATGAACCTTAATGCATAGCTCATGAATGTGAGTAACCACAGCTTCTGACTGCCAGGAGGAATATAATGCTCCCAACAGCAAAACTGAAGTGAAATAGGCCCTTCTTGGTGATAAAATTTAGTAATATAAAATAAATGTGACTAGTATCACATATGGAGCCTCCTTACATGGTGAATGCCAATGCTTTTAATAAACCCATCATAGCACACTACCAGTAATTGAACTTTATGGTAAATTACTTGAGGAAAAAGCTTTTACACTTACATTCTACACAGGAATCAGAAATTTTGGAGGTAGAGCCCAACAATCTGTGTTCTAACAAGCCCTCTGCAGGTCTCAATGCATTCTGATGTTTGTGAACCACTGAAGATACTGCCTTTCTTTCTCTAAAATGAAGTATTGTTTGTTTTCCCCAGTAGCGTTCATTGAAATTGTGGATTATTATTTTGTTTCTTCCAGGTGGAAATTCTTTGTGAGCACCCACGTTTCCGAGTGTTTGTGGATGGACACCAACTTTTTGATTTTTACCATCGCATTCAAACGTTATCTGCAATTGACACCATAAAGATAAATGGAGACCTCCAGATCACCAAGCTTGGCTGATTTAAACCACCTCTATTTCAAATAGGATCACGTGCCACAACTATCTGACTGTTGGTCTGGAAGAAGTGTCCTAGCAAGATCTGGAGACTTAAAAAGAAAACAAAAACAAATGGCAAGTTTCACTTAAGGGTGGTTTGCCCTTAAGAAGAAAGCTGTTGGGACAAAGACACCGAGCCATTATACCCAGAATAAAATAATACATTTATGCTGGATTTTATTCAGACCAAACTAAAATGGATTTGTGATGATTTGTGATTTGGTAGCAAATTATTCATCTTTTCAAAGCAAGGCAATGCTTAGAAACAGAAGTGCTAAAGACACTTAAAAAGCCAACAACAACGGTACAGTGAAATCAATGCATTTCTGCACTAAAGTGGAATTGTGTAGCACAACCAATATTTTAGTCAGGGTATTTACATAGAATGTAGGTTGTTCAAGGTTTGACTTTTTTTTTGTTTTTTGTTTTTGTTTTTGTTTTTGTTTTGCACAGCATAATGTTAATTCAGATTGTTGAAGCTTTCTTGTAGTTATTTATTTATACTCAATGTATGTATTAAAGAATGAACAATGTCTCAAGAACAGCAAGTTGTAAACTTTTGAATGTATAAATATCTTAGGTCCAAGGGGAGAAAATTACATATTACAATTATGAAACAGGTGAATTTCTGCTTTAAAGAATTGAGATTCTCCATACCCCTAAACTTAGGATCTCTTGATATAAACTGCTGTAAGTGCTTTTGGGAAACCTTTGCAAAACCATTTTGATAAAACTGCTTTCCAAGTTATTGTTGGTTATGTAAAATTCTATTTACATTGCTTTTTCTCCTTACTGGGAATTAGCACATTATTGGCTTCCTTAAGACTAATTATTTCTCTCTTGATTTATATAATAGCTCATTAAGTTGTTATTAATCAAAAACACAAAGAGGTGATTGCTTAGACAATTTTTAAAGTGACTATAGTATAAACTTTTAAAAGAATAATATGAAAATGACTGTGGAATGCAGTGTAAAGCAGAAGCAAACGGCCCTGAATAACTTACTTGGAAGTAATTTATATCAACTTAAGCTGTTAGCTCATTGTATAACTTTTCTTATGTGACCCTCACCAATATCCCTAAGTAATGCCTTTGGAAGCTTCAGAGTAGAAGATGCTTCCTACTGTGTTGGCTCTGAGGAGATAGTAGGATTAGATAGGATCCAGATTAGGAAATGATCCAGTTAGTTTATCTGAAAGGTTAACTCCCAGGACTCCAGGTCTTTGAATCCAGCCAGTAGAGTGAATGCTTCCAATTAAGCTGTAGGTGTTACCCTGCACTTACGGAACTGATCAAACAGGTGACTCCAACAGGAGGTTGCAGTACTGTAAACGTCACCGCAAGGCAAGGGATGCTTAAAGTCCTGGGTTCTGGACTTTAAAAGCTACATTGGCCCTGGAGGGAGGGACCCTTGGCATTGCTTTGATCAGGTAGTGAGGGAAGACAGGGTTCTGGGGTGGGGGTGTATTTATATATAATTTAGGTTTTGTTTGTACAGCATACTGTGTCTTGTAATGACACATCCTTGTCCTGCTTTCCTTTTTTGAGTTTTTTTTTTTTTTTTACACAACATGCAGAGGCACTGAAGTGACCATGTCATTTTCAAGTGTCAAGAATGTAGACAGTGTTTCAGTACCAAAGTCTAAAATAAACTAAAATTATGAATTTTTTATAGGTGATACATTTGGATTCTTCTCAACTTTGAAACTGTTTAGCACAGTTCCATTGTATTATATAAGAAGACACTGTATCCAACAAGACTGGCTGTACATTGAAAAGCTTTATGTACCAGCCAACTTATTTAACCATATTCAGCCTGTTCCGTGGGGGCTGTTCTGTGGTTCCAGGTATTTTCAAGCCTGTGATTAACTTCTCATGGCTTGTCACTTAAAAGTCCCTAAATTTGAGAGACTTAAAGGGCACCTTGAAATACATTTGTGGAGTTTTGATCCAACTTATGGTGGAAGAGCCCCATAGGAAGACTGTTTTGAGTGGCCAACCATTCCCACCCACTGCATAATTCAGCAGAAACTAGAGGAGCAGGGCGTGTACTGATTGGAATTGACACGCTTATTCTGTCTACCTATCAGCTAACTCATTAGCAGCCAAGCCCTTAGGCAGCTTAGTGTGAAAATACAATGTTAACTGTTTGTTTCTCTGTGAGGTTAGTGGGAACCGCTTGGATAAGCCTATTGGGATTAATCTAAATGATGTGATGATTTGATTCAGGTATAGCCCAAATTAGTAAGGGGCTTTAGCTGTAAACTGAAAACAATATTCACACCCTCTCCTGGGCCTGTAAGGTCTAAGGTGAGAATTTCAGGATGGAAAATGCAATGTAAAGCTTCCACAGGAAAGTATTCGGGTATGTAAGGTGTTATTTCTGACCAGAGCCCTAGTTCTGCAATAACCAAAACCAAGGAGTATAAATAACAATCAGGCTCTGGGGGAATAGAAAGCAGGCTTTAGACAATCTGTCCATTTCTACAGTAAAATTGGAGTGAGTGTGTATATCTACTTAAAACTTAATAGAAGTGACTTCTACTTTTTGGGCTATTCCAGAAGTATTTTAAAATTATTATTTAAAATTTTGAAGCCCCATTTCAAATCTTGCCGACCTTAGTTCAAAGCCCCCTGAGAGATCACTTTTAGAATTGAGGATTTGTTAAAATGGCAAGTCATTTCATTTGTGTTAAAAAGAAAATACCCAAAAGGAAGGAGGGAGCCCTGTTTGCCTTGAGATAAACGGCCTTGGCATTTTCTGGCATTAATGTAGAAATAATGTTCCTATGATGACATATTTTCAAAGAAACACTTTCTTATTTACTGTGTGGTGTAAAATGTTGCTAAATGTGTTGTTACATTATGTCACTGCTGAAAGTAATTTGCACTATAATAAAGGAATTTTCTACAAAACAGTTTCCAGTTTATAACATGCTACATTTGGCGCCAGGTATAGAGTACTTAGCATAGACCACGTGGCATAGCAGTGATTCCTCACTTTCACACTTATGCCTCAAGATAACTTTTTCCTGCATTCCCCACACTGATAAACAGAAGAAAAGTCTCTTGGGGCCCTCAGAGACCTAATAACTTACATTGTGAATGGTAAATGCAGTGGGTTCTTTTAAAATATAATTTGCATACAGCAAATTCACTCTTTTGGTATAAAGTTCTGAGTTTTAACATATACATATAGTCATGTAACTACCATCTTAATCAGAATGCGGGATCATTTCATCATCTCAAAAAATTCCTTTGTGCTACTCCTTTGCAGATAAATTCGTCCCCCGTTCCTAACCCTAATTAGGCGTCCACAGATCCATTCTCCCTCCCCATAGTTTTGCATTTTTCTGAATGTCATAAAAACAATCGTATAACATGTAATCTTTTAGAGCTGGCTTCTCAATTTGCATAATGCATTTGAGAGTCATTCATGTGTATATCAATAGTTTTTATTGCATTCCATTGCATAGATATACTACAGTTAATCCATTCAGATGTTGAAAGATGCAGTGGGTTTTTAATCAGCAAATATAATCTTAGCACAATGTAGATACAAAAACAAGATTGCATTTCTCTTGCCTTCTCTTTCCTGTGGTTTGAATGATTAGGGAAGAAATTTAATGTCTTGGCTATTCAGCCTACAGATAAAACTGTATGGCTTATAGAAGTTTGCCCAGCTTCAATCATTGCTGGGTGACAGATTTACTCACATGCTAGATCTAGGGCCCTATTTATACCTTAATTTTATTGATCCCATTTTTTTTTAGGGTGCAGCATTGGGAGGCTGGTTTGCTGGTTCCTCTGTCACAGCTTTTGCAGTTAAGTACTGGCAGATGAGGCCTGTTAAGGTAGGGACAACTTGCTGAGGCTGTTGGACAAAAGATAGGAGAGCTTCCCTTGCTCGCTAGCCTGGCTGGGAATGCCCCTTAGGGGATGTCACATTTTACTTACGTTATGACAGCATTTTGGATTAGATGGCCTAAAAAATATATCCATAATTGGAGCTTTGAGTGCCACGATTCCTTAAGGCCTTCATTCATTCAACAGGTATTTATTGAGCTGTGTCACTTGGAGTATAAAAGACAAAGGTCTCTGGTGGCTTTAAACTTCAGTGTGATTAACAGGCAGATAGCTCTCCCCTTCCCCGAGTCCCCAGGAGATTTCTGTTTCACCAGGTCTGGAGTAGGGCCCAGAGGTTTGTATTTTCAAAACCACCCTGGGCCAGGTGTGGTGGCTCATGCCTGTAATCCCTGTACTTTGGGAGGCCAAGGCCAGAGGATCATGTGAGACCAGGAATTTGAGACCAGCCTTAGCAACTTAGGGGGACCCCATCTCAATTAAAAAAAAAAGGTGTGGCAACATATGCCTACAGTCCCAGCTACTCAAGAGGCTGATCAGGGAAAATCGATGGAGCTAGGAAAGTTGAGGTGCAGTGGGCCATGATCATGCCACTGCACTCCAGCCTGCAATGACAGAGCAAGACTCTGTCTCAAAAAAAAAAACAAAACAAAACAAAAAAAAAGCAAGAAGCACCCTGGATGGTATAGGTGGTCCTGGGTCTCTTGAATCTTAGATTAAGTAACCTGCCTTTGGGAACTCCTAACTGTTGGGTTGCACAGCCCTCTAGATTCCAATCTATGGATATCATTCTGTGAAAACTGCATTTCAACACAGGCACATCCTTCTGTGCCAAGATCCTGCAACTATCATTACAACATTACAACTATGTGCCATTGTCCCTGACTTAACTTTCTCTTCTCTAGGATTTCTCTATCATTTCATTTGCTCACTTCTGCCTCTACCTCAAAAATAAAACACTGTGTAAAAGAAAGTTTGCCTTTCAAATGAGTCTTGTAAAAATCCTCCTTCTTTGGGTTGGTTTGGGACCTAGGTGACACTCTGACGCCTATTTTAAATAGCGATTTCTCCTAGAAAGGTTAAAGTTCTGGGGGAGGCCTGTCTTCCTTCTTGGTAAGCATTTCAATTAGTTAGTCACTGAAGAATTGTCAAGGTGGAACTCAGTTTTCTCTGATGCAAATCCACGTGGTGGCTTACAGCTTGTAAAGAGGCAAAGGGCAAGTAGCAGTGGCCCAAGTGAGCTTTCATGGCACTGTAGAAATGAATTTAAAGGCTTCCTTTCACGGGAAAATGCAACTGAGTGTGTACATAATGCTGAATGGTTGCCTCGAGCCACTTGCTTCCAAATCACCAGGTTAATTTCAAAATGATTTTTCACTAAAAAAAAAAAAAAAAGTCTTCTGCATAAGGCAGAGACCTGCCTTGCAAAACATAGACTTCATAATTAATTAAAATGGGTGTATCTAAGGTACAGAAACAATACCCAACCTAGAGAGCAGAGGAAGAAATAGCCACTGACTCTCTTGCTTTGATACGCCCTTCCATCTCCCAGGGAAAGATGGTGACTGGTTGAGCAAACACAGGGTGAGGAGGCATCATTGTTTGATAGGACAACACAGACAGTCCCTAAATAATAGGCCCTGGGAAGCTGCAAGCCAACCACAGGCCTTGGGGATGATGTGGGGTTTTGGGGGCCTTCCAAGCTTTCATGAGTCAGAACAATAACAAATGTTTGCTAATAACCCCAACACATCCCTTTCTGTCAGTATTCTATTATTAATTCTAAAAAGACAGATGCAAATTATCAAAGCTTACCTAAACAGCTGGGATGGGAACAGGAGGAATCAAAGTGGTGAGTCTCTGGTGACAACGAGGAGTTGGGAAGGGGGCACCCATGCCTCCTGGATTTGTGATGTGTGCTCAGGTTGGTGCTTTAAACCTCCAGCCTAAACTGACCTCCTGTGGGAAATAAGGACTGCAATGCCACTTGTTATGGTGAGCTTGGAGAGCCAGAGGTGACAGCAGGTCATGCAGGAGTAAGGCATTTCTTACAGCTAATAAAGCCAGAGTTTAAAATAATCATGACACCAATTTCTATAATAATCCTCCACAGTTTTATAAAGAAACAGTGTAAAAACTGCTAATCCTTAAGACTATGCTCTAATTCACCAGAATGTGCCTTACATATAATTTCACTGAATTATCATTTTATTTAAAATCTAGCCAAAATTAGCAGTGTATTAGGCAATATTTAGAATAGCATTTGTAAAATATACTTAGGGATTTTTTTACTCTAAATTATTGCAGCTGTTCCAATATTAGAGAGCACAGATTTCTCCTAATGCAATAACAACGACCTTTAGCCCAGCGTAAAATGGTGTTTAGTATTATAATAAAAAGTGAATAAGGAAGAGATGCCCCAAATGATGAGAAACTGCTGAAAACATTTATTTAAATGAGAATCTTCATGGAGTAGTGTGGTCTGTTACTCTAAGATTCTAATTAACCATGTATCACACATTTTTTAAATCCTCAGATTTAAAAAATCATACACACTATGGAGCACAAGACCACAGTTTTTTATTAGAAGACGTTGGAAATAGATCTGCTCTCATAAGTCTCTGATTAAAGTCGACACCGAGGTCACCTCACAGGTTGGTTTGTTTTAAGGCAACTAACTTTCTTTTTGGTTTTGTAAATGATGTAAATCCTTGACTTGAGAGTCCCCTTCAATCCTTGAGAATTAAGTATATAATTTTAAAAAAATTCAACCTCCTAACTTGAAAGGGCAAATACTGTCCTTTTTATATAGGTTGTGCTTTAAAAACATATCTGTCTGGTTAATTCATAGCCATCGTTTCTCTCTCCTATGAGAGAATTACTCATAACTGGTGCCAATGCAGCTAGATGTGAAAGAAGCACTGTATCTGAAGGCATATTAGACACTGTGGGGTACCAAACAGGGAAAAGACACCTACCATTTACTCTTAAAGAATTTATGATTTAGCTGGAAAGACAAGATGTGTACATACAAAATACATGTAAACATGAATGTCGATAGATAATTAGAGTCAGCCTGAGAAGGCAGAACATAGCAAGCTACAGAAGGTTGGGGAGGATACAGCTTGCCATGTCTTGGGTGATGGGGGTAGGTGGGGAGGGTCTAAAGCAATGGTCTCCAACCTTTTTGGCACCAGAGACTGATTTTGTGGAAGGCAATTTTTCCACAGACAGCGAGGAGGGGGGATTGTTTTGGGATGATTCAAGCACATCACATTTATTGTGCACTTTATTTCTATTATTATTACATTGTAATATATTATGAAATAATTATACAACTCAACATAATGTAGAATCAGTGGGAGCCCTGCACTTGTTTTCCTGCAACCAGACAGTCCCATCTGGGGGTGATGGGAGACAGTGAAAGATCACCAGGTATTAGATTCTCATATGGAGTATACAACCTAGATCCCTCACATGAGCAGTTCACAATAGGGTCCACGCACCTATGAGAATCTATTGCCACTGCTGGTCTGACTGGAGGTATCTAAGGCGGTAATGCAAGCAATGGAGAGCAACTGTAAATACAGATGAAGCTTCGCTCATTCGTTCACCATTCACCTCCTACTGTGTGGCCTGGTTCCTATCAGGCCACCAACTAGTACCAGTCCACGGCTGGGGGTTGGGGACCCCTGGTCTAAAGGACTTTAGCCATGTTTCTAAGGACCTAAATCCCCTTTGCATGTGTACAGGCACAAAACTCATCAGTATATACTAACTTCAGGTTTGATCTATGGGGCCAGGGTTGTGTTTCCTAATGCTCAATGATGTCGTTGAAATTCTAGCCTCCCAAGAAAAGAGTTCAGGGAGGAAATTTATGTTCTTTAATTACAAAACACATGGGTCTCTGGTAGAGAGCATACCCTTCCTTAAACGAAGCCTGGAGCAAAGAAAGGCCTGCTTTGTGGACTATCTACAAGGAATCACAGCATACATGCATTGAATGTACTCAAACTTCAGCTCCATGCATTTATCACCAAAATATAGAACAAAGCAAAAAACTGTTTAAACACTATACATGGGTGCCATGGCTCATGCTTTAATCCCAGAGCTTTGAGGGGCCAAGGCAGGAGGATCACTTGAGGCCAGGAATTGGAGACCAGCCTGGCCAACATAGCAGGACCCTGTCTTTAAAAATAAAAATAAAAATAAATAAATTATCTAGATGTGGTGGCACGTGCCTGTAATCCCAGCTACCTGGGAAGCTGAGACAGGAGAATTGATTGAGCCCAGGAGTTTGAGGCTGCAGTGAGCTGATAGCATTCCTGTACTCCAGCCTGGGTGACAGAGCAAGACTCTGTCTCAAATAAATCAATAAATAAATACCACAGGGACAATTCCACCTGTCATCCCATTGAAAGAAAAAGGAGCCGAAGAATGGGGATGTGATTCAAATGTGCCTTCAGTTGGTTCTGCTTCCTGGGTCTCTCATAGTTAAGCCTTCTAGCTCCCTGCAGTGTTACGCCAGTGTACAAAGATACTGTCAGTATTTCTTATGCACAGCCACTAACCACAAGCCAAATCTTTCCTCAGCCAAAGAAACAAAGATCTGTTGACTTTTGTATCTAGCCCGTGGGTGAGACGGGCTTCCACTGTTTATCCTGAGTGGACGGTTTTCTTGTTTAATCATGGTAGCCAGTTCCTTGACAGCAGAATTCATTCTATGAGCTCTGGCTCTAGACACAGCATTATCCACTAAAACTTTCTGTGGTGTTGGAAATGTACTATAATCTCCACTGTCCAGTACAATGGCTACTAGCCATATTTAATTGAGCATTAGAGTGACTAAGGAACTGAATTTTCCATTGTATGTCATTTTAATCAGTTTAACTATAAGTGGCCACATGGGGCTAGCGTCTACTGTACTGGAAGTGTGGGTGTGGAACATCACGAGCTGCTGGGCTTATGTTTGGTCTGGACACACAGAGAACACCAGGGGCTGCAGAAGTTCCTTATTTAAACCCAAGTCATGTTCGACCTCAAGTTCAGGAAAGGCTAGGTGCTTTCTAAAGGCTAGTGGAGGCCTAGTTGTATACAACACACAGGTGCTCCTGGTAAAGAAGTCATCCTAAGGGAAGAAGTGCTCAGGCGGTTCGATGCAGGAAGACAGGCAAGTTGAGAAGGAAGTGGCAACTCTGTGGTCCCAGGCCCCGCTCAGTGGAGCCACACTTGGGTGCTAGAACAAGGACATGGCCATAAACCCCCTGCTTCCTCATGAACCTCACTCCCTGGAGCACAAAAGGGGAAGGTAGTGGCAGATGGGCAGCTTTCCTCATTCAGTCTTGCAGCCAGCCTGCATTTCCCAAGCAGTGTGTAAATGCTCTGCATAGTGCTGGGCAGTGGTGTTGGCACATGCATCAGTACCTACTCAGGCCTGCTTTTAACAACCTCTGTACAGCTGTCAGCAGTGACAGCGATGCCATCATCGAGCATCAGGAGTATAGCTGTCTATTTTGGAAATCTAGTGACGATCAGGAGCATTTATTTCCATTTTTATGTCCAAACCATAGGTGGCTGGTCTCCTATGAACAAGCCTTGGGTTCACCTGAAGCCAACCCAGAAGAAGGATGTGGCGCTTTGCTGAATCCTCAAGAAGCAAACCTACTCCAGAAAGCATTAGGGAGCAAGGAATTTTACTATTTTGTGGGAAGAAGTGCATTTTATCACATACCACCCAAAAAACTAGGGCATAAAAATCCCTGTTAGACTTTTTTTTTCTCTTCCAAGTCTCTCTTAGCTTCTATTCCCTCTCAGGACCCTCTTTTAGGCAGCTTCTAAATATCCCCTGGCTCCCTTCCTTATGCAGAGCTATTTGGCCACTACACGCTCTCCTGGGGGCTTTTTAAAGCATTCATCCTGCATGGGCCATTTTCCACCACAGGGGAGATTTGCCCCTAAGAAAAGTAGGATTTCTCTATCATTTCATTTGTTAGTTTCTTTAACACCCGGCCTCAAGTCCAGAGGAACTCAAGGCAGCAAAAAGTGAAAACACCAAGACAGGTGAGAAGGAAAAAGGCCAGGCACCTCCTGGTGCTTTCCAGTCTCAGGACTCAGGTTTAATGTCTCCTTTTCAACTTCCCCACCTTTATCCTAAAGAGTTCCCCTTTCCTCTCAATGTTGTCTTCTCTGTATGCTTGCTTAATATCCATCTCTCCCATTAGATAATAATTTCCACCAGGGCAGGTACCATACTACTCTTATTCTACTGCATCCTGAGCACCTAGCATGATGTTTAACACATAATACATAACAAATAAGCCAGACACGGTGGCTCATGCCTGTAATCCCAACACTTTGGGAGGTGGAAATGGGAGGATCACTTGGGGCCAGGAGTTCAAGACCAGCCTGGGCAATACAGCAAAACACAGTCCCTTCCATCACCTACAAAAAAAAAAAAATAAATGTTTGTTGAATGAATGAATGGTAGCCAAGATGTGGTATTCATTATATATCACTGTGCAAAAAATTATTCCAAAATTTAGAGGCTTAAAATGATAACAAACAGTTAAGATCTCACAGAGTTTCTGTCAGGAAACTGGGAACAGCTTAGCTACATAGTTCTAACTCAGGGTCTCTCAGGTTATATACAGTTAAGCTATCAGCCAGAGCTGCAGTCACTTGAAGCCTTGATTGGGGCTAGCGGATTCACTTTTCAACGTGGCTCATTCACATAGCTGTTAGCCGCACGAAATTCTCCACAGAACTGCCTGAGTGTAGTCACAACGTGGCAGCTGTGTTCCCTTTAGGGACTGATACAAGAGTGAACAAGGTAGAAGCTGCAATGTCTTTGATGCCCTAGCCTCAGAGGCCACCCTTCCACAATATCCCATTTCTTACATAGGTTAGCCCTATCCAATGTGAGCAGGAACTACACAAGGTATGAATATACCAGGAAGGGAAACTGTTGGGAGACATCTTGGAGACCAGCTACACAGATGGCTAATTCTTGCAAATTCTCAGAATTATTTGAGTGGTTGTAGAATTCCTAGAAGGTAAATGACAGTGGAGCCAGAGAAATGCTGTTCATGGCTATTATGTTTCCCTAGTATTACAACCCCCACCCCCTACTACTGTTGCCTGGGATTAGTGTTTTCTATAGAATGTCTTCACTTGTACATCCAGATCCTCAGAGTAAACTATAACAAAGAGAGCATGAAGAACCCAGAAATTCCTAGTGGATTGAAAATAGCAAAATTCCACTTATGAAATACGATGACAAAGTCTTCCTAAAATTATGGTAGAGGGTAGAAAATCAGTTCTTATTGGGAACCTCAAACAAACATAAATGTTTTTGAGAAAAGTACTCAATTTTTTTTTCAGTTCAAAGAGAAATGTAACTACTCAGAAAATGTGTGAGTTTTCCTTGTCTTCAAGTTTGATGTTTGGTTTTAATGGAATTGGATAGGAAGATAGACTGAGGTAGCAAAATCCATTAGTAGCCTGCATCAAAGGGCTCAGATTCAAATGCCTACAAGGGGAAAACATGTGATATTAAAGAAGCAAAATGGGCCACATGGGCAGCTGCCACCCAGACCTAGCCATTGTTGCCATAAATAAATGTGAGCCCTTTATTGCCAAAGCTTCTGGATTTTCTTTTAAAAGAAAAGCCAATATCTATTAAATGTTACATGTGAAAATAATTTTAACTATGTGGATTAATATGGCCCTTGATCTGGCATACTAGCTGCCAATTTGCAATCTTTGCTATGAGTTAAAGGGCAGATGGAGTAATAACCAAGCACCTGAATGGGTCCTGGCTACTGCTTGGGGGCAGAGTGGCGGGGGGCCCTTTTGAGAGGCTACTTGGCCTTTTGAGTTCTTCCAATTTACTGAGGAATTTTTCCATTCTCCTTTTCACAGACATTCTCTGCATATCTGAGAGTTGGGGGTAGGAGAGAGGGGGAAACATGACAAAGGAGTAAGAGAGTCTCATAACTCAATGGACATAGAAGCTGAAAGGAACAGCACACTAAAGCATTCTCATGCCACCGTTGGAGCTCCTCGTAGGTGAAAGGACCTTCCAAATGAAATCACTTCTGTAGACTCTAGCAGGACAACCAGCTCCTTACATAGTCAAAGAGAAAACCAGCTTTTGGCTTTCCTCCCTCCTCGGTAATAAAATCATCTGGGACTCCAAATGTCATTGGCTGTGCAATCGGGGTGCCTTCTTCATATCAGGCGGTGGTTTTGAGTGAAGTCAGTGCCTCTCCACTCAGAGACGCTGTGCAAAGGAAAAGAACATGAAGACAGACACATTAGGATTCAAATCTTGCCACTTACCAGCTACATGGCCTCCTTGCATAAGTTTTGACAAGTCTGAGCCTCATTTTTCTCATCTGTAATATGGGATAGCAAAAATCATCCTTATAAGATTATTGTAAGGATTAAACAAGAGAAGACCCCTAACCATTAGGGTTACATCAGGGTGACAATTCTCTCACCTGATATTTTATATTCTGGGCCTTAACTTCGCAGTTCATAGTCTACCTGAATAGTAGAGCTTGCAAGTTTCTCACGTTGCAGATGAGAAAAACCAGTCCAGAGTGGTTAGGTGACTTTGTCAATGGTGGGACTTTGCTCCTCACTGCTTGTCAGGACCCTGTGCAAGTCTTCCTGAGATGACACAAGTGGGAACCAGCTCAGGAAGAATGATGAATGGCCCAAGACAGCAATGTTCTGTCTGGGCTGCTGAGGCCACTTAGTGGTGAGCTGGGACCCTGGCTACTGTCTTGGTTGATCCTACAGGAGAGGCTCATGTGCCTGACCCACCTCCCAGCCATGGTTGGAAGGGATTAATCAGTGGCTGGGAATGCAGCTGTGACAGCCATCCTTATTCCAGTGAGCCACCTGAGTGCACCCAGCGCTACGGCCAGGTGGAAAACAACCGCTTAGGCCTTAACGAGCTTGTTCAGCTATAATTCTGGGGAGTCCTGAGAGCCCTGCTAATTACCCCATTTTGTTGTCATTGTTGTTGTTTGGTTTTGCTTTGTTTTTTGTTCATTTCAGGTTTTCCTCACTGAGCAGGCCCCTGTTTTGGTTAGCTTGTCTCAGTTGTCCATACTATCACATACCAGTTTCCAGGCAGATTTCAAATAATTTGCAAATGCAGGAGTACGAGACTGTGTTTGTAGTTGGCTGGATTCGAGCCTTCCTCAATTTGCCTGAATGGCTTCCATTTTTAACCCAGAGAGCACACTTCTCTTTCTAATCCATTCTAGCACCTGTTACAACCTACCCAAGGCACTGGAGGAGAGAGGAGACAGATTTTCTTTTATCCACAAAACGTAACTCCCTGGTTAGGCAATGAAAAAAGCACCAGGCTCTTTTGAGGTCAGGAGGATGAGGTGTAGTGCCCCGTCACAGGCTTTTCTGAAAAACAGTACGTGAAACACTGCCTGCTGGCCCTATCATAAAAGTGAAATGAAAAGTTGGACTGTGTTCACATGACAGTAAGTTCAAGGTACACCCTACCCTACCCACTCCAAGGCCTAAAAAAGGGGAAATTCCTGTGCTCTAAATTTGCTACAAGTGGGATGTATGAATGAAACAGAGTACCAAACAGACGAGCAAGTTCTGGGTGGCTGATGGTCTGCAGTTGGTGATGGACACCACGGAATCATGCTCCAGAGACCACCCACCTTCCTGGGGCAAGGCCTGGGGTCGCACTCTGGAGATGAGGTCCTGCCTGTAGAAGGTGCCTGTGAAGAACTGAAAGCTCTCTGGAAGGACAGTATATTGGCCTTAGAGATCTGAGACGTGAAGCCAGGTCTAGGGTGAGAGGGGACTGACAGAAGGCATGGAGCTCATTCGTGAAGTGATCTAATATTGCCATTTTACAGGTAAGGAAGCTGAGGCCCAGAGAGATGAAGCCAATTGCCTAAAGTCACACAGTTTGGAATAGATGTAGAAACAAAATCCAGATCTCTTGCTTCCTAAGCCAGGACTCTTTGCAGGAAAAAAGCCAGTAGCAGGAGGTGGTGTGAGAAGCTGAGGTGAGATGGGAGTTCCCAAGGCTGCTAAAGAGGCTCTGAAAGGAAAGTAGTCAGATACTCAAATCTGTCCTATGTTTCCCAAGGATTATCACAGCTTATAGAGTAGTGAAAAGTGACCCCTACCCCCAAGAAATTGAATTTTGCTTCAAGGGTAAGGAAAACATCAGAAAAAGAGAAGGGTCATATTCTATTTCTGTATGTATGCATGTATGTATGTATGTATGTATGTATGTATGTATGTATATATATAGAGATGAGGTCTCCCTGTTACCCAGGCTGGTCTTGAACTCCTGGGCTCAAGCAATCCTCCTGGCTCAGTCTCCCAAAGTGCTGGGATTACAGGCATGAACCACTACACCTGGCCTCAATTTAGTTAGCTGCCTGGCAAAAGAGAAGGGCTGAAATGAAGCACTCTCAGGTGAACGTGGAAGCTGTCTGCAAACACAGTAGTCTTCTGGAATCATTACAGACAGTAGAGATCTATAGAAATGCTTCCAGCAGAAAGTCTGTTGAAAGGGAGCAGAGACAGATTTATCATCTGTGGCACCTAAAAATGACATAATTATGCTAAGACAGGGACCAAGAACCAACGTTGCCAGGCATGCCCACTGGCTACCCTGCAAACAGGCACTGGTTTGAAGAGATGGCTCACCCACGGGTCCTGGGATTTTCCATCTTGTGGAGGACTGTTCACTTCCATGAAATGGGGAAGGACAAGGTTCTAAGGGGCCTTCCAAGATCGGTCAAGTGATGAGACTATGGACACTGAGAAGACATGGGGTGGGGATAATGAGGAGGATGGGGATGCAGGACCCCAAGTTTCCCTAAGTCTATTGGACCTCCATACCCTGAACCAGGGCCCTGAGCAGTCCACATGGGGGAGGGACAGTGCATGTATTTGGCTCCCTGGTGGACAGGAGGTCAAGTCCAACGGGCTGAATAGCAGAACCTGCTGCAGAGCTGGGGCTTGCTGCATCTGCCTGTTTCACTGAAGCTGAGGGAAAGGGCACTCGATTCTGAAGTTCTGCAGACGTTCTACTGGGGTGTCTGTGGTTCTGTGAAGTACATGACATTGTCTTCACAGCCATATCCTCCAGTTTCTGGTCTTCTCCCTCCCACCCACACTCCCAAGAAGATGAACATTTCACTTCGTCCACTAAATGACCCATAAGTTAATATGGGAGTTCCAGGTGGTAGAGGACACCAAGGTCAAGTGTCACCTGGGTCTCAAGGGAGGAAAGGTGCTAAGAATGGCCCGGCTCTGCTGTAGGTAAATTTCTCTCCATCTCACTCCACCAACCTCCTCATCCCCCTGCATTCTAGATATATGCTGCAGTCACAAACAGCTCTTGAATCTCAGGGACTTAAAACAACAAAGTTTATTTCTTGCTTGTCGCTTCATGTCCCTCTCAGGTGGGTAGAGGGTGCTGAGCTCCTCATCATCCTCACTCCAATCCAAGCTGATGGAGACTCCATCATGGGCACCAGTCACCCTGGCGTAAGCACTTAACACGTGGGCCTAGTGTTTCTTATGATGAAATCTGTTTTCTCCCATGATGTAGTTCTTTTGAAGATGGCATAATCAGGGACAGAAAGAATGAGAATTCTCATTACAGGGCAGTAAAAAGGCCAAATAATAAAGATTTGGGAAACCGATTCCCAATTTTAAAACTGCCAGTTACTAGCTATGTGACCCGGGGTAATTCATACACTCTGTGAACAGTTTCTGCGGCCTTATCTATAAAATCAGCAACATTGATTTGGGTCATGTGAGTGTGCTTTAAGATGTAGGCTTTGTCATCAGGCATAATAAACTTTGGCCCTCAATTTATGGATGGTTTTCAGGTCATTGACAGTGAGCCCAGTCATCCAGGCTCTGGCCCAAGCAGGACTCAGGCCCCTGTCCATTCCCTGGTGAGAGGAGCCAGGTGGTAGCTTTGTGGGGGTCCTCAGACTCACACTACACTTCAGGTGGTCAATGCGCATTCCTGTAGTCATTGCATCCTATGGCCTCTGGTCTCAGAAGGGCTCGGTTTCCGGAGGAAACATTTAAAAAGTGCCTCTGCTTGTCAAACACCACTTTGAGACCTTCAGAGAGCATGAATGCAAGACTTCCTCTTTTCTGCTCTTTATCTGAATTGCAAAGGGCAGCTCCTGTTTCCAAGAGCTCATGGTTTGATACGGATCACACAGCCTGTGCCCTCCTGACAGGCTCCCCCTGTATCTGCCAGCAGGCCACCTTCTGAAGCACTAAGATGCCCAGTCCAGTCTTTTCTGACAGACTCTTGCCTGGACAAGAAGGACTGACAAGCTTCCTATAAGCATTTGATAAAGCAGAAGATTGTTTTTTAATCACACCGTTGAAAATAGACAGTCTCAAACATTGCTGGTAGAAGCATGCATTGATTCAGGCTTGCTGGCAGGCCATTTGGCAAAATGTATCAAAAGCATTAAAAATGCATATGCCATTTGAGCCAGGAATTCCATTTCTAGGAACTTACCCTAAGGAAACAGTCTAAGATTGAGGTGCCAGGGAATTCATTACATCCTTATTTAGAATGGGGGAAAAAAACTGGAAACAACCTCAATGAGGAGAGCAATGTTAATAAATAAATGTGATCATAAGATGGAATTCTGGGCTGCCACAACAAGTGACATTCCCAAAACACTAAAGAGAAAGACAGAAGAAAAAAGCAGTATGATACAATACAATCCTATTTTTAAAATTTATTTTACTTTATTTTTATTTGTTTGTTTGGTTGTTTAAACACAGAGTCTCACTCTGTTGCACAGGCTGGAGTGCAGTGGTGCGACCACGACTCACTGCAGGCTTGACCTCCCAGGCTCAAAAGATCCTCCCTCCTCAGCCTCCCAAGTAGCTGGGACTACAACCACATGCAGCTAATTTTAAAATTTTTTGTAGAGATGGAGTTCCACTGTGTTGCCCAGGCTGGTGTTAAATTCCTGGGCTCAAGAGATCCTCCCAACTCAGCCTCCCAAAGTGCTGAGATTACACATGTGAGCCACTGTGCCTAGCCTAAAACCCCATTTTTATAAAACAGTATGAAGGACATATTTCAAGAGGTGATGGGAATTGTATTGTCTTCCTTTCGTTTCTCAGCACTTCCTAATTTTTCTGTAGAAAATGTAAATCCATCCAATCTTCCAAAAAGTAGATTGACCAATCTATTACAAGTAGTAGTTTTATTGAGTAACTACTAGGTAGTTTATTGAGGAACTACTAAGTATCAAGCACTCTGCTGGGTCAGTACTGAGAGATGAGATTCCTGTTCACCAGAACTTTTCTGTTTATTACCACTTGTGTGATTTTTTAAAATTATTTTTTCAGTTGTACCAGTTAGGTATTTTTTCAGTCTAGAATCCAGGGAGTGAGTTATATCAGAGGCTTTCAAATAGTTCTAGTCCACAAATCTTCTTAGTGTTGCTAAAAACCCACTGATCTCCTGGTTCTTTCTCCCACACCCCACTGCTGCTTGCTATGGCAAATCAGGCAAAATCTTTGGCAAGGCAGTAGGGAAAGCCTGACCTGCTTTTAGAGAAGGCTATACTCTGTTAAATATCAAAAGGCAAGTTACTGATTTATGCTAGAAACAGAAGGATACCTGTTGTGTATCCTTGAGTGGATGAAGAGTCAAGGGTGGCTGTTGGACAAGTCCTGCTGATGAGTTTGGGTGGCTTTCACAAATCCACTAAGCTCTCCACTCCACACTTTCATTCTACCAAAAAAAAAAAAAACAAAAAAATGGGAACAATAGTGTCTGCTCTTCCTATGTCACTCCTTATGTGAAATAAGGAAAACATTATCTGTCCTGCCTGCCTACATGAGGAGTCTGCACAGCTCACATTGACCCTTTTGAGAGCTAACCTTACTCTAAGTTGGGTCTCCGCAGCCATGTTTGTACTAGACTTTCTCTCCTGGGATTTTAGAATGGGTACCAGGAGACTTAGATTCATTCTGAACTGGTTTTTCAAAAGGAAGAAGTAAAACACCTTGGTTGCTGGGCTTGGCCATCTTTGGTTGAGGAATCTGAATTACAGAAGAACAAAGCAGTTTGCTGAGAGAGGCAGAGCCGAGAGACAAACAGACCTGGTGGATTTCCACTTCCAGGACCCTGGCCTGATCTAGGACTGGGCTACATTCTTATCTTCAAGTTCAGGAGAATGCCCTGCATTGTTATAAAAAATCCTCCAGTTTTGCTCAAGCTAGTTTAAATCGTCTCTGTTTTCATAACTAAACAATTCCATCTTACACTCTTCTTCAAAAATTCTGTGAGAATCAAATAGACTTGTTTTATTTTATTTTTAGATGGAGTCTCCCTCTGTCACCCAGGCTGGAGTGCGGTGGTACGATCTTCACTCACTGCAACCTCCGCCTCCCGGGTTCAAGCAATTCTCCTGCCTCAGCCTCCCAAGTAACTGGGACTACAGGCGCCCGCCACTACACCCAGCTAATTTTGGTATTTTTAGTAGAGACAGGATTTCACCATGTTGGCCAGGCTGGTCTCGAGCTCCTGACATCAGATGATCCGCCCGCCTCAGCCTCCCAAAGTTCCGGGATTATAGGCATGAGCCACTGCACCCGGTCAAATAGGCTAATTTTATATGAGACATTTGAAAACTCCTTTAAAAAGAAAGTCCCCTGACTTTGCAGTTAGGGTAGGAGCTCAGGGTCTGACTGGTTTTCTTTCTCAAAATTCAAACAATTCTGCTAATTTCTACTCCAACCTCATCCCACATTCAAAAGTACATGTCACATCCAATTCCTGGGCTTTCTGGGGGATCTGTGGCACAAAGTAACTTGATACTTGGGTTGTATATTGGTTACAATAAGTAGTGCTGGCTGCTGTAACAAATAAACCCCCAGTTCTCAGTGACTTGACAAAATAAAAAGTTAATGTCTAGCTCATGTCAAAGTCCAGTAGTGCTGGAAGGAAAGTTCAGCTCAATCCTATTATGTGGGAACTCAGGTTTCTTCCACAAACTGGCTTTGTCATTTCCAGGGCCTCGAAGTCCTCTGCACAAGTCAGCAGGACTTGTCCAACAGCCACCCTTGACTCTTCATCCACTTGCTCCATCCACTCACAACAGGTATCCTTCTGTTTCTAGCATAAATTAATAACTTGCCTTTTGATATTTAACAAGAGTATGGCCTTCTCTAAAAGCAGGTAGGACTTTCCCTACTGCCTTGGTAAAGATTTTGCCTGATTTGCCATGGCAAGCAGTAGTGGGGTGTGGGAGAAAGAACCAGGAGATGCATGGGTTTTTAGCACCGCTAAGGTGGTTTGCGGACTAGGACTAATACCAGAGGACTCTGGATCCTCTGCATCGAGCCTGCAGATATAGGAAGAATGAGTGAGAACTCAGAGGTCTCCTGGGCAGTTTCTCTGGGGCCGGGCCTGAAAGCAGTATATATCATTTCTGCCCATATTCCACTATTCAGAGCTTAGCTACATGGCCCCACCTACCTATGAGAGAGGTTGGAACCATATAGTCTACCTACATGTCCAGAAGGAAAAGGAAAAGGGAAGGAGGTTTAGTGAACACAGAACAGTCTTTACCTCCATTTTCCAGCCCCATATCCTCTACTCCTGTTTTTAGTTTTCTCTAGCCTACTGTCATTTAGCCAACAATACAGGGGCTGACAAACAATGGCCTAAGGGCCAAATCCAGCCCATGGCCTGTTTTCATACATAAAGTTTTCACTGAGGCTCAGCCATGCCCATGTGTTTACTTACTGTCTATGTTGCTTTCATACTATAATGGAGCAGCTGAATTGTTTTGACAGAGCCCATGTGGCCTGCAAAGCCGAAACTATTTACTCTCTGGATCTTTACAGAAAAAAATTTGCCAACTCTACAAAACTACATCAGCTTTCCAAATAAGAGTGCACAATCTCTCCTGACTGTGTCTTTTCCTCTTCTGTTTTTGCCCCTCGCGGGCCACCTGCTGCCCCGGGTAAACCATCAGGTGAGACAGCCTCTGGAGAATGGCTCCAATGTGCTAAGGAAGAACTTGGCTGCTCATTTATTCCTGAGGTTCACTGGGTTTGGTCATTTTTGTAAAATTGCTGAAAGTTTTATGTTCTAAAGTCTAAGGATACTCTTTCTGAATTATTTTTTTTCTTATTCAACTTCCAGATGATGTTCTCATATTCACCTGGAAGTGCCATATAAGTTTTCAGCTAATGGAACAGAAAGCAAACAAGATGAGTGTGGTCAATTAAAGAATAAAAAATGGGTTAGAGAAAGAGCAAAAATTGGAAAGAGATGAGCAATGTTACCACAAGTCTCACAACCTACAACACCAACCCTACCCCCTCTAATACCTTGTTGTTACTAAAAAAAGACTGTGAAATAGGATTTATTGCATACATTGTGCTATCTTTGTAAATTCAGAGATTACATGTAATTTAGACCATTTTAATTAACAAGGATTATATGTTGCTTCATTGTCCTTTATTACGTATATAATGTCATAAACTTTGCTGCATGATCAAAGGTTCTTGGATTCTGTTTTAAATAAAGATTTTGAGACTTCAAAAGAACCTACCTCCCCTCTCAGATGGCTTCTTCTAGCCTAGAGTTCCTATGATTCACAGCAACCCCATCCAACCCCCAGTGGCTCTGCCCAGCCCTTCTGTGGTGTTTCTAAGCACATAGGTCTGGTTTCAAAAAGAACCCACACCTCCCCGCCCTTCCTGGAGCTCAGAAAATGAGCTTCCAGCCTCCAGGTTTGCTGGCCTCTGCCAGAGCCCATGCCCTGTGGGCACATGTGCCTGAAGGAAGCCGGGCCCCTGGTGGAGGTGCCTTGCTAGGGGGGAGAGGGCATGGATCATATGGTAAGGCGGTGGGTGAGCCACCCTCTCAAGCCACAAAGAGACACTGGGGATGGGGCTGGAAGATTTGCAGACTCTTCTGGGCCTCACCGGAAAGTGCGGCTCTAGCCCCCAAGCATGTAAGGACTTTTTTCCCCTAGGCATTCAGAGGCTTTTTCAGTGTAAGGAACATGGCTATGCTTCGGTCAGCGATAGCCCCAGGTAAACACCGAGAGTGATTCAGCAAGTTTAGAGCATAGGTGTATTACTCCACTTGTCATCACATCCATGTAGCCATAGCATGGGAAGGCTCATCATTTGGCTCTAAGCCACTATTGTCTGTAAAAGGTATAATTGCCCTGCTGACACTGTATAGGCCCGCTCATGCCCAGACAGAGAAAGAGTTAAGCTGCTGACCCTGAAGGGAAAGCCAGCAGCGCAGCTGTGCATGGGAGCAGCCAGATCAAGCAGCTGAGACAGAGCAGACCGTGTAAGAGAGCTGCTGATGAGAGAGCTGCTGAATAAAGCTGTATCTCACCTACCTACAGCTCCTTAAGTGTTCTTTCAGCTATCTGCCATTCATCCACCCACTCCCTTCAGACCTCAGCATGGGCTGCAGCCTAACCCTAGACCTGACATTCAGGAAACTCCCTTTTCCATGAATCACTGAGCCCCTCTGAGACTAGAGCTTCCAGTTGCTCCTCTTGAGATCAGCAATCAGGGCAAACAATCAGCCAAAGCGCCCGCCTCTGCCTGCCACTTTCAAGGGCCCTGCTAGCATGTAAGCTCCATGGAGACAGGGACCTTTGTCTCATTGCTGATGGATTCTAGGACAGTCCCTGGTACTTATCAGGTGCTCAATAAATATTTGTTGAACAAATGGCTCTTAGATGATGTACTTGGAAACGGCTCTCTGCTTACTAGTGTCCTTTTAGCACTATGGCATTTTTATTTCTTAGGAAAAAAAAGCTTTTATTTAGGTAAAATTTATACACAGACAAATGCAAAGGTATTCCTTAGCACAATTTGATGAGCTTTGACAAATGTATTACCTCTGCAACCAATCAATATTTGTAATATTTCCGTCATCATTTTCAAGAAAACAACACCTTTTGTTGCTTAGTTTGGGGCCTTTCCTCACTTTAGAGTTCTTGTCTTATTTTACTCTACGATAAGGACTCGGCTGCCTTCACCTTCCAAGGTGTCCCAAGGTATAAGCTCAGTGAGGCTGGGATGCTCCCCAGAGGCAGGCAACTAAATAAACATTGAAGTATGCACACCTGGACGGTCTGAAGGTAAAGCCTTCAGATGCACGGAGAGGCACCTGCCCTGTTTCTGAGTGCAGCGCTGGGTTCAGAAACATGGAGAGAAGATCCTGGGTGGAAAAGCAGAAGAGGCTTCCTAAGTTGAAGAAAGGACAGGGTCAGGGTTTGAGAAAGGCCAGACAATGAGACACAGAAAGATCACAATTTTGTCTCAGGTCAGATCTACTATTCTTACAAACAAAAGGATTTCCTTCTTGATCATTTCAGTGACTAAATAGCATGTTTCATCTCCACACCAAAACCCACACCCCAGGTTTACAAGTGAGCACAGTGTCTTGTACCCAGTAAATGTTCAACAAATGATTCTAGGGTGGAATTTATTGAACACCTATCTTATCTCATGGTACAGCTGCACCTGACCCAATTAACTGCAACTCAAAGGACCCTGCAGGAAATGGGCTAAAAGCTGGAACCCATCAATAGCATCATGATCAAGAACACAGATTCTGGAGTCAGGTTGACTGGGTTCAAATTCCAGCACTACCACTAGATTTGTAACTGTGTGCATGTCATTTAACCTCTCTGTTCCTTAGTGTCCCATCTGTAAAGCAGAGCTGATGAGAAGGATGAGCTTCTTATTAGGATTAACCAAGATGATGCACATAAAAAGCATAGCACGTGCCTAGCATATATGCGTGCTCAGTAAGGGTCAGCTGTCATGATTCACAACTCTGAGAATAGGGTGAGCCTCACAAAAACACACCTAGCTGCAGGAGCTTAGCAAAAATTATCTAATCCATTCTGGAGCCAAGCTGCAATATTGGTAGGATGTGGCCTCGGTGGGGCATGCACAGTCCCAGCAGACAAGGAGCCTTGGAGAGTCTGACAGGAGGCTGCGGAACACCCCAAGGAGCAAGGACAGAAAACTTTGGAATTCAGAGATGGTAGAGATTGAAGGATAGCCTGGGAGAAATCCTTAACGTGAAAATGGAAGTTAAAAATAGATGACTTGTCTCAGCAATGAGAAGGCAGATGTTATGCCTTCAAAACTCATATGTCCAATTTCTTCCCCCAATTTTTTGTTCTTACCCCAATTTTGTGTGTGTGTGTGTGTGTGTGTGGTTGTGTTGTTTTGAGACAGGGTTTCATTCTGTTGCCAGGCTGGAATGCAGTGGCACAATCACAGCTCACTGCAAACTTGACCTCCTGGGCTCAAATGATCCTCCCACCTCAGCCTCCTGAGTATCTGGGATCACAGGTGTGCCTAACCATGCCCAGCTAAGTATTGCATTTTTTTGTAGAGATGGGGTCTTGCCACGTTGCCCAGGCTGGTCTCCCGGACTCAGTGATCCACCTGCCTCAGCCTCCCAAAGTGCTGGGATTACAAGCATGAGCCACCATGCCCGGCCTCTCCCCAATTTTTTGTGGGGCAACTTGTTTCATACCAGACATATGCTCAATCTGAGGTACGCAAATACATCACACATTTGTCATAAGGGATTATCACAATTAACAAAGAATATTGAAAATACAAATAGGAGGAAAAAGAATTTACAATGTATGTTCATGTTAGTGGGCCCCGCTACAACGTAATTCCAGCTCTGTAAATTGGATTGATACTGAAATGCAGCTGCAAGTTGGTCCGGACTGTGAGAGCTAGGGTCTGGAAAACTGGGCATCACTGCAACCCTAGATCACAGCAATGCAGGGAGGGAGAGAGGCACATCTTCGATGAGAAGCTGGTTCCAAGTTTTTTTTTTTTCTTTTTCAGGCCACTTTCTCAACATCATGATTATTAATTATCCTTCTCTATAGTACCTATTACAAGGATCCCCTCCAGGGAAAAAGCAGTTGACCTTTAAAAAATGTAGTCTTTAAAAGGTTTAGACCCATGACTCTTCCCTCTGTGATGTTCTGAAAATGCTTCCCTCAGCAGTTCAGCTGTGACCCACATGGCACAAATAACATTTCAGGGAAATTACTTGTCTCTGTCTCCGAAACTAGGCCTTTACATCTTCTAGTCTCTGTCATGATTTCTTTTGTTCAGCTGATGAGAACTCTATCTTGTTCTCTTGTTCAACCATCTTGGTGAAGGCATCAGAGTTCCACCTGTCCATTTGCTGATACAGCTCCCTGGGATATAGCTCAAGAAGCCAAGGCTGAGCTTTCCTGCTCCTTGATGTGGAGGCCCAGGATACTCTCTCTCAGAAATAAAATTCCTGGTTATCTTACTTCACTGGGATGGGCAGCCCTCTTCAATAAACAAGAGCTGTCACAGCGCCTTTGGAAGCAGGTGGCACTGCCCCCTCCCTGGCAGGCTTAGCCTTTGGTTAGCACAGAAGCAGTTTGACTTGAAGACTGAAGAAGGGATTCCTTCCCAGGGGACTTGTTCATCTGGCAGCAGGTCTGGTTAGAAATTTACCTGTTGGCACAGAAATAAAAGAACAGAGTAATTCGGTGAAAGCATTACAATCAACAGGTCAGCCCTTTCTGAGTGAAGGCCTGATGTTGGAGTCATCACACCCCACCAGCAGGAACGAGCTGGCCTATTATCAGATAAAAACAATTAACTGCCTGCCAGGAGGCAGCACGCTGCTGTGGAATGAATGTCCTTCGCTTGTGTCCCAGCGCTGCCACTTCCTGGATGAGTAGTCCTGAGCAAGTGATGTCAACTTTCCAAGCTTCTATTTTCTTATTTGCAGAATAGAACTAACAAAACCAGCCTTGTAGGATTGGGAGGAATGATTGTGTGAGATCAGCAGTGGAAAATGGCCTGCAATGTGCTTGACACATAGTAGGCCCTCATTATTGCCAGTTTCTTCCCATGTTTCCCTTCCCTGCACTTTTCCCTCTCCTGTTGGCTCCTAGGAAAGCATGGTGAATGGGAAGAAATTAAAAGTGTGAAGAAAAAAAAGGATAATCCAGGCAGAGAGGAAAACAAACCTGGAAGGAAAAGTCTGAGGACATTCAGGCAGCCAAAACAATGATGGTATTTGTGTGTTCTAGTAAGTTCTGTGGTGGATGTCTGCTCACTTTTTCTGTCTGTCCAATGTCCTTTCTCCCTGTATTCGTTTTCTGCTACTGTATAGCAAATTACCCTAAAGTTTAGCAACTTAAAGCAACATAGATTTTTTTCCCCCCAGTTTCTATGGGTAAGGAGTCACCCAGCTCAGGGTCTCTCCCAAGACTGCAATCAGTGTTTGCCAGAGCTGTCTTCATCTCCATGTTCGGATAGGGAAGTATCCATTTCCAAGCTCGCTCAGTGGTTATTGGCAAGATTCAGTTCCTTGTGGACTATTGGATTGAGGGTCTCAGTTTCTTGCTGGCTTTGGCCAGAGGCAACCCTCAGTTCCTTGCCATATGGGCCTTTCCATAAGGCAGCTCACAATGTGGGAGGTGGCTTCCTCAGAGTGAGCAAAGGGGAGAGAGAGAGAGATCACAAACTTTTGTAAAATAATCTCAGAAGTGATATCCCACCACTTTCCTCATATTCTACTCATTAAAAGTGACTTACTAGGACCATCCCACACTCACAGGGAGATTACATGCAGGCTTGATAACAGAAGGTGGTGGTGATCACTGGAGACCACCTTAGAAGGCTATCTCATTGCCTTTCTGATAAGAGCAACCCTCCTTCTTCTGTAAAACCACATATGATTCTTGTGGGGCTGCTCTCTGTAACACCTGCCACTCCCACCCCATTCCCACACTGAAATGGCCTGAGATCCAGGTCTGGTGGATTATCATAGCACATCTTGTAGCCACAGTGATTGGTCCAAGATGGAGCCATGTGACCCAAGCTTGGCCAATCAGAGCCTTTCCCTGGGATATATAGCAACAGGGAGCGAGACGTTTTCTCTTTCATCTGAAATAACTAACATCAGATGTAAGCTTGGGGTTTCCCATGGCCCTATCTTTCAGGAACCATATAAAGAAATTGGGCCGGGCGAGGTGGCTCACACCTGTAATCCCAGCACTTTGGGAGGCTGGAGTAAGTGGATCACTTGAGATTAGGAATTCAAGACCAGGCTGGCCAACATGGTGAAACCTCATCTCTATTAAAAATACAAAAATTAGCCAGGCGTAGTGGCGCAGACCAGCAGTTCCAGCTACTCAGGAGGCTGAGGTGGGAGAATCACTGGAATCCGGGAGGCGGAGGTTGCAGTGAGCCAAGATCGCACCACTGCACTCCAGCCTGGGTGACAGCGAAAGACCCTGTGTCATAAAAAAAAAGAAAAAGAAAACAAAAGAAAGAAATTAATTTCAAGTACACCAGGAACAATTGAGGCCATCATATTCTGAAGCAGAGATAAAAGATTTGAGATTAAAGAGAAAGTGCAAATAAACTAGTGACATTTTCCTGAATCCTGGATGCTGCTTTCACCCCCCAAAGCTAATGTATCTCCCTTTTTCACTTGAGATAATTTAAATTGGGTTCTGTCACTTGCAAGAAAAAGCATCTTGATCAACTTAGCTACAGTTTTTGCATCTACAAAATCAAGGAGCTGAACTAAATGATTTCCATGTTTTTTTCATATTTCAAGTTCTAAGATTCTGACTTAAAATGTCTGATTTTTTACTAAGAAATAGATTTTTTTAAAAGCGAGGAAAGAGCAGGAGAAGCAGCCTGAAAGAAAAGGAATGCAGAAGAGGGAGACAGGGTCACTCCTGGGACCAGTGAGAGCCAAAGACCAACTCTGCCTGCTGCATGATTTAGACAAGACTCCCGATTTTAACTCAGGACTGTAAGAGTGCCCTGCAAAAGGACTCACGCCTCTAGTGATCCCAGGTAAGGCCCACACATAGGTTTCTCTGACATGCTGTTGGAGTCATGATGACACAGTAGTTGAGGGCATGGGCTTTAGAGGCTGCTGCCCCTGGATTCAATGATTATCATTTTCATCACAGCATTTACTGAGCGTTTATGACATACCTGGAAATATCTCAAGACCCAGCCTCTTCACTTACTAGCTATGTAACCTTAGGGAAGTGACTTAACTGCCACAAGCCTCTGCTTCCTCATCTGTAAAATGGGTGTCATAATAGTTTACTTCTCACAGGGATGTTGTGAGGATTCAATGAGTCAAGAACAGTATCTGGCACGGGCTCAAGCATCAAGAACAGTATCTGGCACGGGCTCTTCCTAAAATGTTCCTCCTTGCCTTTTACACACAGCTCAAATACCAAACATCCACAAAACTTCCCCAATTGTACTCCACCTCCTCTGTCTCCCCCGAGCACTTTGTTCCTGCCTGCTGGCTTTCTTTCTGCACACATTATTTAAGAGGTAGAATGATCAGGATTTCTAGCTCTGTATTTCATTCACCTGCTCACAAATCTATCACCTGTGTGGCTCACCATACCTTATCTTTGGGTTCCTGAAGCGTTGGTCAATGACAAACACACAGGATCTCAACAAATTTAAATGGATTGAGTAAATAATATTCAGCCATCTCTCAAGATCAAAGCAGACAGTATGATCAGTAGTACGTGCCACACCTTTTGGTTTCACCACCTCAGTGAGCATTAAGGATTTTTGTCAGGCGAAACTGATGTGTGATTGTAAAGCTGCTCCTCACATGAAACCACCAATTGCTCAAGCTAAAAGTAACAATTCCTCACAGCTGGCAGGCCAGCCCATCTGCAACTGGCCGTGGAGCCTGTGTTAACGGGTGCGGTGCTGCTAGTTTGGAAGCTGACCAAAGAGACAGTAAACACAAAGGTTGCCTGGGTGCATAAATACAAAACGAGCTCCTCCTTGCCTCATCCCCGAAACAGGCCAGTCACAGCATCAGGGACTCCACAAGTGTCTACTTGTCAGCTCCTGTCAAGTGCAACGGCAAGGACCTACCACCCTCAAGCTGCAGATATTAAGGATGAAATTGCAGGAGCTGCGGTTTTATAAGAAGCCAAACATTGTGTGCATTCAGAAAAAGATATTTTTCTAAGGTGAGTACATGGCAAGGTCATGTATACGGAGAGGAAACATTTCCCCACTTCTGGCTAAAAGAAAATGTGTTAAACGTGTTCACCCGGCTAACTACAGAAAGAACCTCTGGGGACAATCTGGTATGCCGCATGAGACTGACCATGTGGCACCTCATTTCTCATTAGTGCAAATCTTAGGGAAGCAGTACAAAGTGCTTTTGAACCTATAAGGGAAATGAGACGGATAACTGGCTGGGGTGGCATGAAGTTTTCTAAGTAAATAGTGGAATAAAATGTATGAATATAATTTTTATTCCCTTGTGTTGATTAGAATTCAACTCGAGGGCATGGTAAGGCTTACAGGATCACAATGGTGATCTCTCAAATGACTGGAATTTTTTTAAAAAAAACTCTCTTATTCTCAATTCCTCTTTTCTATCTGTGTGTTTTTATTAATTCACTCATTTATTTATTTGTACCCTATGCCATTCCTGAACGCAATGCAGCCTTATGCTCTGCAGGCACTGGGGAACTGACAATGGCTTTTGAGCAGGGCAACTACATGATCAGACATGAATTTTAGATGATCTGGAATCAGCGTTGAGGATGGAACTAGAGAAGACAGAGGTTGGTAGTCCTCCAGATGAGTCCTGACTAGATACCATGAAGGAGAGAAGACACATTATTTAAGAGGCAGAATGATCAGGATTTCTTGACTGGGTGACTGTGGACAGTAGCAAAACAGTGAAAAAATAACTAGAAAGTGACTTTTTCCATGACTTTGTGAATGATGACACTAACTCAAGCAGATTGACAATATAGGAAGTGGACCAGTTTTGGAGTATGGGTAGTAGAAAGCTCGAGGAAGTGCTTTAGAGAAAGGCGCCATATAATGATGCTAAGATTTCAATTCTCTGTCAAGTTGCCAGTGCAGGTGACAGAACATGTGGCTAATGAAGGTCTACTCTTGCTCCCTGTGGGCTGATTGCCAGCTGCACCCTTTGAAGTTGTCCTACATCCTCATCATGCCTGATGGTGACCGCTAGGCTCACTAGAGGAACTTTGAGAGAGTGTGGAAATGGAACAGTACAAGCCCAGAGACATCCTTAGGGACCCAGCCAGAAGGCCTCTCCTACCGATGGGATG
The DNA here is from genome assembly GCF_000001405.40 of Homo sapiens. Taxonomy (NCBI): domain Eukaryota; kingdom Metazoa; phylum Chordata; class Mammalia; order Primates; family Hominidae; genus Homo; species Homo sapiens. The sequence goes on from NC_000002.12 coordinate 64,487,556, forward strand.
GTGGGATTGGAGCAGTGCCAGTTTTGCTTCTTCTTAATTTTTGAAGGGTGGGCAGAAATCTATTGCCAGTGGAACACTGAGTATGCAAGGGTAGATGACCTCACAACTAGGGTGACTGTCCTCAGGCCCTGCCTTGAGTACTGTCTCCCAGTCTGTCTTCACAGCTCGAGGAATGGATCAGGGAGAAGAATCCTCCTTTCCAATCATCCTAGTCTCTCTCTTTCCCCCCAGACACCTTCTATCTATCTCGGAGCCTCTGCTGCTCTTTCTGTATCCCTGGAATGACTTCCTTTTCTACACTGGGTGAGTCTCTGAGCTGGGATACTTCCTGGAAGGGAGAGCCGTTATCTGCTGGAGCAGTCAGCTGTGGACTCGCTAGGCTGTGTCTATGACTGCTGCACAAATAGAAGGATTTCGTTCAGCTTGGGAATTTTTTGTGTATTCTTTACCTATTATCTCATCTTGTTTCTAAAAAGATTCGCTGCATCTTGCAGTATAACAGGAGTTGTTTGCTTTTATTTTATTTTATTTTATTTTATTTTATTTTTTATTAGAGGGACTGGGGATGCCCTCCTTGGGGCTGAGCCAAGGTGCAAAGGTAGAGCTCCCCCTGCTGGCTGACTTTTGCTCCTGCAGCCCTCGGGCGTCTGACGCTTTCGCGTTTATGAAGTCTTGTAGTTTCACAGGGGAGAAAATCAGTGTCGCTCAGCTTCAGGAGGTTCGCTTGCTTTCAGAAACAACGGTCAGTGTGACTGTTGGACTGAACATGCTTAAAACTCATTCCATCACTTTCTGTCATTATCTTTCACTAGCTCTTGCACAAATATTGAGGCTCTTAGTTTGTGGGACATTGACTGGGCCCTGACCCAGAGGCAAGCATTTTGCTAGCACCAGGAACACTAAGGCCAAAGAGACACCCTCCCTGACGTTGGAGACCAGCATAAGCGAAGCTGCCCTCTTTCAGATAGGAAAGCCCTTGTCATCCCAGGATGGGGACACTCAAAATGAAAGGAGCTCCCTAGACAGGGCCCCAGACCCAGGTCCATTCAGGAATAGGGGGTATTTTATCACGAGTTAACTTTGAGTTATCCTGGCCCCTCCCCTAGGCTGACCCGGCAGGTGGGAGGGAGAGTGAGGCATCCTGAAGGCTGCAAGCCTGGCTGGCTGTGATCCACGCAGGAGATCTACACCTCAGAGCACTTCCTCCCACTGGGCAGTGGACCACTCGAGCAGCGGTTCTGAACACCTGATCCCCAGACTCATCGCAGCAGCAGCATCTAGGAACAGGTAACACATTCTCAGGTTTGAAAGGCGCTGGGTGTGAGGCCCAGCAGCCTGTGCTTTAGCAAGCCCTCTAGGTAACTCTGACAGTTAAGGACGTCCAGAGACAGCGGTGTGGCCACCTCTGGGAGCCCTACGTGACAGCTCAGCTTCATGAGACATGGCTTCTTCTGCCTCACAGCAGCCACAAAGCCATAGCATTTCAGAGGTACCTATTAGATACCCCTCCCTTTTACAAATGAGAACACCAAGGTGCAAGAATACATGGTTCGCCTAGGGCAAATCTGTCAGGGGATTTCCCCACCAGGCATCCCAATTTACACCAATAGAAAAGGGAGGCCAGTAAAAGAGACCCTTCCCGGGTTCCTCAGACCTGCCTGCTCTGGGTGTCAGGGCTCTGCACAGCATCTAGTGCAGATCTGTCTCTCCCGGGCCTATGACTGGGTCACCCTGAAGCTCTTGGCCCATGGTCTTCCTCTCCTTGGGGGTGATGTCGCATTCCACTTTCTCCTTTTTGATCGCACTGGTCCTTGCTGCCACTCACTCAGAGATGGAACATAAAGGGCCCAGCTGTGAAAGGATCACAATGAGGTTTGGTTTTTAAAATCAATCCCCAGCATCTAAAAATACTTGTCAATCACAGAGAGATAGGAAGTCACTAGAAAGACAGGAAATGTTTGAGGTTGGAAATGCATCCCCTCTAGCCTGGCCATATGGTACAGATGCCCTTTCAGATAAGTGCCAAGGTCTTGTCAGCTGGCTAGAATTAAGGCAATGCTCTGCCTCCCCTCCCCACAATATTTACAAGCATTGATTTTCTAGAAGGGAAGGGGTGGGGAGGGAAAAAGGAGAAAAGAATAGCATCTTTATTAATATTATTATTTTTGTGCACATCATCAGAGGGGTTGGGTCCCAAAGGGGAGACTGCACTTTGAAAACACAGCTTTCTCTCAAACAGCAGAAAAATGATGGGCTCACAGTGTGAGCACTGTCCATGCAGCCCTGCATGATGGGTGAGGTGCTGACTCAGGCAGAGAAGAAATTTCTGCACCTCTCCACTTATTATTATTATGGTCTTTGCAAAAGGCTCGATGCTCCCTTGTTTGAAAAGATCACTGCACTCTTTCATCCCTGATGCAGTGAACAGCGGTTGGGGAGCACAAAGGAAAAACTATTTTCTCACCAAATGTGAAGGAGTCATTTTCCCAGGAGGCTTTAATCAAATGCTATGCCGGATGTATTGAGGAAGCAGTGCAGGGAACAGTCCGTACAGGAGGACGGCCTTTCCATACTTGCCTTCTGGAGAGGAGGGTCTGGGCAAGCCTGTTCCATCCAGAATGTTTCTGCAGGTATTGGTGGCATGGCTAGATTTCAGAACTGTTTTAAAGAAGAGAAAAAGGGGATCTTTCAGCTGGTTTGGGAAAGGGAGCCTGGAGTGCTCATCACACACACACTCTCACACACACACTCACACACACACTCACTGACACACACACTCTCACACATACTCACACACATGCTCACACACTCTCTCTCTCTCTCTCTCTCTCTCACACACACACAGAGAGACACTCCGAGCTACTTCTGCTTTGTTTTCCAGATATCCCACCTCCTCATTCTAAGTAGCCCTTCTATTTCTTGGTCTCAGGAGGGGTTTCTTAAAAGATAAACTCTTTTCGTGGTATAAATAAGAGTTTAATCTAATTGAGGATATAATATTAGATATTCTGGAAGTGGGGAGTATTTGGGGAAAGAATGGGGGTTGAGCTGAAAGAGGGGGAAGATTCATGGGTTCACTGAGGATTGGGACCTATGCTCTGTGTCCTCCCAGTGCCCCAGGGATACGGCAGGGCCTCTGGGAGGAGTGGCTATAGGATGTGCCCTGGGCAGCCAGGTCTAAGTGTGAGGATAGCCAGTTCACAGAAAGAATGCAGTCCTAAAAAGAAATCAGATGGGCTGAGTTTGAACCCAAACTCTGCCACTTGCTGGCTGTGTGACATGGGGTAGTTACTTCCCTTTATTGCCTGTTTCCTCATCTGTAAAACTAGGACTATTATTCTACAAATGTTTAGGGCTGGGCGCAGTGGCTTATGCCTGTAATCCCAGCACTTTGGGAGGCTGAGGCAGGCGGATCACGAAGTCAGGAGTTCGAGACCAGCCTGGCCAACATAGTGAAACCCCGTCTCTACTAAAGATACAAAAAATTAGCCAGGCGCAGTGGTGCGCGCCTCTAATGCCAGCTACTCGGGAGCCTGAGGCAGGAGAATCACTTGAACCCAGGAGACGGAGGTTGCAGTGAGCCGAGACTGCGCCATTGCACTCCAGCCTGGGTAATAGGGTGAGACTCTGTCTCAAAAAAAAAAAAAAATTATTGAACTATATACTGGGTACTATTCTAGGAGTTGAAAGAAAGAATTAAAAAACTGGAGGTCCTACCCTTACAGAACTTACATTCTAGTGGTGGGGGGAGGGGGGCAGATGAAAGACTCTATTAGTAGGTAAATCACACAGCATGGTATGCTGGACGATGATAAGGGTTATGGAAACAAAGTAGAGCTGGGAAAAGCAGAATTAGAAAGGGAGGGGCACAGATACTGGTGGTCAGGATATGCTCATTGAGAAGGTAATATCTAGGCAAAGCCTTGAGGAAGATGAGGGAGAACCATAAGTTATCTGGGAAAAGAATGTTCTAGATCAAAGAGTAGTTGCCTCATATAAAACTATTTATGTAAAGCACTACCAAGTCCCTGGCACGTTAGTAACATTCCATAAACGTTAATCGTTGTCATTATTTTCATGGCCAAGTAGGGCCCAGCAGCTACCATGTGGGCTAGAAAAATGAGCACGTCCACAGTAATCAGCATGCCCTGAGCTGGAGGGACTCCTCCAAATGATTGGTTTTAGATGAAGTCCCCAGGACCTTTGTTTGACTCAGGGGTAAGGGGAGGAATCCCTAACAGTGACTGAAATTACATTTCCCTCCAGGCCTACCAACAGGAGACTGAAGTCAGATTCTATTCTGATTTAAAGAAAATAAGGTAATGTTGCTTTCTGACTTGAGCTGATAAAGTAAGATTCTTACTCATGCCCGAGAAAAATGGGAAAAGTCTGAGAAAGGAAGACATGAGAGGGTCCTAGACTGAAAGACCTAAAAATGTCTTGATGCTGCAGATTGATATGACTTTAGCAAGGCAGGGACCAAGGGCGGGGGTGCGGGGAGACAAATGAAAGGCAAAAAGGAGTTGAGGTCAGAGAGAAGAAAAATATATTGGAGGCTATATCTGAAGTTGCTACAAGTAAAATACAAGCAGCTCTGGCAATAAGAGCAGGGCCCGAACATATAGCAAGAGCAGTCAACCCCCAAAGGAGGTAGGAGCAGTAGACATCATAAGTCAGAGGGGTTGGTGATACCAAGGCCAGAGAGTACCACGTGGCTCCAGGGAACCAAGTTTATCTAAAGTCAAAAATGTTTAGCCTCCATTGAAGGGGTGGGGATGGGGTTGGGGGGCTTAAATGTGTTAGAATCCCAAAATGTTAGAATCCCGGAAAAGACTTTCGTGCTTATTTAATCTTACACCCTCCTTTTTCTATGTGAGGAAACTATGACTCAGAAACAGAAAACAGCCAGTCGGGAGTCACATTCTACTGATCAGAACTCCATCCACAGTGACAGAAACTCAATTCAAACCAACTTAATGAGCAAAGGGGAATGCATTTTGGCTCATGTTCTAAAGACCAGGACTGGTTCACAGGGCAGGACTGAGACAAAAATTTGGGTATGAACAAATCTAGGATGTACAGTAGAGACAAAATCAATAGTAGACTGCTGTCACAGTATTCTGTGAGCACACAGGCAGGCATGAGGCCCCCTAGAATTTACAAGAGTTTTCTTAAAGCCCACTGTGATCCATTTCCCAGAGCAAAATCAATCAAACATCAACTTCATGGGAGGCAGGAAACTGCTTGCCACTCTAAATGGCACTAATTTCCAAGGGCTGCTCAGTGAGGGACTGAAACCCGAGTTGTGAAGTAATGGTCCACACATCGAATCAACATTCCAGATGCGCTTTTTCTGACCCCCAGGGTGGGATGTTTTAAAAATTCATTTACTTAACAAATACTTGTTGAGCACTTACTGTGTGCCAGGTCCCTCTGTAGGCACTTGGCAAAAACAGTGAACAAAACAGGGAAAAATCCTCACCCTTATATACTTTGAGTATAATGGGAGGATATGGGCAGTCAGCCAATAATTTTTAAAATTCTATTATTCTACAGGATGATAAGTAGTATAGAGAAAAATTGAAAAGCAGGGAAGGAGAGAGAGTACAAGGTGGAAAGAAGGAGGTGTTGCAATTTTTAAAAGAGTAATTAGGAAAGGCCTCCCTGAGAAGGTGACATTTGGGAAAACACCTGAGCAGAAGAAGAAGTAAGGCTTGTGGGCATAGAGGGGAAGAGTATTCCAGGCAGGAGGCACAGCAAGAGGCAGAAACAATGCCTATGATGTTTGGGAAATAGCAAGGATGTCTGTTTTTCTTTTCTTTTTGTTTTGTTTTGTTAATCTATATTAGCTACCAACATTTAAAAATTGGGAATTTCACATCAAAATCTGTATTTCCAGATTTTCTTGAAAAAAAAAAAATCTCCAGTTAAGATCTTGCAATGCTGGCTCCAAATCATTTCGTAAAATCATGAACTAGCTCTGAGTAGCAGCTCTTCTCCCCTAATGGGACATGCATCTCCCATGTAACATAGTCACCCTTCCAGCCTGGGTATTTTCTCTTACACTCATGCCCAGCTACTTCATTCATTTCATTTCAACTGCTGGTCAGACCCCTGCAGGCATTTAAGCCGCTGTAGCCTACATAGGGCAGGCTAGGTTATGGTCATAAGTAAACCCCAGCAGTTTAGTGGCTTAATTTAACAGATTTGTTTCTTGTTCACACAAAATCCAACAGGGATGGAGTGATTCTTCCGGGAATCTGTCCTTCATGCAGTCAGCGACTCCAGGTCTGGGTTATTTCTAAACTGTGGCTCTGACATTTCAACTTGTGGACTTCATGGTCACCTTAAAGAGAAAGAGAGAACATGGAGGGGCCACACTGACCCTTACATGTTTTATGTGGGAAGTGATGCAAGTCATTTCTGCTCACATTTTATTGGCTACAGCTAGTCACGTGGCCTTGCCTAACTGCAAGAGAGCTAGGAAGTGTAGGCTTCCCATGTATCCAGGGAAGGACAAAGAATAGGATGTAGGTACGATGTATTAATCTCTTCCCTACCCTTGTTTAAAACTGTTTACAAACTCTATATCTATTCTCAGCCAGAGCCACCTGGTTATATGCATATAATGTGATATCACTGAGAAATTTTCGGAGAGCTGAGCTTCCCAGACAGGTGGCTGATTACCTAAGCAATCTATAGTAATTATATACATGGCACAGACGTTAAGTGTGTGAGCTCTAGAATCAGACAGCCACTATCTAAATTGCGACTCTACCGTTGCTAACAGTAGGACTTCAACCAGTATTTTTAACTTCTCTAAACTTGTTTCCTCATCTTTAATTTGAAGATAATAAGAGTACCCACTACATAATCTTAATGTGAAGATTAAAAGAGTTTATACATATAAAATGCTTTGAAGACCACTTAGTGAATCCTTGGTAAGTATCCATTGTCTTCAGTAAATATTAGTGTTCTGATCATCTGAGGCCAGGAGTTCAAGACCAGCCTGGCCAACATGGTGAGACCCTGTCTCTACTAAAAATGCAAAACTTAGCCGGGCCTGGTGGTGTGTGCCTGTAATCCCAGCTACTCAGGAAGCTGAGGCAGGAGAATCACTTGAACCCAGGAGGCGGATGTTGCAGTAAGCTGAGATCATGCCACTGCACTCCATCCTGGGTGACAGAGCGAGACTCTGTCTCAAAAAAAAAAAAAAAAAAAATCTGAGAGTAGCTAAGAATTTGGAGGAATTTATGTAAAAGCAGAGTTTTTAACTTAAGGGAACCAAATAAAACTATAACCTCCTACAGTGTTTATAGAACTCAGAAATAATATTTGTTTAACTTTATTATGAGGTAACACATACTTTCCTGTATTTCTAGATATAGTTTGGAAAACTATCCTTAATAGTCCATTTTATATACCTTATATTTAAAAGTTTGCTTAGTCATTTTTGAAAGACTATTGCTGCTGCAAATAGTTGTGTGCTTTACATTCTAAGCTTCAGTCAATTTCTTTATTTAAGAGCCTCATAATCTGTCCTGAGCATTCACTTGGAGAATGTTTTTTTGTGTGTGATCTAGGGTGGCAAAAGACCACAAAAATGTGTGGTCTGGATTTTTTCAACTATGTCATTGACTTTATGATCCAAGACCTGTTATAGGACGAATCTATATGTAAAAATAAAATCTTATTTATGGAAGGAATTATTCTAAGGGAAAAACCTAGGGTCAAGCTGTATCTTTTATGTCCTCTCTATTGCATGTCTATTTCTGTTACACGATTTGTTATTTCTTCAAATTTCCTATGGTAGCCAGATAAATCATCAAACAACCTGTTTGGGATATAAAACTTTGATAGAAAATATTTGATGAGTATCTTGATTATGACCTAGAATATGTATAAATTAGTAAAATAAACAGATATACTACAGAACTCTCTGTTGACTCAAACAGGTTGACCTCAATCCACGTTTTCTCTCGATATCACTCAATTGGCTAAAGGAGGAAACTCAAACCTCAGGGTTTGTTTTTCCCAGGACAGATAGTAGTGATAATGAAGTATATTTTAATAAGAAAAACAAACCAGTGAACCTTGAGAAATTTTAAAAAGCATCATCGAGGCATATTTTTCATAATTCTATACTTATCTATTTATTGCCCATGGAAAATATATGTGTAGAAGTATTTGTCTGTTATTTGTTACAATCTTCTTAATTTGTTTCAAAGATAATGCTGCCATACTGCATTCCCTCTGGAAGGAAATATTAGTTAGTGTTATATGAGAAAACTCTTTCTCATATACTCTTTTCAAATTCCCTGAAAGTTAATACTTTATCACACTTGCTTTATTATTCTCTCTCTCTACAAATACACAATTTTTTCTGAAATATTTGCAAATACATTACAGATATGTGGTCCCTTTTTCTCTAAATATTTCGGTGTATATTTTTTTAAAAACGGGAACATTCTTTTACATAACCGTAATACAACTGCCAAATCCAGAAATTGATACTGAAACAATAGTGTAATCTACAAACTTTATTCAGATTTTGCCAATTGCCCACTAGTGTCCTTTTTGTGGTCCTGGATCCAGTTCAGAATCATATGTCACATTTAATTGTCATGTTTCTTTAATCTCCCTTAATTTGAAACAATTCTTCTTTCTTGTCTTTCATGATCTTAACATGTTTATAAGAGTACAAGCTAATTGTTTTGTAGAATGATGCTCAGTTTGGATTTGTCTGATGTTTTCTTGTGATTCGATTCAAAGTATGCGTTTTTGTTCAGGAATATTCAGAAGCCATGCTGTGGTCTTCTCGGTGCTTCATGTCAAGAGGCACATGATACCTATTTGTCCCGTTAATGCTAATGTTCCCTTTGATCACTTGGTTGAGGTGGTATCTGCTAGATTTCCCCACTGAAAATTACTGTTTTTACTTTTTAAATAAGTATCTTATTGGGAGATACTTTGAGATGGCATAAATATCCTGTTTCTCATTGTTCTTTTAGCTTTTATTGGTCATTCTTCCCTTAAGCAGTTATTACTGCGGTGGTAGCCAAATGGAATTTTCTTATGCCATCATTCCTTCAACATGGCCTCATCAGCTATTATTACATATTAATGCATCTTGCTCCTCTCAAACGAATAGGCCCTCTGGTATGGGACTAGGAAACTTGTCCTTAAGTTAAAGGTCATGGAGGTAGGCTGAACAACAAAAGAACGTAGCAACAGCAGGGGACCTATGGAATGGGCACTACTGTTTCTGTAGGAACTGATCATGTAATTTCTAATATGTGTGAATGTGGCCACCCTTCCAAATTAGTGAGTTAGTGTGGGGCAGTTTGATGCAGGTTTGCACAGCTTTCAAAATTATCCAAAATAAAGTGTGCCTCCTAGAACCTAGTGTACTTTTGGTTATACTGTAGAAGAGGCAGCTTCATCAAGCTTTTAGAAAGCATGGGAATGGATGATAAATCAAAGGTAGATACACTGAGAGAAGAGGAATCCGCTGGAGGGGAACCTTGGGATGTTTCTGCTTTTGCAGCTCATGCAACAACAGATGAGCCAGTGAGAGACAAAGGCCAGAGAGGGAGGAACAGTATGTTGTTATGAAAACCACGGTAAGAATCTGAAGAAAGAGAGGTCATCCAATGTTATCTTCCCCTGGGTATAGTCTTGGATCTGGAATAACTTGAGTTCTTTAGAGAAGCTTGGGGTGAGCATTGTCAATATGCCTAAGTCCATAAAGTAAAGAGAAACCTCTCTGTGGGCTCTGAGTATCTGTCTAAGTCCTTTCCCCAAAACAAAAACCACATGGCCATTATCTGCTCAGGCAGTGCTGTGCCCAAACCCACCAGAATACACAGGACCCACTGCCCTGGTTCTGACAGTAGGGCTTAGGAGGCAACTCTATCCCATCCCCTTCCACAAAAAAAGAACAAAGCCCAAGACCCTGGAGTGTTTGACTCAGCTTAACCTTTTCAATGGCTGCTTGCAAAAACTTCCCTTCCCTTCTGGAATCCATTTAATTCACTTATCTGCCCTTATTCCCTAGTCTCGCTCACTGTCCCTCTTTTCCAAGCATGGCCCAGTCAGAATTGTTGAGTGTTACAGAGAGCAGCAGGAGGAGGTCTTTGGATCTGGGGTTTGAACAGTTCATTAGTTCACTGAATTCAGTGACACCTTTTGAGAGGCCAGGTTGGTTTTTTGTTTATTTGTTTGTTTGTTTTCTTGAGATGGAGTCTCACTCTGTTGCCCAGGCTAGAGTGCAATGGCACGATCTTGACTCACTGCACCCTCTGCCTCCCAGGTTCAAGCGATTCTCCTGCCTCAGCCTCCCAACTACAGGCACACACCACCACGCTCAGCTAATTTTTGTATTTTTAGTAGAGAGCGGATTTCACCATGTTGGCCAGGATGGTCTCGATCTCTTGACCTCATGATCTGCCCACGTCAGCCTTCCAAAATGCTGTGATTACAGGCGTGAGCCACTGTGCCCGGCCTTTTCTTTTTTTTCAGATGAGGTTTGCTACGTTGCCTGGGCTGGAGTGCAGTGGCTATTCACAGGTGTTATCATAGCTCATGACAACCTCAAACTCCTGGGCTCAAGCAGTCCTACTACCTTAGCCACCCAAGCAGCTGGGACTATGGGTGTGTGCCACCGTGCTTGGCTCAAGAGGCCAGTTTTAATTTTTAAAAAGTGTGATGGTTCCAGATTGCCAGGATTTGACAAGTATAAAGCATATAAAGAAAGCGGAGAAGCTCATGATAGCCTCCACTTGCCAGAAATTTGTTTGTAAAGGGAAGGAAAAAGACAGGTTAGCAATCTGATAGGGAAGCAGTGTCATGCATGGTTCAGGCTTTTGCAGTCGGGAAGTTAGGGTATATTTTCAAGGAGCTAGAGAATGGCAACCTGAACATGCCAGAAGGAGGAAAATACTGGTAGATGGAGGTGGAGGCAAAGAAGTACTGGTAAAATCAAGAAACCCAGATAAGGTTAGCTTTGAGAACAAAGATAGCATGTGACTTCTCTGGAAATAGGGAGGAAGAATGAAGGAAAAAGCAAGTGATAAATGATGATCCAAGCAAAATTAAGACAGTGGAGAGGAGAGCTGAGCCCTTGATCTTTTCAGTAAATTAGGTGCAGAAGTCATCTATGAAAGATGGAGTGGGTCAGAACTTCTTTGGGAAGGATGTGTGAACCCAAAAGTATCTGAGACAGGTCTCAATTAGTTTAGAAAGTTTATTTTGCCAAGGCTGAGGACGCATCTGTGACACAGCCTCAGGATGCTTTGATGACATGTGCCCAAGGTGGTCTGGATACAGCTTGCTTTTATACAATTTAGGGAGACACAATACATCGATCAATACATGTAAGATTTACATTGGTTCAATCTGAAGGGGCAGGACAACTCAAAGTGGGGGCTTCCAGGTCATAGGTAGATTTAAGCATATTCTGGTTGGCAATTGGTTGAAAGAGTTATTATCAGTAGAAAGGAATGTCTGGGTTAAGGGAAGGGGTTGTGGAGACCAAGGTTTTGTCCTGCAGATGAAACCTCCAGGTAGCAGGCTTCAGAGAGAATAGACTGTAAATGTTCCTCATCAGACTTAAGGTCTGTGTTGATGTTAAATGCTGGTTGGCTTTTCCTGAATTCCAAAAGGGAGGAGGGCATCATGAGGCATGTCTGACCCCCACTTTCCCATCATGGCCTGTATCAGTCTTTCAGGTTAACTTTGAAGTGCTCTAGCTGAAAGGAGGGAGTGCATTCAGATGGTTGGGGGCCTTAGAATTTTATTTTTAGTTTACAGATAAAAAGGGTTTGGAACAGCCACCTTAAAGAATTCAATAGAAAGTCAAGAGAAATAAAATGCTACTCTGACAGCAATAAGAAAAACTTATGAATCTGAAAAGCAAACGTGCTTAGATAATGCATCAGGTACAGACTAATTTGCTCCAGAAGTCTTTACAGGTATCTGCTGATTGTAGTGCTTGTTGGAACATCTATCTGAATGTCTAAGTCTGATAGAAATCTTTGGCAGACTAACTAATGGCATGGATAACCATTAGCATGCACTTACTTTTCAACACATAGAGAAGTGAAATTTTCCGCTCACAGCAAGCTGTTAAAATCCTAATTATCCCCTGGGAACCTGGCCCTCTCAATTTCAGAAACTAGCTCCTTTATAAAGGAAGGAACTCACACATACACAAGTCCCCATCCATACACACCATGAATAAAGTATATTGATCTTCATTTCCAGGAAGATACTCTAAGTCATTTCCAGGAAGATAACTCGAAGTCATTCCTTGACACGTGGACTTTCTGTGTAATCCCATCACTGATTACTCAAAACAAAGTCAGCTTTCTTCCTCTATTAGCCTGTTTTGCATTGCTGTAAAGGAATACCTGAGACTGGGTAGTTATAAAGAAAGGAGGTTTATTTGGCTGTACAAGCATGGCACCAGCATCTGCTCGGCTTCTGGAGAGACCTCAGGAATCTTTCAGTGGGAAGGCAAAGCGAGAGCGGCATGTTACATGGTGAGAGAGGGAGCAAGGAGGGAACGAGATGCCTGGTTTTTATAAACAATCAGCTCTCGTGTGAACTAATAGAGCAAGAACTCACTCATTACCCATTACTGGGGAAGTAGGGGAGGTGGGCGAGGGGGAGTGGGTGGAGCAAGGTGGGGGGTCACCAAGCCCTTCATAAGGGATCTGCCTCTATGATCCAAACACCTCCCTGCAGGCCCTACCTCCAACACTGGGGATCACATTTCAACAGAGATTTAGAGGGAATACCTATCCAAACTATATCACTACCTATTCCAGTGTTGGCAGGAGCTGGTTTTTGTTGGAAGACATATTTGTGTCAACCATGTAAAAAGCTTATTCATATTCCCACTGCCTTTTGATACCACACCATGGCCAATTACGGATGAAATGCCAGTTTCTTTCCTCCTAGGTTTTTGTGGAGAGACTGAGAAAATCACTTCCTGGAGAAATGAAGGCTGAAAGCCCTGGCAAAAAAGGAGATGGTTCTCTAGAGACAGGCAGGAAAAAAGTTTCAGGAGGAGACATGTCAGGTGCTGATGCGAGAAGCAAAGGTACCAATGTTGATGGCACCTTCTTCCAGATCGTAAAGGGCTTCTCCTTGGGTTCAAGCTTTCTGCAAATGGCAGCAGCTGGGCAGGCTGCTAAGCATAGAGGAGAGTTGCCCTCACCTGATCCTGAGAACCAAGACTAAGTAACGCATCCTGGAAAGGCCCAGGCCAAACAGAGGCCCTGTGGCGAGTTGCTCCAAGGGAAACCCAGGAACGGAGAAGGAAGGAGGAAGTTTGGGAAGCAGACCCATGCTTTGACTGAAAGGTGAGCAACAATAGAAGGAAGGGGAATAAAAGCCTTCCGCTTTCGTCATCCCTGCAAAGAAAATGGAATTCATAAATTTGAGACTCAAATGTACTCTGCAAAATTTTAAAATTTGCAGCATTTTGTTATTTGGGGGCCGGTGTTAGACTGCAGATAAACATGTAGTTTAATACATACATATTATATCAGATTACATATTGCTACAATTATTGGAGTTGCTTTGCTGTTTGCAAAATGAGCCTTGTAGGAAACAAGTGTTTCCAAGTAAATGATGACTGAAAGATTCTATGAAGAAGAAAAAAAATGTAACCATAAGGTTTAAATGCTTTAGAGGAAGTCAAGCTTGGAGGACAAGTTATATTTGTGTTTAGAAGCCATGCTGGATGCTACAAGTGTGCATTATGAATGTGCACAGTAAACGGGAGGCAAAGGAGCCAGCAGGGCTATGAGGATGGGGGTGCTATGGGGACATAGTCATAGACAGTTAAAGAGCATAAAGAATATCGACAGAGTTCAATGAATAGAATGGAGCTACCCTGGGAGATAAAGATACACAATTAGGTTGAAGCACAACCAGATAGGTGATATATTATGTTCTTTCTCAAGGTTGGCTTTTCTGTGCTGTTTATCTCCCAAGAACACTTGAGTTGTTGCAAGCAAACTTTCTGGGTTTTTTTTTTTTGTGGAGATGGAGTTTTGCTCTTGTCACCCAGGCTGCAGTGCAGTGGCATGATCTCAGCTTACTGCAACCTCCGCCTCCCGGGTTCAAGCGATTCTCCTGCCCCAGCTCCTGAATAGCTGGGATTACAGGCACCCACCACCACTCCTGGCTAATTTTTTGTATTTTTAGTAGAGACGGGGTTTTGCCATGCTGGGCAGGCTGGTCTCGAACTCCTGACCTCAGGTGATCCACCCTCCTCAGCCTCCTAAAGTGCTGGGATTACAGGTGTGAGCCACCACTCCTGACTGCAAAGCAAACTTTTGAGCTGAGAACTGAAGTCTCAACTCAAGCACAGTCCACTAACTGTCTTCCCTATTGCTGTAGAGCCCTTGGTAGGGAACTAAAGACCTTCCACAAGCTGATCTCAGTCTGCCTTCCCAAACTAAGGCACAGAAGAGCCAGCAGTTAAAGTATTAGACTGGGAAAAGATGAGTTAACTTTGGGCCTCTCTAACCCCACTTTGGTAGTTGAGAGATAGCACTGGTTGCCTAATAAGGAGTGGGATGGTGGCAAGTACAAAGCTTGCTCATCCATCCAGGCATTGTCCTATCCCCTCAGCTGCCCTTTCTACTTCCTTCCTCCTTCGCCCCCACCCCATCTTCAAGGAATTTAGCTATACTCTGCAGGTGCCCTCTGACCAGCCAAAATCATCATCACAGCCAAAACCATACTTGCCCACCTTTTGACATGCTTCAAACTTACTACGCACCTTTCCTTTCACTTTCTACCCAACTCTCCAGACAAATTCACAGAGAAATCCTGGCATTATTGTCATAGCAAAACACAGTAGAGAAGCCTTACTGTTAATCAACATGGGGATTAGCTAAAAAAACAAAATTGTGGGCCGGGCACGGTGGCTCACGCCTGTAATCCCAACACTTTGGGAGGCCGAGGCAGGCAGATCATGAGTGAGGAGATCGACACCATCCTGGCTAACACAGTGAAACCTCGTCTCTACTAAAAATACAAAAATTAGCTGGGCGTGGTGGCGGGCACCTGTAGTCCCAGCTACTGGGGAGGCTGAGGCAGGAGAATGGCGTGAACCCGGGAGGCGGAGCTTGCGATGAGCCAAGATCTCGCCACTGCACTCCAGCCTGGGCAACAGAGCGAGACTCCACCTCAAAAAAAAAATTGTGGTTGACCCCATTAAGGAATACTATGCAGCCATAAAAAAGAAGAGGAATGCACTGCGTGAATTAATAGGGGGAAATGTCCATGAGCATTCTTTTTTCCCAAGTAATTTTCCCAACACTATGTCTGGAGAGAGATGAATCCATTTTTTATAAAATAAAACAAAATAAAAACTATATAGATGTCCTGAGACCCACCCCCACCAAGAGTATGCCTGCAGAAAAACAGGTAGTCTGACTTGGCTAAGGTCCGAGCTACTTGCCTTGCTGGTTTGGATTGAGTATACACACTGGGTGAGTCTAACGGTGGACGTGGAGGAGTAGGAGAACCAGAGCCAGTTCAGGTGCAGGGAGGCTGGGAGAAGGCAGGCTTGGAAGAAAGAATGAGGAAGGGAAAAGAAAGGGCAAGAGAGACAGAGAGAGCAGGTGCTGTGGGGAGAGGAACTACTTCGGGGACATCCTACTGGCTACCCTGAAAATCATGGGAGTATTTTGGTGTGATCACCACTTTCTAAAGCCAGTTTTTCAGCTTGGAATATTTTTTTTAGCCACTGTGGAAGAAACAAAACTTCTCATCGAATATTAGGTTTATAAACTGTCAGAAGAACTTTATTTTAAAGCCACTGCAAAAGGAAAATAATTGAGCTGGTGTTTGCTGCCTAAAACACCAGAGGTCACATAGTATGGTCTTAAAGAAGAGAAACTCAGGGAAAGGAGGGAAAGAAGAAGAAAAATGCTTTGAACTTAATATGTATATATCTTCATGTGACTAATAAGAGGTAATTTTTGAGCCATTACCATCTGCTAAAATTACCTTTCATGACTGGCTAAGCCTTTATCACAAGCCTTTCAATTCATGCAGATGTAACAGGTTTACATTTTACATGGATAAGGCCCTGCAGAAAAACAATTTGACAACAATGGTGTCCTTATCCCTTCATAATTAATGACAACAGAGAAATCTGTATCTTGATGGATATCAGCACACATGTTTATCCTCATTCGAGACCTTCACCCCATTCCAATAGTCAGCTGTCAAAAGCTTTTTGTTTAGTTCATTAGGTTCTCACTTCAGCTTCCTTATAAGCAAAAACAGATGACTTACAACAGAAGATGGAATAAGCAAAATATTTTAGATCCGAGTTATTTGTTTCACAGATTTCATTTAATGTAAACTGATTCCCTTCATAAGGGGAGATAAACTCCTGGAGAGTTCTGTTGTTGTTTCTAATTTAAATATATTTTCTATATTTTCCAAAAGGCGTAAATAAATGTGTTTTAATTTGTAACCACAAAAATAATTTTTAAAAATAGTAGAGATCAGGCCGGGTGTGGTGGCTCACGCCTGTGATCCCAGCACTTTGAGAGGCCAAGGCAGGCGGATCACTTGAGGTCAGGAGTTCCAGACCAGCCTGGCCAACATGGTAAAACCCTATCTCTACTAAAAATACAGAAATTCGCCGGGCACATCTGTAATCCCAGCTACTCAGGAGGCAGGAGAATCGTATGAACCCAGGAAGCAGAGGTGCAGTGAGTGACAGAGTAAGACTCTGTCTCAAAAATAAATAAATGATAGAGACCAATCATAAAAAGTAACTGCTTTGTAAAAGCTTTAGTCCTCACCCTGATTCCCCACTGCTGCTGTGTCCTTCCAAAGAAGAATTAGCGTCTCCTCAAACAGGAAAGCTGATTTTAATGGTGGGCCCAATTGATGACTGAGTCTGCCTGGCTGGCCTGATGGCAGTCATTGATATCCATGGAAGAAGCCATGTCTTCTCAGGAGTTTCCACCATTTGTGAAGAAAGTACCTCAGTCAGAGCTTCAGGTGCCTCTAGTAGCCTCTAGCTGCCTTAGTACTTGTGAGGCCACAGCCCTGCTCATTTAGCCACCATGCCTCTGTTTCCCACAGAAGACAAAATATAAAGCATCCAAAAAGTGTATGTCTCAGTCAGGGTCCAGACAGAGATCAACGGGAGATTTAACACAGAGAACCAGCTACCAGGGTGTTGGAAGAGCTGAGATGCAGAGCAGGGGTCAATGATGTGACCCAGGCATCAGCAACAATTGGAAGTTGTCACCTGCTCTAGGCTGATGGGACAAACTTATTACCCGTGCCCAGAAGCCAGGGCTCCCTGGTGAGAACTGGCTGCACCGGCAGAGGAGCTGTCTCACGGGAGGTGGATGTGAAGGAGGCACAGTCCCTGTTGGAGAGGCCACTGGAAGCAGAGAAATGGGGAGAGGAAGGAATACCCAGGCTTCTTCGTTCCCCGCTCCATCCTCTCACAGTGCCTCCCATTAGCGGAAGTTCTCCAGAAGCCACTTGGCAAAGGAGCCTGAGAAAGAAAGGAGGAAGCACTGAGGCAACATGAGCTGACAGTTTCACTCTGTCCTTTCTTCTGTATTCCGAGTGTAGCCCACTCACTGTTGTCTCCCACTTGAGTCGTGCAGCATCCATCTGACTCGTCACCCCGCCTCCAAGACAGTCTCCACACCACCGCTAAACCTCCTCAGGGGCCTCTCGGGATCTTCAGGTGCAAAGCTACTGCACGGTCCTTCTGAGCTGACCCTGCCCCGCTCTACCATACCTCTTCCAATGGCCGCCTCACATCCTATGCTCCTGCCAGACTAAACCTTCTTATTGTTTATTCTTTCTTTATGAAAACATTCAAAAGAGCAAAAAGGCCCAGAGAGTAATACGAGGAACATCCATGTATCTACCATCAAGTCTAAACATGTAAAACTTTATAAAGCCTCTTGTGTAACCTTTCTGTGATTACACTTCCCTCTTTGATCCACTGCCAATGAAAACCATCATCCTGAATTTTATGTTTATCATTTTCAGGTATGTCTTCATGCTTTGATAAAATACATAAATATCCCTGAGTGATCAATGATATTGCAGGTTTTCAGGCATTATATATAAAGTATCATAGTGTGTGTACCCTTTAGCAACTTTTCCACTCAACATTACATTTAGGAGCTATATACCTGTGTATACATGGAGCCCTACATAGTTCACTTCTAACTGTTCCTTACCATAGAACTGTACTTACACTAGGTGGAATAAATTGCCTTATGAGTGTCGGACTATAAAATCAGTACACTATGGGTTAAAGCAGATATACATGAAGCCATCCTCAAAAGAGTCAGAATAGGTCTTAATATGATTAAACATACAAACATACCACACTGAGCGATATATCACTCAGAAAATGGTTGATCAGCAATGGAAGCATGGAAAACAGAGAGTAAGAGGAATAATCTTCAGAAGGTAGCTTAGTGTGTGGGAAGAGTCAGTTGAAGTGTCGTCAAGCTATAAAAGTTTGATGCTTCCTTCTCCACTGTAAAATAATAATAATAATAATAATAATAATAAAAAAGACCAGTTTAATCACATGGTTGAGAGCCACATTTTTCTCTTCCTTGGACAAGGTCATGCTGTGTTTGCTTCTCTTACTCTCTGTTTTTCATGCTTCCATTGTTGACGAACCCTTTTCTGAGTGACATATCGCTCAGTGTGATACGTTTGTGTCTTTAATCATATTAAGATCTATTCCAACTCTTTTGAGGATGGCTTCATGAATTTCTGCTTTAATCCATAGTGTACTGACTTTATAGTCTGACAGTCACAAGGCAATTTATTCCACCTAGTTTTAAGAACTTCAAGTGTAGATCATCCAAAATATTCACATCCTTTGATCTTGTAATTTCCATTTTAGGTAGTGGCGGCACACATCCTCAAACGTGCACTGGTGTAAATGTTGCAATGCTATTTATTATATCTAAAATTGACACGTAAATATGCCTCAATAGGAGACTAGTTACATTAATTAGGTATTTCCATTCAATTAAATACAATACAGCCACTAAAGAGGCTTCAATCGGTTTTCATTTATAGTACTTACATGGAAAAAGATACCTAACATCTGTCCAATAGAAAAAAAGCAAGTCATGAAGTAATATTAATAGTATTACTTACTTTTAATGTTAAAAATGTTTATATATGTTTATATAGGCAAAAAAAGTCTATAAATACACACGCACACACAAGTAGCTGGGCTCAGTAGCGTGCATCTGTAATCCCAGCTACTTGGCAGGCTAAGTAGGAGTATCCCTTGAGCCCAGGAGTTTGAGGCTGCAGTGAGCTGGGATTGGCCACTGCACTCTAGCCTGGACAGCATAGGGAGACACCCATTTCATACCTTAAAAAAATACACCACAGGAATTTTTATGTTATCAAGATGCTAACATTGGTAATGGCTGAGAAGGTGGAATTGTGTATTTGGGGTAGGAGACATTTTTCCCTTTTTTGTATTGTTTTATATTATAATCTATTATCTGAGAAAATACATTTCTTGGCTTTTTGCATTTTTATAATTTAATTTCTATTTTTAATTATGTAATATAAAACTAAAAAATACAAATAGATTTTTGTGGGGATAAAAATATGTCAGATTCAGAATTTTAAAACATGCCTTTGCTATTTATATGAACCTCATGATAAAAAGTAAGGAGAAGGCTCACCAGCCAGGAGCTGAGAACCGCCACCTCGAGTTCCTTAGTGCATGGATTTAATCAGTTCTCTTTTATACCTTAGTACAACCCAAAATTCAGCCTTGCCTCAGCCCACTCCAGGAACTCCTTTGGGAGCTACAGGGGAGGAAGGGCCTTGTGTCACCTGGAACACTGATCCAAACAAAGCACTCGCGGGGAAAATAGAGGCTATCCATCTTTGGCAAACACCCAACCTGGAGGACAGAGTTGGGTGGGATCACAGATCTCTCTTCCACCCATACTCAGCAGGATGGAGGGCATGGAGCCCGATTCTCGTCCATTAATCAACTTTAACCCTTCCCTTTATCTCTATTCCCAGAGATAAGACCAGTTTCCTAACCCTTAAGTCCCTTGCCAGAGATCTCTGTTATCCTGAAGTTTAGTATATGATATTTCCCATGCACGCTTTTATGCTGTAAAATAGCATACATAGTGTTTTATGTTTAAATTTAAATCAAGACTTTGATGTTATGTGTATCTTTTAGGAACTTGCTTTCTTTTTCAATCAACATTTTTGAAACTTATCTATGTCTATTCATGCAGATCTATTTCATTTATGTTAAGTGTGAGTTACCACATTTTATTTACCCATCTCCCTACAGGTGAACAGCTGGATTATTTCCACTATGTTGCTGTTAAAAACAGAGCTATAATGAATATTCTTGTATTTGCTCTGTGTGCACAGGTGCTGAAATTGTTTAAGGTGGTTATTGTCATAGATATTTTCAGAACTTCCTTATAATGCATAATGAACTCTGAAAAATTTAAATGAATGGCTCCATTGTTCTATGCATATATGTAATTTTTTCTTTTTTTGTTACTGTTTGTTTGTTTTTAAGACAGGGTCTCACTCTGTCACCCAGGCTGAAGTATAGTGGTGTGGTGCAATCTTGGCTCACTGCAACCTCCACCTCCCAGATTCAAGTGATCTCCTGCTTGAGCCTCCCGAGTAGCGGGATTACAAGTGTGCGCCACAATGCCTAGCTAATTTTTGTAAAGATGGGGTCTTGCCATATTGGCCAGGCTGGTCTTGAACTCCTGGCTTTAAGTAATCCGCCCGCCTCAGCCTCCCAAACTGCTGGAATTACAGGCATGAGCCACCACACCTGGCCCACATATGTAATCTTAAATGTCTCTGGATTTGTATGGTTTGATCCCTTAGTGCATGTTAACACCTTATACTAAGATGAAAGAGATGGCAAAGTCAGCAGTAATGATCCTTACACCTTAAAAAGAGAAGTAGGATGTTATGATACTATCTGACCCTTGTTTGTCTTTTTATGTGTGTGTCCTAGCTCCCCAGCTAGACCCAGAGCTTCTTGTCAGGAATGATTATGTGTTAGACTTCTTAGAATTCTCAGTACGTAGGAGAGTGCCCTTTACTTGATGTAACCTCTTGCTCTTAAGGGTGTGCCCTCAAACCAGCACCATTGCCAATACCTGGGTGCTTGTTAGAAATGCAGAATCTTAGGTCCCACCCGAGACCAACTGAATCAGGCTCTGCATTTTAACAAGATCCCCAAGTGACATTAAAGTCTGAGCAGCACTGTTGTAAACTCATTGTTTCCAGGACCTTACCAACATATGTGTTTAATTTTGATCAGGTTAACATCAATATCCCATATTCCTGGATCCCACCTTTATTTACGCTCAAGGACCTTAACTGATATGGTGCCATATGATGAGTGTTTCCTGCTCCAGTATGCCCTGGAGTAAGAAAAAGGGCATTCTCGGATCATGAGGTTAGGAGATCGAGACCATCCTGGCTAACACGGTGAAACCCCGTCTCTACTAAAAACACAAAAGATTAGCCAGGCGTGGTGGTGGGCACCTGTAGTCCCAGCTACTCGGGAGGCTGCGGCAGGAGAATGGCGTGAACCCGGGAGGCGGAGCTAGCAGTGAGCGGAGATCACACCACTGCACTCCAGCCTGGGCGACAGAGCGAGACTCCGTCTCAAAAAAAAAAAAAAAAAAAAAAAGAAAAAGAAAAAGGGCATTCTCAGGCCAGCAAGTCAAAACATCTTCCCAAAGGTGACGTCTGAGCAAGTCTTCTAGGACTTGTAGTCATTAACTAGGTAGAAGGGTGTTCTAGACAGAGGGGATCAAGTGGGAAATGAATGCATGCTTGAGAAATGTTTAGGGAGCTTCAAGTAATTGAGTGCATATGAAGAAGTAGCACAATAGGAAACTGATGGCAAATTATGAAAGATCTTGTTTACTAAGTGAAAGAGTTCTGTTTTTATTATGTAGGCAGGCTGGGCAAAACTAGTGAAATATTTTTGGTAATAAATGGCAAAATTAGATTTGTAATATAGATAGGTCACTCTGGAAGCTGTTTTGAGGTTGAATTTGGGGGAGGATGCACTGGCAAAAATGAACGAACCTGACAGATGGCAAGGTGGCCAGCATGTCTGGAAGTGATCCACAGACCAAGTTCAACAAAGGGAGGCTTGAGACACCCTACCAGAGAGGGGCTGCCCTATATGGCTGAAAGATTTGGAATCTGTGTGGCTAATCTAGATTGCTGATCTGTGATGGAGCTGGCAAGAGTGAGCTGCAGGAGCACCTCTCTAGGTTGAATGTTACCAAAAATGGATAACATGAATTCTCTCAGCAGGTGCGTTGGTAAGATCAGCACTCAAATTGTTCAGGATGTACACATAGACTTTAAGGCAACACAGACTTAAAACTACTGATGTTTTTGAGACATATGTGCTCATTCAACAAACATTTGAGCATCATATGTGTATAATGCTGATGGAAGGATAAAAGTATTATAGTAAGGTCACAAAAGCTTAAGAACCATCAACCCCAATTCCTTAATATATGGATTTTAACAGGTTCCCTTTTGCACCCAAGTACAACCCAAGATTCAACTCTGCCTCATCCCACTCTAGGAACTGCTTTGTGAACCACAGTGAGGAGGGGCCTTGCAACACCTGAAACACTGATTCACTTGAACCTGTGCTCAGGAGTTACAAGAGGGACACAGTATTCAGAGGTGTGCCATCATCTCTTGGCATGACTTATCTATCTCCAACCATGCAGCTGATGTAGCCAAAGGAGAATGGGCCTCTTACCCAGTAGAGATACAGCACATGCAATTACCACCACCACAGCAGCAAAAGCTAACATTTGCTGGTATTTATTATGTCTCACGCCTTGTGTTCAACACTTTATTTACATCATCTCACCTAGACCTCATATAAATCCATAAGGTAGAGACAATTATTTTTCAATAATTGTTTTAATGAAGTATAGGACATACAGAAAAGTGCCTAAAGCACATGCAAAATCTTTGCCTGTATCTGATACTAGGCTGCAAACTCATGGAGGACAGAGGATATCTTTTTCATCTTTATGCCCCCACAGCATCTGGGATCAAGCCTTAACCTACTCATTAATGCTTATTAAGTGGTTAAATAATACATTAATAGCCAAAAGAAAATAAATGCCCCCTTGTCTTAATAGTTTTCAACTTTTGGTACATGTCACCATCACCCATGGAACTCTAAATGTCATAACTGCCAATACCCCATGCCTGGAGACCTGATGCAATGAATGGAGCCTGATTTAGTAGCTGGATTTTTGATTAGACAAATATTTTCTTTTTTTTTTTTTTTTTTAAATTTATTTTTTTATTGATAATTCTTGGGTGTTTCTCACAGAGGGGGATTTGGCAGGGTCATGGGACAATAGTGGAGGGAAGGTCAGCAGATAAACAAGTGAACAAAGGTCTCTGGTTTTCCTAGGCAGAGGACCCTGCGGCCTTCCGCAGTGTTTGTGTCCCTGATTACTTGAGATTAGGGATTGGTGATGACTCTTAACGAGCATGCTGCCTTCAAGCATCTGTTTAACAAAGCACATCTTGCACCGCCCTTAATCCATTTAACCCTGAGTGGACACAGCACATGTTTCAGAGAGCACAGGGTTGGGGGTAAGGTCACAGATCAACAGGATCCCAAGACAGAGGAATTTTTCTTAGTGCAGAACAAAATGAAAAGTCTCCCATGTCTACTTCTTTCTACACAGACACGGCAACCATCCGATTTCTCAATCTTTTCCCCGCCTTTCCCGCCTTTCTATTCCACAAAGCCGCCATTGTCATCCTGGCCCGTTCTCAATGAGCTGTTGGGCACACCTCCCAGACGGGGTGGTGGCTGGGCAGAGGCGCCCCTCACCTCCCGGACGGGGCGGCTGGCTGGGCGGTGGGGGCTGGCCCCCCCCCACCTCCCTCCCGGACGGGGCAGCTGGCCGGGCGGGGGGCTGACACCCCCACCTCCCTCCCGGACAGGGCGGCTGGCCGGGCAGAGGGGCTCCTCACTTCCCAGTAGGGGCGGCCGGGCAGAGGCGCCCCTCACCTCCCGGACGGGGCGGCTGGCCGGGCGGGGGGGCTGACCCCCCCACCTCCCTCCCGGACGGGGCGGCTGGCCGGGCAGAGGGGCTCCTCACTTCCCAGTAGGGGCGGCCGGGCAGAGGCGCCCCTCACCTCCCGGACGGGGCCACTGGCCGGGCAGGGGGCTGACCCCCCCCACCTCCCTCCCGGACGGGGCGGCTGTGCGGGTGGGGGGCTGACCCCCCCACCTCCCTCCCGGACGAGGCGGCTGGCCGGGCGTGGGGCTGACACCCCCACCTCCCTCCTGGACAGGGCGGCTGGCCGGGCGGGGGGCTTACCCCCCCACCTCCCTCCCGGATGGGGCGGCTGGCCGGGCGGGGGGCCGACCCCCCCACCTCCCTCCCGGACGGGGCGGCTGGCCGGGCAGAGGGGCTCCTCACTTCCCAGTAGGGCGGCCGGGCAGAGGCGCCCTCAAACTCCCAGACGGGGCGGCTGGCGGGCGGAGGGCTGACCTCCCTCCTCCCTCACGGACAGGACGGCTGACCGGGCGGGGGGCTGATCCCCCCTCCTCCCTCCCGGACTTGGCGGCTGGCCGGGCGGGGGGCTGACCCCCCCACCTCCCTCCCGGATGGGGCGGCTGGCCGGGCCGGGGGCTGACCCCCCCCACCTCCCTCCCGGACGGGGTGGCTGCCGGGCGGAGATGCTCCTCACTTCCCAGATGGGGTGGCTGCCGGGCGGAGAGGCTCCTCACTTCTCAGACGGGGCAGCTGCCGGGCGGAGGGGCTCCTCACTTCTCAGACGGGGTGGTTGCCAGGCAGAGGGTCTCCTCACTTCTCAGACGGGGCGGCCGGGCAGAGACGCTCCTCACCTCCCAGACGGGGTCTCGGCCGGGCAGAGGCGCTCCTCACATCCCAGATGGGGCGGCGGGGCAGAGGCGCTCCCCACATCTCAGACGATGGGCGGCCGGGCAGAGAGGCTCTTCACTTCCTAGATGTGATGGCGGCTGGGAAGAGGCGCTCCTCACTTCCTAGATGGGATGGCGGCCGGGCAGAGACGCTCCTCACTTTCCAGACTGGGCAGCCAGGCAGAGGGGCTCCTCACATCCCAGACGATGGGCGGCCAGGCAGAGACACTCCTCACTTCCCAGACGGGGTGGCGGCCGGGCAGAGGCTGCAATCTCGGCACTTTGGGAGGCCAAGGCAGGCGGCTGGGAGGTGTAGGTTGTAGTGAGCCGAGATCACGCCACTGCACTCCAGCCTGGGCACCATTGAGCACTGAGTGAACGAGACTCCGTCTGCAATCCCGGCACCTCGGGAGGCCGAGGTTGGCGGATCACTCGCGGTTAGGGGCTGGAGACCGGCCCGGCCAACACAGCGAAACCCCGTCTCCACCAAAACCAGTCAGGCGTGGCGGCGCGTGCCTGCAATCGCAGGCATTCGGCAGACTGAGGCAGGAGAATCAGGCAGGGAGGTTGCAGTGAGCCGAGATGGCAGCAGTACAGTCCAGCTTCGGCTCCGCATGAGAGGGAGACCGTGGGGAGAGGGAGAGGGAGAGGGAGAGGGAGAGGGAGAGGGAGAGGGAGAGGGAGACAAATATTTTCATTCACCTTTAACTCCATGCTCTTCTCAAATGAGAGCATGACTTCACTAAATGAAATGACTTCACTAAATCACAGGGCTAAAAGCATGATGATGTGTATCTATCATGTCTTTACTTCTAAAGTGATTTTTCTTACACAACTCTTCTTCCAAATAGTTAAAGTACTCTAGGGAATATCATTTAAATGGATTTTTAAAACCCACTCTTTCAACATTTTTACATCAGAAAGGGTAAAAGTATTCATTGGCATTACAATGAAAAATGTTCTGGCAGTGCATTAAAGGGGAACCATTACTAGGTTGAGAAGAAATTCATTAAGATTATGGATATCAGTAATATCCAGAGAATTTAGAGTGGTGTTTTACAAATGTAATATTCTGTAATTTGCTCTATTTTTATTGTTAGTAGAACCTTATCAATGTTCTATTATGACAAGAATCTAAATTGTAAAGAAACTTTGAAATGATGTATATTTATGTTGCTGTTAGGAACATACTAAATTTCATACCATCAATTTCATTTATTCAATTATGCATTCACCTGATAAATGTTAGATGAGCACTACCCTAGGCACTAGAAATAGAAGTTAAAATACAGTTCCTTCCTTTAAAGTCATCAATTTCGTGGAGCAGGCAGTTTAGGAAATTAGAAATTCCAATGGATATGATAAACACAATATTATAGACACACACAAGGCACTGCAGAGGCTAGAAGAGGAGCAACAAATTTGGGGATGGAGAGTGGAGATAGGATGTCAGTGAAGGCTTCCAGGAGGAGTAACTCTTGAGCTTTGAATTTTATCTTAAGGAAAAAACAGGAGGCAGCTGTATCCATCAGAGTTCTTAGTCACCAGCAACAGAAATCAGCATTGGCTGATTAAGCAGAAAAGAAACTTATTAAAATGTTGTTAGGTAGCTCACAGAATTTCCTGGATTACTCAAGAACCGGACTCAGAGTCCACATAGCCAGAAATATCTCTCAAAATCATGCCAGAAAACTGGTCTAGTGAGGATACTGCTGAAGCTGACATTGCCAGTACCACTACCCATAGACATTAAGCAGCAACTAGCACCTGGTGTCCCAGAAGTTTAGTCTTGCTGCAGCTGCTAACATCACCATCAGAGAAAAATTATCTGTAGTTCTTGCTTCTAAGTGCCACTGGCTCCCAAAACAAAGTCTGGGACAGAGACATCTGATCAGGCCAGCCTAGGTCACAGGACTGCACCCAGCTGCAAAGGAAGCTAGGAAAATAGGTATCCCTGTTTTCAATATCAATTACTGCACAACAAACCACCTTAGTGGTTTAAAACATCAATAACCATAATTATACCCCAATATTCTGTAGGTTGACTTGGCTCAACTGGACAGTTCTTCTGCTCCAAGTGGTATCTGCTGGGTCATCAATCATCTGAAGGCTTTTCTGCCTGGGATGTTCAAGACAGTTTGCTCACATAGCTGGCTGTCGTCTGTGAGCTCAGTCAGAGCAGGTCAGTTCTCCCATGGGGCCTCTTCATATAGATTGGGCTTCCACAGCATGGTGCCCTGAAGATAGTTGTACATTTTACAAAATATCTCCCTTCCAAGAGGAAGCATCCCAAGCAACAAGATGAGAAGCTTCAGATCTCTTAATGCTCAGCCTGGGAAGTTACAGAGCATCACTTCTACCCATTCTAGTGGTCAAACCAAGTCACAGGCTAGCACACACTCAAGAAGAAAGACAAGCTCCATTTCACAATGCAAGGAATGGCAAAAAAAAAAAAAAAAAAAAAGCAGCTATCTTTAATTCCCTACACTGGCATTTTCAGCTTTTATACTCAGATGAAGTCTTTCCCTCCTACCTAGACTCATAAGTTGGAGATTTACTGAAATCTAGGAAATGAGTTTAGATGCTGAGCCATTAATGACAACAACAAAAAGACAATTGTCCACTGTTAGAAGGAAGAAGAGCGTTCAAAGCAGAGGGAACAGTATTGGAAAGTCATAGAGAGGACTTTAGCTGGCACTGCCACTTGAATAGCACGCTACTCATGATGATATAATTCCTGCCATTCTCTTGCTAACACTGCGTTAGAACTGCTCCTTGCTGAGCAGAGTTGTAATTCTACTGTATTTGTGCACATTAGAGGGTTTAAACTAATTACAATTGATTCAGAAGTTGCAGTACTTGCTGGTTTTCTCCTTTCTACATCTTTAAAATCCTTTTCAAGATCATTGTTAACAAGATCTGTTCCAGGATCAGAAATGTGTATTTGACAATGATAGCCTAGGGAATGCAGTAATTTGGAAATAAATAAATCCAGATCTCATCTGCATACTAAGGTGTTTTAAAATTTTCTTTTTCATTATGAATATATTCAAAGTGGAAAAAAGTAGAAAGAATGGTACAATATTTTCACAACCCAGATTTGATTTAATAATTGCTGGCATTTTGGCATGCTTTCTTTATGTACATGGAGTATTTTTCCTGAACTATCTTAAAATAAGTTACGGACATCATGACATCTGCAAAAAGTAAGGGCATTATCTTACATATCCATAATTTCATTATTCTATCTTAAAAAAAATTGACAATAATTCCCTGAATGTTTAATATGGGCTCAGAGGCCAGAGCACCAGAATTATTGTCTCTGTCAGCTCTAGCACACCAGAGGTCCAAAATGTCAGCAGGGAGTTCAGCATTGAAAATCTCTTGAAAGCTAGTTTGACAATGCGGCTCCCCCAAGTGATTTTAAGTTTTGGAGAGCAGCAGCAGACCCTGGAGGGACCCAGAATTAGCAACCCCAGTAGACAGAATTACCTGAGGCAATATCAGTGGCAGCTGGCAGCTTCAGGGTGTTCTGAAACAGGGTTTCAAGGGGGCATTTATTTTCTTTTGGCTATTAGCTTATTATTTAACCACTT
The DNA here is from genome assembly GCF_000001405.40 of Homo sapiens. Classification (NCBI taxonomy): domain Eukaryota; kingdom Metazoa; phylum Chordata; class Mammalia; order Primates; family Hominidae; genus Homo; species Homo sapiens. Next base: position 64,516,164 of record NC_000002.12, read on the forward strand.
AACAAGCATTAACGAGTAGGTCAAGACTTATCCCAGGTGCTGTGGGGGCATAAAGATGAAAAAGGTATTCCCTGTCCTCCAGGAGCTTGTAGCCTAATATCAGGTACAGGTAAGGGTTTTGCATGTGCTTTATGCACTTTTCTATTCAGTTACAGACATCATGACATTTTGGCCATCTGCAAAAACTAAGGACATTCTCTTATATCTCTATAATTTCATTATTCTATCTTTAAAAATTGACAATAATTCCCTGAATATTTAATGCCAGGCCATATTCAGGCTTCCTCAACTATCTCCAAAATATCTTTTAGAAATGGCTTAGTTTATTCAAATAAGAATTCAATCAAGAACCATGCATTTCACTTGGTCATTAATCCTCTAAAGTCTCTTTTAATCTAGAATATTACTTTTGAAGAGACAAAGTTATCTGTCTTGTAAAATAATCCATATGCTAGATGTGCATGCTTGTTTCCTTATAGTGCCATTTAACTGGTTCCTCCAGTATTTCCTGTAAACTAGAAGCTGAATTTAAAGGCTTATTTAGATTCCAGGATAAATATGTTTGGCAAGAATACTGTGTAGTTCTGTATCTGTGTACTTTACATTGCATCACATCAGGAGGCTCGCTGTGTTCAATTGTCTTTGTCTTTTAGTGGGGGTTGGGGAGGGAGGCAGCAAAGCAAAAATAATACCTGCCAGGCTGGATGAGGCAAAATAGTCTAAGACAGGGTCACAGTGGAACCAAAAGTGTAGTAGAGAGATGTGTTAACCAGCCCCCTAAGATGTTGTCTGCCTCTGAGCCCTTGGCTTTGGGCTGAATCCCTCACCTGAGAGGACAGATGCTCCTCTTGATGGTATTTATGAAGGGAAGCAAAGTGCCCACCCACTCTGATTCTGACTGGGATCTGAGAACAAGACCCTCCTATACCCCAGGGCAAGCTCCCAGCACAGCCTCTGCACAGGTCTCTCCTGCTCAGTTCCGGGTAAGGACTGCTCTGATTTCCTAATAAGAAAAACAACACAATACAGCAACACTTATTTCATGGGCCCTACAGAGCTACAAGAACTTAGAGTCTGGTGCACTCAATATGGGCACAGACTAGAGCACCAGAATTATCGTCTCTGTCTCAGCTCTAGCACACCAGAGGTCCAAAATGTCATCAGGGAGTTCGGCATTGACAATCTCTGGAAAGCCAGTGTGACCGTGTGTTCAGGGGAGCAGCGGCAGACACTTGAGGGACTCAGAATTAGCAGCCCCAGTAGACAGAATTCTCTGAGGCAGTATCAGTGGCAATTGGCAGCTTAAGGGTGTTCTGAAACAAGTTCATTCTCAAACTTGGCACGACTGATATTTTGGGTTGGATAATTCTGCATTTTGGGGGGCTTTCATCTGTAATGTAGGATGTTTAGGGATATTCCTAGCCTCTACCTACTAGATGCCAGTTGTAGCCCCACATCAGTTGTGACAACTAATGGTGTCTCCAGACATAGGTAAATGTCACCAGGTTGGTGGGGAGGGGCTTGTGTCAACATTGCCCCATTTGAGAATCTTTGGTCTGGGGGAAAGGTCAATTTGGTGACAGTAGGGTTTTCCATTAAGAGACTAATACTGGGCTCAATGTAGGAATCTTTTACATACATTAATTCATTTCAGCTGGATAGCAACTCTGTGGGGTGGGAACATTTTCTTGATTTTTGCAGCTGAGGAAAGTTCTCTGCAAGGTTCTATGATGTTGCTAACGTTCATATCTGGGCCGATCCCACTTTGAAGCTGATCCTGTTCATGTACCAAGCTGCCTCTTTCTGACAGCACAATGTCAGCATCCCAGGCCTGGCTGCAATAGAGAAGTGTGGGGGACTGTCTTTTTTTGAGACAGGGTCTCACTGTGTCCCCCAGGCTAGAGTGCAGTGGCTCAGTCACTTCTCACTGCAGCCTCAACCTCCCAGGCCCAAGTGATCCTCTTACTTCAGCCTCCCAAGTAGCTGGGACCACAGGTGTGCGCCAATACACCCGGCTAATTTTTTTTATTATTTGTAGAGATGGGGTCTCCCTGTGTTGCCCAGGCTTGGGACAGTCTTGAAGGAGCATCATCTCAGGGCCAGGAGCAGCTTCTGGGTTCACGGCATTGATCTGGTTGGAGTTCCCAAAGGGCAATGGGAAGTTCCACTGGTGCTCTTCATGGGGCCACTTGAATGAAGACTCGAAGAAGAGATAGCCAGGAGAGTAGCTTTGGAGCTAGGGGTACATGGAACATGTTAAAGACTTTGAAGTGAAAGTGGTGGGCTCCTGAGAAATAACAATGAGAGGATTATCCCTAAATTCTTTATATACAAGATCCTAGCCTCCAAAGACATCTGAGATCATTCAAGACTTGCAGCATGAGAACAGTGCCTGGACAAACCATACTTTACTGGAACAGCTATAGGGTTGAGAGAAGCTCCCTCTGGGACCCCCGCAGAGAGGAAGGGCTGGTTTTTGGGAAGGGGAGGGCCTAATGCATGGGGCCTCAAGGAGCTGGAGAAGTACTCCTCAGCAGAACAATTGGATACACTGGGGCAAACACATATCTGAAATGAAGCATTTCTCAAACTATTCCAGCAGATCTTCCTCTTCTTTGAACTTGTTACTTTTATTGTCAATCCTATGCAGCTTCAGCACTTAATTATTCTCCATTTGATAGAATCAGAAGTTTCAAGGTGACAATTGTTTCAGGTATATCAGTCTTGTCTCCCCAACTAGACTGTTAACTCCTGTTTCTGGGCAGGAACCAAAGCCTGTTTCTTTACAGTCCCTCAGCACAGAAATAGAGGAAGCTGAGTGCATAAAGGTGTTCAGTAAATTGTTAATTAATTTAAAAAGAAAAATTACAAAAATAATAATCAAGGATAGGATCATAAATTGATATTACACCTGTATAACTATAAAACAATTGAAAGACATGATAAATAGCAAAGCCTCAAGAAAGCTATTAAAAATACATTAAATTTTTCAGCTGGGCGTGGTGGCTCATGCTTGTAATCCCAGCACTTTGGGAGGCCAAGGCAAGCGGATCACCTGAGGTCCAGAGTTCAAGACCAGACCGGCCAACATGGTGAAACCTCGTCTGTACTAAAAATACAAAAATTAGCTGGCCAAGGTGGCGCACACCCGTAATTCCAGCTACTAGGGACGCTGAGGCAGGAGAATCGCTTGAACCCAGGAAGTGGAGGTTGCAGTCAGCCAAGATTGCGCCACTGCACTCCAGCCTGGGCAACAAGAGAGAGACTCCATCTCAAAAAACAAACAAACAAACAAACAAACAAACAAAAAAAACAGAAATACATTAAATTTTTTTTTCTAGAACTACCCACGCCACTCATTCAATGGAATGTCATTTACTGAATAAATATGTATCGCCATCAACCATGTACCAGGCCACTTTCTTGAAGTTGGGAATATAGAAATGAATAAAGCAGACAGAAGTCTCTGCCTTCATGCAACTGTTAAAATTGCATGAAAACTATTTCTATTGTATTTCCCTGGATCCTATGACTACACAAATTTAAAGACAGATGTAGGTTTTAAACAAAGGTTCAGCATTGTACAATAGAAATATAATGTGAGCCACATTGTGATTTAAAATTTTCTAGTAGCTAGTTTTAAAAAGTAAAAAGAAACAGGTGAAATTAATTTTAATGTTTTACTTTATATATTTTTGTCATGACTCACTGCAAGGTTTCCACTTCTCTTCACCTTGAAATAAGGGACAAAAGTAGAAATAGAGTTATCACTTCCACAGTGCCCTGAGGCCAATCTCCTTCAAAATAAAGGAGACTTTTCTCCTGAGAGACAAGTTGCTCAGAAAGGTCATGTTTTCTCCAGGTGATCAGGCTGAATTTCACAACATAGCAGGTTGATAGTGGAACCATTATAGCACATAATGAGCCCTTCAAAGCTTTGCTCAGAGCCAAAAGAGAGGCTTGAAGACTAGAATAAAGAAGAAGGTTGGGCTGCAGCTCCCTTCAGGAGAACACTCCATCTATATTGCTCCATATGTGGTAAGCCCATGAGTGGGTACAGGTTCAGTCCTTGGGGCTGTGAAGTGCAAGATCAAGGTGCCAAGAGATTTGGTTGTTTGGTGCGTGCTGTTCTCTGCTTCCAAGATGGCACCTTGTTGTCAAATCCTCCAAAGGGGGTGGAACGCTGGTCCTCATGTAGCAAAAGAATATGTCTAGATAAATCTAGGAAATTAGTTTGAGGTCTTTGATTTAAATGTTACGTATTCAGGTCAATTACCACTACCAGAAGCCCATCCTTCAAAAGTTTTTCGTTGGAAAGTTCTATAAAATTTGTTAGAACTTTATATACAGAATTTGAGCCTTTAAAAAATTTGCTGAAAAAGTTTCAGCACCTTTAGAAATAATGTAGTCAAACAGCAGTTTCTTCCCTACCTCTCCAATTTTATGGATAAAATTAATACTGTCTTAACAGGTTAAGACATATTAAATATTGAAATATTCAATATTTTCCCTGATACATTGAATATGTCCATAAAGTTCTAGATATCCAGTACTCCAGGAAGTACTATAACACCAAATTGTAATTTTTATTATTTATGCAATAAATTTGATAAGCAAATCCAAGAAAGATCAGTGGGAATGATTAAGAAACAAAATCTCTGTTGCTCATCACACTTTGGGAAAGTCGCTCATTATTATTATTATTATTATTATTATTGAGAAGGGGTCTTGCTCTGTCAGCCAGGGTGGAGTGCAGTGGCGCAATCACAACTCACTGCATTCTTGACCTCATGGGCTCAGGTGATCCTCCTACCTCAGCCTCCCGAGTAGCTGGGACTACAGGAGCATGCCACCTCACCTGGCTAATTTTTTGTAAAGATGGAGTTTCACCATGTTACCCAGGCTGGTCTTGAACTCCTGGGCTCAAGTGATCTGCCCACCTCGGCCTCCCAAAGTGCTGGGATTACAGGCGTCACCCATCATGCCCAGCCTAATAACCTATTTTTATAGAACTGTATGAAGGACATATTTCAAGAGGTAGTGGTGACATAATACCTGTAATCCCAGCGTTTTGGGAAGCCAGGGTGGGTGAATTGCTTGAGCCCAAGAGTTTGAGACCAACCTGGGCAACATAGTGAGACCCCATCTCTACAAAAAATAAAAAAATTAGCTGAGCGTGATGACATGCACCTGCAGTCCCAGCTACTTCGGAGGCTGAGGTAGGAGGATCCCTTGAGCCCAGGAGGTTGAGTCTGCAGTGAGCCGTGATGGCACCACTGCACTCCAGCCTGCGCAATGGAGGGAGAACCTGTCTCAAAAAAATAAAAATATAAATAAATAAATAAATAAATAAAATTTTAAGTAAATGTTTAGATACAGAAAGGACCTTGGCGATTATCTGGTGCATATTTCTTAAGCTGTGGTTCAAAGACCCTCTTCTGTGAATGAGCTTTAGGATGAGAAATTTGAGTGTCTGTGGATACAAGCATTTTTCTATAGAAAGAGCCAAAGCTTTTACCGTATTCTTAAAGAGATACATGTGCCAAAACATTATTTGTCCTAAGAGGGTTGAGAACCTGTGATCTGACTGTATTCTCTCATTTGTTATATAAGGAGACTGAGGTCAAGAGAGGTTGAGTAACTTATACAAAATCATAGTGACAACAGAACTGGTCATAGACCCAGGTTCTACGCATATTGCTTTTCCAGAACACCAACACATTGCTGAGGTTTTGTTCTTGCTTGTCTGTTAATTTCTTACACAATATAAAATGAATTAAACTGTTTTCACTTTTTATTCTTTCCATCTTTTTTTCCCCTCTTAATTATCATTCACTGCTGGTTGGTAAGGAGGTGGTAAAATTAGTGCACTCATATATTGCTGGTGGCATTCTAAATTAGCAGTCTCTTGGAAAATAATATGAGATGATAAATTACCAATAAAACATTCATTGCCTTTTCGCTTAGTAACTTTTATACTGAGAAAAAAAATTCTAAAATTGAACAAAGCCACACACACAAAATGTTCATCTAAGTATTATTTTATAATACTGAAAACTATCCATATAGTGGTCATTCCATTGACTACTAAGCAGCCAATTAAAATTAAGGTTTTACATTAAACGATGGGTGGAAATGCTTACAACACAAAAGGGACACAAAATCTACTTAAATTATGATTACAAGTTTGTAAAAAGTACGCACAGGAAAAAAAAACTAGAAGTAAATACAACAAATGTTAACTGGTAATTTTTTTCTTCTTCTTTTCTTGATGCCAAATCTTAGGTAATGCAGTTATGGCCATAATTTTTAAAAGGTAAATAAAAACAATACTATCATTGACTCCAAATGAAATGGACTTTATATTTCCCACAGATTTATCACCTTAAAAACACTCAAATACTTTCCCTTTGTAATAAAATGTCATGAGCATTAGGGCACTGTCTTCGGAATTACATGTAAGATTACCAATTACAAGTTAGTTGGCCAAATAGGTACTCAATTTCCCTATTACAAAATTGTAAGCTGATGGGGGGTGTGCAATTTAATTTAATTTTTTTTTAGACAGGGTTTCACTCTGTCGCGCAGGCTGGAGTGCAGTTTAAATTCATTTAGTTTAAACATGTTCTTAGTGTAGGGTCTGCTTTAAGGTCTAGTCATATGTTCTTATTTTGATATTTCTGTTTAGTAGAGCTGTAAAATGAAAACAAGCATGTGTTCGTTTAAAATCAATTTCTAGTTTCTACACACACACAAATTCAAGCTTGCACACGAGCTAAACCAGCAGGGGGCGAAATACAATAGGCATAAATTTGACAAGCCATATAGATTTTTCTTACTTTAGTGACTGAGCAATAACACAAAATCCAGCATAACCACAAAGCAATTGATACTCCCATTTAAAGTGATGCAGTCTCCGTATATCTTACAGCGATTGAATAGTAAAGAGACAAATGCGGGTCCATTGGAGCGCTCCGAGTTAATTTGTCTAGAACATTGCAGAGGCGGGATAAATCGTGATGAACTGCTATTGTCCTTATCTTTCTCCTGATTTGTATAATTCCTCCACCCAAAGGGGTGGACACTTCTCTGTGCCTGAGGGGATGTTTTCCATTCTTGTTTCTTTGCGTAACTGCTGAGCTTTGCTGTTTTGGAACTATTTTAAATTATTCAAATTACTGATGCAGACGTTTGGCAAATATGGGCAGAATGAGGGGCCGGCGGGGGTCATGATTTGTAGGACCCCGGGCTCATCATCCGAGACAGTAATCATAATCCTGTAGCCTTGTAGTCTGATTGTTACACTGGCAGGTGTTCTAACAGATATTCATTGTAAAGGAGGAGGAAAGGTAATATTTTTATTACCTTTATATAAATAACAGTTGATTATATAAATAATCAACTGTTCAGGACTGATGATGGAAACAAAATCGGTTACGACCTCTGTTCCAGAAATGCGTTTGAATGCATAAGTTTATGGTGATCTCTTTAGCTTCACTAGATATTCTCCGTAAGGGTCTATGAAAAACGACCACCTTCTCCATCCATTAGCCAAATTCCGGACTACTATTTTCTTGTCGGTCTCGAAGACGATTTGTCAGTTTGGCGGCTGCTTTCCCACCTTAAATTCTATTTATCGCAACCTCTTGTTATTTGTTAAATATCAGCTTCTTCCTCTGTCGGCATAAATTTAAAAAGAGGAAGAGACAGGCTGTGAATGAAAAAGTCGTTTTTCGGGGCGAAAAGGGCAAGCTGACGAATGCTCTCTAGTAGGTTTTTGGTAAAAATGTGGTTCTATATTTCCAAACCTTTACAATTTTATTTGGAGAGCAAGAGACTTAATCCGGTCTTGAGCTGAACGTTAACCGGCTGAAAGGAGCACCTGTCCTTCGCCAGGAGCGCAGCCTCAACCGGCGCCTGAGTGCGGGAAGACGTCTATCCCCCTACAGCTCTATGACTCGCAAGGAAGTAAAAGGAAAGGGCAGCTTGCCCGCACCCAAAATGGCGGTCGGCGCTCTGCACGACAGCGCCTGCGCAGGGATAAGCGTTCTGTGACACCAATTCCCCTGGAGTGTCCTCCCCCACCCCACAGCACCCACCAGCGCCCGGTCCCGACCTAGCCACCTGCGCCCGGAAGTGACGTGTCGGCGGCAGCGGTTCCCCCGCTGCATGATGGGAGAGTGTGTGGAGTGGGCGGGGGGTCTCCGCGGAGGAGGTGGAGGAGGCGGCGGCGGCGGCGGAAGAGGGCGGAGGGTAGTGGGATGGGGGTCCCGCGGCAGCGGTGAAACTCCGGGTGGGCGTCCATGGTGCTGCTGCGCTGACAGGGCTGTGAGCAGCCGGCCTTCCGCTCTCACCAGTTCCGCGTCGGAATAGACGGTCCTTCCCCGGGGAGTCAGTTCCTCCCCGGGCCCCTGAGCCATGCCCATCGCAGCCGCCCCGAAGGAGCCAGGTAAGCGCCGCCGCTCCGCTCCCCTAGCTGCGCCGGGGAAAGAGGGTGCGGGGACCAGGCCCGGCCCAGCAGCCAGACCCTCACCCGGGCCGGGAGCATCTGCCCGCCGCGGAGCCGGGAGCTGTGAGGACGGAGCTGGCTCTGCGGGCCTGCGGGCTCCCGGCTCTGCTCTCTTCTGCGGCGAGTGCGGGAACGCCGCTGGTGGCGCCCGAAGCGCACGGCCCCCTCCTCGCCATCCCGGGCACCGGCCGGGTAAGTGGGAGTCCTTCCCTCCCCGGCCACCGCCGGCTCTCCCTGCCCCTTTGCTTCCACCTCCCAAAGCTCCGCGCTGGCTGCGTTCTCCAGGGAGCTGTTCAGAAGTTTGGGGCTTTGCTTGGGCTTCTTCGCTCTCCTTCCCCCTCCCTCGTGACAGGTGTAAACACTGCCTCCTTCACCGAGGCCCGAGGCTGGCCGCGACCTGAGTGTGCTGCTTCCAAGGGTCTCTGAAGCAAGCGAATTTGGAATCCTCCAACAGGCAGAGGGGACAGCCCCAAAGCTCACGCATCCCTTCCTCAGAGTACCTTTTCTGCTGTCTTCTTGCACTCTTCAAGAAATTATCTGCGTCTCCTCTCCAGTTTGCGTTTGAAAAGTTGGACCATATTCCTTAAGTGCCTGGTTTGGCAGGTGCTGCGTCTTGCTTGGGGCAGAGGCAGAGTATGGAGTGAGGGGTGGTAGGGTCCTTGCTCTATTAGGAAAGTAATGGGGATAGCAAGGTTTTTTTTTCCTTGTTGCTTTGTGCAAGTTATAGCTTGGTTATACTGAATCTTTTCTGTTGGGGCCGAGGGAAGAACTGACTCATACATGTAAATTTTTTACTGGGCGGGGGGATGAAACAAAAGTAATGGTTCCGTTTCAAAGTTCTCACTTTAGGAGAAGTAAAGTAGAACTTTGGTTTTCAACTTTTCCTACAGTGTAAGTCTTCCTTCCACCTCCTATTCCGAGGATTTTATTTGGTGGAGGGGAGACACAGAGTTTATCTTTGATGCTACACTTAATTGTTGCTTTCAGTTAACCTCTTAGACATTAAAATATATGCTAAACTCTAGGGACAACAAATGTTTCAACATTATTATGTTAATATAATTAACACAGTCACGTACATTTTATATGCTTTACCAGTTTAAATGTTGGCTTTTTTAGTAGTCATTTTTAACACTTCGCAGAGGTATATTTGTTTAAACAAAGTATCTGTGGTAGTCTCCTAAATTTTGTTCATAAAGATATTTCACATGGATTAAAAGACAGATCTTGTGTAAAACATCTAGCCCAGTAAATGGCACCTAGCAGATATTCATTAGCTCTAGTTGTTCCTCCGTGGATTAAATTAGATATATCAGTTGATCTTCAAAGTACACATATATTTTTAAATCTTCAAAAACCTCTGGAAAAAAATCCACTACAATTCACATAATATGTAGGGCATTTAAGTTTTAATGTTTGCTGATCTTTTGACCTAGAGACTGTTAAAAAATAATCCCGTATCACAACAAGGATAATATGTCCTTAATAGCCTTGATACATCTTGCCGAATCCAGTTTTCGTTATGAAAATTGTATAGTGTGGGTGAATCATATCATAAAACATCATTTTACATTTTCATTTGTTCTGCTTACATTTAGTGAAAAACTAGTTCAGAAATGTAGTGACATTTGAGTACCAAATAATGTTTTATTTTGTGTGAAATCTAAAGTGCTTTCCTCAGCAGGCAAAGTCTTTGAATAGCTTCTCATTAAGGGATTGCCCCTTCTCTCCCAACCCTTCCCCCAAATCTCATAAAAGGAGGCCGCTAAGTATTTAGATATTTTTTAATCATCATAAATTATTTAAATAAAATGTTTATATTCTAATTTAATGTTACCTACACTTTGTAGATTAAAAAATAAAGGTTTTTCCCTCTATTCTTAGCACTTTCAATTCCTTTTTAAGTAGAATAGTGAACCTTTCTAGCCGGAACTTTATAAGTATTTTTAGTTTTTACACTATTTTGAAAATCTGGCATTGTATGGATTTTACATATCTCATTTTGCTAATCATTTTCTCAGTTTGTGCATATATCAGATATAGTCACAAGTTCTTTTGCAGCTTTATATGATAATTGCTAACACATGAGCAGTATATATGTTGCTCATATATATTGCTTCCTATGAGCAAGATAGTTTTCTAAATGCTTTATATACAGTGTACTAACTCAATCCACACAACAACCTGTAAGGCAGTAAGTAGTAGTATCCCTCATTTTTCAGAGAGGAAACTGAGGCACACAGATACTAAGTAACTTGCCTTAGGTCAAACAGCTGTTAAGTGACAGATCCGTTTGCTAGACCATTTATATAGTCTCATGCAAAACTATACTATGTATTGTCTGTGATTTGTGCAATATGTAGCAAAAGTATAACAACATGCATGGGAATGATAAACACCAAGTCAGACTAAAAGTGACCTTTGGAGAACTTGAGAGGGATGAAGGATCTAGGAGGGGCCCATGGGTTTACAAACATATCTTTATATCCTTAAAAAAAATCCGAAGTTGACTTGTTAAGAGATTAAGATTTAACACACCTGGGTGATGGTTACTGGCTCATTCATTATGGCTTTTTTCTCCCTAAGGTTTGCATGAAGTTCTTCACAATGAAATTAAAAGTTTAAAGGCCGGGCATGGTGGCTCACACCTGTAATCCCAGCACTTTGGGAGACCGGGGTGGGCAGATCACCTGAGGTCGGGAGTTCAAAACCAGCCTGACCAACATGGAGAAACCCCGTCTCTACTGAAAATACAAAATTAGCCGGGTGTGGTGGCACATGCCTATAATCCCAGCTATTCGGGAGACTGAGGCAGGGGAATCGCTTGAACCCGGGAGGCGGAGGTTGCAGTGAGCTGAGATCATGCCAGTGCACTCCAGCCTGGGCAACAAGAGCAAAACATCATCTCAAAAAAAAAAAAAGAAATTAAAAGTTTAGGTATTTAACTTTAAAACATATATAAAGTATCACTCTTCTTTCAGCATTGTATATTTAAAAAAAGGACAGGAAAGGAGTTAGTATTATTTTGTGTTGACTTTCTTTTAAAATACAAGGAGCTTCTAAGTTAAAAAAATGTTTTTAATTAAGAATTGTTTGCCTCTCCAGATTCCTCTGCATTAACTTCCCTTGCCTGGACTCTTCCCTATTGCTGGCAACCATTTAACAGCCCTTTGTCACACTCCTAGTGTCTATTTCTGGCCTTTCCCTTCTAGGGTAGGGGCTCATAGGTCTGTGGATTAGACCTATTCCCAAGAAAAGGGAAAAGGTCAGAACTAAGTGGGGAGGAAGAAAGGAGGTGGGGAATCACTGCTTATTGATTTGGGATAATTGAGAAGAAGAGGGAAATAATGATTTAAGACTCCATCCTATGGTTGTCAGTCACTGTCACCCTTGTTCCAAATAGCTAACTTGAAGATAAACCTTGCAAAGATAGATTGCTAATTAATTAAAGGTTAATTTACTAGCACTGTATTTGTGAATAATTCCCATCGGAAAATTACACAGTAAATGAGAATTAATTTACTGTAGGTTCTATTTATGTAAATATTTACAGTATACCATAAACCATTTCAATTAAATATCTACTGACACCATGCATGTTATCTTCTTCCTTTCATTCATAAAACAAGTATCTATTGAGCACCTGCTATTTGTCCGGCCCTGTTCTAGGTGCTGGGGATACTGAAATGAGCAAACAAGAAAAAAAATCTGCCCTCCTACAGCTTCAGTTTCTTTATGTATATATGTATGTACTCACACATTTGTGTACATATTTGGGACAAATAAGCAAATAGCAATAAAATAAGCAATAGCAATAATGGCAGATGATGTTAAGTATCATCAGAAAAATGGAATCAGTTTTGGGGGATAGGGAGTGGTGAATTTTTTGCTTTGAGCCAGTAGTAAGGGAGGTTGGTGGGGCTTGCTGTTTTATATAGAGTGGAGTCAGAGAAGGCTTAAACCTGAAGAAGGGGAAGCAAATAAGAAGAGTGGTAGAGACAGAAGTATGCCTGGAATAGTCAAGAAATTGTGGCAGAGAAGTCTGGGGTGGATAGAATAGGGTGAACAAGTAGAAGAGTAGTACAAATTGTGATCAGAGTTAGAGGGTGAGAGGGGCAGTGTTTTAGGGTCCTTACAGAAATTCTAATGACTTAGGCTTTTTACTGTGGGAGATGGTAAGTCATTGCAGGATTTTTGAGTAAAGGTGTAAGATAATTTATGTTGTAAAAGGATCTGTCTAGCTGTTATATAGAAAATAGACTATAGGAGTGGAATGTAAGAATAGAAGCAGAGTCAGGAGAGAATTGTGCTGGTAGAGTTAAGAAGAGATGGTAGTGGCATGAACCAAGATGGTAGCAGTAGAGATGAGAAGTGGTAGGACAGTTTCTTGAATTGGAATCTGCAATAATTCCCTCATTTTTAAACTCAGAAAGCTTACAGAGGCACTCCCTTCTGAAAATTCAAGGCCCTTGCAACCTATGTTTCCAGCTTACTGCCTGTACCCTTCATATATCCTGTGTTCTAACCATATTTTATTATGTGTCTTACTGTTCCTTGATAGGGGCCCCATGCTTTATCTTTAATGACTACCATTTCCTCTGTCAATTAAATCCTTCCTATTTCAAATTTTCTCCTTTTTGAAGTTTTTTTTTTTTCACCATTCCTTCTCTTCCCAATCAAGTGTGATCTTTTTCTTAGAATCTTGGTAGCCACATTTTACTTCAGTGATGTTTATATTCTATCTTGCATTATTTTTGCTGTTCTCTTGTATTATTCTCCTTAATTAGCTGTAAGTTTCTTTAAGGTTGTGACTCCTTTTACTCAGTTCTACCACAGTTTTGTATGTAATAGATGCTCAGTAAATAGTGGGTGTATACATATTTAAATTTTTTAAAATAGTCTTATTGCAGAGGCATACAGGAGCATCATAGAAAATAGACAAGCAAAAAAAAACAAATCACTTTTTTTTTTTTTTGAGACAGAGTCTCACTGTGTCACCCAGGCTGGAGTACAGTGGAGTGATCATGGCTCACTGCAGCACAGACCTCCTGGGCTCAGGCAGTCTTCCTGCCTCAGCCTCCTAAATAGCTGGGACCACGGGCGCACACCACCATGCCTGGCTAATTGTTTTTATTAGTAGTAGAGACAGGGCCTTGTTATGTTGCCCAGGCTGGAAAAATTACTTTAAAAAAATCCCTCAGCCAGGCGCAGTGGCTCACGCATGTAATCCCAGCACCTTGGGAGGCCAAGGCGGGCATATCACTTGAGGTTTGGAGTTGGAGACCAGCCTGGCCAACATGGTGAAACCCCGTCTCTTCTAAAAATATAGAAAAATTAGCCAGGCATGGTGGCGGCCGCCTGTAATCCTGGCTACTGAGGAGACTGAGACAGGAGAATCACTTGAACCTGAGAGGTGGAGGTTGCAGTGAGCCAAGATCATGCCATTGCACCCCAGCCTGGACAACAGAGTGAGGCTCCGTCTCAACAACAACAAAAAAAAGCAAATCCCTCACTGTTACAGTTTATATAATAATGCATATTTTCCTACACATTTTAATATATATGTGTACTTTTTACCAAAATGAAGACTTGTTGTAGTGTTTTGTAGTTTTTTTTGTTTTAAGTCAGTTTAGTCATCTAAACTAATATTCAAGGCCATATTCAGATTCTTCCCCAGTTCACCCAAAAATGTCCCCTGGCAACTGATTTACCCAAATCATTATCTACATCATATTATGTTTTTCCAGTTATTAAAATTATGAAAAAATAATGTGCTTATTATAGAAAATTTGGGAAAATGTGGAAAAAAAGTAGAAAGAAAATGGGTGTGCCCATGATGGCAGGAACCCTTCTGTTTTAATGCCTGGCACAAAGTAACACTCAATAAATACATGTTAAGAGGGATAATAGAAGAAAAATATCACTGGTCATCATACTACAAAAAGAAAACTGTTAATATTTTGGTTTTCTTCCTGTTTTATTTTTACTGTGGATATGTGAGCATGTCATACATATACATATGAATCATATTGCGTTGATCTTTCTTTTACTTATTAAATTGTGAGCATTTCTCCATGTTACTAAATTTTCCTTAAAACATGCTTTTTGGCTGGGTGTGGTGGCTCACACCTGTAATCCCAGCACTTTGGGAGGCCGAGGCGGGAGTATCACTTGAGGTCAGGAGTTTGAGACCAGCCTGGCCAACATGGTAAAACCCCGTCTCTACTAAAAATACAAAAATTAGCCAGGCGTGGTGTCAGGCACTTGTAATCCCAGCTACTCGGGAGGCTGAGGCAAGAGAATTGCTTGAACCCGGGAGGTGGAGATTGCAGTGAGCCTAGATCACACCACTGCACTCCAGTCTGGGTGACAGAGTGAGACTTCATCTCAAAAAAAAAAAAAAAAAAAACACCACAAAATGAAAAAAACCATGCTTTTTAATGACTGTGTAGAATGCCATTTTCAAGTTATCTCTGCTATTTCCCACTAATGTGGGTTTTCCAGATTTTACCATCATAGAAGAGCATCTTGGTGAAAAAGTTTGTACATAATTCTTTGACCTTATTGTTGATTATTTTCATAGGATCAAATCTTAGAAGTAGAGTTATTAAGTCAGAGGGAAAGCCTGTTACTTTCTAAGAGGTTATAATAAAATCACTCCTACCAGCAGTGGTTGGGTCCCCATCTCCCTTATTTCCTCAGATGATCAGTAATATGCAGTTTTTAAATTACTGGAATTTTTATTTTGAATTTAGGCTTTTCAGCAGTGTGGAATGTTTGCATAATTTAAAATTTTTGAATGATTTAAACCTGAGATATGCCTTTATTTGATATAAGATTAATCTTGCTTAATGCCATGCTCTTTTTAAGTTAACCTATTCTGTTAGCAAGCTATTTAAGTATAAAAAAATACAGTACTATCTTCTAGAACTATCTTGTCTAATACAGTAGCCACTAGCCAAATGTGTCACTTGAAATGAAACTAG
This sequence comes from Homo sapiens, assembly GCF_000001405.40. Taxonomy (NCBI): domain Eukaryota; kingdom Metazoa; phylum Chordata; class Mammalia; order Primates; family Hominidae; genus Homo; species Homo sapiens. The sequence continues at coordinate 64,531,659 of NC_000002.12, forward strand.
CCCAAATTAAGATGTGATTTCAGTGTAAAATACACAGCAGATTTTAAAAACTAATGTGAAATATATCAGTAATATTTTACATTGGTCACATGTTAAAATAATATTGTGGATACTTTGGGTTAGATAAAATTTCATCTGTTTCTTTTTAAATGTGGCTACTAGAAGATTTTTAATTGCATATATGGCTTAATTGTTGTCAGTTGGACAGCCCAGCTCTAGAAATGACACTTTTTATTTAGAGAAAAAATATAAGATTAACTTAACTCTTATAGAAAGGAATACATAGATTTTTTAAAATTACATATTACATTTAAACCTCTCAATATATTTTTCGTAGTATACATGGGTTGCACGGTAATTTTTCAAGTTACAAGTGTTTGATCACAAACTATAACTTACTATGGTTCTTATGCTCTGAAAGAAATATGTGTAGGAGGACTTGAGGGAGGGTGTTAGGAAACTTACCTGAGGAATTGATCTTTCACCTAAAAATTGAAGGATGTGTGGGAATGTCTTAGGCACTGGGACTGTAAGTGCAAAGACCCTGTGGCACAAGGGAATGTTAATTATCTACCTTTCAGAAACTGGAAGAAGGCCTAGCCTAGAGCATTGAAAACAATAAGGGAAAGGAGGAGTAAGGCTGGAGAGAGAGGAATGGTTTAAAGTCTTTGTTAAAAATTTTTTTAAAAAAATCTTTATCACAAGAAGAGGATTGGCATGATCAAATTTGACTTTTAAAAAGATTACTTGGGTTGGGCATGATCAAATACTACTTAGGGAGATTAGTTTAGATGATAATGGCATTCTGGACCAGAGTGGAGTCAGAGGTGAAAAGAGGTAGATATTCCAGAATTGAGGGATTTGTGAGGTGAAATCATTTGTTACAGATATTAAAGGATAAGGAGCTTTGTCAAAGGGGATCTTAAGTTTCTGGTATGGTAACTGGGTTAGAGAGCCCTGGAACATGACCAGCTTTAAGGGAAGAGAGCTTGAGCTCTGTTCTTGTTAAGCTCAGTTTGAGATCTTTGTGGAATCAAGTGGAGAGGTCTAAGCAGGGAACTGGCTTGGCTAGGCTGTAAAGATGAATCTGAGAGTCCAAGAATATGGTAATTATTAATAAAAGCCTTAGGTAGATGAAATTGTTTTGGGAAAATTGAGTAAGGATGAAACCTAGATAAACTTGTATTACTAATTTGAGTGTGTTTAATACCTATGGGAAAATTTATTTTGTAGCCCACTTTGTGTAAAAATGAAGGCAAGGAGTAAGATCAAATAAGTTTAAATACATACCGTTTGACATATGTGTAATTAAGTAGATAATCTTACGTAATGCTTATTTGATTCTTTGGAAACATTTACCTTTTTCCTGCAGAAAATAAACTGGGCTTCCTAACTATCAAACAAGCTGAAGACAATTATGAATAGGTATTGATGTTTCTGCTGTATTAATAGATCTAGGCCAGGTGTGGTGGCTCATGCCTGTAATCCCAGCACTTTGAGAGGCCAAGGTGGGTGGATTGCTTGAGCTCCAGAGTTTGAGACCAGCCTGGGCAACATGACAAAACCCCATCTCTATAAAAAATATAAAAAATTAGCCAGATATGGTGGCAGGCACCTGTAGTCCCAGCTACTCAGGAAGCTGAAATGAAAGGATCACTTGAGCTCAGGAGGTCGAGGCTGCAGTGAGCTGAGATCACACCACTGCACTCCAGCCTGTTCAACAGAGTGAGTGAGACCCTGCCTCCAAAAAACAAACAAACAAACAAAAATCTAAGGAAAACTTACATAATTATCTTCATAAATATTGAAAAGGCATTTAAAACCCCATTTGTGATTTTTTAACAAAGCAACTTAAAATAAGAATTACTGAATAATTCTGTAAGACAATAAAAACATACACCTCAACTCAGAAATCAATATCTTAATTAAGAGTGAATATTAGATTCCTGCCTATCACCATTGTTATGAGACTTGGAAAGGAAAAGGTAAGTCTACCCCGATTTGCTAGTGATGTGATGGTATACTATATAACCACCAAGAGCTTTTGTTTATGTAAATAATGCTTGCCAGTTAGGGTGGAAGTGAAGACTACCATTTACATGAGCAGAAAAAGGTAAAATACCTAACAATAAACTTAATAAATATGAAAATTCTATATTGCTAACAGATTCAATTTTTATGTTATATAAAATTAACAATTCTGTATTTAGGTAATAAAAGTGATCCTTCCTAAGTGATTAATGAATTATTTACCACTTGTTATTCTTTAAATCATTCTAAGTGACATGTGATACTTTTCAAAGCAAAACTCCTAGGAGTAGGATTTTTAATATTTTCTTACATTTTAGTGAGGCCACAGTTTTTTAAATGGTTGAAATGAATAGTGTTTCTGCCTTAGCCACCCTCCCAAGTGAGGTTTTTGGTGTTTTCTTCTTGGTGATTGCTTAAGTTTTGTAGTATTTTCAGTTTTGCTGTGGTTTATCATCTCTCATCTTGTTTATTATGTGGATGCAAAAATGTTGACCTGGAGTATTTGCAGCTAAAATACTTCTGCTACAGTGACACTCAAAATCTGAAGCATTGATTTATTTTCTTAAGGCTTTTGTTTTTAGTGGCTATTTATAAAAAGCAATGAACTTATTAAGAGATAATTTAACTCTTTTTACACTGAACTCTTTTTATACTTTTTACTATTTTTTGATAATATCTTCATTCAAAAAAAAATTACTAAGAGTTTCAGATATCAAAAATTCATATTTTCTCTCGCCTGAAGCCCAAACAGAATATTTGAGTATTCATCACTTCTTACTTATAGTTAAGTTACCAAGTTACCACTTCCTCTTCTTTTCCATATTTCAGATTCTGTGCCAGCGGATGATAGTTTTCTGTCTCATTAGGTTTCATAAGTTTACACAAAGCACAGGGCAAGTGTTACACGTAACTAAAAAGTTCAGATTTTAATCAGATTAGCAGTGACCCTGGTTTCTGGAAGTAGGGAAGTTTTTTGTTGTTGGTGTTGCTGTTCACATAAGCATTTCTTTATGTTCATCTGCAAGTGAAACTGTGTTTAATTCTTTAAGCTTGTTTTTTTTTTTTTTCTGAGAATTCCATAACATTTAAATTATATACTAATTATAAGTGAAGCTTCAAAAAGGAATAAACAAATGATTTCATAAACTTTCTGGTTAAGTAGAAAGTAGTAATATTTCCAAAATGGAATTTCCCAAATCTAGAGCTGTCTCAAATACTTATGTGTTGTTTCAAAAATTGTCACAGTGCTTTAACTTTGATCCTTTTAAGTAAATTTTTCAAGTTTCATTTTTAAGAAGAGTATTGACGATTTAATATTGTAAACTCCTTGTTTTTGAAATCTTAAGAATGTTAAGTTTCTTAGTGCTAGTCTCAGATAAATGTGTACAACACAACTTTAAAATATTTATACAACCAAATCATAAGAGAAAACATTTTTGTAGGAAAAAGTACTATTGCAGTGATTTACCTATATCAATGAGTTTAGCAGTTCAGTTTAGAAACATTTATGTCATCCCTGGAGTTATAAAGTCCATTGGCATTCCTGTACTCTGGGAACTTAACACAAAGGTTTTCAACCTTAACTAACCCATTTAGTATCATCTTCGAAACTTTTAAAAAAGATGTTTGGGTCTACCCATTCTATTAGAGAAAAAAGTTAATAGAAAGCTAAGGTTGAGAACCTATTAGGGGAAAAAAACATGGAAACAAATGTGATTTGCTTTGTTAAATGTAATAGGAAATAGATATAAAGGAGGATTAATTCAGACAAGAAACCTGATACAACGAAAAGAACACTGGCTTTGAGTCCCACTTTCCTTACTTATTCTTTGTGGGACCGTGAACAGATTATGTGACTTGTTTCTTCCTCTGTAAAATGGGTTTTTGTGATTAAACTGAATGTATGAATAAACTGGTGTATGAATAAGTACCTTGCACAGTACCTATCACATAGTAACTTAGTAAATATAGGTGATCTCAGTTCTCCAGCCTTGATAGAAAACTTCATGCCTGAATAGAATTTTGAAGGCTTAGTCAGTGGGTTCTTTGGACATATAAGAACAATACATTAGAAGAAATGACGTGTGACAACTTAGAGGTAACCATGCCAGTGGAGAATCCAGAGGTAATTTTGTCTGGCTGGAACAAAGAGGGAGTATCTTAGCCATGTTGGCTAAGATAAGGAGTTTTAAGTAGACTGCAGTAATCCTGGCCAAAAATAATGAGGCCCTGACAAGGTATAGGTTGTGGGATGTTAAAACAAATACAGTAAGAGATATTAAGGAGGGAGAAACTTGATTGATTTAATTTGTGGTAGAGGGGGAGCGGTTGGGGTAACACTCAGATTTCTAGACTTAGAATTTAGAATATAGTGTAGGAACAAGTGGTTTCTGTTCACCTTTTGAGTAGAGGTTGAATTCAGTCGTGGAATTGGAGAATAGGAGATACATCTGAGACATCCAGGTAGAGAGATTTTAAAAAGGCATTTGGGTAGGCAGATCAGGAGGTCAGACATATAGGTAAGGTTTGAGCATTATGAACAGATAAAAACAAAAGGGGGATGAGATTTCTCAGTGATAAGAATATAGGGAAGCGGCTGAGCATGGTGGCTCACGCCTGTAATCCCAGCCCTTCGGGAGGCCAAAGTGGGTAGATCACCTGAGGTCAAGAAGTTTGAGACCAGCCTGGCCAACATGGTGAAACCGCATCTCTAATAAAAATAAAAAATTAGATGGGCATGGTAGCACAGGCCTGTAATCCCAGCTATTGCTCAGGAGGTTGAGGTGGGAGAATCGCCTGAACCTGGGAGGTGGAGGTTGTAGTGATCGCGCCACTGCACTCCAGCCTGGGCGACAGAGCAGAGCGAGACTCCATCTTAAAAAAAAAAAAAAAAAAAAAAAGAATATAGAGAAGCCAGGGCAATCAGATTCATTGAAGGATAAGGGATAGAATATAAGTAGGAGAATCAAAAGAGAATTGCCAGCAGGGCGTGGTGACTCAAACCTGTAATCCCAGCACTTTGGGAGCCCAAGGTAAGTCAATTGCTTGAGCTCAGGAGGTTGAGACCAGCCTGGGCAACATGGCGAAACACTGTCTCTACAAAAAATTTAAAAATTAGCTGGGCATGGTGGTGTACACCTGTAGTCCCAGTTATTTGGGTGGCTGAAGTGGGAGGATTGCTTGAACCCAGGAGGCAGAGGCAGCAGTGAGCCATGATTGCACCACTGTACTGCAGCCTGGGAAAAGAAGGAGACTCTGTCTCAAAAAAAAAAAAAAAAAAAAAAAAGAAGAAGAAGAAGAATGCTTTTCAGAAATGCTTTTTCACTTAAAAATGTATTTTAGACACTTTGCCCTATTAGTAATATAGCTTTCTCTTTTTTAATGGCTGCACTTTTTATTTACACACTTCCTTATTAATAGACTGTTTTCAGCTGCTTTTTAAAAAATTGAACAAACAATACTGGAATCAATACTTTGTGGAAATATCTTTGTATATTTGCATGAATGCCTCTGTAGAATACATCCTTGCAGATGAAATTGCTTAGTCAAAAGAATGGAAACAACAGACACCAGAGCCTACTTGAAGGTGGAAGGAGGGAAGAGGGTGAGGATGGAAAAACCACCTGTCGGGTACTATGCTTATTACCTGGGTGATGAAATAATTTGGACACCAAACCCCCGTGACACTCAATTTACCTATGTAACAAACCTGCACATGTACCCCTGAACCTAAAATAAAAGTTTAAAAAATTAAAAATTTTAAAAAGAATTCATTAAAATGTTTCGTATGCTACTAAACTGCAATAGGGTGTGTGAGCCAATATATACTCCTACCAATAGTATCTTTTAGAGAACTTTTACATTGTAGATACTGGACCAGAAAAGTTAATGTTTGCAAACTTAAACAATTGCTAAATGCTTTCTGAAAGTGAAAATTGTTAAAATTTGCCAAAGTGTTCCAGTTTTATGTTATGTTTGTATGTTTTTTAAAATGTTATCCTTAAAGTAGCATGCTTCCTAGATTGAAGGTAGTATGAATTTGAAAAATAAATAGTAATTTTCGTTTATTACTTTTATACACAATTCTGTAAAGAGAAAAAGAACACTTTCATTTTATCAAATACTTGGTTCGTTGAAATAATGTAATTTAAGAATGCATTTTGTCTTTGTAAGCACCAGATCAGGGAGGAAGTCTTTGTTTTAAAAGAAGCCCTGTTCCCTCCTCTTGTATGCTAGAAGCAGTAATTGGATTTGGAGGAATTGGATGAGATGGAAAGAATACTTTTTTATACTTTATATTAAAACCTATTTCTGGTTTGTAAAATCAATTTAAGAGGGTCATGACCAGCTTTTAAGAAAAAATGAAATAGAACTAAAAATCAGAGTACATAGAGAGTAAGGGTAAATACTGTTTGGCGAAACTTTTTTTTTTAAAATGTATGTTGGGTCATCATGTAAAATGTATTTCTTCTGTGAGTCATAGGGGAAAAATGTGTGAAAAATTCTGCTTTATATGACGGGCCAATTCTCAAGTTGTTTCTAACCAGATGTATTGGGTACCCTGCAAATAAATGTTATATATTTTTTTCTTTTATCCTTTAGCCTTTCTACCTCTCAGGAAAAAGTAAAACTTTAAACCAAGCAAAACCATCATTAAAAAAGGTCAACCAGCTAGGAATTTGTTCTCCATGGAATTCCTTCCATAGTTTTTGTGCAGTTATTAGTATCGGTAGACCCATTTGTGGCATTACCTGTGTACACTCCACACGCATACACTCTTGAGCACTATTTTGGAATGTGTTTATATTTGATTTTTCAGATATATGAAGTTTGTTTTATAATAATTCCCTGAAAAATATCATGTGTGCTATTATCTGTGGATCATTTATGACTGTCTTTAAGTTTGGTTAATTGTTTTGTTTCCTTCTGTCACTTCATTGCCTCCAGGTCATCTTTTTCTCTTAATTGATGGGTGGTAAGAAAACAAATTAAAGTAAAATTAATAGCACCTGGCAAAGACTTAATTTGTGAGGTAAATCTGCTGTTACTTAGGTCATATTTTAAGGCCAAATTTGTGAGTTGTAGATTATGTAGGACATCGTTGCTTACTTTCTTAGTGGCTCAGATAATTGAACTCTAACTGCACTTGGTTGCAGTTTTATAACCTTTAGTAAATGCTTCTTTCTGTAAGAGGTGAGTTGCTCTCATGGTGGGTGTTTGTGATGTAGAAAGCAGCACTGTCAGAGGAATGGCAGCTGCCACAGTTACGTTTTTAGGTTACAGACTAGAGTGGTATTTTTTCATTTTGAAAGTCCACACAGTAGTTTGTTACTTTGTTTTTCTGGGGATTTTTTTTCTCAGTATACACTAGTCACTTGAGGTTTAACTTAGTCTTGACCAAAATGCTAATTTAAAACTTTACAGCAAGAAACTTACTTTAAAGCATGTCTGCTGTTCATGTCAGCTGATTGCAAAATCTTCTGTGGGAAAATTTTCATGAAGTATTAAAGTCCTGGGGAGCAGAGAACAAGAAAAAGAAATTAGTTGGACTATCCAGAGTGTAGCATTATGCTCTGGCGACACTCACTGACACCTCTGCTTATGCTGAGGAATTGTCTCAAATCAAAGCAAATATTCATGATAGCAGGTCTAAAAACTCACTACAAATTTTTGTCATTTAGCTAGGGTTTTTTGCAGCTTGCATATAATGTACTGCCCCTCTTAACATACTTTCTCTTTAGACATGTTGCAGCACAAATGATTGGGTTGTTTGTCCCACATTCATCACATTTCAGGCCACATTTCAAATCCCACTTATTTACCTTGATTACATTTGGATATTTCATAACTTATTTGGTGAAGCACTAAGAGACCAGAGGTGTGGTTATAGAAATCTAATTGGAGTGTGCGTGAGTTGGAGCACAATTCAAGAGTGGTTAGTAGAATAAATGCCCCAGCAAGAATGATGATAATATATTTAGTTCCTGCTGTGAGCCAGGCTCTGAGGATGCAATGGTAAACAACAGAGGTCTATGCCTACACAACATTTACAGTCATTTGAGCTCAAATAAAGTAACTCTTGAAAGAGCAGTTTCGGTAGAGCGGTAGCATGGAAGCCAGATTGTGTTGAGTTGAGGAGTGAGTGGGAAGTTAGGAAGTCGAGAGAGTGAATAGGCACATCTCTTTCAAGAAGCTTGGTGGTGAGGAGGAGAAGAGCTAGGGCGCACAGAAGAGAGGATTCTGTTTTGTTTTGTTTTGTTCTGATTTGTTTTGAGTATGGAAGAGGCTGAACGTTTATAGGAAAGGATCAATAGTGATGGAAAATTTTTAAAAGCCCCTGAGCAAGCAGTTGAGAAGAAAAACAGAAGGTCCAGGGATTATCTGTAGACAAGATTGTGGATGTAAGCAAGATTTTAGTGAAGGGACATGAAATCAAAGCAGTTTCTGCCTTTCAGATTCTATTTTCATTGCAGAGTTTCAGGGATATGAGAGTAGAGAATTAGAGTGACTAATTTATTCTGCATCTATATAATAGAAGCTGAGAGTTCTAGGGCAAAAAAAATGTTTTCCAAGGGCTAATCCATCCATCCTCGTGGATGCTTCCATTTTGTTGCCCTTGTTATCAATAGTTATCCAATGTTATGTATTCAATTTTATGTTGAAGTACCTTTTGGGAAAAATAGCTAGTAAACTCTCAAATATGGTCAGCTGATATGATGAGTTAAAGGTACAACAATCTCTAATATTTTTATCTTGTTTAATTATTACATGAAACTATCCAAATGCAAATAAAATATGTTATTATGAATTTGTGTAGAAGGTTAAAATGTTCGGTAGAAGAAAAAATTTTTCATGGGAATTTTTGAAAACCAACTTCTCTCAAATAACTCATTGCTGTTTAACAAGGTAAGTAGCACTTGAAAAGTGAACGTGTGTTGCAGCTCATGTAACTGACATTATATATATATTTTTACTTTTATGTGTCAATTGTATTGACATCAAAACTAGAAAGACAAAATTTTTTGTTGTCACTATTGACAGTGTGGCTTTTTTAGGGTGATCAACTTCAGTATAAAGGTATTTTGCTGCTCATTTTCATTGTTTGCTCATATTTTGTACTATATACACTAATACTGAAACAAGATATTTGCTGCTTGGCATTTTTGTTGGTTATACTGTACTTTCTTGTCTTGTAAAAATCTTTCCCCTTCCAAGTTACTTGGAGGTTTCAGAAACCTTTTTCTGAACCACTCAGAAGCCTTTTTGTAAGAATTTTTATAATTGTAATATTTGCCGTCAATCACGTCTAATATTTTAAGACACTTATAAAATGTTTGATTAACTTGTGATTAATTCACCACTTACTAGTTATGCTACCTTGTAGGATTACTTAACCTCTTTGAGCTTTTATTTCTTCATCTTTAAAATGAAGCATTTCCACCTCATATGATAGTATGAGGAGATAATTGAGATAACTCACGAGTTCTCTTCACATAATATTGGCCCATAGTAAGCACTCAATAAGTATTAATAATGACATTGGTGTAAACATGGAGTGAAAACACGTGGAAGATACTATTTATTTAACAAATGTCATCTTAAATAACATATTATGCAGTTGGTGACTCAGTGACATACAGTTGGTGTCTGATATCTTGGGTTTTTGTTTTTAGGCTGGCAAGTTAATTAGAGGCTCTGCCTGTATTAATTTCTGTTGTGCTAATATGCTAAGAACAAAAGAAAAAACACCCAAAAAGAAAAAACAATTATTTCTGTAGATTTTAAAATTTAGAGCTGTGAAAACAACTGTGATATCATAGCACTCTAAATATATTGAAAACCAAAAAGTTAACTAAAACCCAAATCTTCATGTGGTTCAGAAGAAGGGCTCTTTTCTACTTCTTTATGACTCAAGCAGAAATGTAGGCTGGGCAAATTCATTGACAGTACATTTTGATATGACCTTAAAATTTCCATAAGGATATTATAAAGATTTGGAAGAATTTGAACTACTGTACACCAGGCAACACTTGTAATGTAAATTGATGTTGTTAATGCTTACGTGACATTTTCATTCATTTTTCTAAAGAAAATACGGTTTTTCTTTTTTGTTTTTTCCTTCACTCACCCAAGTGACTAATTATAAACCTCAGACATATTGTGGTAAAAAGATGGTGATTATTTTTTGTCATCCATTAAATATACTTTGCTAATGTCATTGATACTATTGAAGTCATTAGCATATTTCAGATACAGTTGTTTTTCTTCTCCCTTTTATCACCATCCTTCTTTCTACAATATCTTTTCCTTCACCCTCCATCCTGGTCCCTATAAAAATAAGTTTAGAGTGAAGCTGGGTTGTATAATCTAGGTCAGTTTATCTGTCCTTGAAAGATGATGTACACATTGATACAGCTGGGCTGGTACCCTGTAAAGGATGGGAGTTTCTCCCAGTTGAGCAGTGTGTGCTGTATGTTTTTAACTTGTCTGGAAAGAACTCTCGATGTTTGATTCTGGAAAGATTGCTAGAGGGCCTCTTACTTAGAGACACTCCACCCCCCTCAAATGTGAGCCCATGGACCTTTAGGGTGCATGATACTGTGTGTGGATGTTGGGGGTAGGAGGGTACCAGGGATTAACTATTCCTTAGAGGAATACGTAGGGAATACCCTATATATTTCCCACATGTGATGAATCTTTTCCATCCCAACCAAGCACCTTCTAAATTCTTGTGGTTGTTCATCTAACCAAATAGGAGCTACAGGCAGTTTACTTCAAGATACCAGTGAGAACTTCCGGGTTGCATTTTTCTATTTCACTTCAAAACTTCCATCTTTTAACAGACTGGTCACTGGACCCTTGAGCTTGTTTAGAGGTTATGATCTCAGTCCTTCAACCTTGGGCTTCAGATTTAGTTTGTTATCAGCATCCCCCCGCCCCCATGCCCCCAAGCCTATGAAATTATATAGTTATATAAGTCAAGTTTTATATTTTCTAGGGATTGGTTAGAAAAACTGGCAATAAAGTCAACTTCATGTATCTTTAGTGTGGTTATGCATATTTTTCTTAAGTGACTTATTCTTTCAGTGACCTTTTAAAATATAGAGTCATATGAATGTTTGTGCCAACTAAGCAAACATTGACTTAGGTTTTGTTACAGATAGGTTATTATTTTAGCCACAGAGTTGGTGAAAGTTAAAATATAATGGTAGTTGATCATTTACTTAGTGCACAGAATGTGCCAGGTACTGAAGGTCTGGTATAGTTTTAGTACATATTATCAAACAGTTTTCCGAATATCTGTACCAGTTTATACTTCCACCAGTAAAGTGTGGGAATCACAGTTTCTCCACATCCTTACCAAAAGTGGCTGTGGAGAGAATAATTTTAATTTTAGTCATTCTGGTAGATGTATAGTGGTATTTTATTGTTGTTTTAATGTACATTTTTCCCTGATGACTTTTTATATGCTGTTGGCTATTTGGATATCCTGTCTTGTGAAATACCTGTTCAAATATTTTGGCCATTTTTCTGTTGGATTGTTCCACATTGACTTGTAGGAATTCTTTCCATATTCTGGATATGAGTTCTTTGACAGTTACATGTTTTGCACATATCTTCTCCCAGGCAATGGCTTTCTTGGTTTTTCACTCTATGGTATTCTTTTGATGAAGAGAAGTTTTAAATTTTAATGCAGTCCAATATATCAATCTTTTCTGTAATCAGTGTTTCTGTTTCTTGTTTAAAACATTTATGCCTTTCCTAAGGTCATACAAATAATCTCTTCTGTTATCTTCTGGAAGGCTGATTGCTTCACCTTTCACATGTAGGCCCATGAACTATCTGGAGCTTATTTCTGTATAAGATGTTAGAATCAGATATTTTTTTTCCTGCCTGTGTGGTTATCCAGTTAATCCAGCATCATTTGTTGAAGAGTCTATCCTTTCCCCACCACACTGCAGTGGCATCTTTATCACAAGACCATGTGACTTTAAAGCAAGTCTTGATATCAGGTAGTTTAAGTCCTCCAACTTTGTTTTTCTTGAGAAACTATTTTTAAATGGCCAAATAGTCTCAGACAGTTGTTGGCCCCATTCCTTCCTTCTGCCTTCTCAAGCCCATCTTGCCTTTTGACCCCAGAGCTTACAACTTACAGACTCATCATCTCTTCTTTTCCATGACCATTTCAGACTAGAGGTTAGAATTCCATAAGCAAGTGCAGCTTCTCTTTTGGTGGAAGATTAATACAGAATCACCTTCACCTGTTGTATGCCCTGCCATCCTGGCTACTAATCTGGCTTGGGGCTTAGGTTCCATTGCTGACTGCTATTGGGCTTCTAAACTGTTTCCCTGACCCCTTTATATTGGACCTTCTATGCCAGAATTCCCAAACCCAAAACCCTCTGATTTTCCTGGTTCGTAGCCCTGAAAGTCGGCTTCAGTTTGCACTTCTATTAATTATTTTTATTCACCTATATTGTCCCCTAATCTCCTGATAAGGATGTGATTTCTCATAGATAAATCTCCAAAGTACAGGAAGCCCACCCAAATTCTCTATCTCTATGCTCTGACTACTAGGATATCCTGTTTGCTACCCAATTATGAGACCCTCCTGTCAACTGTTTTTGTATACAGTGGCTTGCAAGACAATAGCGGCATTATTTATTTGCTCCCCTCTAACAGGTCTTAGAATAAGTAGACATAAAAATGGCAAGTTACACACATGCATGCACACACACACATGCTTGCTTGTTTGTACAGGTTATAAAGAAATTAGATGACTATTTGGGACTCCTTGTGGTGTGGATGGAGAAAGTAGTCCATTACGAAGGATGAAGAAACATTTGTTCTGTTTGTTGTGTGCCAGACACAGTACTAAAGTAGCTTATCTATCCTTTTTTTCCCCTGTTGAGCAGGAACAGCTATTTAAAGCCCATATTTTATGTGTTAAAGTGGATTATAGAAATGAAACTTTATTTGTAAATTCATTATACAAGTAATACTTCAATTAACATGAAACTTCTTTTAAGTAGAGTTGGCCTAGACACAGGAATTTTCTGGAAAGTTTTGAGTCTCCCCTACACTGATTGGTTCAAGGACACTTAGAAGCAGTGGCACTCTCTTAGGTTTCTAAAGGGTAAGTTGGGTCAGAGCCAATACCTGCTGCAGGGGATCATGCAGCAGCGCAAGTTCTCGCCATCAATTGGTGACCCCTTTTTGAGAAATATGAAAATGTTTTTACTCTAGAAGGCCAATAAAGCCTGTCTCACCTATAATGGAAAATAGAGTACCTTGCAAAGGTATGACAGGAAGAAAAACTTGCGGAGTTGTTGCTTTGGTTACAGAGTTTCTGATTCAGATCTTTGTATTTGCATTAATGTCTGAGTTTGGAATAGGTTGTGAACCAATAAATTATTTCATTTTTAAAGAGTAAAAGTTTTGGAAAAAAGCAATAGGTTAATCACAGATTAGGCTAGGAAAAAAAAGCCATCACACATAGTTCTTTGAAAGTAAGGTATTATGAGCATGTAAAATGGTACAGCTACTCTGGAAAAGAGTTTGGCAGTTTTTTACATAACTAAACATGTACTTACCATGATACCCAGCAGTCACACTCTTGAGCATTTATCCTAGATAAATGAAAACTTACATGCCCACAAAAACCTGTATATGGAAGTTCCTAGCATCCTTATTATACATACTATTTATATATACTATTATTATGTATATACTGTTTATACTATTAGTGTTTATGTATGTACACACACACTATACATATGCAGTTTATAATAGTAAGATACTGGAAACAACCAAAATGTCCTTCAGCAGGTGAACAGTTAAACAAACTGGTATATCTGTACAATGGAATGCCACCAGCAGTAAAAAAAAAAAAAAAAAAAAAAAAAAAAAAAAAAAAAAAAAAGACCTGACCTATTGTTACAGGCAGCAACCAGAATGGACCTCGAGGACATTACACTGAGTGAAAAAAATTCAGCCTCAAAGGGTTGCATACATAATATCCTTTCAAAGGACAAAATTGTGGCGATGGAGAACAGATTAGTGGTTGCAAGGGGACAGGGATGGAGGTGGAGTGGGGGCAGTTCTGTGTCTTGATAGTGGTGGTAGTTACACAAATCTGAATAGAGGATAAAATTGAGCAGAACTATACACAAACACAAACGCAAGTTTTTTTTTGTTTTGTTTCGTTTTGTTTTTTTAATGGGATGGAGTCTCACTCTGTCACCCAGACTGGAGTGCAGTGGCACGATCTCGTCTCACTGCAACCTCTGCCTCCCGGGTTCAAGCAATTCTCCTGCTTCATCCTCCCAAGTAGCTGGGATTACAGGCACCCGCCACCACGCCTGGCTAATTTTTGTATTTTTAGTAGAGATGGGGTTTCACCATGTTGGCCAGGCTGGTCTCAAACTCCTGACCTCAAGTGATCCTCCCACCTCGGCCTCCCAAAGCGCTGGGATTACAGGCGTGAGCCACTGCACCCAGCCCTTTTTTTTTTAATGGTAACAATTTAACAAAGTCTGCGAACAATAATGTTAACAGTAATGTACCAACATTGTCATGGTAAATTTTATATTATGTCTATTTTACCACAGTTTTTTAAAAGGTGTTATGAGCATGTAAAACTAAGGAACAGTCTCTAGCAAACGGGGCATAAAGCAGTTTAATACTGTCAAATTTGAGGCTTCAAGTAAAGGATTATTCAAATTGTCTAATATATGCCAAAGTCTAAATTGGGTGAGGAATTTAATTAAGGACTCCAATATCAGATTTTAACAGTGTTTACTTAGCTAGAATTGTATAAGTAACACATTTATTCTAAAATACACATATTTAAATGTAGGCATATAAATCTCTTTGAATGCTTTTTTTTTTCCATTTTGAAACAATCACAAACATAAAAAGTTGCAATGTCAATACAAATAAATTTTTTTTCTGGGACAATTTAAGACTGCCAGCCTGATGCCCCATCACTACCAAATAGTTTAGTGTGTATCTCCTACAACCAAGGACATTCTCATGCATGACTACAGTACTACCATCACAAGGCTGGGCATGGTGGCTCACGCCTGTGATCCCAGCACTTTGGGAGGCCAAGGCGGGCAGATCACGAGGTCAGGAGATCGAGACCATCCTGGCTAACACAGTGAAACCCCGTCTCTACTAAAAAAAAAAATCCAAAAAAAAAAAAAAATTAGCCAGGCGTGGTGGCAGGCCCCTGTAGTCCCAGCTGCTTGGGAGGCTGAGGCAGGAGAATGGCGTGAACCCGGGAGGCGGAGCTTGCAGTGAGCCGAGATCGTGCCACTGCACTCCAGCCTGGGCGACAGAGCTAGACTCTGTCTCAAAAAAATACATACATACATACATACATACTACCATCACAATCAAGAAATTAACCTTGATACATTGCTGCTATAGTGAATCTTTTGGACTCTGTTAAAGTAGATGACTCACAATCATCCCAGTAGCAACCTTTATAGGAAGGAGACCAAGTGCTGCGTTTACTTCTCATGTCTCTTTATTCTTCTTCTTCAATCTGAAACAGGTTTTCAGTCTTTCCTTGACTTTCATGAGCTTGATACTTTTGAAGATTACAGGCCAGTAATTTTGTAGGCTGTCTCTCAGTTTGAATTTCCCTGAAATTTCCTCCTGAAGTCAGGTGTTGTATTTTTGACAGGATATCCCAGAAGTGATCCTGTATTCTCATTGCATCTCATCAGGTGGTGCATGATTTCAGTGTTCCCATTACTGATAATGTTCATGTTGATCACCTGATTAAGGTAGTGTCAGGCTTCACACTGTAAACTTATACTTTTTCCCTTTGTAATTAAGTATATTGTGGGGAAGTACTTTGAAACTATGCAAATATCCAGTTCCTCATCTAACTTGCAGTTTATTTACTTACATGTTTATATCTGTGAGGACTCAGTTTATTATTTTATTTATTGGGTTATAATCCATTATTATCTTTATTTCAGTGCTCAAATTGTTCCTGATTTAGTTAGTAGCAGCCCTTTCAAGGTAGCTTTTGTATTCTTTTGACATGTCACTATCTTTATTAATGCTTTTAAATTTTATTTTTATTTAATGTTTTTGAGACAGGGTCTCACTCTGTCACCCAGGCTGGAGTAGTACAGTGGTGTGATCACAGCTCACTGCAGCCTTGACTTCCTGGACCCAAGCAATCCTCCCACCTTAGCCTCCCAAGTAGCTGGACTACAGGTGCATGCCACCATGCCTGGCTAATATTTTGTTTTTTTTGTAAAGACAGGGTTACATCATGTTGCCCAAGGCTGGTCTTGATCGAACTCCTGGGCTCAAGTAATTCACCCTCCTCAGCCCCCCAAAGTGCTGGGATTACAGGTGTGAGCCACTGCGCCCGGCTGCTTTTAAACTTTAGAAAAAGGGCCGGGCGCGGTGGCTCACGCCTGTAATCCCAGCACTTTGGGAGGCCGAGGCGGGTGGATCATGAGGTCAGGAGATCGAGACCATCCTGGCTAACAAGGTGAAACCCCGTCTCTACTAAAAATACAAAAAATTAGCCGGGCGCGGTGGCGGGCGCCTGTAGTCCCAGCTACTCGGGAGGCTGAGGCAGGAGAATGGCGTGAACCCGGGAAGCGGAGCTTGCAGTGAGCCGAGATTGCGCCACTGCAGTCCGCAGTCAGGCCTGGGCGACAGAGCGAGACTCCGTCTCAAAAAAAGAAAAAAAAAAAAAAAAAAAAAAAAAAAACTTTAGAAAAAGGAATCCTGTAGTTAATGGCTGTATAATATGCTATTGTAGGGATATAGTATAACTTGCCTAAATAATCCCTTTGCAGCATTTTGTTTTAGATTTCCTTAAAAGGAGTTTGCATAGTACAACCATATTGCCTTCTGGAAGGCTTGTAACAATTTACACTCACAAGCAATGTGCATGTGTGCAAGGGTTCCTTTCCCCACATTCTCATTAACAATCGCAAAGTGATTTTAAATAATAGGAACTTCATAATTAGAGGGACATAGTTAGAGGTCAGATTACCTCGTACACTAATTAGAAGGGGTTATCAGGACACTAGGCAAGGGAACAAAATAGGATTTGTGTGTATCTTGTACTTTTTTTTTTCTATTTAAATCAGCAGCAGGAAAGAAGAGTATGGCAGAGCAAAGCAGTTATTTCCTTCTTTATGGTGCTAATTTCGTAAGAAAGATAATTTGAAGTAGATATATTACAATGGAGCCTTTTCCTTTTCTTGTGACTTGCTCATTTCTTCCTGGTAACTCTGAGTGACTGACCAGTCGTTAACCTCAAAGATCCTTTTCAAAATTCTGAAGCCATTCTCCACTAAGCAGCTGTCTGAATGAACTTTGGGAAAGTTACTCACTAGTTGGCTTCATTTTCCTCACCTCTAAATTAAACTATGTGGTTTCTACGGTACCTTCACTCTAAAACTGTGGAAGATCTTAGGAAATTTTATTCTGAGAGAAGTCTAGCTTGCAAAACTGGTTGAATTTTGTAGTAAACATTTTCCTCATGTATCTAACTGGGCAGCTGTGAGTTGTAAGAAGTATCTGTTTATTATTTATGTGCTGGTTTTATTCTAGGACTTTGGCTGTTAGTCCTCCCTTTTTTTTTTTTTTTTTTTTTTTTTTTTTTGAAACCGAGTCTCACTCTGTCACTCAGGCTGGAGTGCTGTGGCACGATCTCGCCTCATTGCAATCTCCACCTCCTGGGTTCAAGTGATTCTCCTGCCTCAGCTTCCTAAGTAGCTGATATTACAGATGTGCACCACCACGCCCGGCTAATTTTTTTATTTTTAGTAGAGGTGGGGTTTCACCGTGTTGGCCAGGCTGGTCTTGAACTCCTGACCTCAAGCAATCTGCCCACCTCAGCCTCCCAAAGTGCTGGGATTATAGGTGGTCCCTTTGCTTGTAATGTTAAATCTGACCTGTGGAACTTTTGACTCCTCAGCACAGAGGAATAGAATAACTCAGGTTTCATTTAAGAATTAAATGTATTAAAAAGAAGCTATTACAAATTAATTAGTATGGGAAGGATTATTCAACAAAAGGGATTAAGACCATTGCTTGGCTGTTGAGAAAAAAAAAATTCACCTTACATTTTTGCTTTACATCATACACCAAAATAAGTTCTAGATGTGTTAAAATTAAATGTTTTTTATTCCCTAAAAGTAGAAGAAAATAAAAGTGAATATTTATTAACTTTTATATGACAGCAAAATAATGAAGAAAGTTGCATAAAACTTTCTTCATCTTCGTGAAAAAATCAATTGATTTGACTTCCTAAAATTAACTTGGGAAAACAGCTTGGCAGTTTCTTATAAAGTTGAGCATGCTACATGACGCAGCATTCACACTCCTGGGTTTATATATTTTAGAGAAATGAAAACATGGGTTCACATAGTAATCTGTACATGAATGTTCATAGCAGTTTTATTTGTAATAGGAAAATACTGGAAACAACCCACATATCCTATATGGAGTGAATGGGTAGACAACCTGTGGTACATCTATACAATGGAATGCTAGTTAGCAATGAAAAAGAGTCAGACCCAGGAGTGGTGATGTGCACCTGTAGTCTCAGCTACCCAGGAGGCTGAGGCAGGAGGATTGCTCAGCCCAAGAAACCAGCCTGGGCAACATAGTGAGACCCTGTCTCTGAAAAAAGAAAAAGAAAAGGAATGAACTGTTGACAAATGCAGCAACATGGATAGCTCTCAAGGGCATTATTAGGCTGAGGGAAAAAGCCAGCTTCAAAGGGTTATGTATTGTGTGATTCTATTTATATATAACATTCTTGATGTAACAAATTATAATGATGTAGAATAGATCGAGGATTAGGGTTTAGGGAAGAGTGTGACTATTAAGAGGTAACATGAGGGAGTTTTTTTTGTGTTGATAGAACAGTTCTTATCCTGATTGTAGTGATGGTCACTCTAATCCACACATATAAAATTTTTAGAACTGTACGCATGCACACACACACACACACACACACACACACACACACACACACACACACACACACAACTGGTGAAATCCAAACAAGGTCTGTACCTGAGTTAATAGTATTGTACTGATGTCAGTTTCCTGGTTTGACCATGTGTTATGGTTATTACCTTATTACTATATTACCATTGGGAGAAGCTAAGTGGAATATACACAAGAACTCTTGTATTTCCAACTTTTTTTGAGTCTTAAACTATTTCAAATTATTAAGTATTTAAAAATTAACTTGGGTCAGAAATAAACATTGAAAAGCCAAGTGAAGAAAATATTTGTAACAATTATTACTGATAAAATTTTGATGCCTTTATTAATATAAAGAACTCATACAAATCCATAAGGCAAGCACTGAATCCTTAATGAATTGAAGGAGAACTTAACAGAATAAGCACTTACCCCAGGAGAGAATTTTGTAGCTGTACTTTTGTAAGTGTATATTCAGAATTATCTGGAATCCCCACATTTCATTAATGTACTACCAGTGCTCTTGGTAACATGTAGTCTAAGAGAACTTTTTTTTTTTCCAGTGCACTATAGCTGTGTAAAGTAATTGCACCTAAGAGAAAAATAGATTAAAAGATACAAAACATCATGCAGGACATGGTCAAGGAAAAAAGGAGACAAAATAGAGCATTGTAAATTTGCATTGTTTTAAAGTAGCTTTGAGAGAATTTTGAAAGATCTTGTTCTATGTAATCTGTCCCCTCCAAAAATTCTTTTTTTCTTTTTTACAGGTGTAAATTAATTATTTGAAAGCAACTGAACAATGGAGCCAGACATCATTCGAATGTACTCTTCATCCCCACCACCATTAGACAATGGAGCAGAGGATGATGATGATGATGAATTTGGGGAATTTGGTGGGTTTTCAGAAGTTAGCCCTTCTGGTGTAGGGTTTGTTGATTTCGATACACCAGATTATACTCGTCCCAAGGAAGAGTTTGTACCTTCAAACCATTTTATGCCAATTCATGAATTCTCAGAAAATGTAGATAGCCTTACAAGCTTTAAGTCCATTAAAAATGGTAATGATAAGGACATCACTGCTGAACTTTCTGCTCCTGTGAAAGGACAGTCTGATGTTTTACTTTCTACCACCAGCAAAGAAATAATTTCATCTGAAATGTTAGCTACTTCCATTGATGGCATGGAAAGACCAGGAAATTTAAATAAAGTAGTGGAGCAGAGACAGAATGTTGGAACACTTGAAAGTTTCTCTCCAGGAGATTTTAGAACTAATATGAATGTTGTTCATCAAAACAAGCAGTTAGAGAGCTGCAATGGTGAAAAGCCTCCTTGTCTGGAGATTCTAACAAATGGGTTTGCAGTGTTGGAAACTGTAAATCCTCAGGGAACAGATGATCTGGACAATGTAGCTGATTCAAAGGGACGGAAGCCTCTTAGCACTCATAGCACTGAGTATAATTTAGACTCTGTACCTAGTCCTGCTGAGGAATTTGCAGATTTTGCCACATTTTCCAAAAAGGAAAGGATACAATTAGAAGAAATAGAATGTGCAGTTTTAAATGATAGAGAAGCACTAACCATTCGGGAAAACAATAAAATTAATAGAGTCAATGAACTGAATTCTGTAAAAGAAGTGGCTTTGGGTAGAAGCTTGGATAACAAAGGAGACACTGATGGAGAGGATCAGGTTTGTGTTTCAGAAATAAGCATAGTGACTAACAGAGGTTTCAGTGTTGAAAAACAAGGCCTTCCAACACTGCAACAGGATGAATTTTTACAGTCAGGTGTTCAGTCAAAGGCTTGGAGTTTGGTAGACTCAGCTGATAATTCAGAAGCCATTAGGAGAGAACAATGTAAAACTGAAGAAAAACTTGACTTACTTACTTCTAAATGTGCTCACCTATGCATGGATTCTGTTAAAACTTCTGATGATGAAGTTGGTTCTCCCAAAGAAGAAAGTAGAAAGTTTACTAATTTCCAAAGCCCAAACATTGACCCCACAGAAGAAAATGATTTGGATGATTCTTTAAGTGTAAAAAATGGTGATAGTAGTAATGACTTTGTGACTTGCAATGATATCAATGAAGATGATTTTGGTGATTTTGGTGACTTTGGCTCTGCCAGTGGCTCAACTCCACCTTTTGTTACTGGTACTCAAGATTCAATGAGTGATGCCACTTTTGAAGAGTCTTCAGAGCACTTTCCACATTTTAGTGAACCAGGTGATGACTTTGGAGAATTTGGGGATATAAATGCTGTTTCTTGCCAAGAGGAGACAATATTAACAAAGTCAGACCTAAAACAGACTTCTGATAATTTATCAGAAGAATGTCAATTGGCAAGAAAATCTAGTGGAACAGGCACTGAACCTGTTGCAAAACTTAAAAATGGGCAAGAAGGTGAGATTGGACATTTTGATTCTGTGCCAAATATTCAGGATGACTGCAATGGTTTTCAAGACTCTGATGATTTTGCAGACTTCAGTTCAGCTGGTCCTAGCCAAGTTGTAGATTGGAATGCTTTTGAGGATGAACAAAAAGATAGTTGTTCTTGGGCTGCTTTTGGAGACCAGCAGGCTACTGAATCTCATCATCGAAAGGAAGCCTGGCAGTCACATAGGACAGATGAAAATATTGATACTCCAGGAACCCCCAAAACGCACAGTGTACCTTCAGCAACTTCCAAAGGAGCAGTTGCTAGTGGCCATTTACAGGAATCAGCCACTTCAGTTCAGGTATTTACTAATTTTCTCTATTTTGTATGATGTATTAATTGTTGTGGAGGCTTCTAATTTCAGCTTTTCAAAAAATATTTTTTCAACTGAGTACTTGTTAAAGGAGTCTCGTTATGATGTATAATGCCTGTCTGATTTGTGGGTTGGTTACATTTTTCACAACCCTTTGGGAAACTACAAATAGTCCTATAGTAAAGCGCAGTAAGATTTTTCTTTATCTCAATGAGTTTCGTTAATATTTACAGATACTCATCAACTTGGATTTTTTGGTGACTATAAATACCATATATGTTAAAAAAAAAAAAAAAAACCCACACTTATTACCTAATTGACGGTTCCAGTCAATCCTTCAGTATTACCCTTTACAGTGATTTTAAAAGAAGGTTAAACTGAGATTTGGATCTTTTTTTTTTTAAGCTTAAGAATAGAATGTTAATTTTTTCCATCAAAGACCTAGGAAATTCAAGTACGGTTTTGATTCCAGGAGAGAACAAGCAGAATTTGAAACCTCATTCTGTGCCAAAGGCTATAGTGAATTGAAGAACAGAAAAACAACTAGAAAAAAGCAAGTTTTTCTTTTTCCTCATAATTTAGCAGCTGCTAAAAGACTTGGGGTGAGGGTATGAGATGAATTAAGGTTTAGTCCTAAAATAAGAAATAACTATAGGTTCACTTATTGTAGTTGTATTTATTTGCCTATACTTTCTTACAAATGTACTTGTTAGCTCTTCCTAGAGAGTAGGTGTGTCAGGGAGAATATTTTTACCCCTTACCTCCTATACATTATCCTTTTTTGATTCAGACTCTTTCAGAAAAGATTCATTAAGATTCACTTTGACCTAAAGTAGCCCCTAGAGGTGTAGCTTGATATCTAGGTTGTTCCCCAGTCCAGAGTTCTACTCTGTGCTAAACTTTACCTTTTTTCAACTCCAGGGGTGTGGAAGAGGGCACTCCCTTGAACCTCACTGCCTTATACTGACAATTGATATATGTAACTAACACCTGATCCACAAGCTTATTTTAAATATACTGTTAATAAACTCAGAATCTACAAACTTTATTTCTCCAGTTATCTTCTGCTAAGAAAACCATTTTCAACTGGAAATCTTTCCAAAGTCTTTGTAATTGAAATACTTATATTTCATTGCCTTGATAACTTTGAGACAGTAAGATATTAGAGAAATTATGGTATTACCAGTTGGTGTGCATAGCTAATCGCTTTTTAGTTGGCTTTTGTGTCAAAGTAGTTTAATTTGCTAATTCAGTTATTACATGGTTTAGCTAATGTGTATTATTCCTATTGAGCAGTTCATTATTTAGGCAGAACCTTGCCATTTTAAACAAGAAGTGAACTAATTATGATGCTAAATGAGGACTGTTGCTTTTGACCTAACCCTTTCCCTATTTAGTTTCATCTCACTAGAGGATAGGGTGACACTGGTATTGGGTGATCTTTAATTTGTAGCCTTAGAACTTTTAACATCATCAGATAATGAATTTTTTAAAGTGTGACCACTCAAGTAGGAATTTCTTGCATCATACAAGTTGATTGAAGTTATTTATGTATAATTTGATAACTGGATATAGGAGATAATAAAGCGTATGGGCTTCATGGAATCTGACAGATCTGAGTTTGAATTTTGACCCAGCCTCTTAAAAAGCCTTATGATTTTTGGATAGGTTACTTCTGAATTCAGCTGTATATACAAAGAAGGTAATACCTACTTCAAAGAACTTTTGTGAATATAAAAGGAAATTTTAAAATGAGTGAAATAATCTGCTAGAAAATAAGAATTTTATAGTATGATTCTTTTTTTTATAAAAATAAAACAAACTATAGATGGGGCAAGATGCATTAAGAGTTTCTGAGACCAGGTGCAGTGGCTCATGCCTGTAATCACAGCACTTTGGGAGGCTGAAGTGGGTGGATCACTTGAGGTCAGGAGTTCTAGCCCTGCCTGGCCAACATGGTGAGACCCTGTCTCTACTAAAAATACAAAAATTAGCTGGGCGTGGTGACGTGCATCTGTAATCCCAGCTACTCAGGAGGCTGAGACAGGAGAATAACTTGAACCCAGCAGGTGGAGGTTGCAGTGAGCCGAGATCACACCACTGCATTTCAGGCTAGGCTACAGAGAGAGACTGTCACACACACACACACACACACACACACACACACACACACACACAAGACTTTCTTGGATTTGTTTGGCTAAGGCCTCATGCTTCTATTTTTGCTAATGGGTTATGGAAAATGAACAGAATTTGGATGTTGGGAAAGAGAAACTGCTGGAGGAGGCCAGAAGAAGTTTGGGAAGAAAGTTGAAGTAGTGAAATGGATAAACCCTGCTGAGTAAGTGACTGAGTCAGAAGTGGAGAAAGATTGAACAAAGACTCTCGTTCTTACCCTGCTGTTGTGAAAGAGAATTGCGGCTGGCACTTTATTTCTTGGGCTTCAGATTCTGCTAGAAGAGTGCATTAATTTAGCCCTTTTGGAGAGGATTAGATTTATTAGTATTTTTCTTAAAATGTTTTCCCTAGTTGCTCCGGACAGTGTTTGGAACAGCACGAATTCCTCACTTTTTTTTTTTTTTTGGAGACAGAATCTTGCTCTGTCACCCAGGCTGGAGTGCAGTGGCACGATCTCAGCTCACTGCAGCCTCCGCCTCCCGGGTTCAAGCAGTTCTCCTGCCTCAGCCTCCCTAGTAGCTGGGACTACAGGCCCATGCCACCACGCCCGGCTAATTTTTGTACTTTTATTGGAGATGAAGTGTCACCATATTGGCCAGGCTGGTCTCGAACTCCTGACCTCAGGTGATCCACCCGGCTCGGCCTCCCAAAGTGCTGGGATTACAGGCGTGAGCCACCGTGCCTAGCCTCCTCACATATTAATAACAGTAAGCATTAAGTTTTTTAGTGGTAAAAGTTGAAATGATTTATTTCTGTTCAATCTTACCCGGATGCCACAAGTGTCCTGAACAAAATGCCATCAAGTGGTTTTGTCCGAATTTTGCTTTGACAGAACGTGTTTTAGAATTCAGAGCTTAATTAAACAAACATGGCAATTTGATTTAATTTGTTTGATTAAACAAGCATGGAAAACAAATCTTTGTTTTGTGAAGTCAGACAAATGGTATAGTTGGTCATTTCAGATTTCTTCCACTTTTCACTATTTGGTATGTGACATTGTCCAGGTCCCCATTTCTTAGCACTTTCCTGTTTTTAGCCCACCAAAAAGATATCTTAAAATGTTAATAAATATGTCTTCGTTGGGGTTAGTGCAATAATTTGTTACTTAGGTAGCGAAAAGTCAAGCAAGAATTCTTGCAAAATTAAAAAAATGTTCGTAGTCTAATTCTCAGCTGTGGGTCCAGCCAGTCTCAGAGGGTTCAAGCTTTGATGTAAAAGCCATATATGAACATTATTGAGAAATAGATATCTTGTCCCTTCGGTGAATAATTTTTTCTGAGAACCTGAAGTTTAGTATATTTCATTCTTTTGTTAACATTTGTATAAATTGTAGAGAAGGTAAGTAGTGGTATCTCCATTATACGAATGAGAACGAGGTCTTCACTTTTTGGCTAAAGATTTAAAACAACAAAATGCAACAACAACAACAAAACCTTCCTTACATTTCAAAGCAGTCCTTTTTTATGAGTGTTATTTTAACAATTTTTTTTTCTGTCCTGGGAAGCCAGGAAATTTTTTTTTAACTTTTTTGTTTCAGAAAGAAATCTTGATTGAAATAACCAAAATGCCTTGTTTGATAGCTACATGATAAAAGAGGTAATGAATGTCATAAGCACTGCATTTACCCCTGAGCTTTTGTAAAATTTTAAAATATTGTTCTGGATATCATTTAGAAATTTAGGTAATTGGTAAGTAATCTGTTTATATTAATTGGGTATAGAAAAGGAGGCTATGAGTTATTTTTTATTAGACATCCAATTGATAATGCTACAGGGAAAATGCTGTTAGCTGAAGATTTGTTTTGAGAGCTTTGAAAGTCAAGTGCCACCAAAAAGAAGAGAATTACTAATACCTTGGCTTGTGTTAGTTCAAGATTAAGTTACTGGTTTGTTTTGTTTTTGAGACGGAATCTTGCTCTGTCGCCCAGGCTGGAGTGCAGGTGCAATCTCGGCTCACTGCAGCCTATGCCTCCTGAGTTCAAGCGAGTCTCGTGCCTCAGCCTCCCAAGTAGCTGTGATTACAGGCATAGAAACTCAGTGTTCTTAAACTGAATATAACCAGTCCTACCTTTTCATCTTCACTTATTTAGTCATCTAGCTAATATTTATGCAGGTTTTCCATCCTGTGAACACTGGAACATACAACTGAAAACAGAAGTAAGCAACAAAATAAGAGAATTAAGATGTAAGACTTTAGCTTTCCTTATAGATCTTTCCTTATTTAACTATTTCGATAGAATTTCCTTTTGCTATTTTTTCCTCAGAAAATTTGACTATCTGGTGTTTAATTTCAAAATAGAAATGCTTTATTAGATTTATTCAGAAACTGTACAGAAGGGAAAAATCATGTTTAGATCTGGTGAATATTACAGCTGGTCACTCTTTATACAGCTTGAAATTGGGGATTGGTAAGTATACAGTTGTAGATTGTACTTGATAGCTTACTTAATATTTAATGGTGCTGCAGCATAAGATATCCTCTTAAATGGAAGATTAAATTACCCAGTGGATTTTAATGTTTCTTCTAAACTTCTACTTGAGTGTGAAACCTAATGTTATCAATATTAAAACTATTGATATTAATCAACTCCTGTCCCTAAGCAAGAAAGGAAAACTAACTGGAAATAAGTTGAAGGAATATCAAGAGTTACCTTAAATATAAAATACTTAAGTCATTACTTAATATCCTTGATAGGGTCTTGGAAACTGCAACTTTAAGTGAAAGGACATATAACAAAACCAATTTTACCATAGGCTAACTGATATAAACAAGAGTTAAGTTTCTATGGCATCTTTCTGGTCACAGAAACATCACTGAACCTCTAAATAAAGACACAAAGCACTTCTAATATTAAACATTGAAATAAATGTGAGCTATGCTCACATTTAAGAAAGATTACAAAGAACAAGAAACATAATTACTTACCCAGTTTTTGGTGAATCAGTGAGTGACATCACTCATAGTGGTGCTGGGTAAAATCAAGGGATAAACGTTTGCAAAGCAAAAATGATCTAAGGAGCACCTCCTACCACCATACAATTCAAAAACAATCACAAATCTGGCAGGCTCACTGGGCACTTTCATACTGCATAATTTATTGCTGTGCATTTGTATGATTATTGTAGACTTCACGAATGTTTACTTTGTAATTTATTCTTTTTGCAATCTACTTATTCCAGCTCAGGGTCATCAGTGGCCGAAGCCTATCCCTCCAGCTCAGGGTACAAGGCTGAAACTATTCCTGGCCTGAATGCCATTCCATTGCAGGGCACACTCACACACACATACCAGCACTTACTCAGACTGGAACAATTTAGACAATCTAATGTACACATCTTTAGGATCTATAAGGAAACTGGCATACCCAGAAAAAAAACCCAGGTGGACATACGGAAAATGTGCAAACTCCACACAGGTAGTGGCTGCAGCCAGGAATCAGTTGTTTTTCTCATCAACATTACAACAAAATGACATTATTCAAGGACCTGCTGTCCTTTAAAGGAGATAGGCATTTGAATGGCATAAGAACCAGAGTCTGGGGTCCTGTGTACACCTCTCTGGAAAGCTAAATGAGACTTGCAATACACTTAATCTCTTTATGCCCAGATGTAGTCATTTATAAAATAGAGGTGTATTAGAGTTCTCCAGATAAACAGAACCAATAGGGTATGTGTGGAGGTTAGGGAGGGAAGGATGGGGAGGGGAAGTAGAAGTGGAGGTAGTAGAGAGAGAGAGATTGATTATTGGAAATTGAGAAGTTCCAAAAGCCACAGTGCATAAGCTGGAGACCCAAGAGCTGATGGTGTAGTTCCAGTCTGAGTCCAAAGCCCTAAGAACCAGGAGAGCAGTGGTGTAAGTTCCAGCCCAGGAGCCAGCAGGCTTAAGATCTAAGAAGAGCTGATTTTTTAGCTCAAGTCCAACTGAAGTACCAACTCAAAATCAGGCAGAAGTTCCTTAGCATTTTTGTTCTATTCAGGTCTTCAGCTGATTGGATGAGGCCTACCCACATTAGGGAGGGCAATCTGCTTTAGTCAGATTACCAATTCAAATCTTAATCTCATCTAGAAACACCCTCACAGGTACTCCCAGAATAACATGTTTTCGCGTTCTTTGGTTTGTTTTTGAGACAGGGTCCCATTCCGTTGCCCAGCCTGGAGTGTAGTGGCATGGTCTCTGCTCACTGCAGCCTTCACCTCTTGGTTTCAAGCAGTCCTCCCACCTCAGCCTCTCTAGTAGCTGAGACTACAGGTGTGTGCGACCACACCTGGCTAATTTTTGTATTTTTTATAGAAATGGGATTTTGCCATGTTGCCCAGATGGTCTCCAACTCCTGGGCTCAAGCAATCTGCCTGCCTCTGCCTCCTAGAGTGCTGGGATTATAGGCATGAGCCACCATGCTCCGCCCCAGAATAATGTTTGACCAAATGTCTGGGCACCCCATGGCCCAGTCAAGTTGACACATAAATTTAACCATCACAAGAGGGAACACCTTACATCCATATATAGCTTTCAGGATTTATGGAAGACTGGAACCTGTTTGTGACTAAAACGTGCCAGTCGAGAAGCTCTGCATTAGATTAAATGGCTTACTTGCACCAGTGGATAAAGTGAAATGGCTGCTTATATACCCTGGGACTTTCTTCCACTACCCCGAGACATAAAGACATGACAGAACTAGGAATGAGTAAAAGTTGTCAATTCATACATGAAGCTTTGCCCCACTGATGAATTAAACCATTGGGTAATCATTTTTTGCTTTTCCAGAAACCAAATCTGGTTTAAAAAATAATAATAATTATAAAGACATTCAAGGTAATGAAGGACCCTGATAGGAAAATGAATATACAAGAAATGAGAAAATTGGGAAAGAGGGAAAAGCTAAAAAAGCAAATGTACCTTTGAAGATGTGGTGTAGCCAAGGATGCATACGACTTTCCTGAGCCCTTTCTCCATAAAATGTGTTTTTTGGTTAACAGGAAGTAATAGGGAGGGGCCGGGCATGGTGGCTCATGCCTGTAATCCCAGCACTTTGGGAGGCCAAGGCGGATGGATCACTTGAGGTCAGGAGTTTGAGACCAGCCTGGCCAACATGGTGAAACCCCATCTCTACTAAAACTACAAAAGTTAGCTAGGCATGGTGGTGTGCGGCTGTAATTTGAGCTATTCGGGAGGCTGAGGCAGGAGAATCACTTGAACCCAGGAGACGAAGGTTGCAGTGACCCGAGATCGTACCACTGCACTCCATCCTGAGTGACAGAGCGAAACTCCATCTTGGGGGAGGAAAAAAAAGAAAGTAATAGGGAGGCAAATCAGAATTTGTGTGGGAGTACCCCCTAGTTCTGGCTCTTGTTAGTATACTCAACCTGTCAGGCTATTCTGAGAGCGAAAGCTCCTGCTTTGGGCTAGTTTCCATTCAGAATGGTTTTTGATAGGTATGAACTAGTCTAAGCACAAGTATACTTCTGTGTAAGTAGCATAGCTCCTCTACTTGGCTTCATAGCATTGGACATTAATAGAGAAAATGAAAAAGGAGGGTATGGTACCTGCCTTGAATAGCATTTGATTTTTAATCCTACATTTATCAGAGCCCCAGTTTTTAAAATGTTTAATAGCCAGATGTGCTGTTTGCCAGGCTTAGAAGTTGGTACTTCTGTGAATGAAAAGGTGTGACTGAGTCACATAAACTGGTATTCAGCTAGCCAGTCATCAGTTTATTCCATATTCAAGGGAAAACCAAGGACTGTTTTTCCTCTTTATACTTTGAAGATGATGGCATTTAAAATTCAAGTAATTGGGGCTGGGTGTGGTGGCCCACATGTGAAATCCTAGTGCTTTGGGAGGCCAAGGCAGGAGGATTGCTTGAAAGGAGGAGTTCAAGACCAGCCTTGGCAACATAGTGAGACGCCATCTCTACAAAAAATAAAAAATAAAAATTAGCCAGGCCTGGTGGTGTTCACCTGTGGTCCTAGCTACCCAGGAGGTTGTGACAGGATCACTCGAGCCCAGAAGTTCAAGGCTGCAGTGAGCTGTGATGGCACCACTGCGCTGAAGCCTGAATGAGCGAGTGAGACCATCTCTTAAAAAGAAAAAAAAAATCAAGTAATTGCTGTAACTATTATTTTGATTTGACGTTTAGTATTGTAACATCAGCTAAATATTTAGTATGCTAAGTGTGCATTTATTTGTTACCTTCATATTCAGAATGCAGCACTGACTCTTTAGTAAGAATTAACAACTAACTTTGTTGAAAACAATGAATTGTAGTGTTAGATGAAATCATTTGCTTTAAGCATAGTTATCACCGCACCATTTAACAGGTAAATCCCTTATCTAATTATGGCTAGAAATGTTTGAAAGACCACAAAATGTGGGGAAAAACATGATTTAGTGAAAAGAATGTAGGCTTTGGAGTCAGACTTTGGATCAAATATCTGCTGTGTACTATACCACCAGTAAGGCTATGGTACTTACCTGAATCTTCCTGAACTATAGTTTCTTCATCTGTAATATGAAGACAGTAATACTTCTGGAGTTTCTTTTAGAAGATTCATGGAGTAATACATGTAGAGCGTCAAGCATAATATGGTATATGGGAGACAAGATTTGGCTATTTTATGTCTTGTAATTATTTAAATATGCCCAACCTGTGTATAAAAATGATTTAGATGGCTTACAGTAAGATATACTTTTATAAGTAGAACAATTATGCCCCCTGCAGTCCTAAATGAAGGCGAAGTGCTTTTTTTTTTTTTTTTAATCTGGTGCACATTAATACCAACTATGTGCAGGAACCCAGGTACTGGAAATTCAAGAAAAAGACATAGTCCCTGCCCTCAAAGCTCTTGCAATTTTTAGAAATTGAACTTAGAACTGCTTTGATGACAACATAATATAGTGGTTAAGAGCACCTACACTGAAACTATACTTCCTGGGTAGGAACTCAGCCTCTCCACTTAATATTCATGTGACCACAGGGAAGTTAACCTCTTTCTGCTCTGCTTTTCTCATCCAGGAAATGGAGATGATATTATTACCTCCCTCATATGGTTCTTTTGAAACTTAAATGAGCTAAACTTTGTAAAGCATTTAGAATAATGTCTGCCACATGGTGGGCACTATGTGAGCATTAAATGAAAATTATGTTACATGATAGCAAGCTTTTGCAGCTTCTGAGTAGGTTTCAGAGTACATCTTTTGATCTTTTGCTGAATTTAGGCTCCCACTTTCCTGAACTGGGTTAAAATGATATTGTTTGCTTTACTTATACTGCCTTACGTGCCTAAGGAAACTAGAGCTCAGCCAGTGTCACTTCACCAATTCTAAATAATAAAGTATCTATTTTTTGGAATTTTACATCTAATTCAAGTCCACACGTACTGTAATATGTTAGTAAATGTCACTGTTTGATGCAACCTTTTTCTGCATTAATCTGCTACAGGGAGTTTGAAGATTTGTGTTGTGCCCCCACCTAATCAAAACCAGTAGATTTCCCATTATGGCTGCATATACTCTGTATTGAAATAGGAGTTCACATAAGCAGAGTAATATAAGCAAAGTTCCTTTGTACTCATAAGAAGAAATCCAAGTTTAATATTTTACTTTAACTAGAGTTTTGATGTGATACTGAATTTTACTACTGATTTATTTGCATATGTTAAACTATCCTTGGCTGATGTTGAGAGGATGATTGTATTGTAAAACAGATGAAAATAATATATGTACCCCCAAAAAATTTTTGAAAAACAAATTTGAAACCTTTGCCACTCTCACAGTTTTGATACACCTTTTATCCCAAGTGCTCAAATTTTATGTTCAAAATAGCAATGATTTCTTTAAAAAATTAGTGTCTGATCACAATCTGTTTGGGAAAATCTATTTCCTGAAAAAAACCTGTCTGGTCATAAGAGAAACTGTTCTTGTGGTAGGTTATTTTAACTTCTCTTCTTCTGAGTATTACATTAGTTATATTCTTGTAACTGTTCTACTTACCAAGTTATTTGGACTATGTTACATCACATTTTTGAATGTTTAACTTTATTGTGCTTCTTGGAAAGCAAAGTACTCTTTTTGAGATGGAGTCTTGCACCTCTGCCTCCCAGGTTCAAGTGATTCTCTTTGCCTGGGCCTCCCCAAGTAGCTGGGATTACAGGCACCAGCCACCACGCCCAGCTAATTTTTTTGTACTTTTAGTAGAGACACGGTTTCACAATGTTGGTCAGGCTGGTCTCGAACTCCTGACCTTGTGATCTGCCTGCCTCGGCCTCCCAAAGTGCTGGAATTACAGGCATGAGCCACCGCGCCCAGCTGAGAAGCAAAGTATTCTTAATGCCTAATGTGTGGTTTATACATTTTGTGTTTCATAATGCAATCAAGATTTAAGTCATAATGCCTGTAAGCCAACCACCAATATCCAAAATTTAAACTCTACAAGGAGTAACTATAGCAGGTTTCATTTATATAAGAGACTCTTAAAAATAGATACTCTTAAAAACTAGGTACTTTTTTTTCCCCCAACTCAATAGGATGACCTTGGGAAGGATGCAGAATGCTTAGATTATTTAATTTCTTGTTATATCATAATATGGTAGAAATTGATAAATTGAGATAAGTATTTTCATAGTGATTTAGAATGCTAAATCATGGTAGAGAAACATTCTTAGTGAGCTTTGATTCTAGTTTTGCCATTCATTTATTTCATTCCCTGGCAAGCCCCCTGTGTCTGTATGTATCATTTGTATAATAACAGTAGTAATGATAAAAGCTGCCACCTCTGACACCCTCGGTGCCAAATATTTAATCCTCTGAATTATCATCCACCTCGTGAGGTAGATAGACCCTGATATCTCCAGATTATAAATGCAGAAACTGGGCAGAAATGGTGGTAGACGCCTATAATCCCAGTTACTTGGGAGGCTAAGGCAGCAGAATCGCTTGAACCTGAGAGGCCAAGGTTGCAGTGAGCCGAGATCGCACCACTGCACTCCAGCCTCGGTGACAGAGTAAGACTCCATCTCAAAAAAATAAAAAATAAAAAATAAAATAAATAAATGCAGAAACTGGAGTCTTGGCCCCTGGATCTATAGCCCTCTATTGAAGTGTTATTATACCAGTCATTTACTTACTGGAATTAACTAGTAGTAAGTTAAATTTGGCCTTATTTATTACCCAAAACAAGATAGTGGTGAGAAACTCATTACAGGATGCCCTTACCACCAAACTGGTCTTATGGAAATTGATACACTTTTTTTTTTTTTTTAAGACCAAGTCTTGCTCTGTCACCCAGGCTGGACTACAGTGGCATGATCTCAGCTCACTGCCACCTCCACCTCTCCTGGTTCAAGTGATTCTCATGCCTCAACCTCCTGAGTAGCTGGGACTACAGGCGTGCGCCACCATGCCCTGCTAATTTTTGTATTTTTAGTAGAGACGGGGTTTCACCATGTTGGCCAGGCTGGTTTCAAACTCCTGAGCTCAAGCAATCCACCCGCCTCGGCTTCCCAAAGTGCTGGGATTACAGGCGTGAGACACTGCACCTGGCTGGAAATTGATACACTTTTAAAAATAAAATGTCAGAGTAAATTTAATAAAAATATTTGGGCTGGGCGCAGTGGCTCACACCTGTAACCCCAGCACTTTGGGAGACCGAGGTGGGTGGATCACGAGGTCAGGAGATGGAGACCATCCTGGCTAACATGGTGAAACACCGTCTACTAAAAATACAAAAAATTAGCTGGGCGCGGTGGTGGGCACCTGTAGTCCCAGCTACTCGGGAGGCTGAGGCAGGAGAATGACGTGAACCTGGGAGGCAGAGCTTGCAGTGAGCCGAGATTGCACCACTAAACTCCAACCTGGGTGACAGAGCGAGACTCTATCTCAAAAAAAAAAAAAAAAAAAGCCTTTGTTCATTCTATTAGTTGCTGAATTGTTGAGGAGTTTCCCTCCCTGTGTTGGGCAATGCTGTTAGTGGATTCTGGTTATTTATTATTTACTGCTCTACCTCAAGGGGCAAACCATGACCCACAGGACAAATCTACTGCCTGTTTTTGTAAATAAGTTTCACTGGAACATACCCATGCTTATTCCTTTACATATGGCCTACAAGGCCTAACATATTTACTGTCTGGCTCTCTATAGAAAAGATTGCTAATCTCCTGCTCTATCTTATTCAACGTAAGATTTGAAGCAATCTAATGTAATATCTGATCCTAAACATATATGAAACTTTCTTTAGAAATTTCCATTCAACTTACATCCTTTTTTGCCTCAGCTTCATTCCACTCATTTGAGAATTTTACTGGTGTCTTGACACCTGGCAGTTATGTGTAACATTGCCCAAGTGGTTGGATGTGTTTTAGGGTCATTTCTTTCTTCCTGTGGTAAACATTTTTTTCCTATCCCATTAAAAAGATAACAAAGAGGATACAAGAAAGATTTAATTTACAGAGAAATAAAATTTGGCCATGTTAGTTTTTTGTTTACCTTCCCTGCCCAGGAGGAGCCAATCATGTATCCAATTAGGTGGTTATCTGATCCCTTTGAAAATAATGTCTGTCCGTTCTCTCTGTTGAGGCAAGTGAGAGCAAGGGCCCCTTGATGCACTCAAGTTTCACAGGCCTTGGGATCTTGAGGCTACCCTTTACTTAGGGTTCATAATTGATAGTGAGAACCTTTTCCAATATCACACACATGAATATAATTATGATGTGAGAATAACTTTTGTAGAATTACAAAAGAGTACCCTAAGACTAATTATGCAGTGTTAAGTTTTTGCTCTGATACAGCTTCCAAAAGAGATTTGGGTTCAGAAAATGTTATGAAATTTTTTTTTTTAATTTTCCTGGGTGCTCACTACACTACAAAACAGAAATCAAGCATCAACTTGTTTTTGTTACTTGGCAGGAAGTACCACCATGATGTGGCATTTTGCTTTTACAGTCTGTGTCAATTCAATAGTAAACTTAATCTTACAACAGGCTTTAACTTAATAACAATTTGTATTCCCAGTTGATGTTTAAATGGTAAATTGGGCTAAGTTGGAAAATATATTACATGTATCTGAAATAGTTAGGAAAATAGGAATGAATGTTATTGTAGGTTGCACATGTATAGTAAACCTAGTGGTACCAAAACTAAGTTGATCTAAATCCAGCAAGTTTTAGTTAATAAAAATACTTTAAAAAAAAAAAGCCAAGAAATGTATCTGTTTGTTCTTGGTGGAAATACTCTGGGGAATATGCAGGCTTTACTTGGGAGAGAGGTAGTGTAGTATTCTATTCAAAAATATACATGCAACAAAGACGAGTAGAGAAATGGAATTTCTAAAAGATAATGCATATCACCAAAATGATGAATGAGCTTTCGAATTTTTTATCAGTAAAAATTGAGACATTCTTTGCTACTTTGGTTTGTACTGTTAGCAGCAAAGATATTTCCAAAAGGCTATCAAAATTCATGTTTATGTTCAAAAAAAGATTGTTTAGCTATAATAGCATAATACTTCCCACAAGCATCCAATCTTATTGTTCCTAAATCTAGAGTAGATGAGTGGTAGTAAGAGACATTCCAGTGTGGTGGAAAGAATATAAATGCTCTCTGGGTTTTTTTGGTTTTGCTTTGGGCAGATTATTCAGACATTGAGATTGCTTTCTCACTGTACAATTGGGTAATTTCTTTTTTGTAGAATTTTGTAATAGATTAAGATAATGCATGTAAAGTAGCAGGTATATTGCTTGGCATGTTGCTTTTAATTGCCAGCTACGTAGCTCATCATCATCATTTAAATTAATCATTTAGAGTGATTGTTTCATGAGTAGTTGTGTTCTTTTCACTCAGTGTTTTCTGATGGTTCTCTTCCTCTCTCACAGTAGTGGACAGGGTGTGCGTGTGTTTGCATTTTAATGCTATAACTATGATATTATCAAAATTAAATGAAAATAAACTTTTGGGGGGTGTTTTGATGCAGACAGCTTTATTAAACCGCCTGGAGCGAATTTTCGAAGCATGTTTTCCTTCCATACTTGTCCCTGATGCTGAAGAGGAAGTTACTTCCCTGAAGCACTTGCTGGAAACAAGCACTTTGCCAATAAAAACGAGAGAGGCCTTACCTGAAAGTGGGTAAGTAGGAGACTGTTTTTAGATAGCATGTGTTTTTGTTATTTTTAGTAGTTCTAATTTATAAGTTTATCTTAAAACATTAAGGTTCAGGCCAGGCGCAGTGGATCACCTGAGGTCAGGAGTTTGAGACCAGCCTAGCCAACATGGTGAAACCCTGTCTCTACTAAAAATACAGAAAATTAGCAGGGTATGGTGGCACATGCCTGTAATCCCAGCTACTTGGGATTGAGGTTGAGGCACAAGAATCGCTGGAACCCAGAAGACGGAGGTTGCAGTGAGCCAAGATCACTGCACTCCAGCCTCAGTGACAGAACAAGGCTCTATCTCCAAAAAAAAAAAAATTAAGGCTCAAAAACATTGTGTCAAAACCTAAACTCCCTGCCTTTTTACTTTTGAGCTATTTCTTTTTATATTTCTAAATCAATAATCAGTTGATGTTATATATTATTTTTTGACTTCTTAGAATGAAAACTGAAAATTTAGATTTTACCTCTGCTATTCTCCTCCCCTCATCTTCCCCATATATCAGTTTTTGGTTAATTTCTTATTTGGCATTTTCATTATTATAATCACGTATGTATTGTTGACTCAAGCCACTGTTTTCTTTATAGTACAACTTCTTCCTGGACTTCTCTTTTTCATTAATGTTTCCCTACCCTTTAAGAGCTTGTTCATACACTTGTGATCCAACACCTTATCATTCTGCTCCCATCTAGAATGGTTTCAGTCTGGGCTTACACATACATTGCCTCGGGACTTCCCTTCACTTAGATCCCATTTTGGTGGAGCATATCCTCCAATAGCCTTCTGAGAAAAAAGGTAGATGGGAGGCAAATTTTTACTCTACTCTCACATTCAATTTATAGTTTAAGATCTGTTTGTTGCTGATATTCTGAAATTTCACAGTGAAATACCTTTTTTTCTTTGAGACAGTCTCGCTCTGTTGCCCAGGCTGGAGTGATCTCAGCTCACTGCAACCTCTGCCTCCTGGGTTCAAGCAGTTCTCCTGCCTCAGCCTCCCGAGTAGCTGGGATTACAGGCACCCAGCACCATGCCTGGCTAATTTTTTGTATTTTTTAGTAGAGATGGGGTTTCACCATGTTGGCCAGGCTGGTCTAGAACTGCTGACCTCAGGTGATCCGCCTGCCTCGGCCTCCCAAATTGCTGGGATTACAGGCGTGAGCCACCGCACCCAGCCTTAGTTATTTTTCTAGTGACTATAAGTATTGGCTCTTGATTTCATTCAAATAGTTATACACTTACGTTGGACCCAAGAGTAAATGGAATGTGTGTTATGTCACAGCCATATTATAAGTAGAACTCATGGTGAAAGTTATTGAGTAACCTGTTGTTGATGGCTTCATCATGGCCTTTGCAGGGAATTGCTAGATGTGTGGACTGAGCTACAGGATATCCATGATGCACATGGCTTGAGATACCAGTGGGGCGGCTCCCATAGCAACAAGAAGCTTTTGTCCTCCTTGGGAATAGACACCCGAAACATTGTGAGTTTGTTAGTACCTTGAAAAATCTTTTAATCAACCTGTGGATGTTTTAAAATTCTGTCATACTTCTGTTTAAGCTGTGGTAAGCTAGTTCCTCAGAAAATAAATATTTGGTTTAAATGTTCACTTATATTGAATGTGCTGACTTTTAAACATCAGTCTACCTAAATTTTTCTCTAATCAATACTTATTTTTAGAAAAAATTGTTTTAGTAGTTTTTCTTAAATATAAAATGAAGGAATTGGACTGGGAGATAAAATAACCCATATGGGCAATTTTTAAGTTTCATCAATTTATCATTCCCAATATATGTAATAACACATCTCAAGCATATTTGGAAACTATTTCATTGTATGATAGATTATTCTCTAAATATATGTTCTTTCTGTCTAACGTGTGTGTAGCTCTTCACGGGCAATAAGAAGCAGCCTGTTATAGTGCCCATGTATGCAGCAGGATTGGTAAGTACAAAAATCTCTCTGCATGTATTTATCATTACTGCATCTATTCTGTAAAATCATCTTAAAATACACTTCTATGTCATGCTATATAAGAGACATTTAGTGTTGGAATCTGAAGGGTATAAATAGATCTTTTTTGATCTCATAAATCCCATCAAATATTGATCACAGGACTTTTAAAATATTTCATTAATTACAGATACTGTTTTTAGATTGAAAATTTTTATCTTAGTAATATTAGCATATATAACTGTAAAATGCACCTTTGGAGGATTCTTTTTCTTTTCTAAACTTGCTTTAAAGAAAAAGCTGAAGTATCAGAAGGCCTAAAGATATCATTTATTTTAATCCAGTTATTAATTTTAAATGCAATATTGAGGCTATAGATGTACATAAAAGCTTAGAAACACCAAATTATAATGAAATGAAAATGAGCCAGGACTCATAATGGGTTCTTAGTTTTTCCATTAATGTTTTAAATGTGTTGAATTTTGTTTTTTCAGATATGCCAGGTAGTCCCGGAAAACTGAGACATTTTCATTCTGTTCCTTCTCAAGACTCAGTCACATTTTAAAGTTTGATGTTTGTGTTTTTTGGTGTGTATTTTTATCGATGAATAAAAATGCCCCATCAAACTAAAAGCATTACTATAACCGTTAAATTGGAAATAAGGAAAAAATAATGAAGGAATCTTTGGTATAGAATTTATACAATCCATTATGTGCATGTGACAATTTGCTGTGGAACTTGACCTTTAAATCTACAAACTTTCTCCATGAATAAGCACTAATTATTGATTTTGAATTGGAACATTTTGATTTGTTTTGTGGGATTTTCTAGAGTTTTGGTTTTTTTAAAATCTGTTTACTCCTTTGTAAATGGTTATCGTGTACTTTAAAAACATTTTGATGATCCCCACATTGTTTTCTGTTGTAGGTAAATATAATGCTGGACATTTCTTTAACTTTTTGGTTATTTGGATTTCTCTTTTTCTCAAGGAGTAGCAATCCAGAGGTTGTTGATGTTATGGAACTAGGAGTTTAATTTGTAGGCACTTTCATTCAGCATATTAGGGGCAGTGACCTACTTAATGCTTATGCGTAGCCTCAGCCCATTAGCCAGTTCTGTGAGGTTTGTGAGAAGTTAGAGGCTAAAGCTTATGCTTTATTTTTCAACCTTTATTAGTAATATTTTTACTATTTCTATGGACTTTTTTTCCCACTTCTTTCCTCCCCTCCCCCCCCCCCCCACCTTTTTTCCAGTTTTTCACATCTGTCAGCTCATACCTATGGCTACTATTTCTATAAGCTTTAATTCCAAAGTTTATTTAATGAATTTAAATGTATCTCGCCCTCCCCCATCTTTGTGATATCTTTCATTTAGAAACTTTTTTTTAATATCAAGTTTTAATTATAGCTAAATTTACCCATGGTACCTTACACATTTGAGATGTTCAATAATCTTTTGATCTCACCCGGAGAAATAGTACCTGAAGTGATCATTTAAGCCACTGGTTCTCAAACTTTAATGTATATAAGAATCACTTGGAAGACTTGTTAAAACACAAATTGTTGAGCACCGCCCCCCACCCCCCTGTTTCTTTTTCAGTATTTCTGAGGTAGGCTCAAGAATTTGCACGTCTGACAAGTTCCAAGGTGACACAGAAGCTGCTGATTGGGGATCACAATTTGAGAACCACTGCTTAAAGTGATCGTTCAAATTAACAAACTTGGCTGAAACTAGTAATTGTTTGCCAAATGTATCGTCTCTGCATAAGGGCACACCAGAGAGCCTGTATAATACATATGGTATTGAGTTAGACCATGAACTTATTTCATTTTTCTAGCTGCTCGGTTAAAGCCTTTCAGATGTGCTACTGTTAAGAATTGATTCTGCAAACTGTTTTAGTTAGTTTACACCTATTTTATTGGGGAAGGGAGGAGGCAGGGATTCTCCTGAAAATTTTAGAAATTTACAGATTCTAACATTAAAGACTTAGCAGCTTTGAGGTTTTGTTTTTGTTTTTGTTTTTTTGGCCCAGTTAAGGGTGATTTTGTCTAGGATGTAACCTTTGAAAAACATTCAAAAGCTTTTCAGATATTATTTTAAAACATGTAACAGTTTGACTTTTTTCAGGCCTAGATTATGGCCCATTTTGAGTTTGGTAGAGTGTTGATGAAAAATACTGATTTTTTTCCTCTTTATTTCTATAGCCATACTGAACATCT
This sequence comes from Homo sapiens, assembly GCF_000001405.40. Classification (NCBI taxonomy): domain Eukaryota; kingdom Metazoa; phylum Chordata; class Mammalia; order Primates; family Hominidae; genus Homo; species Homo sapiens. The sequence goes on from NC_000002.12 coordinate 64,571,908, forward strand.
ATTTTTCTTACTCAAAAAGCATATTAGGCCGGGCGTGGTGGCTCACGCCTGTAATCCTAGCACTTTGGGAGGCCAAGACGGGTGGATCACCTGAGGTCAGGAGTTCGAGACCAGCCTGGCCAATGTGGAGAAACCCCATCTCTACTAAAAAAAATACAAAAAATTAGTCAGGCATGGTGGTGGACACCTGTAATCTTAGCTACTCGGGAGGCTGAGGCAGGAGAATCGCTTGAACCTGGTGGGTAGAGGTTGCAGTGAGCTGAGATCACACCATTGCACTCCATCCTGGGCAACAGGAGCAAAACTCTGTCTCAAAAAAAAAAAAAAAAGGTGTATTAGATTTGTAACAAACCCTGTGGAACCTGTAAGATGTTCTTCCTCTCTAAAAAGGCTGTATATATCTGCTTTGCCTGTCCAAGGAACTAAGTCTCCAGTGCTGTCATAGAGATCAGGATCAAATATTAAGTTTACACTGAAGGATATAGATGTCATATTATATGGCGTGTTTTACAATCAGCTCTCACTTCTCACCATGGGGTAATGTGTACAAAGGGTGCCGTTTCTTACAATTTTAGTGTCATTAGTGTTGGATTTTTAGAGGTTAGATGTGACATATTGTTGTCTCCCCCCACCCATCCCGAGTTGGTGCTTCTGCTTTCATGTGACAGTAATAATTCTGTACTTTAAAACCTCTGATTTAAAATACAAAGTCTTGCTTTAAAAACTTTTGATTCTAAAGGTATTATTGTGAAATGGTTCTCATTATAGTGCTATAGGATTTTCAGTAAATAAAATTTAAGAATAGCTGGGTGTGGTGGCATCAGCTTGAGGCAAGAGGATCCCTTAAGCCAGGGAGATTGAGGCCAGCCTGGGCAACTAGTGAGACCTTGTCTCTTAAAAAAAAAAAAAGACTAGTTCCTTTTTGTCTTCAGTACTTTCCAAGTGACCTGTTTTTTACCTTCTTCTTTCTGATAGATTAACTTAAGTTTATGGGCTGTGCACCCCCATCCCCATTAAAGGCTAATATTCCTTTTTCAGGGTATGTTAGAGCCCACCAAGGAACCACTGAAACCACTTTCTGCTGCAGAAAAAATAGCTTCCATCGGTCAGACAGCCACCATGTCACCAGATATGAACACATGTACATCTGATCAGTTCCAGGTAAAAATATCTATATGTGTATAAATATGTTTATGCGTGTATATACACATATATCCACACATACTGCCTTTTTCCTTCATTTATGACTGTTTTAAAAATATTTGTAAAGCTTGATTTAATGATGGACATGATTTTGATTAATTAACATCCCTTGGAATACAATGAACAAATTGTCTTTAATTTTCAAAAACAGAAAAGCACAATTTGAGAAATGGGTGATTATGGGTAAGTTCTTAAAACTATCCAGGCCTTAGTCTCTTTATCTATAAATTGAAGGGTTTAAAACAGGTATCTCTAAAGTCCCTTACAGTTTGAATATTGTGTGATCATAATTACTGACACAAATCTGGTAAGTGCTGGGTTTAAAAAAAAAAAAAAAGAAAAGAAAAAAGGAAACACTGTATTTATACCAACTCTATAAGTCTGCTATTGTATGTGTATTTTTTCTGGAATCCTGTGAAATTTTATAAAGCAGTAAAGGTTAGATATGTCCATTGCCTTAAACTTGTTTTTAGAATTTAAGCAAAATGGTTATTTAACTCGAAAATGATGTGACCTTTAACTAAACAATCTATGGATTAGGAAAATAGAAAACTCTTTTTTTTTGGAGATGGAGTCTTGCTGTGTCTCCCAGGCTGGAGTGCAGTGGTATGATCTCGGCTCACTATAACCTCTGCCTCCTGGGTTCAAGCGATTCTCCTGCCTCAGCCTCCCGAGTAGCTGGGACTACAGGTGTGTGCCAACGTGCCCAGCTAATTTTTGTGTTTTTAGTAGAGATGGGGTTTCACCATGTTGGCCAGGCTGGTATTGAACTTATGACAGGTGATCCACCCACCTTGGCTTCCCAAAGTGCTGGGATTACAGGTGTGAGCCATCACACGCAGCCAGAAAACTGTCTTGCCTTTCTTATCCTTTACCTCCTTGGCACACTTAAGCACAAATTTTTTTTCAGACTAATATGTTAATATAAAGTCTTCTCTCACTTTTTGTTCGGGTAAAATGGGCCATTTGGGCTTGCTTACTCTTTCCATATCAAGTTACAAACTGACTCAGTGCTGGTTAAATATTATAGTTTTAGAAGATTAGTATTTTTAAGTGAACATTACCATTTCTAAAACATATTCTTGCCATGTTTTGTCATTTCTTAACCTTAGATGTCATTTTTAATTGTATCTAACACAAAAAGTGTATGCTTGGACAGCCTTTCCCAAAATGTGTTCCCATTGAACATTAATCCCCAGAGGTGGTCCACTGAAGGGTTCCAGGGTAAAGTAAGTTTGGGAAATACTTCATATCATACCCCCATAACCACCCTTAGAGATCACAACACACATTAAGGACATTGAAGAGTCCTGCAATGAATGGCCTTAATTTTAATTCATTTCTCAAATTTACTTGGCCACAGGACCTTTTATTGCAGAGATCAGAGGAGAGGGGAGTGGTAGCACCTGCAGAACTAGTGTTTTGAAGAACATACTTTAGAAAATGTGTAAAGCATAGGTCCTGCCATTTTAGGTGTGTTTCAAGAAACATCTAATATTACTGCTGTGTACCACTGTGTTTTATACTTGGGCATAGCTTAAATGTTACTTTGAAGCCAGCTTATTACTAGCACTGAATTAGTGGGCCAGAGGACCTTGATGTTTACAATGCCTGGCCTTGATGGTTGGGCAGCAGACAAAGTGGCTTGGGCAGAATGTCTCCGTAGGTAGAATCTGTTCTTAGTTACCTTAATTTTGCTGCCCTGATACGCCCTCTGGCTATAAACTGCTATCCCAGGTCTGCCCTGTCTATGCATATTTCAGAATTACCTTTCCCACGGCACATTTTTATTTCTGCCTCCATCTGCATTCTTATTCCTACAGTGTTAGGTATTAGGAAAGTATTTTGAGTAACTACTTGGTACATTCATACTTGGTACATTCACTGAAAATGGAGCTGTACTTATTGAGACCATTTGTTGCTAGTTTTGCTTGCTTCCTCCTCCATCTAACCACTTCCACCTTACAACCCCATAAACTATTGCTTATTGTATCAGTTAGCTGTTGCCTGTAATTTTTTCCTCTAGCTGATTTGATCTTACTGTGTATTTCATTTTAGTCATAGCTTATCATGTTTCTTTTATAATTTCACTATGGACTTGACAAAAAAGTAGTCCAGATGACCTAATGAAAAACATGTTTAGAATTTTGTGCTAAGATGCCTGACCTCCATCACAGAATTGTATGGTCCTTGCTTGACTCCATACCTCTGACTCAGGTTAAAATATTTAACAGAGCAGGCTTGGTGGCTCATGCCTGTAATCTCAGCACTTTGGGATGCCAAGGCAGGTGGATTGCTTGAGCCCAGGAGTTCGAGACCAGCCTAACCAACGTGGCAAAACCCTGCCTCTACAAAAATTAGCCAGGCATGATGGCATGAGCCTGTAGTCCCAGCCTCTAAGGAGGCTGAGGTGGGAAAATCACTTGAGCTCAGAAGCTTGAGGCTGCAGTGAGCCATGTTCACACCAGTGCACTCCAGCCTAGGCAACAGAGTAAAACCCTGCCTCGAAAAAAAAAATTTAACAAACATCTGAAGTACATTTTCTAAAGAGTCTCTTTACAGAAAATTTTATATATATATGTATGTGTGTATATGTGTGTGTGTGTGTGTGTGTGTGTGTGTGTGTGTGTGTATATATTTTTTTTGGAGGTAGAGTCTTGCTCTGTCACCCAGGCTGGAGTGCAGTGGCATGGTTTCAGCTCACTGCAACCTCCACCTCCCGGGTTCAAGTGATTCTCCTGCCTCAGCCTCCCACGTAGCTGGGACTACAGGCACACACCACACCACCAGACTAATTTTCGTATTTTTAGTAGAGACAGGGTTTCACCATGTTGGCCAGGCTGGTCTCCAACTCCTGACCTCAAGTGATCTGCCCACCTCAGCCTCCCAAAGTGCTGGGATTACAGGCGTGAGACATCGCACCCGGCCTAGAAAATATTTCTTACCACTCTTCTTTGGCATGCTACACACACACACACACACACACACACACACACACACACACACACGTGTGTCATACAAATGAAATACGTGTGTGTGTGTGTGTATGTATATATATATGGATTTACATATACATATATATATATAACATATATATATATGTAAATATATGTAATTTTACTTTTTGGCCATGCAGGAAGTTACATCTTCCTACGCCCCTAGCCTTTAGTGCTAGAAGCAACAGTGGCTTTCAAACTTAGCACAAGCACAATTGTATAATTCCCCTTATGACTGCATGCTTTTGGGTCTGTCTGTCCTATCCCAATTTTGGTACCCATTGAGTTTGTTTTTATCTTCCAAATTGGCTTGTATTCATTGATCTTATAACTATTGCATCTCTTGTTTAGAAATTTATTAACTTAGTTTAAGGGTGAAAACAGTAATTTTACCTTTTTTGGGATTGTGTGTGTGTTTTCATTTTTATCTGCTGAATTTCAAGGTCACACCATTGTGCCACTACTGATTTCCCTCTTAGTAAGGTCAATACTTTACACTTTATTCATTGCTGAGTAGGGTCAACACTCTGACTGGCAGTTATCCATCTAGTCACCGGTAGCAACTTCTCTTAGACTGCCTGATGTATTTTAGTTGTGAATCAGAATTTTAGAGCTAGAAAAGAAAAAATGATTATGTAGTTCCATGCTCACTTTTTTTTTGTTGTTTTTGAAACAAGAGTTTTGCTCTGTTGCCCAGGCTAGAGTGCAATGGCGCAGTCTCAGGTCACTGCAACCTCTGTCTCCTGGGTTCAAGCGATTCTCCTACCTCAGCCTCCTGAGTAGCTGGGATTGCAGGCACCTGCCACCACACCTGGCTAATTTTTATATTTTTAGTAGAGACGGGGTTTCACCATGTTGGCCAGGCTGGTCTCAAACTCCTGACCTCAAGTGATCCACCCACCTTGGCCTCCCAAAGTGTTGGGATTACAGGTGTGAGCCACCGCGCCTGGCCACCATGCTCACTTTTTACAGCATTGGAAAGGCTAAGTGATTTACCCAAAACCATGTATTAGTGGTACTGCTAGGACTGGAATCCAAGCCTCCTGTCTCCATGTTTTTGTTCTTTTTTATTGTGACCTTATTTGCCTAGTGCTTTTATCTCTGCAGTAATAATTCATACCACATTGCTTCAAGTGGTTTTAAAATGCTTCATTCTCAAGCTTTCTCTGAGTTTCCATACTTGTATACTTGTGAACATCATTAGTTTTAGTCTTTTTTTGCTTCGGTATCCTGTTTTTCACCTTTTTCATTTCCGTTAAATGTCGATTCGTGTTTATCACCTCATTATGATTTTGGCTGTCTTCAAAATACCATACCCCTGTTTGAGCAGCTCAGATTTCAGCAAATCATTAAATCATTGAAATATTTCTAAGCACCCAGCTACTTGACATCATTCAGATAGAATGTGTTCATGAAAGAACTTGCTCCATTTATTCAGAAATCGTTATTGTATAAACCTAGATTTTGTCCATTCATTCAGTGTTGAATATGCCCAAAGGTGTCACTGATCTAGAAGTGGAGTAAGTTGAATCTGCTAGAATGCTTAGAGATGTTTGTTTCCTTTTATGATCAGCTAAAGAAGATATTTCTAAATATTTATTAGCTGTGCAGGTAGGTTATAAACTAGGTTTTCAGCAGTTTTTTAACTTTTATCTGAAATAATTATAGATTCATAGGAAGTTGCAACTGTAGTACAGAGAAGTCCCTTGTACCCTTCACCAGTTTCCTCCATGGTTACATCTTACATAATATGCTATAATGTGAAAACCAGGAACATGACATTGGTACAATATGTGTATATAGTTCTATATCATTATATCACATAGGTAGATTCCTGTAACCACCACCACCAGTCAAGATACAAAACTCTTCCACCACCACCATTAAGAACACCCTTAATAGTCACTGCCCCACAACCATCCCTATCCCATCCCTTACACCCACTAACTAATGTTAGTATTTTACTTGGTTTATACCTTGCTCCAGGCTGGACCTGATTTTTGGAGACTAAATACTTAAATTAATTTGCCTGTCATTGGTATCCCAGTTATCCAGACAGTCGTATTATAATATCATGGAGTTAGACTTTACAAAAATAACTGATTCATGCTCCTTTTCTATAAAAAACAGCAAGTGATCTTACCTACCTACGCAGAAAAAAATATAAAGTTTTAACAGTGCCTGCCTTACAATAAAGCGTAGTGGTAAGCGATGTCCAAAAAAAGACGATAACATTTTGATATCAAAAGTCTAATAAAATACAGGTTATTTTAACACCATCCCCAAAAGAAAAGAAAAAAACAACCAACATTTTTTCATGTAAGAATATTCTTAAAATGAAGTGTGAATGCTTATTTTAAAAATGTGTTTGCACTGCCTTCCATCTTAAATTTACCATTTGCTTATTTTATATGTTTGACAGTTACGAAATTTAAACCCCTGGAATAGTGAATTTTTTTTTTTTTTTTTAAACAGTCTCACTCTGTCGCCCAGGCTAGAGTGCAGTAGTGGCACGATCTCGGCTCACTGCAACCTCCACCTCCCGGGTTCAAGCAATTCTCCTGCCTCAGCCTCCCAAGTAGCTGGGATTACAGGCGTGTGCCACCATGCCTGGCTAATTTTTTTTTATTTTTAGTAGAGACAGGGTTTCACTGTGTTAGCCAGGATGGTCTCGATCTCCTGACCTCGTGATCTGCCCACCTCGGATCCCAAAGTGCTGGGATTACAGGCGTGAGCCACCGTGCCCTGCCTGAGCATCCCTTGAGTGTATTGTTTTTAAAATTCTATGCTCGCTTCAGCAGCACATTATAAAATTTGGCAAGGTCAGAGGAGATTAGCATTGCCCCAGTACAAGGATGACACCCACAATTAAATTCTGGTATCTAATAAGTAATTTCTAAATGAAAGAAGTTGATTAAAATAGATATTTTAAGTCAACACTTTAAAAATGTCTTATTAGCCCATAATTTTCAAAATCTGGAAAATTGTAAGGAACCAGACAGACCTTAGACTTTGAATCTTCTTGTTTTATACCATGTTTTAATTTTTATTGTAATCACATCAATAGTTGAAATCATGATTTGAGAATAGATTGAAATCTTGACATAGAATCAGTTCATAAATTTGTTTAAAAATGTAAAGATAATTTCATTTCCCAGATACAACTTTTTAAATGTCAATAACCTGTACTGTTTGTAAATTTTGCAATTTCAGTTTGTGCTGATATTTGCAGGTAACCTTCTGAAATTGTAAATTATCCCAATTTTGTCTTTAGGTACTTTGTTGCCTAATGGTCTTGCTATAATTTTTTTTTTTAAGGATTCTTTACGTTGCTACAACCTGTACTGATTAATTTTGATTTTTTGGTTTTCAACTCTAGGAGTCTCTACCACCCGTCCAGTTTGACTGGAGTAGCAGTGGCCTTACTAACCCTTTAGATGGTACGTCTCTCCGTAGAGCCTCTAGCACCAGAGCTAGAGTTAAGAAAGCTACAAAGTTCAGACAAACTTCTCTCTGCTGATTTCCTTTTTTGTTTGAACATAACTTATTCTTATCTTTGGAAATTCAGGCTTTCTTTCTGAACAGTAATTGCTCAAGAAACCAGCCGTTACTATTATCAACAGTATTAATGTCCAAATATAGGTAATAGTAGTTAGGTAAAATTTTAGTTTCAGTCAAAAGTAAGCTTCTTTATTTTTTACAAATATCTAGGTAGTTTAAAAGGTATTTTAGCTAGGACCAATTTACCTTGAATTTTTTTCTGTAAGTTTTAATTTTTGGAATTTTCTTGGATGCAAAGTCTTGTGACTAGAGGCTGCTTCAAAGCACAAAGCACAATTATTTAGCCAAAAACAGTGTGCATAGATCCATGTTTATTGACTCAAAGTAGTTTTTAGATTTAATATTTTATAGAGCACCTATATGCAAATAGAAAATAAATTTCACGATCCTTTTCTAAAGCGTGTCTCCAAATGTTAGTAGGCAGTTCTAAAAATAATTGGTTTCACTTATGGCTTTAAAAGAAAATCCTCAAAAAGGAATAACTTATTTCAGTAATGTAATGTGGGCTCTTTAAAATAAGTAACACACCAATGTTAGTTTCTAGTATTGACACCACAAGTTTTAAGTGGATCCCAAGATGTAATTGCTCTTACTGCTTGTGCTTAAGTTGTTCGAGCCATTGTCTAAACACCTATCATTGTCTAAATGGCAATTATTTTGCCATTGTAAAAAAACACTATCAGCTTGGCCTTATAGTGGGGTCCTAGGATATCTGGAAAGCATCCAATTGAATTAATATAGTGCTGAAGGAAAGCCTGGATGCACTTTTTGCTGTTGTCTGGTGTCTTCAGTCAAATCAGATATCTGGAAAGCATCCAATTGAATTAATATAGTGCTGAAGGAAAGCCTGGATGCACTTTTTGCTGTTGTCTGGTGTCTTCAGTCAAATCATCATGCTTTTTATTAACAAACAACTTCTTTAAAAATGTATACTATTTCTGATTACTGTTTCAGAGTTAAAGGGGAACAGTACAGCTTGAGGTTGCACATCAGGGTAGGGTAGTTATGACATTCTTTATTATGTTATTTTATTTTAAACTAAGTTAACACATTGGTGCGTGTCCTGAAACTGACAACTTTGTCACTTTTTAAAAAGCATTAATTAGAAACCAATATTACTAACATGAAAGATTGATTTGGGCATGTACAGTGATTTTTAATGTTGGGTTGAGATTAAAGTATTGTTTCCCTTTAACGGGTACGCATTCCTTTCGGTCTTTCTGGTATGGCTTCCAGTTTTGATTGAAGCAACTGAACTCCTAAAACCTTACTAAGTGTTACATTCTTTACATTGTACATGAGAAAATGTACATTGAATTAAATTGTTATTTTAGAAATGTCCTTAGTAATGAAAAGCTAATACTGTACACATTGTTTTAATGTTGATTTTTAAAATGTGTAATGATTACTAATTATAACCTGCATGTTCAAGTGTGTGTCTTACCCCTTTTTACACATAACCCCTCCTCCCTTGGCTTACCTTCTGTGTGGCTGCCTACCAACACGGTCACTGAATTTCAAGCTAGTGGAGGTTCCACTCTTCTGAACCTTGATTTCTTTGGGCCCGTGGATGACAGTAGCTCTAGCAGCAGCACCACAATCCCAGGTCAGCAGAGTGTTAAAACCACAATTCCAGTTTATTTACTAAAAGCATGACCACATCACTTGACTTTCCTATAAACAAGGAAACAAGTAGATTGTATTCTCTATAATGTCTTTTTAATACTTTTCTTTCATCTGTTGTTATTTTCTAGTATCTGATTACAAAAAAATGACTTATGTATTTCAAGGAAAACTTTCTAATATTCAAAGCTGAAAGTAGTTTCTAGGAATAAAACATCCCTAATGTCCTTAGACAGTTAAAGGCAGGGCTGTTGGTTTTTTTTTCCTCTAAGTGGAAAATGTGATATTTTATATGCTTATTTTTAAAAGCATATTCTATAAAGCCATTTGAAAAAAATACAAGTTTAGAGATAGATAGAATATTTTAGTATACAAAGATGACTTTACATTGTAGTGCCTGTAATAATATAACCTTTACAAATTCCAGCATTCAATTAGTTGTTTATTAGTGCTGCTAAATATATAATTGGGTTCCAAAATGTTGGAGTCTAGCACTAAGTATATAGTCCCACATAGAACTATTTCTGTTTTTATGTAGCTCTTAAATAGAAAGTATACTGTTAGTTTTCCATGGGAAAAAAAATGTTACAAAAGTTAATAGTAGAAAATAATTGCTATGAGATACTAAAAGCTAGAGATTAAAACTTACTGGAGTGCCTGTTAATGTTCAGCCCTGCAAAAGTTCAGTTCATTGACCAAAGGACTAATGTACTTTGTCACTTTCTAACTGAATAAAAGATTAAAATTATAATGGCATTTTTATGTTTACATTTTATTCAATATTAATAACTGTCATCCCAACAGGTGATCTGGTAATCATGTCCATTGATCACCAGACAGCTGTTGGGGTGCCGTAGAGATGCCCATGCCCAGAATGCATAGTGAGAGTCCCTTTCTGTCCCCACTAGTGGCCAGATTCACAACTAGCCTGGTTCCTGAGAATTCACTGGTTTTGTGCTATTCCACTAGATAGTGCTACCACCCACTTCCAACAGTTGAGCAGCCATGATGGGCTGTGGATGGGGGAGACTAACAGTCAGCTCAGAGTGAACCTGGGACCTAGGATGCCCTTCTTGAGATCTGGTTATGCAAATCTGATTCTGCTGCAGGGAAGTTCCAAGGTCATTTGGTATAGAATGACTGGATTCCTCAAATCCAAGCCCCTGGTTATTCTTACTGTTTTCAAGATTTTGCAAGCATATAAAAAACCAATCTGTCTGGTTTTGACTTCAAAATGATATTGTACTATTTACTTAAATTACTTCTAAATTTACATTTGATCTGTGCAGTGACCTGGGTGAGCTAATTGTCTGACATTTTAGAATACTTACGGGGGGGTAGGAGGGACAACCAAAAACATGTATATCTTTTTGTTACTGTATTCCCAAGAATTATTAAGCTCCCATTTTAAATTTGCTCTCAGCTTTGTTTTGTCATAAACTGTATTATAATTTGAATGAGGTCACTGTTTTTCTTTTGGATCCCTAAAAACCTGGTTTAAATTTAATTTTTGGTTACATTTCAAACTCATTTAAAAACCATTCATAGGAGCACAAATAACGTGGCTATATAAAGAAGTACAGAAATGACCTGATAATCAGGCTCAGTGTACACAGCTGCGAGAAGAGCAAGCGGTTTCAGAAGCTTAGAGCTGTAATGGAAGTGAAATCAGCATGGTCAAATGCAGTTCTCATTACTTTGGAGCCTTTTAAATATTTTTGTTCAATATTTTCATTAATATGCTCTAGATGCTATATAAATTTGATTACTATATATTTGCTTTGGCTTCTTTTTATTGCTATTGGGTTTTGTTAAAAGTTACCATCAAGCTACAGGTATCAACACCTTCCTTAGTATTCCATTTCATCACTTGCTTGCATTTTTTCTGACTTGTTTCTGGGAAAGTCATTTCGTCTTAGCTTGCGGTTATTTAATTATTTTGTGTGTGAGACTTAGGAGGTTGGCATAGAACTTGGTTGGCTAGCTTTAGTTATGTAACTAAACCATGCCTCATTAAGGCTCTGTTAAAAAAAAAAAAAAGACCTTCCATTAAAAAAATTACTCTCCAATTATTAAATAGTTGTCTTGTTTTTGAAAAATCTAATCATAGTTTTGGGGGGGGTTTTGGTGTGGTGGTAGTTATTTGGGGGTGTGATTTTGTTGTCTTTTTTTTTAATCTGCCTCTTTACTGTTTGACAGTCAAGTGGCCAGTATTTTATAAACCCAACTAAGTTTTTACTAGCACTTACCTATTGCCAGTCAGAATGCAGTTATTTATTCTGCCTTATACACTAGACAGCAACTTAAATTTTGTGGTTGCTGGAATCTAGCCTTTAGAGAGGGAGGTACTTTGGGCTCATGTAGTCCCTTTACAGACATATACAATTTTTTACATTTTAATTGCAACCCATATTCTTATTACAGGAACACAAAGGAAAGTCCTTTTAAAGTATATTTTGAAACCGTACCTTAATGAAATACTGAGAACTTGGGAGAGTCAATATACATTTTCTATAGCCTTCCTCCCTTGTTAGACTTCGTAACTGTGGAAGTCGCTTTTGCTTGTCTGATTTCTGTAAACATCTGAGATCTGTGTTTACTTCTGTAAAGTTGGTTAATAGAAGTCAGTTTCTGATTTTTTAATTTTTTAATATGTTAAGTATCTTAAAAGGAAAAAAACTTGTTAATCTAAATATATGCATTTATATATGTTATTTATATATAACTTGATCTGCTGATCTTACAGGGCATTTTTTTAAAGAAATAATAAGTAAAAATTTCAGAAGCTCTAAGACATTCTTCCTTAGAATTTTGCTTTGCTGTTAACGCCCGGCAACTCATGAACTTTTTTTCTCAAGTTATTTGCTGGTACCAGGAGAGTGTAGGATTAAAAATTTTTTTTTTTACTCTGAATATTATTCAAAGTGTAACTTAAGTTTAAAATATTTAAACTGTTCTTTTTAATGTTATTGTTGTCATCATTGCTATAAATCTGTATTACATGAGAAATACACAAAGTTATATGTATTTTAATGCAGTCAGATGGGGGAGATTTTTTAAATCAATTTTTGCAATAAATCTAACCCTCTGAGCTTCCTTTTGAATTACTCTAACAAGATATTTGAACTAATGACTACCAGATTCAGACATGAGACTACAGAAATTAACCCTGTAGACAAGAATTTTCATTTTGTTCAAAAGTAGTACTTTTACTCACCTTTTCTGAAAATCTTTTACCCTCCCCACCTCTAACCTGAAGAAAGAGCTATGTGGTATATGTTTATGATTAGTCCTTAGTCATGATTTTTTTTTTTTTTTTTTTTTGAGACGCAGTCTTGTTCTGTCACCCAGGCTGGAGTGCAGTGGCGTGATCTCGGCTCACTGCAAGCTCCGCCTTCCGGGTTCATGCCATTCTCCTGCCCCAGCCTCCTGAGTAGCTGGGACTACAGGCGCCCACCACCATGCCCGGCTAATTTTTTGTATTTTTAGTAGAGACGGGGTTTCACCGTTTTAGCCAGGACGGTCTTGATCTCCTGACTTTGTGATCTGCCCGCCTCGGCCTCCCAAAGTGCTGGGATTACAGGCGTGAGCCACCGCGCCTGGCCAGTCATGATATATTTAAACTAACCAGATCATTTACCATGTTTGAGACTTTGTGGTAGCTTCTAAATCTTTTTCTGTGGAAGAAAATAGAGAAAAAATAAGGAGGTGAGGAAACAGGAAAATTTTTAAAATGAGATTAGTTAATTGAAAAATGGGGTGTCACATCATGTGCATTCTATTTATAAAACATTGATAATTTTATATCACATCCTAATCCAAATTGGGGGAGTTTTCTATAGCAGATAGAAATTTTAGAAGTATTTGGGTAGCATCTGCTGCATAAATGCTAGCTTAAGGATATATTCGTTCCAAAATGGAATTTGAAAAGTCTTTTCCTGTTTTATAAAAACTCCAAAAAGTGGAGTTTATACTGTAAAAAATAAATGCAGTATTGCAGTGTTCTAAAGATATGTTCTGTTTGTAAAACACTCAGATGTTTACAGAATATTGCCTTTTGCATCTTGGATTGTGGCTAACTGGGTAACCCATTGCAGCCTGCCATCACTGACTATCATTTTATACTATAAGGTGTGGATCCGGAGTTGTATGAGTTAACAACTTCTAAGCTGGAAATCTCCACCTCAAGCCTCAAAGTGACTGATGCATTTGCAAGACTCATGTCTACAGTAGAGAAGACAAGCACATCTACCAGGTAAATAAATAGTGTCAATTATACCCACATTTTGAATTCTGAGATAAAACGACCCAAAGGAAAAAGCATGTCAGTTGACAGCATTTCAATATATTATATCACAACTTGCTTTATAAAAGTCAGTCGATGCCCAAGTCCAGAAAATATTATCAAATTATGTTTAATTATGAACTTTATTAGAACAGGATTATTTCATAAGAGATTGGCCAAGGCTGACAGATGTGGTTTTCTTCCCCCACCCCCTGCCCCCCCACCTCACTTTGTAGAGACTAATTCTGATTAAGTATTGTGATCATAAAGCCATTATAGAAACACTCTCCCTTTCTCTTCATAATTACTGAGAAGATCATCTTTGAGAACCCAGTTTTGTAATCCTGGAGTCACCTAGGCTGATCTTTTTACTTGCAGGCTAAGATGGTTCTTGGAATTTTCATTGACATGCACCTCTGATTTGGGAGGTAAAGCCTTACTTTACCAGGCTTTCTAGAAGCCCCTTCAGAGGCATGGCCTATTGAAGAGCAATTACCATCTCCCTGTGTTGGAACTAAAGGCACGGAATGTCACTCGGGCCATGTGTTTGCGATTCAGAGAATCTTTAGTTTCATATGATTAGGCTAGTACAATCCATTGCTTTGAGTTATTGTTAACCATAAGACTAAGCCAGTTTCTAACAGGAAGATACTATTCTGAACCAGGAAATCACTAGTGCAAAAGCAAATACTGGTTGATTGACACGCCAGCTCTGCTGTCTCAAATCTGTGATGCATCAGCATTTTAAAGTGGAACTATTTACCTATTAGTTGCCTACTTTAAAAGAAGTGTTATAGCTCTTTCTCCTGAATAAATACATCCCAATCACATGTTAAATTCAGGTTTATATTTTAAATAGATTCTTCTATAGAAAGACATCCATTTAAAAAAGCCTTTTTTATTGTGAATAATAAATGTTTCTCTCTCTTAACTTTAGCTTGAATTATCATATTGTCTTTTAAACTTTGTGTGCTTTTATTCCCCCAGATTTTTCTTATTGCCTTTAATATTTATAATTATGAAATACATTATTATACATTAGACTACCCTTAACTTTTCCCTAGAATGGCTTTGTAGCATGTAAATCCTTGTTTGTCTGCCAGTTCTCTCCATTGTTCTCATAGCCCCATGTCTTTGCAGTATGCCACCTGGCATTGCCAAAGCCTCCTCTTCAATGAACCTACTTGTAAATGTGGCTATGTGGCTTTTTTTAAATTTTTTTCTTTCCAAATAAATCACTTCTTCAAATCGAAACTCCTCTCATAGAAAAAAATGGATGAGAAATTTGTATATGTTAACTAAAAGCTAACACACATTTGACTTAAAAACCAAAAAGGATGCTTTTATTGTTTGGGTTTCCCCCTGCTATTTTTAGGACAACCCTTTCTGGGACAGTTCTACTCTTTCCTTCCTTTGTTTCCCCTGCAGTCTCACTGACCAAAGAACTATAGAAGTTTTGAAAATCCCAATGATGAGAATTCATTTCGTGCCATTAGGAGGAGCTCTAAACCACCTTAACTTGTTCTCCTAATTCGTTAACTCATCCTTGAAACATGCTGAATCTAGAGAACTCTTCCAAGCCCTATCACTTTAAGAAGCTATTTTCATTTTTTCTCTTGTTCTATACTAATAGGGAATGAACTAATAATGTATCCTGGAGTTAATGTCTGCTAATTCTGTATTGAGTTACTCGCTAGGACCTGTCCAGCATCATATTTAAAACAAAATAAATTGGAGAGAACAGGTTGCCAACTTTGTATTTTCTGTTTTGAGAAATGTCATTTGAAAATGGTAAAAAAATACAAATGCCCGCAAGTCTTAAAATACTGTAAAATGTCCCAACGAGTGATTCTCAATCGTACAGAGCAGAGACAGGCTGGTAGCATAATTTCAGAAAGCATTTTTAGTATCTTATTTTTAGGTTTTCTTTCATTTTTCTCTTGAATAAAGTAAACTGCAAAAAATAAAGCTCAGCAAAATCTTCTTGGCTATTGCCAATAAGCAGAAGATAAAGTGAAAAGGCATTTTGATAGACTATAGGGTAAGAAGGAGTTAAACAGTGGTCAAGGTAGAAGAAATTTGACATGGACCAAACAATATCCAGTACTCTTTACTAAGTGCCTTTGAGTGTCTCAGGGAATTTATATGTGCTCTTCTCTTTTGGAACACAAGTTGTGAAAGTGACTTCTCACTTTGAGTTTTTTAAAGAAGTGCAAGTTCTTAGTTTTAAAATAGTTCCATCTTCTTGCCTAACTTTCCTAATATGGAGGAAAATTACTTCCTATTCTAAATCACTACTAATTAGTGACAGCTAGTTAGTAGCCATAGACCTGTAACTGAAGTTTATGCAGGTCAAAGAAATTTTATTCTTTTTTAGGCCTTTTTATTGAGATAAAAATTTATAATTCATTCAGGTGTTCAATTCACTGGTTTTTAGTATATTCACAAGGTTGTGCAACCATCATCACTATCTAATTCCAAAACATTTTTATCACCCCAAAAAGAAACCCTGTACCCATTAGCAGTCACTCCTTATCCCTCTCGTTCCCCAGGCCCTGGCAACTACTAATCTGCTTTCTGTCTCTACAGATTTGTCTTTTCTGGTTATTTCATATAGATGGAATTCTATAGTCTGCAGCCTTTTGTGTCTCGGTTTTGCTTAGCATTCTGTTCTCAAGTTCATTCATGTTGTAGTATGTATCCGTATTTGTTTTTTGGCTGCATAATATTTCATTGGAAATAGCACATTTTGCTTTTCCATTAATCAGTTGATAATTGGGTTGTTTTCACTTTTTGACTATTATGAGTAGTGTTGCTGCTGTGAACACTTGTGTATACGTTTTTGTGTGGACAGATGTTTCCAACTCTGTTAGGAGTGGAATTTCTGGGTCTTATAGGAACTCTAACTTCTTTGGGGAACTGCCAAACTTTTCCAAAGTGATGGCACCATTTTACATTCCCACCAGTAATATACATTCCAAGTTCTCCACATTCTTACCAACACTTGTTATTGGTCTTTTTGGTTATAGCCATCCCAGTGGGTTTGAAGTGATATCTCATTGACATTTTTGTTTGCATTTCCCTGATAGCTAATCATGTTGAGCATCTTTTCATGTGTTTATCGACTATTTGTATATCTTCTGTGGAGAAATATCTGTTCAGATCCTTTGCCTTTTTTGTTTTTGTTTTAGTAGAGACAAGGTCTCAGTATGTTGCCCCAGGCCGGTCTTGAACTCTTGAGCTCAAGCGATCTCCCTCCTCAGCCTCCCAAAGTATTGAGATTACAGGCATGAGCCACTGTGCCCAGCCATTTGCCTATATTTTAATTGGATAATTTGTCTTTTTATTGTTAGGTTGTAAGATTTTTAAGTATATTCTGGATACTAAGCCTTTATCAGAGAAATGATTTGAAGATATCTTTTCCAATTCTGCAGGTTGTCTTTTCATTATCTTGATAGTATTCTTTGACACACAAAAGCTTTTAATTTTGATAAGATCTAATTTTTCTTGTGATTTAGGTATCATATCTAAGAAATCATTGCCCAATTCATGGTCACAAAGATTTATACCTAGATTTTCTCCTAAGAGTTTTATAATTTCAACTCTTACATTTAGGTCTTTAATCCATTTTGAATTAATTTCTGTATATGGTATGAGGTAGGAGTCCACATTCATTCTTGTGCAGGTGGATATCCAGTTGTCTGAAAACTGTTGAAATGATTTCCCCCACTGAAAGGTTTTGGCACATTTGTCAAAAACAAAAATTAAAAAACAATTGATCATGTTTTTTTCCTGGACTCTCAATTATATTCTCAATTATATTCCATTGATAAAAAGGATAAATCTTCACTAGAGAGGAATAGATCAAAATTAGGTCACTGCCTTTGAGAAATGATCATGATATAACTTTTTATTTTCAAATTCTCCTTAAGTGTTTGCTTCTTCCCATATTCTAAGAAGACTAGCTCACACCCATGCACAATGACCACAGATAAATGCACAAACTATGAACTGTGTAAACTTTTTATTTTAAAATATAATTTCATATTGCCTCTGAAATAAGGCAATTGTTTAAAACCCTAGAATAATCTTTACCAACTGTTTCTTAGGTAAAAACTTATTTTTTGCTGTCTGTTCCTACACCCAAACTGCACTCCACAAATGGGAAAGTCCATTTAGGTGCGCATTTATTCACTGTTGTTTTAAATAACCATTTATCATTATAGAAGTAGTAAAGTATATTTTTAGAAAGTTAGGAAATCCGGACCAAAAAAAATTAAAAATGAAAGTATCACATTCTTACCATTCAGGATCACTATAATTCCTTAGTGTAATTCTTTCAGATCTTTTCCTATGCAAATACATATATGGGGGGGGGGGGGGGGTTTCCACCAAAAATGAGATTTTAGAGGTCATAGTGAATTGACCTCTAAAATTGACCTAGTCTTAGTCAGTGATCTCTGTCCATTTCAGTGAGTTTTCATTTCATCTACTTAGGCTATATTCAGATTTCTCCAACTATCCTTTCTCAGCTTTGTACAAACCAGTATTCAATTGAAGACTATTGTACCTGGCTGTTGGGGCTCTTAAGTCCCTTTTAACCTAGCATATCTCCTCATTCCTTCTGTTTTCTTATTAACAGTAGCTTATATAAAGATTAGTATAGGTGTCCTACAGAATGTCCTAAAAGCTCTGGATTTGTCTGTTTGCTTCCTTCAAGTAATATTTGCTGTGTTCTCTATCTCCCTATTTTCCTGTAAATTGGAAATTATATCTAAAGGCTTGCTGAATTCAGGGTAAATATTTTGGCTAGAATGCATCCTAGGTGTTATATCACATCAGAAGATCCATACATCTGGTTGACTCCATTGTTAGTGGTGCTGAGATTGACGATTGGTGAGAAACTGACCTTTTCCATTATACAGTTCCAGGTTTTCACTTGTCATGTATCTGGTTTTACTTTGGAATGATGCAGATATCCAGTTCCCCATCAAACGTCCACATAATAGTTTTGCCACTATTTAAGTGCAATTAAAAATGTAGATTTTCATCAGAAAAAAATGTTGGATTGCTATTCCATTCTTCTAAGAACCTAGTACTGAATGCAGTATTTGGTTCATCTGCTATATGCCTGATGCTTTTTCCCTTTTGAAAAACTTTAGTCCTAAAAGTCGTTGGATTTTTCATTCATTCTATAAAATCTTTTTATTTCAGTCTGGATTCAAAGTGGTAACAGAAAAGTCCTAGGAATAAAAAAGCCTGTAGCTATCCTTCCTTTCTTGCTTTACCTCCTGGCTTCCTGCACCCCATCCAAGGAAAAAGGAAACATTTAGGTCAAAGAAATACCTTGTGTCACATCTAAGAATACCAGCTATCCTTTACCATAAAAGAGAATTATTAGGCTTTTTATAATGAACAACTTGAAATGATTTTTGGTCTAAAGCGAATAATATGTATAACTACTCCTTTAATATATTTAATATCCCAGAAAAAGTTTGAATTGCAATCATGTGCCCAATTTGAGGCTCATTTGGCATTTTCTGTGGCTCACCTGCTGAGTAGACCTGGGTCACCAGGCATTTTCTTGTCTGTGTTAGGCACCAAACTGCTAATTTCCCATATCGGGGGCCAGTGCAGCAAAATCTACTTCATCTACAGGACCCATAGGATTTGAGATTTCCCTCACCCAGAGTTCCGTCCTGCCTGTGTACGTGCATAATAACACCAGCAACCAGCCCTAGTGCTGCTGCTTTTGGACCTGCTGTCTGTATCCCAACAGGCTGAGACTGGGTCTTCTGAGCTGAGAGCTTTCTCTCCTGGAATTCCCCACTGGGGATAAAGAGAGCCTGAGGTTAAAATGACTTAGTCTTTCCCTGGGCACACTTTGTTTCAGGCTGAGGTAGTTTTAGCGGGTGGAGGGGCAGGGAAAAACCCAGTTAGGTGGAGTGTTACTAAGGCTTCAGATTTATATTTCTGTTTAGTAACATTTTAAAATTATGCCTGGGTAGATGCTTCTAGCCTAATGTAAAGGCTAGAAAGTACACGAGCTGTCTAGGTGTGCATGTGAGTATCTGTGTGTGCATGCCTAGCTTTAATGAACATAAATAGGCCGCACGTCACTCTTCATGAGATTTGGCATTTGGCACAGGAAGCATACTGCACAAAAGTATTACAAGATTCAGGAACTAGCAGAGGAAAAAATACTCAAGTCCCCACAGATTGCTAACTGTCTACCTTGAGAGTGGATTGTCTCCCATTTTACCTACAGCAAAGTCACATTAACACACTTGTCTTTTTTTCATTTGTCAGTAGGAAACCGAAAAGAGAAGAGCACCTAAGTGAAGAAGCTATCAAGGTGATCGCTGGCCTTCCTGACTTAACATTCATGCATGCCAAGGTGTTGATGTTCCCAGCCACGTTAACACCTTCCACAAGCTCTCAAGAAAAAGCAGACGGATAACTGATGTGAATTGGACAGTTTCTATTGCTTTTCCTTTTTTCCATCCCTTCCCTACCATCAAAAGCATACCTGCTCTAATTAAAAAAAAAAAAAAAAAAAATTCAAGTTCAGCTGATTTGTTGGTAAGCCGCACTAGAAAGGTATACATAGTAATGTATATTTATTTACATACTGAAGTCCTAAATTTATATTAGAAAAATGTAAATAATCGGGGGTAAACATTTTTGAAGATTTATTCTTTTTGTGTTGCTGGGGTGTATACATTTATGTCTTTGTGAAATACACTGGTGGTGTCCTTCTTACAAAACTTTTGAAATAAAAAAAAAACTCAAATCTTCACTGTCTGTGAAATCCCCTTCAGTCTTTTCAGATTGCATTGACTGTCCTCTTGATTTTTCATATTACATGTCAAATTACTTTTGCTATCATAAATAAGCTCCAAAGTCCCCCATTTAATTTTTTTTTAATTTTGTGTATGATGGGTTTCAGATCTGGCTTTTGTTAACATTTTGGGGCTTTTTTAATCTTTTCAATCTGGCGTATTGCTGTTTGACCTTTTGCAAGGTACTTAATTGCTCTTTTGTTATAGGGTATGGATCATTGTCAGAACTTGATTGGAGGGGTTTAAAGAGATTGTGTCTGTTTAAAATCAGTATGATTCAGAGAAGGACCAAATTATATGAATGTCTTACAATGGAATTTACTTGTTACTGATTTTTTTGTTCTATTGTACCACTATTTTTTGAGGATTTTGCACAGTGTAAAATGACATAATCATAGATTGCTATGGTTTAGGCTGTATATACAGTGAAAACTATGGGTTTTAAATGTTTGGGGAAATTCCTATGGAAAAAAGAGAGACATGTAGAAGAACCTCTAACAAGGTTAATGTGCATGCCCAAGGTCTTTTGAAATTTCAGTGTGTAAATTTCCTTTTAGCTTATACAAAAATAAAATAATTTAAAAGAAATTTAGCCTGGTGTCTTTGTACTTTGGTATGTGAGGAAAAATGTAATGAGTTTGAATGAGAAGTTTTGTTGAATATTAACATATTTCAATCCAGAGAAAATCTTTGGTAGGGCTTCTACTTTGTTGAAGCCAGGAAGAATTAGAATCTGGCCTATAAGAATTGGATCAGCACTTTTAGTAGCTGAGCTGTTTGTTTTTATATAGAACATGAGATCAGTAAAGAAATTCCCATGATTCATTATAATGTGTCTTCATCAGAGTATTGGCAAGGTTAAATAGGGATTTGTAGGGATTTTTTTTCTTTCCAAGAATATATAAGCGTGAAATGAAGGTAGGCAGAAAAAGTCTAAAAATTTTAGAATATTAGATATTGCTTCAGCAAAAAGTCACATGACATTGCATCAGGAACAGGCAGTCAGCTGACAGTCGGCCTCATCCACTCTGGGAATGTGCCAGTGGAACTCCTGCACCTCTGTCATTGGCAGATTCCTGTGTTGCCAGGGGATTACACTGGCCATTGGAACGCTTGCCTGAGTGTAATGTAAGTATGGCCTGGAGTGACGGAGTGACAAGATGCCTATCCAGTCCATATCCCACCATTTCCCTAACTATTAAAAAAAAAAAAAAGTTTGGTCTTTTTCAGAGAAACTTTCTTTCAAAATAATCACAAGTTTTTAGTGTCCAGCAAACCTTTTGGGTGGAAAAAGATGACTCGGAAAATTCCTTAGCAGAATTTTTCATGTTTCAGTAATTGAAACATAAAGGGCTACTTCTATAGTACATTACAACTAAATTATAATGGCAAGTTTCACCAACCTAAGTTCACAGCCCACATGTTAACTGTGTTACCAAGAGAAAATTAATCAACTTCTCTGAGCCTGAATTATCCATAAAAATGGGAGTGATCCTACCTCATGAGGTTGATGTATTAAATAATGGATGTATTTAATAAGACATTTGTCACATGAGTAAACAGTCAGTGAGCGGTAGCCAGAGCATAGCATCAGGGAACTCCGTGAAAGCTCCTGGAGTCCCAGTAGGTTCAAGAAGCAGACACAGGAGAAAGGGTCACTAAATAATAATAGAGTCACTTGGCATTTTAAAATTAAGTGGGCCTTCGTTATGAAAGTGGCTTATTTTAATGACTCAGATATTTCATCTTATAACCACTTTTAGATAAGCCAGACTTTCCTTTTGTTGTTGTATTGGTCTTTGATGATTTCATAACAGGTACATTAATATTGGATCATCATAACTTAAAGTTAATGCTTCAGTACTGAAGACCAAAAGATGGTCAGCTTTGTGCCAGACCAGATTTAAACTATACAATAGCAGTGGCTGGCAGGAAGAGCTTTGAGCACCTTCTTGGGATCTCAGCTAAGGGGCAGCCTGTCGCTTACAAGCTTGTCTTGGTCATCAGCAGCTGCACATCTGTCTTAAAGTCAACCAGGAAGTTCCTGCAGAGTTAAGAGGGGAAGAAACTAAGTAGTAGGAGCCGCAAAAGGCCAAAGCCTACACTGGGGTTCAGCAAACAGCTTTGGGTCCTCTATGTCTTAAAACCAGCTCATTCATCCCGCAGCTTCATCCCACTGGATGCCCAAGTCCCGAGAGCCAGACATAATTCCCCAGGTTAATCCAAGCCAGACTGGGAAGCATGGGAGAAAACTTTCCTAAGTTGAGTCACATCAGTACTATTTTTATGAGTCGTCTTTTTTTTTTTTTTTAATAGAGAAGCTTGTTCTTCCCTCTTCATGATTGTGTTCTTTATGTAGAATTTGTCATCTTTTCATTCCTTCATGTTTATTGAATCAGTTAGGATTAGGCTTGGCTGTGAGTAACAAAAACCCAAAATACTGCATTTCATGTAGTAAGACTCATCCTTTTGTCACATTTTAACTTCTCTGAAATTGGAATGTGTCATACAATTGGATGGGTTGTCTTTAGTTGGCAGCAGTTTCTTTTTCTTAGCGACGTACTAAGTAATGCTACCTTACAACCAATGACAGAGTAGATGAAAATGGTAATGGTGGCTTAAACAGTGGAATTTTATTTCCCTCCTGTAAAATGCTGGAAGAAAACAGTCTGGGGCTGGTAAGGGGCTTCATATGATCACCTTCTGAAGTCCTTACTAGCTTGTTCCATCATTCTCAACACATGGTTTCTACCCTCTGGTCCAAGGTGGCCGTTAAGGTTATGGCCTTCCATGCCTATATTCCAGCCATCAGGGTAGAAAGAGTGAAGAAGGGATTCTCCTTCCCATTAAGGATACTTTCATTAGGGCATACACAGTATTTCCAGTTATAATCTATTGGCCAGAACTTCATTGCAGGTTCCTATCTAGCAGCAACAGAGGCTGGGAAATACCTCTATTCTGGGTGGCCATCTAAAAGATGGGGAACCTAGTTGTAAGGAAGAAGAGATCATATAGGGCAACCAGTAGTCTGAGCCACACCTATTTTTTATTTCTCAGCTCATAAACATACTTCCTTGAGATAAACTAATGCATAGAGAAATGAATTCCAAGATCATTTTCTCAGGCTGCAATGCCTCAGGCTAGATTTATTGCCTTCTTGATGCTTTTCCAAAAGGGAAAGGATCTATAGAGGGCAGTACAGGATTTCCTGGGACCATGGAGGAACAAGTGCTAAGACAAGTCCCGGGTGGAAGTAGGGGCAGCCTGATGAGATGAACACTGAATTGGAGTGGGAGTTGTGTGTTAAATACAGCCCTGTCACTAACCAGCTGTAAGATCTTCGATAAATCCCTTTTTTAAGCACCAGGTACTTCATAAAATGAGGGATTGGAGTCTATAGAATCAAAAACTAAGGTAGGAGAAAACCTTAAAGAATAGAATTTTAGGGCTGGAAGATCAGCTGGTCCAGTGCTTTCCAACTACTCCCAGGAGCCCCGCAGCAGTGCCAGGAGGCCTTGGCACCTACAGTCAGGGTGTGTCCAATAATAACACACTGGGCTTATATATTTAGGGAGGGGAAAGGTGATTGCAGAAGATTTCATGTAATAAAAACGTTCCATTGCTACCAAAAGTTGAAAACCAAAGATGACTCAATACTCATAGCTGAAGAAATGGAAGCCTAAATAAGAAAACTGACTGGCACATCATTACATATCTATAACCAGGGGCAGGACCTGAACCCAGTTTCCCTTACTCTTGGCTTTTTTGTTTATACCCTCCTGCATCCCCACCCCACCCCCAACCCCCGTCTGAATAGCTGGCTGGCCACCTTTTGCCTGAACATTTGCAGGGACACTGAGTGGGCTCAGGACTTCACCAGGAAGTCTCCTTGCCCACCTCCAATGCACACGTACACACACACACACACACACACACACACACACACACACGCTTGGCTGGCAGCACAGATTGCTAGGACCTTGAGCGGAAACCTGGTTTCTCATAACCGGTTGCTCATTGGTTCAAGTT
The DNA here is from genome assembly GCF_000001405.40 of Homo sapiens. Classification (NCBI taxonomy): domain Eukaryota; kingdom Metazoa; phylum Chordata; class Mammalia; order Primates; family Hominidae; genus Homo; species Homo sapiens. Next base: position 64,596,447 of record NC_000002.12, read on the forward strand.
ACCTTCTCTCAAGCTGCAGGGATGAACCTAGACTCTTCCATGAATATCTGAAGATCACTACCATGCTCCTCCTCCTACCAAACCTCCCGTGATGACATGGTTTCCAGGCCTTTCTCACACACATTATTCTTTTCTGGACATTGTCCAGTTTGCCAAAGTTCCTCTTAAAATGTGCTCCCCTGACAGAGCCAGAGGCCATCTCTTCACTGGCATGGGGCTCAGGTTTATTTCAGACCCTACTTTTAATGTAGCCTAAAATTGCATTACCGTTTATGGCAACAATATTGCCTCTTTAGCTCAGTGTGTGAACAGCCTTTTACCCCTAACTGCCGTCAAACCAGATTTTTTTTCTCTCATCTCTCATCTCCTGGTGTCACTGAGTTTTTTGAGCCTAAAAGCACGGTTTTATATCGATCCTTTTTCAGGATTTTTTGTCAGCTTTAGACCATTGTTTCAGCCCGTTCATCCCATCAAATCTTCATTGTACCATCAACACACAGACTTGCCCTCCTTCCTCTGCTCTGTCATCCACAGATTGATAAACATCCTTCATAATCCAAATCACTCACACAAAATGTTGACCAGTAAAACATCCAGTGTGCCAGGAAGACCCTGGGTGCGGCTTCTCAACCCAGTGATGCCCACATTTCTTCATCTTGCCCACCAGTCATAAAAACAGGTGAAGCCTTGCCAAATCCAATCATGTTACACCTGTGGCATCTCATGGGCCATCCTGAGCATTTCTACAGATGCTCCCCAAAACCTCACGCAGCTTGAACATTTCTGTGATGCCCAGCATGGTGGCACACACCTGTAGTCCTGGTTACTCAGAAGGCCGAGGCAGGAGGATCACTGGAGCCCAGGAGTTCGAGACCAGCCTGAGCAACACAGTGAGACTCCTTTTTTTTTTTTTTTTTTGAGACGGAGTCTCACTCTGTTGCCCAGGCTGGAGTGCAGCGGCAAGATCTTGGTTCACTGCAACCTCCACCTCCTGGGTTCAAGCAATTCTCTTGCCTCAGCCTCCAGAGTAGCTGGGGTTACAGGTGCGTGCCACCACCCCCAGCTAATTTTTGTATTTTTAGTAGCGACAGGGTTTCACCATTGTGGTCAGGCTGGTCTTGAACTCCTGACTCATGATCCGCCTGCCTCGGCCTCCCTAAGTGCTGGGATTACAGGTGTGAGCTACCGTGCCTGGCTGAGATTCCATCTTTAAAAAAAAAAAAAAAAAATCTGACTAGTTCTCCAAAAGAAGCATAAGGATGATAAAACAAGTAGAAGATCAAATGACATCTACTCAGGATGGGAGATTAAGTGAGGATGATCCATATCATCACTGGCATATAGAAAGCCCTCAGTAAACAACTTTTTATCTTCATTCATCCAGATCAGTCTTCTGTCATTGATGATGCAGATAGGAGGCTGATAGGAGGAGGATATGGTTGTCTTCTTAAAGTTGCCCTTAAGGAATCTGCTTTGTTTCAATTATCTATCATTTCAGTTATCTTTTCAGCCTGGACCATCTGTGAGAATACTGCATATCACTTTACATAATGTTATTATTTTAAATTTACCTCTTTCAAAAACTGCTCCCTTCCTTCAGTTTTCAAAAACCAGGATTTAGGGAACAAAATACTGGTCACTGTTGTTGTCAACTGTGACTTCAAAGCCTTTCGCTTGCTCACTCCCAGCTCTCCTTTTGACCAGAGCTCATGCTCCTCTCCTGCCTCACCATCCCTCCCCTGAAGGTCAGGGACTAGGGAGGGTCACGAAGACCAAAAGGGTCAAGGAGGGAAAATAAGGAGATCTTTTGTGATCTGCGCTGTGTCTACCTTAGAAGAGGGGCTGCTGTCATCTCCTACCCAGTGTTTCCGCTACAGAATCCTTGATCAAAACAGCTAATGATGATCTCAGTGGAGATCGTCATCTTTCCTCTCCCCTGAGCTCTGTGCGCCACCCCCTTTTTTATTTATTTATTTATTTATTTATTTATTTATTTTTTGAGACAGTCTCTCACTCTGTCGCCCAGGCTGGAGTTGAGTGGCACAGTCTTGACTCACTGCAACCTCCGCCTCCAGGGTTCAAGCAATTCTCCTGTGTCAGCCTCCCAAGTAGCTGGGACTACAGCTGTGTGCTACCAAGCCCAGCTAATTTTTGTACTTTTGGTTGAGATGGGGTTTCACCATGTTAGCCAGGCTGGTGTCAAACTCCTGGCCTCAAGTGATCCGCCCTCATTGGCCTCCCAAAGTGCTGGGATTACAGGCGTGAGCCACTGTGCTCAGCCCTGCACCACTATTCTGACAACCCTATGGCCGTCCCCACCTAGATGTCCCCAAGACACTCCTGCAATTAAACATGTGTACCACAAAGGCTTGTGCTCACAGCCTTCCAGCCCTCCACCCGACCCCACCATGCCCCTGGCCTTAGGATCACCCTTGCTCCATTTGCCACACTTCAGGTTCACTCTCAGCCTGCTCCCCTTCCTTACCCCTCATCCTATTGGCCTGAAATCCTGTCAGTGACACCTCCTAAGTATCCATTGCCTCTCTCTTCAAGCCTTCATCATCTTTACATGATTATTGTAACAGCCTCACACTGACCTTCCTCTGCCCGTCCCACCTCCAATTTAACCTTCCACTATGCCAATGGAATGCTCTTTTCCTGTTGAGCATCCTTCATGGTACCCCCTTACTCTCTGGACAGTCAGCTCCTTGGCAGGTTCCACAGCACTGGGATCGTCCTCTCTGCATGGAGGCTCCCACCTGGCCTACCAGCTCCTTGCTAGTTACCAAATGCCCACTGAGGGCTGGCCCACGCTCATCGTCTCTTAGGAAAAGCCTTTCTCACCAGCCAGCCAGCCTCATTTCCTCAGGGAGCCTTTCTGGGCCACCTCCACAGACAGAGCTGGCTCTCCAGCCTCTGCGATTGCTTGGCAAATCTCTGTGATCATGTAATGCTCATCATAAAACTACTTCACATTTATTAAGAGCTCTGCTGAGTGCCAAGTACTGGGCCTCACACACATTCTCTCTTAATGCTCACGGTAACCCTAAAAGGTACCTGAACTCATCTCCTGATAAGGAAACCAAGACGGGACATGATGTCACTTCCCCCAAGGTCATAGAGCCAGGAAGCAGAAAAGTCTTGAGCCCAGATCTGAAGGATCACAGAGCCTGAACACAGCCACAGAGCATCAGCCTCAGTGGGATGAGGGCTGTTATGTCACCTCTCACCTTGCTTCCTGATGATGGATTTACTTGTCTCTCTCCCTCAGGCCATGAGCTCCTTGAGAGCAGGGACTGGATCTGGCTCATGTTTGTCCTCTGTCCTCTGGCACAGTGCCTGGTGCATGGGCTGACTTTCATTTTGTTTGCTTCCTAAGCCAGTTTATGCATGAGCCCCTCAGGGGAATGTACGGGGACCCTTCCTGAATCTGTGCTTTGCTTCTGCCTGCAAACATTGTGACCCTCACCTCAAGCAATGTCCAAATTTTCCCCCAAAATATCATATTCTATCACTCACTGACTCAGTTCTCCAAGCTCTGAAGCAACCCCCCAAACCCTTCGGTTTTCATTCTGCCAAATGCTATCTGTTTCTGTTGGCTTTTGCCTCAATCCCTGCCTTGTGTAACCAGCAGGTAAGAACTGGATATGGGGTGATCCTACTCCTGGGGTACAGCTCTACAGCCCACAGCACCAGGAAGCCCCTAGTTGAAAAGTATGTACACAGCTCTGTAGGAGAGACCCCTGAACCTAGGACCCATCCTGACCATTCCTCCTAGGGTGCCCTGAGTGGATGGTTGGAGGAAATCAGTAAAGATGCCTCTCAGTTGCCGAGTGTGATACCACAGGAGCACCTGAAGGCATGCTGCCTAAGGAAACCTGCCCCACCCACTGTCAGCCTCACCGCACCCCACCCCCAACCTTTTATTTTTCTCTGTTATCCAAAGCAAGACTTCCAAGTTTGGGCTGGAGGTGGTGCAGGGAGGGTAGGTGGAGTTGCTTCTGACTTTGTAGCTCTGGGACCAGGCTTCCCAACATGGCCCAAGGACCCCCAAACCCAGCAGGATTACTGCCAAAGCAAGCCACACTGGGGGCTCTCCTTCTGTTATAAGTTCAAGTCACATAGCCTGGGCACGGTGGCTCACACCTGTAATCCCAGCACTTTGGGAGGCTGATGCAGGAAGATGGCTGAAGGCCAGGAGCTCAAGACCAGCCTGGGCAACATAGTGAGACCCTGTCTCTATAAAAATAATTTTTTTTAGGTGGAGTCTTGCTCTGTTGCCCAGGCTAGAGTGCAGTGGTGTGATCTTGGCTTACTGCAACATCCACCTCCCAGGTTCAAACGACTCTCCTGCCTCAGCCTCCCAAGTAGGTGGGACTACAGGTGTGCACCATCACATCCAGCTAATTTTTATATTTTTTAGTAGAGATGGAGTTTCACCATGTTGGCCAGGTTGGCCTTGAACCCCTGATCTCAGGTTATCCGCCCGCCTCAGCCTCCCAGAGTGCTGGGATTACAGGCATGAGCCACTGTGCTCAGCCAACAATTTTTTAAAATAAATAAATTTAAGCCACAGCTTAAAAGAGACCCTCAGCTAAATGGAGACATGTTACCAAAATCAGTATTTTTACTCAGTGGGAGGAGAGAAGTCTTGCCTAAGGACTGTCCAACTCCTCATAGAACACTTTAGTCCTAGGAAGCATCAGGGGAGTGGGGTTGCAATTTATTTCACTTTATTTCTGCTGAGTTGCCTTGGGAGTCTGAACTTTGATCTGGGTGGGAATCAGAGAATGGCACGGGTCAGTTCAAGCTCTTGTCAGATAAAATGTTCTCCCTTGGCTCAAAGAAGAGGCCTGAACTCACTTCCCGTTAACCTAATATCTGTCTCGGCACCCCTGTTCCACGGTGATCCCTTCTCCCCCACCCTATTTAATCACCTTTCCTGGCCACTGCTGTCCTGGCCATGCAGCAACAGCTACAACCCAGAAGACAGGCAGGTATTGCTTCCCTTCAGCTACTATCTTGTAACTCCCTCTTAATTTACAATCTGTTTGCTGTTTCAGATGTTTGGAAAGAAAACGCCTTAGTCAGCAGCCCTAGAAAGCCTCATTTTCAGTAAAATCTGGACACTTCTTTTCCACCCTAGGGTTGTGGTTTTTGTTTGTTTTTTTTTTTTTTTTTGGCTGGAACCTAACATCTGTGAGGCAGACAGGACCACATGGGCTCTGTGTCACCAGACACCTGTTGAAAGGATGTAGTCAGGGGTAGAAAACCTGGGCCGAGCCCACCGGTGACAGCCGGTATTTATCTAATATCAGCCTCCACTGACAGGGAAATGGACGGCAACCCAGCACTAACAGAAGAGCAAAGAGAAGAAAAGGTGATGGGTCCGAGCTGCAAATGCTCCTGGGGACCTGCTGGGAATCCCTTTCCCCACTGACTGACAAGAAACCCAAAGGTGCTTGAAGACATGATGGTTTTCCCTGCTGAAGAGGAGTGGCTGCCACCACAGTATACACCTCCGCAGGGCTGACCTCTGGGGAGAGGGTCCTTCCAGGCACATCCGTAAAGCGACACACCTGTCAATCTGCCTGAGTTTTCATGGTCTTGTGGTGTGCTTCTGAAGGATCATGAAAGAAAGGGCATGCGCGATTTTAGATAATTGTTTCAACACGGGGCTTGGTAGAAAACAAAACTCATAACTGGAACTGTGTTTTATGCATGAGGCAGCTCTGGGGCCCTGCCAGCTCATGGCTTGCCTAGGCCATACGTCCTCAAACGCACCAGCCTCAGGACATGAGGAATCCTGAGCCCTCGAGGTCACAGAAGAGGTGGCCTGTGCATCACTCCTGGAAAAGAGGCAGAAAAGTGGCAACCAGAGTTCAAATGAGGGCACCGCCACTTCTGTTGTGAGACCATAGACCAGTATGTAAAATGTGGCTAGGAATTAAAGTAAAAAATACCAAAACAGCCTGCTTAGGGGAGTTAGAGATAACTCATTGTCTTCGTCTGTTTGGACTGCTATAACAAAATACATTAGACTGGATGATTTATAAACAACAGAAATGTGTTGCTTACGGTTCTGGAAGCTGCAAAGTCCGAGATCAAGGCGCCAGCAGACTCCGCGTCTGGTAAAGGTGCACTCTCCGCTTCGCAGATGACTTCCTACAGCGTCCTCACCTGGAGGGAGAGATAAGTAAGCGCCCAGGCCCCTTTTATAGGAGCACTAATCCCACTCACAAGGGCTCTGCCCTCGTGGCCTAACACCTCCCAGGTGCCCCAACTCTTAACACCACCACATTGGGGATTTGGTTTCAACATATAAATTTTGAGGGAGACACAAACATTCAGACCAGAGCACTAAACCCTTAGCACATGAATCTCCATAGGGTATGACTGCAACATCGACAACCACTTAGCATAATGCTTGGAAATAGTCAGTGCTCAATAAATGTTAGTTATTGTTTAGGGCACCAAGATCTTAGTGAGTATCTACATTGTATACTGCCTGGGTTGGGAGCTTTTTAGGGCATTAGGGTATTTAATATGCAGCACCTGATTCAATGAACTAATTAGGGACCGTCAGGTCAGCTGTTCACTATCAAATGATTATGAGCAACCTACTCTTGACTTAATGATGAGGCTACAGAAGTAAGCCCTGTCAGGAGGCTGGGAAGGGGCTCAGTTTGGGGAGACGGCCATGTGGCCCAGAATCACCCAAAGAGACCTCAGAGGGATCTCATAGGCATGTCCATAAAAGGTGACCCTTGGCAACCTGTCCACATTTTTAATTGTCTTATGATGGGCCCATGTTTTTAATTGTCTTGCGGTGGCCTGCAAGATGGGTGGGATGTGAACACGTGCAAAGGGAGTGATCAGCCAGGGCCCATCCTGGGAAGTAAATCCCAACAAAGACTATCCATCCATCCATTCATTCAACTTCTAATAAGCACGTACTATGTGCCAGGTGCTTGTGTGTTCCATCCCAAACTCACAGAGAGTGTTCACCCTTGGGTTTGTCAAGCATCTGGTACCTGGCCAAGCCCAGGAAGGTGAGTGGTGTCCTTTAGGGTATCTCATCTTCCTCCCTCGAGCCATCCCTAACTTCAAATATCTTAGATTTTATTTACTTGTTTATTTTACTGAAATTTTTTAGAATAAATTATGGACATTCTCCCATGTCACCCACACACACCAACACCATATCCAAAATAAAGGGATGATTTTCCATATCTAACCTCACCACTGTTATCACACCTAAGACAGTTAAACATAATTTCTGACTCCCATTTGAAATGAAGTCTATATTTGAATTCCTCCAAATGTCCCTAAAATGTCTTTTCTGGTTTGCCTGTTCAAACCAGGGGTTGCTCAAGGAAAATACATCTCATTTGGTTGTATGTTTCTTTTCATCTAGAACAGTTCTCCCATCTTTTTCTTTTTCTTTATAATTTCAACTTTTATTTTAGATTCAGGGGGTACATGTACAGACTTGTTACCTGGGCATATTGTATAATGCTGAGGTTTGGGGTATAAATGATCCTGCCACCCAGCTGGTGAACACAGTATGCAACAGTTAGTTTTTCAACCCTTCCCCTTCTCCCTCCCTCTCCTCTCTAGTAGTCTCTGGTATCTATTGTTGCCATCTTTATGTATGTCCATGAGAACCCAATGTTTAGCTCCCACTTATGTGAGAACATGTAGTATTTGGTTTTCTGTTCACATTAATTTGCTTAAGATTATGGCTTCCAGCTCCTCCTAGGTTGCTGCAGAGGACATGATTTCATTCTTTTTTATGGCTGCACTTTTATTTTTCATTACATGGCTTTTTTGAAGAGATCAGGCTAGTCGTCTTGTAGAATGTCCCACATTCTGGATTTATCTGATTGTCTCCTCCTAGTGTCATTTAGCTTGTCCCTCTATCCCCTATGCTTCCTCTCATGGTATCCATAAGCATGGGGGTGCTCAACAACCTCGTCATCCAGAAACCCCCAGCAGTGGGAACTGACCCTGTGGGTCATCACTCCTACTGGGCTATCCCAGCCCCATCAGGATTGGTCACCTGGTGCCTGGTCCTCCTTCCTCACAGGGGCCTTTCTCAGACCTGTGCTGAACTCCCTCCCTCCCCGCTTCAGCCTCTGCTGGAAGAAGCCTTTCCTGACCATTCACTGAAAGTGTGCCCCCCAACCTTCTCTAGATCCCAGCCTACTGTATTTTTCTTCTTATCACACCATATCATCCAATATATATTTACTGTTTATTTTGTGTTCTCTGTCTCTCCTGCCAACACTGTAAACTTAATTAGGACAGCGACCATTATTGCCACAATCACTACTGTATCCCCAGTGCCTAGAACAGCTTCTCATACAAAGAAGGCACCTCATAAACCTTGAATGAATGAGCGTATGAATGAATGGGCCCTATGGCTAATAATCCAATTCTAAGTATACCATCTACCCCAAGTAATATTGCTTGAGGGAATCATCTTCCCAGAAACACATACAAAATTCTGAAACTACACTTAACATTAAGCAGGGGAAAAACCACATCATCTATGAACAGCAACAAAGTCTCCCTGTGCAAGTTGTCTGGTCTTCCAGCCCTCAGGCCCACCCCGCCCTCTCCACCAGACTTTGGGCAACTCCTGGATCACTCAACCCAGGGTGAATCCAGGGCCGCTTAGCCATAAATACCATTTAGTCTCACTCAGCAAATATGAGCCCTATGAATTATAGCACTTGGCTTGGAGGATGATTTCTTTTGTCTGATTTTTTTCTAAGTCGAGTCTACTTTTTTCCTCCTTTTTCTTTCTTAGCCTTCAAACGCTGAACAAATTCTGCATTCAACTCCCAGCCAAGTTTTGTAGCTTGGAGCTGGCACTGAGCCAGAGGGCCCGGGCAGAGGAATCAAGGAGAGTCCCCGGAGCCAGGGTGGAAGCTGGGGTACAACCCACTGATGAGCAAAGGAGCAGGGCTAGCTTGTGTTTTGTTGGGATCAAACCAACAAATGAGACATGGCACAGTGCACCATCTAAAATGGAGCTTCTCACCCTGGCTCCCAGGGAGCCCAGGAACCCCCTGAAACTGTGTGCAACATCTTGTGAATATTTGCTTCCAAGCACCTTTCTGGGGAGAGGGTCTGTAGCTTTCATCAGTTTCCCAAGGGAGTTTGTGACATCCTCACTCCACCCCCAAAAAGAAGGGTAAGAAAAACACAGTGTCTGGCAGCTTTTCGGATACAGGATCAAAATTGTGTGAAACTCTTGCTATGCCCGCACCTCACCCAGGAGCTCAGGCTCATTTAGGAAACAAGGCCCGATTGAAGGAGGCAGGTTCGGGTTTTGTTTTATTTTCTTTTGTTGAGTTATCATTTCTTGAGAGCTTCCTGTATGCACAGCACAACATTAAGCTCTCTGACAACAACAATAATAGCTAGCTCTCAACCCAGCACTTAGCGCCAGGTCCTGTTCAAGGTGTTTTCTGTGTATTTGCTCATTGACTCTCCCAAGAGTCCTAAGAAATAGGTACCATTATTCTCATCTCACTTTACAGATGATAAAACTGAGGCACAGAAAAGGAACTTGCCCCAAAACCCACGGCAAGACAGATCTGAACCCAGGGGGTCTGGCTCCAGGCCCATGTGCCTATAGGACCCCTCAAGCTCTGTTATTTCATTGGAACCTACACTTACCTCCAAAGTATGTAGTCTTGTTTTCTCCGTTCTACAGGTGATAACACTGAGGTTGAACAACTTGCCCAAGGTCACCTCATGCTTTACACACCTGTCACTGTGAGACTGACAACCAGAGAACAGTCAAAGGAATTCAGAGGGGGTCATTTCAGGAAGGGGAGACAGGGGAAGAGTCAAGCAGGGGCGGTGGGAATCTGGGAGGTCATGGAGCTCAAGTGTGTGTGCCTGAAAAACCGCTCCCCGAGTGCTGAGGAGCAGCCAAGCCTCCTTCCAGAGCCCTCAGCCCAGGAGAGGTGGCTTACAGTCCCACAGGTGGAGGAGGAGCCTTAGGCTCAAGGTTAACACCCACTCTCCTTCCCTGTTCTGCATCACAGTCACGGGGGTCACCCAAGGAGTGCCTTGTATGGTAGAGAGAGATTAACAGGGCAGCCTCCCAGCAGTCCCCACCCCAACCCTGCTCCCTGGGCCAGCTGTCCCGCTGTCATTGACCCGGTCCCTATTTACAGTTCAGTAGCAGAGGCCTATGACTCAGGGACAGAGGGAATTCCCACGGTGCCAGGCCTCAGGCCATGTGGAGAGTGGCTCATTAAGAGCCACGGCACAGCGATTACCTCCAGAGAGGCGTGTGAGCAGGTACCTTGGAAGCTCTGTTTCTCATGTTTCTAAAGATCGCCAAGGTGTTGTGTTCTGAGTAATAATGAATTGCCTTCATTATTCACACGCACAACCTGCACCACCGCCCACAAAGGCCTTGGACACTCCTGCTGAAGAGGTCAAGTCAGCCCTCTGGTCCCAGCTCTCCCATTGACTGGCTGGTGGGTGTCAGCCTAAGAGCCGTATGGACTTCGTCAGTGCCGGAGTGTGAGGCCCTTTGTATTTTGGAGCCATTACCAGAAAGCAGAGCCTCCAGTAGACCTTTTTCAAACTTTCTGTGTGGTTTGCACGTTCGTCCACTGTACCGAGGTAGCATTTCTTCTCATTATGACTCCTGGGGCTGTCCGCCTGCCTCCGGTTCCCAAAACCCTGTGGGTGTGGAAGCTGTGAGGTAAGCAGAACATGGCCCAGCCCCCGGGCCCTGCTGATTGGTTCAGAAGTGGACCTCTGGCGCAGGCCCCTCCAACCACAACATCCTGAGCTCTTGGCAACAATTGTTTGGTGACGGCCTCAGCTTTTAACTAGAATTTTGGAGAAAAGCTGCAGTGTGTCTTTAACTTGTTAAGCTTGGGAGCTGCTATCGGAGAGTCTTGCATTCTGGGCCCAGCCACATCCCTGCTCTTGGTAAAGGTTAGTTATTTACCTTTAGTTAATTACCTTTACCAAAATTATTTGAGCAAAAAATAAATTATATACATGCACACGCGTGCACACACACACACACCCATACATATGTCTTTAAACTACTTAGAGGGGCGTTCCTGCCACTTGCAACCAGCCTGTCATATATACTTCTCTGAACCATCTGGACATTTTGCAGGAGGTTCCCTTTCTGCAGAGGGACAAAGGGGTTGGCTGGGGAGAACATGAAGGCCTTTGGGTTAATGTGTTGGAAGCTGCCGCCAAGCTTGTAAATGAAAAGCATCTTTGAACTCATTGAGTAAACGTATAGGAAAGTGGATTTAAATTGAACGTCATCTGCCTACCGTCTTGGAAGCACATGTGTATGGCCCCAAAGCTAAAGGCTGCTAGACTTCTGCACAGGAGCTTGCGGCCTGGTGGTAGTCACTTCCCTTGGCGGGGCTTCCAGGGGTCCAGCAGCCTCACCTGACACGTGACACAGGGGCAGAGCCAAGCAAAGCTTCAGCCTCCAGTGCGAGGTGCAGCCACAGCTATCTCCTGCCCAGCTGGATTTTCCAGTCCTGCCGGCACGTTCCTTCCTGTTCCTTCCCTCATCCTTTGGCAAACAGATATCTGCAAACTCAGGCACCCAGAGAGTGAGGGGATTCCCATGGGGCCCTTCCGTGGTATAGGCTCTTGGGGCTCTGCCAGCCTGCTCTTAGAGGCCGGGACTGGTGGGCTAGGCTGGCAAAGCTATCCTCCATGCCCCGCTCTCCTCCCTCCTGTCTTCCTTTCCTCCACCCACCTCGCAGCCCCTGGCCTGCCTTTACTCCCAGCTCTCCTCCCTGAACCAGACCCGCTCCACCCTCTGCCACTTACACCTTTAAGGTGGACAACTGAGCTGGAAGGAGCCTCAGAAACCATCCCCATCCAATCCAGTTCCTTTCCAGAAGGAGAAACTGAGGACAGGGAGGCGAAGTGAGCTGTTAAAAGTCACCATCTAAGGAGCTGTGCTGGGGATAGAACACGGGTGGCTACGCCGGGCATGGTGGTGCGCACCTGCAGTCCTGGCTGCTGGAGAAGCTGAGGCGGAAGGATCGCTTAAGCCCCGGAGTTCGAATCCAGCCTGGGCAAGGGGCGAGATCTTCCTTTCTTAAAAAAAAGGAAAAAAAGGGCCAGGCGAGGTGGCTCACGCCTGTAATCTCAGCACTTTGGGAGGCCAAGGCGGGCGGATCACTTGAGGTCAGGAGTTTGAGAGCAGCCTGGCCAACATGGTGAAACTCCGTCTCTACTAAAAATACAAAAATATTAGCCGGGCGTGGTGGCGCATGCCTGTAATCCCAGCTACTCGGGAGACTGAGGCAAGAGAATCGCTTGAACCCAGGAGGCGGAGGTTGCAGTGAGCCGAGATCGTGCCACTGCACTCCAGCCTGGGCGACAGAGCAAGACTCTGTCAAAAAAAAAAAAAAAAAAAAAAAAAGACAGAAGAAGGAAGGAAGGAAGGAGGAAGGAGAACCAGTGGCCAGCGCCCTGAGTGTGTTTGGAGAGGATTGGGGTGTGGGGGTGTGCGTTTGAAGCCTTGTGTCTCCTGTGGACAAGGAGGAGCGCTCTGTGCCCTGGGGGAAGCCAAGGGAGAGGAGGGGTTGGAGAGGCAGGGACCCCGTCCGCCTGGACACTCGGGAGTGAAGGCGTGACAGGCCTCAGCCGGCCGTCCCTCCTCGCGCCTCTGCCCCGGGGGACGCACGAGGACCAGAAAGCCGAGGGGGCGCAGGGCCTGCTCTGGCCGCCGGGCCCGGGATGCCAGGATGCGGGGGGCCGGGGCTGCCGGTGCTCTTGGGGGCAGGGGGAAGCTCCGCTCCCTCTACAGAGGACAACCGCCCCGCCGCCCCGGCAGCCTCCGAGGCGCCCTCTCCGCGCTTCACTCTCGGCCGCTCCCCCGGAGCCACGCGAGCCGGTCGTGGCGGCTGGACCCGAGCCTGGGAGCCTGCAGGCGGCCGCGCCGCGCTGCGCTGCCGAACCGCCCGGAGCCGCAGGTCCGCCGCCCGCCCGCTCGGGGGCGCCCCAGCTTCCGGCCTCCGGCGGCTTCCGCGTCGCGCTCCCAAGGCCCGGCGGCCGCGCCAGGTCCCCTCGGCGCCCCCCGTCCCCTCTGCCGGGCGCTCGCCCCCGCCTCCACCCTGGGATCTGAGCCCGGGCCGTCTCCCCGCGGCGCCGCGCCTGACGGTCACTCTCTCTGACCTCCTGGGCCCAGTCCTGGGGCCAAGAGCCGCATCCCCGGGGACCTTGGTAGAAAAATATGCGGCTCCTGTAGCCACCCAAGATCTTCTGGATGAGAACCCCTGCACCAGCAGACTGGGTGTCGTGGACCTCCAAGCGGTTTTGACGCTGCGGAAGCTTGAGAACCTCCGCTCTGGAGCCCAGACCCCGCTGGAGGGTGGACAGAGCGGGAGGGTGGACTGAGCCTCTCGGGGACAGCGACCCTGTCTTTGTTCCCTGAAATAGCAGGGAGTCCTGCTGATTATTGACTGGTGAGACAGGGAAAATGGTTCCTGCAGGCAGCCCTGGGGTACTTTAATAAAAATGGTCTTTCCTGGATGATGACCAGGAGTGACTTGGAAACTGACACAAATTTCCTCAAAGGATTGATCCATTTAGCATCTGTTTAGATTACATCCCAAGTTGTTGGCAATGGAGCTGGAAAAGCACTCTGACCCTCTATTGTCAATGGTCTCTGAGGGGCTCACAGCACCTGGCGTGGCTCACATATCCAGCATTCTGCCAGGAACGTGGACCCTTGCTTCATGGACGTCATTTATAGGCTGAGTGAAAATCTATCCCAGAAGGTTTGGGATACATTTGAAGATACTTCCAACCTTCACTAAAGATTATTCCCATTTCATAGGAAGGAACTACGTCCCTTCTTATTCCACCTAGAAAAATGTGGAATAATTCAAAAGATGTGACCATAACTTTTTGTCTTTTTTCCAGAATATTTTAAAATATGTTTACATAATATTTACAATAAAATTTAACACATTCATAACTCTGTAATGTGTCGCATCCCCTGAGACCCAAGTGTCTGCTGTTAACCTAGTGACAGGGAGGGCTAAGCGTGGTGTGTTAAGGAATGTTGGCTCACTGCACAATATCTCCCACCAGAAGTCCATTTTGCAGCCAACAACCTTTGAATCACCCTGCCCTTGACTCAAGGGGATGATTCTGATGGTGGAGTACGGATCAGAGCGAGGGGAGATTTGGGATAGGCCGGCCAGGTCTCTCAAGTCCCATCTTCCAGGTGACCCTCTCACCTGCTTCTAAGCCTTTGAATGGGTTGTAAGAGGTTGGGGGCTGGGGGTTAGGGATGAGAGGAGGGCCCCAGAAGATGGGGCTTTCTGGCTGGTCTGCTTGGGGAGGATGGGAGAGGGTTTGATAGAGCAGGTGTTTGTTCAGGGCCAATTGTGCTGTCAAGAGCCTGTTTATCCCAACAATTCTACTTCAGGAATTTCTTCTATGGGAATAATCAGAGAGGCCTTAAATGACCAACAATAGGCTGGGCACAGTGGCTCACAACTGTAATCCCAGCACTTTGGAAGGAGGTGGGTGGATCACCTGAGGTCAGGAGTTCGAGACCAGCCTGGCCAACATGGCAAAACCCCATCCCTACCCAAAATACAAAAAATTAGCCCGGCGTGGCACCTGTAATCCCAGCTACTTGTGAGGCTGAGGCAGGAGAATCGCTTGAACCCAGGAGGCGGAGGTTGCAGTGAGCCAAGATCTAGCCACTGCACTCCAGCCTGGGCAATGGAGAAAGACTCTGTCTCAAAAACAAACAAACAAACAAACGGAAAAACCTAACAATGTGGGAGGGGTTTAAAGAAGAGAGCTCAGTCACATGAGAGAACAATCTGCAGCCATCAAAAAATCCCATTTTCAAAACAGTTCTAATGACATGGAGAATTGCTCATGATATGAGGTAAAAAGCAGCATAGAAAATGGTATTGTATGATACCTACTTTATGCAAAATACATATTATTTGCCTAAGGAAACATATATTTTTAAAAAGGACTGGAAGAGAGTTTGTCAAAATATTAACAATGATTTTCTTTGGGTGATGGGTTCATAGGTGATATTTGGTTTCTGCTTTATTTTGTCTGTTTTCCATAATGAGCACATGTTACTTTTGAATTAGAAAAATAATTTAAGAACCTGCAATGTTCTAAGCATTGTGCCAGACTCAAAGATGAATAAGCTACAAAGACGTATTTTCTGCCTTGGAGGAACTCATCATGGTCAATGGAGATAAGAGGTAGCCAGAAAATCGCAGTGTGGGGCAGGGTGGGACAAGTGTATAAGAGAGAGAGGGGCAGGACGCAGTGGGAGCTCAGGGGAAGGACAGAAGACATCCCCTGAAATCTAAGTTCCCTGGGAGCTGGCACCTAGGAGGTCAGCAGAGCAGGGTGGGGTCAGAGTCCCAGCTCTGCTCCCTGATGCCCTGTAGCTTTGGGCAGGTTTCACTAACTAGTCTGGCTTTCCCGTCTGTAAAATGGGATAATGAAAGGTTTTTGTGAGCAATTAATAAGGTAATGAATACAAAACATGGTCCCTGGCACAGAGTAAGTGCTCAATAAAAATTACATTTACAATAGAATTTCTAAAGTCAAGTCTGGGCAGGAAAGTGCAAGGGTAGCGAGGAACTGGTTGAGGTTGCTTGGGGTTCACAGGGAAAGGGTGGGAGACAGGATACAGGATGCCAGCCAAGGGGCACAGCTTCTGGCATAGGTGCTGCACCGCCCTGGAGGCTGGGGGACCAGTTGGGTGGGGGTTGCCTCCTGTGCCCCCTGAGCAACAGAATAATGGAGGATGGCTTGGGGATGAAAGGATGGAGAGTCAACGGGCACAGTGGCTCACGCCTGTAATCCCAGCACTTTGGGAAACCAAGGCGGGTGGATCACCTGAGGTCGGGAGTTTGAGACCAGCCTGATCAATATGGTGAAACCCCACCTCTAACAAAATTAGCCGGTCATGGTGAGCATGCCTGTAATCCCAGCTACTTGGGAGGCTGAGGCAGGAGAATTGCTTGAACCCGGGAGGCGGAGGAGGTTGCAGTGAGCCGAGATCGCGCCATTGCACTCTAGCCTGGGCAACAAGAGTGAAACTCCATCTCAGAAGAAAAAAGAAAGGATGGAGAGTCTGGAGCTAAACTCAAAGCCCTTAGCCCTGACTGGAGAGGGTGAGGGCATGAAGGGACCTCCACAAATCACCCTTGGCATTAATCAAGCATCTACAGTGTTGTATGTGCTCTGTTTTTAGTCCTGTTATAACCTTGAATATCAACATTACTATCTCCATTTTACAGATGCAGAAACTGAGGCCCGGGACCACACACCTGACACCAAGTGGACTAGGATTCAGGCCGTTGACCATATTCTTTCAACTTCAGGAGCAACAGCACCTGGAGGACCCAAATTTGCTGTCATCCTCCACGAGGCCTCAGCAGTCTCCAACATGGAAGGGCACTGAGCCAGCCTGGGGGTTTCCAGGGACCTTCCTGACTGAACACTGGAAAGACCCTTTCATTCCATCCTGTCCCCCAGGTGGGACCCCACGCCCTGAGGTGGAACAGAGGTGAAGAGGAAGGGGAGCGGCTCCTGTGCATTTTAATAGAAATGAATTCAAGTAAGTGTGAGAATGTCATAAATCCCTCAAGAGGGCTAGAGGTGGTGGAGGAGCCCCTGTATCCCCAGGTGATCCCTCTGATGCCTTGACAGGTTCTCTCCTGAAGGACTCAGTTCCTTGGGCCCAAACTTCTCCAGTCTCTCATGAAAGGAGATGAACTGCTTCAGATAAAGTGCTAATCTTCAGCCTCAAAGTCCTCAGAAGGGTAAGATTGCTATGTATCTGAAGATGGGTGCAATAGAAAAGCAAATGTCCCATAAGACCCCAGCTCTCTCCTCCTCCACTGAGAGCGCACACTGTCTACAGGGCAAGTCTCGTTGCTTGAGAAAGTTCTTTTAATTTTTTCCAATCCACCTGGCAAAGAGCCTGACCACAACGTCTGTCTCACCCTCCTTCCCGAAACTTCGGTCTCCCCCATGGGATTTTCAGAATTTGGGAGGGGGTGCTGTGTTGCTTTGCAGTTCTGCTGCCCATTTTTCACAAGAGAAAACTGGGTGTCAACGAAATGAGAATAGATTCTGCAGTGAAAGCATTTGGAGCCAGACAGTGGGAGAAATCTGATGTATAACAGTGGTTTTCAACCACGGCTGCAAATTAGAAGCACAAGAACACTTCAAAAAATACTCATACCCAGGCCCCACCAAATATTTATCTTGAGATGGGATGCTTTCTTGCCTGCTTTCCTTGTGTGTGGGGTGTGTGTATGTGTGCTTGTGTGTGTGATATGTGTGTTTTAAAAAGTCTTCCAGGTGATTCTAATATGCCAGAGCTAAGAATTACTCACCTAAAATAAGACAACTGTGTTAGAAAGAATATCCAATAGAGAAATGAACAAAAGACATGAATGGGCAATTCACAAAGACAAAATAAAAATGGCTAATGGGCACATGAAAACCTGTTGACCCCAATTAATAATTAAAGAAATGCTAAATAAAACAATAATGAGATAGCATTTCACGTATCAAGTTGTCAACCCTTTTTTTTTCTAATGAAAGAATATTCCCAGGAATAACAACAACATGTTTGTGTGTGTTGGGGGTGGGGCTGTGGCGAGTCTCAAACACTGTGAGAATAAATAGCTACAATCTCTCCTGAGGGCAGCTGGGCAACATGCACCTTTACACCCATCAGTTTCACATTAAGATTCTATAAGGATGCACTGGGATTTAGCTAGAGCTGTTCATCTTAGCAGGAACAGAAAATTGGAAATTCCTAAATATCTACCATTAGGAGATGAGTTCAATGAATTACGGTGCTGCCATAAAACAGGATGCCACACAGTCACTGAATGTAATAGAGTCGATGACTATGTCCTGATTAGGGAAGATGTTCAGATAAACTATTGAGTGAAAAAAGAAGCAGTTTCCAAATAATAATACCATTTTTGCTTTTTAAAAAAATAATGTCCTTCCATGAAATAGAAGTAAAAAAATTAGAAGAATATGAAAAGTATATGCGTGTATATGTCAGTACTTAGGAAAGAGCTTGCAAAAATATATGCAGGCCAGATGTGGTGGCTCATACTTGTAATCCTGGAAAGACTCGGGAGGCTAAGGAGGGAAGATTGCTTGGGGCCAGGACTTCCAGACCAGCCTGGGCAAGACAGGGAGACCCTGTCTCTATAATTATTTTTTTCTTTTCTTTTTTTTTTTTTGTAAATTAGCCAGGCATGATAGCACGTACCTGTAGTCTCAGCTACTTGGGAGGCTGAGGCAGGAAGATCCTTAAGCCCAGGAGTTCAAGGTCACAGTGAGCCATGGTTGTACCACTGCACTCCAGCATGGGTGACAGAGTAAGACCCTGTCTAAAAAAAAAAAAAAAGCAAGGTTTTAGTAGTCATCACCTTTTTGTACTACAAAGGTATTTTATATTTTTATTTTTGCTTTCTGTATTTTATAGCTTTTCCCTGCAAAGGATATACTGTATTTGTGTTTGTTAAAAGGAAAAAATTATTTTTAATTAAAAAAATTAATGAAAATTTAAAAATTTAATTTAAAAAAATGAGCAGTTTGCTCATCTGTTTTCCTCTGGGAGGAGACAGTCAACATCTTGGTGCAGTGAAATCTCCAGAAAATCCCCAGACTCTCCACCCTCATTTCCACACCCCACCTTTGACCAAGGAGCCAAAATATAGCCTCAAACTGGACTTCTTTTCCCTCCTCTTCCAGGCCTTCTCCACGCTGCTGGGCTGTGAAAGGCTGAAGGAGGTGGAGCTGGGGAGGAAGATGAAGATCTAGAGGTCTGAGAGAGCTTCAACTGAGTAGAGAGCAGCCTGGGTTCCAAAGTCCTGGCCCCAGCTCTGTGTAGCCATGTGACTTTAGTTCAGGCCCTTGACTTCTCTAAGCTTCTGTGTGCACAGCTATCAAATGGGAGTAATAGCAGTATTGACCTCGTGGGTGGTTATGAGGCTTTACTGAGATGGTACAATGTCAAGGGCTTAGCACATTGCCTGGCACGTAACACTCAGTAAATGCCACCCTGACTGCGTTTAATTTGGGAAGCTAGACCCTTACCTACCCAAGGGCTGTGATGGTAGCAAGCCCACCTGCAGCCATCCTCAGAGGGTAGGTGGAGAGTGAAGCCAAGCCCCAGAGCCACGGACTCCAGAATGAAGGTATGGACTCCGTGCCTGGACCTGTTACTTGATTAGGGTTTCTGACCCCAGCTTCTTCCCCATTTGCCCTGTCACACCATCCCATAATGTCCTGTTGCCCCCCTCTTGACCCTTCCTCCCACCCCAATTCCATTTATCACAGTCCACTTGTGGTGTCAGGGCAGAGACGCCCAAGGCACTGAACTCATCTTGCCACTGTTGGTCGCCCTCTGTGCGTTACAACAATGTGGGACTTGGGGATTCTAAACCACCACCCTCACCAATTCTCTCAATCCCCATGACCATCTCCATGCCTCCAAGACTCTCTGTGCCAGCCCGGAGGGGAAGCTGTCCGCAAGGTCTCTGGCTCCTTAGTGCAGAGCAGGGTCTACACTAGGTGCAGAGCTCTCTGGTCAGCGCAGCAGTGGGCCTGCCACCCAGACACACAGAGGTGGCTCAGCAACAGTCAGAGGCCCTCAGACAACATCGGGAACAGAAGTGGCTGTATGAGCTTCTAAAAAGCCCCATCTGGAAGCTGGAGAAGCTGGGCCCATTTCCTAACTCAGAGGAGGCCACAGTCCCTGGGGCAGGAACTGGCCCCTCCTATTCTTCCCTTGCCCTCCAGAGTGGGGTTGCCTGGGACCAGGTCCTCAGAAACTGTGATGGGAGGAGGGCACCTTTACAACAGCAGGTGGAGCACCTGTAAGTCCTAAGTTCCCTTCCCCAAAGACCAAGAAAGAGTTTGGAGAAGACTGGAGCCAGCCTTGCCTTCTCCTCTCCTGAAGGAATGGATACATGAATGAATGAATGCCTCTACTTTACTCTTTTATTTTTAGAGTTAAGGTAGAGAAAGAATAAAATAGCTGTGGATGTACAAACACCATTTAGAACACAGTTAAACAAGCCCAGAAGCTTAGTTGAATACAAGTGTCAATAGGCAACCACATTTTGCATTTGCTGCCCAGCAGCTAAACCAGAACTGGGCCCTGCAGTGCAGTAGTTTGGCCAACTGTTTAATGAATGAATGACATGACATGACCACACATTTCAGATAACGGGGAAAACGGGGAGGAAGCTTTGGGGGGTGTGTCTCCGCACCCACATAGAGTTGAAGTCACTTGTACTTGGTATAACTTGACAGCTCGGTGAGCTTTAGAATCAAGCACCCACAGATGGGGAAATCTCATTTTCTAAATGAAATTAACAAAGTAGGAGGGGCAGATCAGGGTGTTTCAATTCATACCCCAGCCTGCTCTCCTAGCAATCTGGTAACTAGACCAGAGCTTCTGCTAAGTAAGTTAATCAAACAACACCTGCTGGGGCGGTGCTGCCCACAGACTTGCCCACCATTCTAAGACCCTGTACACACACACACACACACACACACACACACACACACACACACACACTGTCATCCTGTTCTGGGCTATTCTATGTGTTTGATGCTTGAGCCAAAGATAGAATTTGTGTGGACTGTTTTCCCTGAACACTTAACTTTTGCCTGACCAGGTACCCAAGAACTCTTCCCGAGAGCCCAACCCAGGCCTTGAGCAGCCACATTGCCACAGGCCCTCTGGCTTTATTGCTGTGTTGTTGACTCAGCTGGGGATTTCTGGTGGCTTTGAGATTCTCTCTCCATCTGGACTCAGTCTCTGAGGCTCCAGACTCCTTCCTAGTCCCTATTTCCTCCTGTCTTGTCCCCCTTGGACTCACCTGGGCAATGGGCTTCTCCAGTCTGAAAGGGTCAGGCCCTGTTAGGCTGGGGCCACTGCCCTGGGCAGCATCTGGAGTGAAAGGCAAGCTGAGCTGCTGTCAGGCCCTGAGAAACAGGTATTTTTATTCCGGGGAGTGGCCCCTTTTCGGGACTCAGACCCTGGGAATTCAGGTGCCCCACTCAGCTCTAGCTAAAGTTGGGCTCCCAGGACCCTCACCAGGCTAAGAGTGAATGCGCTTGGGTTTCTTAGCTCCCCTGCCCCCCCCACCATTCCCCATAGTGGGTTCCTTTTGTCTTCACTAAATCCCCTCCAATCTCCCCTTCCAAAAGGCAGCAGATCCAAGTGGAATTCAACACCCAAACACTCACACAAAGGCAAGGATTAATAGCTGGCTTTGTCTGGGCACAGATGTGCAGCAGCTTGGCGGGGGGGTGGGGAGGGGGCATTTTTTTCTTGCCACTTGAGTCAGCTGGGTTCTGGCTCCGCACTTGAGGGTGGGGAGGGGAGGAAGCTGGGGAGGAACTGCTGCATGGATTCCCCTCGAGGGCACCACACCCGACTTCTCTGAGCTGGTATGTTCTTGGGAGTCTGGTCCCCACGAAGGAGAGACTTCCTCTACAAAGTTCTTCTCTGGCTGGGAGGCCTGTCAGCCTCTCTTCCTTTGACTTCAACAAGTCACACTCACAAGCTGGTGCGCAGTCTCTGGACTCAGTTCCTGTTCTTCCAGAGCCTGAGCTCTAAAACAGGCCCCAGACATTCTCAAAGAAACCCTGAGAGCTGAGCGGACTAACTGGGACACTGACAGGAGGCACACGGGGGCATACTGCAGGAGGATGGGGAATGTTCCTGGAGGAGCTGGGGCTTAATCTGAGCTCCAAAGGATGGACAGAGGGGAAAGAAGGGGACTTCTTTGCAGCGACTCCAGGAGGGGTCAGTGGGGCAGGAGAGAGCAGGGCCTTGAAGGTATGGGAAGGGGAATGAATATTTCCTGTGGCAATAGGGAGCCACTGAAGTTGTAGATCAGAGTCAGAGCTGGAGAAGCACCATGGGTGTAAGGAAGCCTGTTCTGTTATTGGGCATAGAACAGGCTGGAGGAGGTGGTAGCCAAGGAAACAAATGGGTGTCTCTGGGCCAGAGCTCATTCTCACTCAGCCCCTCTGCATCCAACAGAATCCCTTATTTGAACAATCCATGCTACTATTCAACCACACAATCACGGAATTACAAATTTGGTCCTCAATATTTAGGGACAGAAATATCATGTTTCCCTATTGTTCTATGTCAGGTAAATTAGGCTTCATTCCTAAACACAGAGCTCATTGGAAATATGACATCAGTCAAGTTTGGGGTGAAGGGGTGCTTCCCCTTCCCTAGGGTGGGACAAGTATCTGGGGTCTCCAGACCAGCTGGTCTCTGAGGGGCTTGTTGATCAAGACAAGACCCCTGGTATCAGGAGGTTTATATGCTAGAGGAGGAAAAACAGTAAGAAACAAGGAAGCAAATGAATAAATGGGATAGCTTTAGATCAAGTTTGTCCAACCTGTGGCCTGCAGGCCACGTGCAGCCCAGGACAGCTTTGAATGCAGCCCAGCACAAATCTGTAAACTTTCTTAAAACATTATGAGATTTTTTTTTTCCTGAGACAGAGTCTTGCTCTGTCACCCAGGCTGGAGTGGAGTGGCATGGTCTCGGCTCACTGCAGCCTCCGCCTCCCAGGTTCAAGTTATTGTCCTGCCTCAGCTTCCTGAGTAGTTGGGATTACAGGCATGTGCCACCACACCCAGTTAATTTTTTGTATTTTTAGTAGAGACGGGGTTTCACCATGTTGGCGAGGCTGGTCTCGAACTCCTGACCTCAGGCGATCTGCCCACCTTGGCCTCCCAAATTGCTGTAATTATAGGCATGAGCCACCATGCCTGGCCAAACATTATGAGTTTTTTTAGCAGTTTTTTTTTCCTTTTTTTTTTTTTTTTTAGCTCATCAGTTATCATTAGTATTAGTGTATTTTATGTGTGGCCCAAGACAATTCTCCTTCTTCCCATGTGGCCCAGGGAAGCCAAAAGATTAGACACCCTTGCTTTAGATAGTGACAAATGCTGGAGAAGAACAGACTGATATGTCTGGCTGGGATGAGTGGTCAGAGAAGGCTACTCTGAGGAGAGAGCATTTCAGCTGAGAACTGGAGGATGAGAAGGAGTGAGACATAGTAGAATCTCATCTAGTCTAGATATTTAACCCTTTTTGGTCTAAAAACAGTAATTTCAGAGAGCTCAACGTAATACAGAGATAGAGGTGCTGAGCATATTTAATGCAAAGGAATGGAGGCAGGACTGAGATTGGAGTGGCAGTCTCAGCTCAGAAAAGGTGGTGCAATGACAGGGCACTGAGTGAGGGACACATAGGAAAAAGTGAGCTCAGAGGGCAGGTCTGGCTAGAGAAGGAGTTGAGAGTCTAAGTTCAGTGGGAAAAATAAATTTCGAGGGTCAGATTGTGAACTGATTCATGTTTGGAATGTTAAAATGTTGAATGTTTTACAATTTGAAATTAAAGACAATACCATTTACATTAGCACCTCAAAATAAGAAATACTCTAGTATAAATCTAACAAAACATGTACAAAATCTATATGAGTAAAACAATAAAATGCTGGTAAAATAAATCAAAGATCTAAATAAATAGAGAGATATTCCATGTTCGTGGATGGTGAGACTCAATATTGTTCAGATATCGGTTCTTTCCAGCTTGATCTATAGATTCAATATAATCATAATCAACTCCCAGTTGTCTCTTTTGTGGAACTGGCAAAGCAATTCTTAAGTTTATGTAGAGAGGCAAAAGACTAGAACAGTTAACACAATATTGAAGGAGAAAACAAAGTCAGAGGGCTGACGCTACCCCATTTCAAGATGTACTGTAAAAGCTGTTGTGATCACCTGCAGTCCCAGTTACTTGGTGAGAGGATTGCTTGTGCCCAGTAGGTCGAGGTTGCAGTGAGTTATGACTGCACCACTGTGCTCTAGCCTGGGCCACAGAGTGAGACTCCACCCCTAAAAAAAAATTCAAAATAGATTCTAGATCTAAATATAAAAGCAAAACTATAAAAATTCTAGAAGATAACACAGAAGAAAATCTAGGTGACCTTGGATTTGGTGATGACATTTTAAATACAACACCAAAAGTATGATACATAAAAGAAAAAAATGACAAATTGAGTTTCATTAAAATTAAAAACTTCTCTGCCAAAGACATTGTTGAGAGAACGAAAAGACGAGCCACAGACTAGGAGAAAATATTAGCAGAACACGTATCTGATAAAGGACTGCTATCCAAAGTACACAAAGAACCCTTCGACAATAAGAAAACAATTCAATTAAAAATGAGCAAAGATCGGAACAGACATCTCACCAAAGGCATACAGATGGCAAATAAACACATGAAAAGATGCTCAACATAATATGTCATTAGGGAGTTGCAAATTAGAATAACAATGAGATACCACTACACACCTATTATAATGGCTAAAGTCCCAAACACTGGCAACACCAAATGCTGAAGTGGCTGAAGAGCAATAGAATTCTCATTCATTGCTGGTGGGAATGCAAAATGATACACACACATTGGAAGGCAGTTTGGGAGTTTCTTGCAAAGCTGAACATACTCTTACATATAATCCAGCGATCACCCTCAGGAATTTACCCAAATGAACTGAAAACTTATGTCCCCCCTGCACATAAATGTTTATAGCACCTTTATTCAAAAAATTGCAAAAACTTGAACCAAGATATCCTTCAGCAGGTAAAGGTTAAATAAATAGTGGTTCACCCAGACAATGAAATATTATTCACGGTTAAAAAACGATCAAGCTATCAAGTCATGAAGGAACCTTAAATGTGTAATGCTAAGTGAAAGAAGCCAGTCTGAAAAGGCTATATACTATATGATTCCAGTATATGACATTCTGGAAAAGGCAAACTTGTGGAGACAGTGAAAAGATCAGAGGTTGCCCGGGTTCCTGGGGAGGGGCGAGGGATGAATTGTGGGAACACGGGATATTTAGAGCAGTGAAACTACTCTGGATGACACTATAATAATGGTAGCCATTATACATTTGTCAAAACCCACAGCACTCACAACACTAAAAGTGAACTCTGATATAAACTATAAACTTCAGCTAATAATAATAATACATGAAGCACTTTGGGAGGCCAAGCCAGGAGGCTAGTTTGAGCCCAGGAGTTCAAGGCCAGCATGGGCAACAGAGCAAGCCCTCAGCTTTACAAAAAATAAGAAAAATTAGCCAGGCGTGGTCATGAGCACCTGTAGTCCCAGCTAATCAAGATGCTGGAGGATCACTTGAACCTGGGGACGGAGGCTGCAGTGAGCCGTGATCATGCCACTGCACTCCAGCCTGGGCAACAGAGTGAGACCTTGTCTCAAAATAATAACAACAACAATAATAATAATGTATCAGTATTAGCTCATCACTTGTAACAAATGTAACACATGAATACAAAATGTTAATAACAGAGGAAACTAGGGGCCGGGCAGTGTGGCTCACGCCTGTAATCCCAGCACTTTGGGAGGCCGATCCAGGCAGGCGGATCACAAGGCCAGGAGTTTGAGACCAACCTGGCCAACATGGTGAAACCCCGTCTCTACTAAAAATACAAAAAATTAGCCAGGCACGGTAGTGCACATCTGTAATCCCAGCTACTTGGGAGGCTGAGGCAGGAGAATCACTTGAACCCAGGAGGCGGAGGTCGCAGTGAACAGAGATAGTGCCATTGCACTCCAGCCTGGGTGACAGAGCAAGACTCCATCTCAAAACAAACAAACAAATGAAAATAATCATAACAGAGGAAACTTGAGGGGTTGGGGGAAGGGGTATATGAGAATTCTGTACTTAAAAAAAAATTTCTGTAAACCTAAAGATGCTCTTTCTTAAAAGCCTATTAATAAACATTTAAAAAATAATTAAAAAAAAAACTGCTGCCTAGTTCCATCTCCTTCAGGGCAAAGCGAGGCAACCCCTCTCCCTCAGCACCAGCTGCCAGCAAACTCTCCCTTCTCCCCAGCCAAAGGCCTGGAATGCTCATGAGGGAGCCCAAAGCACCACTTGGGGCCAGGCGAGAGCACAACATTTCTTCAGCTGGGAAAGGGAAAAATCTCTCCCAACACTAGCACACAAATCATCTCAATCCATGACCTGGCCTGGGATGATGTTGCCAGACCTTCTCCCTGCAGGGGTGCCATCCGTACTCCACATCCCCTTCCTGCCCTCCCAACCCTCTCCAGTGTCCCTGGGTGGGATGCCAGATTAGTGCACTGCCCAGGGACAGCTGTGGCGCCCCAGCCTCAGGGGAGTGGAGGGGGGAGCGCTAGATGCTTCTCCTCCCTGCAGGTTGCCTGTGCCTTGGCTCGGGACAGGATAGGGCAAGGAGGTCAGGCCACTGATCCCAGGGCAGACAGGGGAGCCCTGAAGAGCTGTGGGACAGCAAGCAGGAGGCCACCCTCCAGTGAGGGGTAGCGATGATGGCAGTGCCTACCTAGCTGGGCTGTAATGAAGATTAAACAAGATAATTCACAGAAAACCCTCAGCATAGGGCAGACACAGGAAGCGGTCAGGAAGTATCCACCATGACTATTCCCGCTCATCAGCCCCACGCCTGTCCTCCTGCTGGGGAACAAGGCTGTAGATGACGCAGAGGCCAGGCACCGGATCTGCTGTGTCGGTCCTGGAGCCCCAGCATGTAACGGGATCTTGCATTTCCTCAGCAGGCAGTACTGAGGGTCTGCCCTGTGCCAGGCTAGGGAAAGAGCCACACACATACACACACATTCCAGCCCTCCCAGACTCTGCAATTCAGTGAGGGAGACACGATCATCAAATAAACACGGAGAGGTGTACTGCGAGGAAGTGATGCGTGCTGTGAAGAAAAAGAAGGCGAGGAAAGGGCTACTGAGTGACAGGCTGCTACCTTAGGCAGGGCGGTCGGGAAAGGCCTGGGAGGCAGCCTGGGAGAAGGGAGAGGGTGCCAGGCAGAAGGAACAGTGTGTGCAAAGGCCAAGAGGCAAGAACGTGCTAAGTGTGCTTGAGGAACAGCAAGAAGATTGGTGGGGCTGGAACAAAGAGTAGGGGAGAGGGGAGCGGTGGGATTGGACGAGCAGCTGAGGCCACAGAGGCCAGGAGAAGAACTTTGGATTTTACTCCAAAAAAGCCCATGGAGTGCTTGGAACACAGAGGGAGCATAACCTGATGCTGGGCCAGCACCGCCAGACACGCAGAGCTTGTTAAACACACAGGCTCTTGGTCCCCTCCCAGACCTGCTGATTAGACTCTGCATCCTCACAAATCCCCAGGTGCTCCTATTTGGAAGCACACAGCTAACTCATTTTTTTTTCTTTTTTTCCTTGAGGTGGAGTCTCGCTCTGTGGCCCAGGATGGAGAGCAGTGGCATGATCTCGGCTTACTGCAACCTCTGCCTCCTGGGTTCAAGCTATTCTCCTGCCTCAGCCTCCCGAGTAGCTGGGATTACAGGCGCTCTCCACCATGCCTGGCTAATTTTTGTATCTTTAGTAGAGACAGGGTTTCACCATGTTGGCCAGGCTGGTCTCGAACTCCTCACCTCAAGCGATCCACCTGCCTCAGCCTCCCAAAGTGCTGGGATTACAGGAGTGATCCAGCGCGCCTGGCCGGCTAACTCATTTTCTAAAGGATCACTCTGGGTGCTGTCTTGAGAACAGACATCCAAACGACGATGGGAGCAGGGAGGCCAGTGCAGAGGCTGTGGTGATCATCCTGGTGAGAGGTGACTGGCAGTGGGGATGGTGAGATGCCAGTGGATCCTGCATCTATTCAGAAGGCAGAATAAACCAGGATTGCTGATGGGGTGTGTGTGGGTGGGAAAGGGGAAAGGCAAGAATGGCTCCAAGGGCGTTATGAGTTAGGTAAGTGGTAGTGCATCTGCTGTGATGGGCGCAGCGGCAAATGAGCTAATGGGCCACAGGGCTCCTGACCCACAGCCTCCCCAGCCAGTCTTCCTGAGGCTACCGGCCATCAGACAAGTTCTTTCTATCCTCTGGCCTGTTTTGACCCATGGGGATAGGCCTCAGTGAGTGTGAGTGAGCCCTTTTCTCTTCCAAAGATCCTCTCTTAACCATCTTGTCTTCCCTGTAGCCAAGCTGAGGGGCCTGGCAGGCCACAGTAGCAGACTACTAGGGTTTGGGGACCAGAGAGTATTCCTGGTTCCTGATTCCCCTCTGGGCCAGCCTTGAGAAAGCCAGGGATCATGTCTAAGCCTTCTGCATAGTGGCATCTCCACGATAACCCACAGTGAGGCCCGGGTCCCCAGGACAGCGGGGAAATGTGTCCAGCAGGGCAGAGCAGAGTCCCACAGGCACACTCAGACCCCAGCTCCCAGGTTCCAGCTGCCTTGCACAATTTGCCTAACCTTTCAGGGCCTTAGTTTCCCTTTTTGGATCTGTGAAAGGGAGACCAGAGAAGGCCCTGCCCAGAGCCCACACTTTCTGTAAAGGCAAAGAGCTTTCCACCGGTGGTCTCCCCGGCCCCATCTCCCTGAGCACAGGCTCGCAGCCTTCACTTGGGGCCCCAAGCAGCCCCTGCCCATGCCACACAGTCTGTTTACAGACCACTTAGAACAAATGACTGAAGACTCTGCTGCCTTTCAGCTGGGCAGAGGGGACAGTGGAAGTGCAGTGGAGGGCGCCTATAATCCCAGCGACTCAGGAGGCTGAGGCAGGAGGAATGCTTGAGTTCAGCAGGTCAAGATCAGACTGGGCAATGCGGTGAGACCCCCTCTCTTTAAAAAAAAAAAAAAAACAAAAAAAAAAAACAGACTCTGTTGTCCACCCCTGCTGGTACCACCGGCTTCCATCCTCCTCCCAGGCAGTGGACGCCTCCTCAGAGCCCACCTTCCCCAGGGCCCAGCACCCCACTGGTTCAGCCAGCCCAGGCAGCCTCTCTGCCTAGAATCTCCTTCCATGCCTGCAGCACACGGTCCAATCAGAGCTTCTTGGGCAACTCAGAAAACAGAGATAGAAAACTTCTAACCCCAATGACCTCATAGCCTGCAAGCTAGGCAGCCCCAAATGGGGAAGCCAGGTACTCGGGGCAGTACTGAGGCCCTGGACACCCCCCTCCATCCCAAAGGGTCCTGGGGCCCTCTTGTGGTGACTCTGAGGACCCCAGACCTCAATGAACCTGAGCCCTGGAGCTACCCAACCCCACCAGACCTGCCTCAAAGCCCAGAAGTTGGAGCCCAGCACGTCAGACCCAGAAAACCCAGACCTCAAGAGGGCAGGGGGCTGGCCGTGTTATCCAGGTCCCAAGGTCAGACTCAGCTGCTCTGCCACAGCAAAGCTTGCTTTCAAGTAATAATGCAGAAGAGAGACAGAGACAGACACTGCAAGGGAGAGGATGGGAGTAAGAGCCAGAGACACAGAGTCAGAGATGGAGGGCAGGAGCGGGAGAGAGACTGGGAGACAGGGAGAGAGGAAGGAGAGAGAGGATGGGGCGGTTGTGGGGAGACAGCATGTATGCCAGTGAGCATGGGGGCCCTAGAATTTCTGCATTGGCAAGGCTTAGAGGCAGAGTCTGGTTGGAAGGGGACCCAGGGTTTGTCTCAAAGCTGTATTAATGCAAGTGCTGGCTGGGTGCTGTGGTTCATGCCTGTAGTCCTAGCACTTTGGGAGGCTGAGGTGGGAGGATGGCTGAGGTCAGGAGTTAGAGGCTATAGTGAGCTATGATCGTGCCATTAGGTGACAGAATGAGACCCTGTCTCAAAAACAAAAACAAAAACAAAAAAAAAGCAGAAGAAACACAGGAAGTGCCTAACTCTGTCTTAGGTGGAATGTTTGAGGAAGACAGTGGCCACCTGTAGCTGCATCACTTCTTCCCCTCCACTATGGCTGAGTGTGTGTGTGTTTGGGGCAGCGGGAGGAGAGGTGGTATCAGGGACAGAAAGGACAGAATCAAAGCTCAGAATGGTTTCAGTTCCCACCCTGCCCCTGTTACAAAGCCCCAACAGAATATGTGGCTTCTGGCTCCATGGCTCACTTATAGACCTTGATTTTTTCGTAAATTTCTGGCTGTTTTTTCTAAGCCCGAAAGCCGCCACCTGAGGGTGATAAAGGGAGGGGCCTGGGTCTGGGACCTGCTCTTCTGTCTGTGCCACTTCTGTACTCAGTGGCCCATGCCCTCTGCTCCTCAGTGTCCCCACGTCTGCAGAGCCTCCCTCCCCTGCCACCTCCTCCAGAACTGCCATGAGAATCAAAGAAAGCAAATGGGCCAGGCACGGTGGCTCAAGCCTGTAATCCTAGCACTTTGGGAGGCTGAGTTGGGCGGATCACGAGGTCAAGAGTTCAAGACCAGCCTGGCCAACATGGTAAAACCCCGTCTCTACTAAAAATACAAAAATTAGCTGGGCATGGTGGTACATGCCTGTAATCTCAGCTACTCAGGAGGCTGAGGCAGGAGAATTGCTTGAACCAGGACCCGGGAGGCGGAGGTTGCAGTGAACCAAGATCACACCACTGCACTCCAGCCTGGGTTACAGAGCGAGACTTCGTCTCAAAAAAAAAAAAAGCAAATGTGTGTGAGGCGCTCAGACGCCATGAAGCTACCCACAAACGTCAGGCCCCTCAGCTCCACGGGAGCCTCTCCAGGCCCAGGGAGTGCATTCCACTCAGAGCATGGGCTGGACTGACAGGAGCAGCCTCTTTCAAACGCACTTGGCCACCTGGCACTACTTGCAGGCCATCAGCTGGGAAGTAAGTGACCATAAATCTTTTTCTAGAGGAGGCCTGACTCCCTACATTGACCCACGAAAACACGGCCACACACTTCCACCCATCATCACGTCCCGAGAAGACAAATGAAAAAGAAGTCTGTGAGGCCCTAAGGAAGGAGGGGACAGACCCCGCACAAGCGATGTGTTTGTCCCTGACTCCTCCTGGGCACGCAGGCCAGCGCCCCAGGGAAGCCGGTGTCAGGGACATTTCCCCAGCTCACCCCACCCTCCCCCTTCCGCCTCCAGCCTCTCTCCAGGAGGGTGCTGTGCTCTGCAGCCATTTCTTGTCACTGCTGAACAATAGGCCTTGCTAGCAGCTGGCAGCTTAGCTGCCCTGCCTGAGAGGGGAGGGAGGGAGGGAGGCCGCCTGGCGGGCTGT
This sequence comes from Homo sapiens, assembly GCF_000001405.40. Lineage (NCBI taxonomy): Eukaryota > Metazoa > Chordata > Mammalia > Primates > Hominidae > Homo > Homo sapiens. Next base: position 64,627,582 of record NC_000002.12, read on the forward strand.
GGGGCTGGGGCAGCCAGCCTGCTGTGGTGGGGTTTCCCAGTTCCAGTTCCAAGGACAATGCGGGCATGTGTGTCTCCAGGATCATGTACACGGCCGCACTATCCAGAAGCCTCGAAGGCTGGCACCATAGAACAGCGCTCGCCTCCCACCCGAGAGCTTTTGTAAAATCCTCGAGGCCTGGATGGCATGTCCAGGGATGCTGGCGGAGACCTCCATGCTTCCAATGTGCTGTAGGGAGAAGCATAGTCCAGAGCTTGCAGAAGGCATGTATGTCTTGCTTCTGTCTTTTGCTCCTGAGTCCCAGAGAGGGGAAGTGACTGGCCCAAGGTCACACAGAGCCAGGACAAGAGAACTGACGGGGCATTCAGCCCTGGAGAGCTATCCTAACTCCTGGTCTACTGCTGGCCCCAGTAGGAGATCTTCCTCCTCTTGTTCCTCAGGGCAATGCTGTGCACGTGCCAGGAGAAATCCACACCCCATGAAGAAGAGAGGTCCAAGGTTCAGGGAAGTTATAGAGGTAACGATCGGATTCGAACACCTTGCTCAGCTTCGAGGCTGAAGACAAGACATGTGCTGGAAGGTGTTCTAAGAGTCAGAGAGGCCCAATCCCAGCTCTACCCACTTGCCAGCTGTGTGACCTTTGGCAAGCTGCTTAACCTCTCTGAGCCGGCTGCCACTTCTGTAAAGTGGGGGTAGTAAGATAAAGCTCAAAGTGCTGGAAAGAGTTCATGAGCTCACACACACCAGTATATAGCAGTGTCTGGCACATGTGAGTGCTCAGTAAGTGGTAACCCTGGAAACTATTACTCCTGATTCAGTCAAATATTCCTCTCCAAGGGGAACAAAAGGGCATTAAAACGAAGATGGAAGAGGCAATAGAGATTCTGGGACCACATATTGCCATGCAAGCACAGAGCACAGTGTTCTCTGTAAGTGGCCGACCACCACAACATGCAAGGTATTAGGAAATCTTGGTTCTGCCCAGCAAACATGCCTCCAGCATTAAGATACCCCAGTTGTGCTTTGAGGCTTAACCTAAAACACCGCGCTGAGAGTGGAGAGCTGGATTTTAGCCTTGTCTGCCATCATGTTAGCTGTACTGACATTTGTGGACTTTCCAGTGCCCTAGAAATGCTCGAGCGTGCTTCACATTGACTCATTTGATCCCCACCATGCCCTGAGACAAGCTCAATTATTTCCCCCGTTTTATAGCTAAGAAAGCTGAGGCACAGAGAGGCTCAGGAACTTGCCCAAGATTGTAGGTGCCAGGATTCAAGCTTGGGAGATCTGGTAGCAGAGCCAAACTGAACTCTGATGCTATAAACTATTTTGCCCCAGACAATAATCCTTTTCCCTCTCTGGGCCTCAGTTTGCACATCTGTCAAAAAGGCCCCTTTGGTGGGAAGATCTAGCTCTATGGCCCCTCCCAAGTCTTAAGCTCTCTGAATATGTCCACTCTTGTGTAACTTTCCAGACTACTCTGCCCCGTCTGGCCCTCGAAACCCCACCTCCAGCATTCTGCACCCTTAGGACTCCCCTGACGCCTGTACCGTATTCATCTTTCCAGGGGTGTGTGTCCCCAGTCTATGTAGCCCTGAGCCTATCCCATCTATGGTCAGACGCTGTTCTCAGTATTGGGAGAGTTGCAAAGATCAGGATTTGGCAAACTTTTTCTGTAAAGGGCCAAATAGCAAATAGTTCAGACTTTGAGGGCCATGTGGTCTTTTTGCAACTACTCAACTCTGCCATCGTAGTAAGACAGCAGACAGGGCAACACACAGATACACGAGCGTGGCCAGGTTCCAGCAATGCTTTTCTTACAAAAGCAGGCAGTGGACAGGATCTGGCCTGTAAGCTGCAGTTTGCCAACCTCTGTCAAAGATAAACAACACAGGGTTGCTGCTCTTAAGGATACAGGGAGTACAGAGACAACAAACTGCACAGCTAATCCGAAGACGCGGCAGGACTTGCTAAGTGCATTTGCGGAGGCATGGAGCTCTGGGAAAGCCCAGAAGAGGAAAAGGCTGGTTTTGACTCCAGGCATGCAGAGGTTTCATGGACAGGCATTTGAGTTTGGCCTTGGAATGATGGGCAGAATTTCCACAAGCAGAAGGGGCAGGTGCAAGCAAGGACACGTGGAGGCAGGCTGCTGGTGCGTGCTGGCAAAGCAGCACATCCTGAGGGCGAGTGTGGTGTGAACCCAGGACCCAGACAAGAAAGATGTTGAGTGCTGGGCTTCTCTCATTCTATAAAGAAAGATGAACTACAAGATTGTTTTTTCTTCTTTTCATTCAACAAACATTTTGAGTGCCTACCATATGCTGGGCACAGCTCTAGGCATGAGGACAGATACGACATTCATAATTTGCATTTTCATTGTACTGTCAACATTTTCAAAGAGCTCTGGGAGCCACGCTTTATCTCATCCTCATAAATACAGAGATTGAATGATTTGCCAAAGTTTTATCATTAATTAATAGCAGAAGCTCCTAATTCCAGATACAAACCACTCTACTGAACAACGGACCCTCCGTCCTAGTTGCCTGGTGCTTATCTCCGCCGGGTGTCTGGAAAGTGCTCGCCCTGTTCTTCTACCCCTGCATCAGTGTGCTAGGGCTGCTGAAACAAAGTGTCCCAGACTGGGTGGCTGGAACAACAGAAATTTATTTTTCTAGAGCTAGAAGTCCAGGATTGAGGTGCTAGCAGGCTTGGTTGCTTTGAGGGCCGTAAGAAAGTGTCTGTCCCATGCCTCTCTCCTGCCTTCTGGTGGTTTGCTGGTATCTTTGGCACTCCTTGGTTTGTAGATCCACCGCCCCAGTCTCTGCCTTCACTGTCACATGGCCTTCTCCATGTATGCATGTATGTGTTCAAATATCTTTTTATAAGGACATTAGCCACTGAATTAGGGCCCACACTAATAACCTCATTTTAACCTAATTACCTCTATAAAGACCCCACTTCCAAATTAAAGTCACATTCTGAGGTACTGAAACCTACCTTTTTGGGGGAAACAATTCAGCCCCTAACACCTCCCCAGCACTTCACACCCCACCTCACATTCCACTGCTGATTGAGCTGAACCTTCACTTCCCAGGTCTCACACATCCATCCCTTTTCCCTTGCCAGTGGTGTGGTGGCCCAACCACACCAAAATAAAAAACTGCCTAGGCCAGGTGAGGCCAGATCCCATGACTCCATCCAAGACAGCCCAGTGGCCAAGGAGGTTGCACAGGGTCTCCCCCACTCCCCACTGGAAGACAGCAGGGGCAGGGTCCAGATGGTATAATCAGTGGGTACACCTGGAGGACGTGCAACAACCACGTGACCCACTGGCATTTTAGAATGTCAACTCCAGCATCAGGGATGGTAGAGAGACGATCACAGCAGGAAGACTAGTCAGGAAACAGGTACGGCGGTCAGAGGCAAGGAGAGAGAAAGGGTCCGAGCTGGGGACGCTATGGTGAGGATGGAGAGGTGGTGGCAGAGGGAATGACATGGCTGGGACTGCGGAACAGGGTGCAAGGGTGGGCAACTGAGCCAAGCGTGGAGCAGAGTGCTGAAGACAACGAGCCCACAGAAGAATCAGCCCCCAGGGGAAACGAGAGCTCTTTAGACGCGCTGAGAGTGAGGGAGCAAATCTTGGTAGATACTGAAGTCTGGAGCTCAGGAGAGAGGCAGGGGCTGGAGACCAGTTTTGAGAGTCCTGAGTGGATTAGATCACCTTGGGAAAGCAAGAGGCAGCAGGAATGGAGGCTCAGTGAAGTGCAGTCATGGGCCAAACCCTGGAAAAGACAATGTTTTAAAGAGAGCTGGGGCACAGATGTGAGAAAAAGGAGGTCCAGAAGGGTCCAAGAAGCAGGAGGAGAACCAGGAGAGAAGGGTGGTTCCTGAGACCAGGACGGTTCAGGAAGACCAACAGCACGCACTCCTTCGGGGCCCCCCTGCTGCTCTCTCTTGCTGGACTTTGCTTAATGTGAGCAAACTGTCACAAATAAGCTGATTGAGCTCCCATCAAAAGAAAACTGCAAGCATGCCTCTCTCATCTTTTAACTGTTTATTGTATAATATAAAACTACAAAAGTAAGACTGCTCATTTCCATGTACATTTAATCTGTCCAATTGTTTAGATTACAGCCCAAACCTACATGTGAATACAGCCATCTGGGTTCCGATGTAACGTCTGTAATATTGCATAGAAAAGGCACAGCTCTCAGGTCTGTGGGGGAAAGGTTATACCTCCTTTTTGACAAAAGCCCTCCTCAAAAACCATGCACCAAACATGTCACTATGTACATCTTTTTTCAAAATCTCGGTCATGCGCACATATGGCCTGCATTTCTCTTCCAAAACTTGTTATCCCCAAAAGAAGTCCAACTTTTTATTGGCTTTGTCTGCAATAGCATTTGATCCTGGCTAATTTTCAAGAACCATTCAGACTCATTCTTAGAAACACTGAAAACAATTGTACATAAGCAGGATGCACACAACTCCATGCCTCCAGGTGCGGGGCAGTTACAGGAAGGTAACCATTTACAGCCAGAAAAGGTTAAATATACTCTTTTCATTGTTTTCAGAAAATGTATAAAGGTCCAATTTGTAACAGCAAGGTTTTCAAATTAAGACAATTCGTATAGAGTAGCAATTGCTGCACGAAGTAGAGTCTTTTTTTTTTTTTTTTTTACATTTGTCATTTAAGAAGGCTGCCCTGCGGTATTCATAATTCATTGTTTACCACAAAGGTGGTTCATAAATTTAAGCTTTAAAAACGATCTGTAAGTTGATACTTTGGCTCTTTGGAGCTTATTTCATTAAGAAATTTTCCTTGATTGACCTCAGGGCAGCTGGGGCACTCCAAGGGGCTATGGCGATAAAAAGCTCAATTGGTAAAGACACTCGAGAGGTGCAGAGGAGGCTCTGGCCACTGCTCACCCTTTGGTATGAACAAGGGTGCCCATGTGGTTGCTCCTTCTGTCATCCAGAGAAAGTGCTACTAAAAAAACTTTAAAAAATATCAACCCTTTGATGCTTTTCTTAAAAATTTGGAGGTATTAAAACATTCCTCATACCTTTTGCATATTTCAAATAGACCCATATTAGAGAAGAGTAAAAATGAATGCGGACTGTGCATACAATGAGAAGACCTGGGGGCCTGGCTTGGACCCCCTTTTAATACAGATTTACATTCCTACAAGAGAATACATTCCTACCATACATTCTGCACATGTTACGATCCAGATGTTAGCGCTCCACAGTAAAATAAATATATTTACACAGAAAAAAGGAATAAATAACTTATGGGGGGAAAAAAACTCACTTCAAATTCAAAGCTCTTACGATTCTGCTCTCATCTTGTCACTTCATTGCACATCAGTGTCAATAACTGTCCTCTCCCAGCCCCAGCTCGGTTTTCTCGTAAAGGCACCTCAAGCTGCCTGCCTGGCCCTGGATGCCATGTGATGTCTTTCATAAAGGGAAGGCACTGCTGGAAGCACATCCCACACTCAAACTGGGACTTGGAGATCCCACTCCAGCTCCTACTGTTCCCTGTTGGGACATCACTTTGTAAGAATAGGATGCAAAAGCAATTAGAACCCTAGATCATTTTGATCTTTCTGAAAATGGGCTGCTAATTTTCCATGTCTTTCTTGTTAGACTTTGAGTATCAGGGATTTATGGCAACGGTGTCAGAGTTAAAAAGCATTTGCCTGCTGTTTTTGGGGTTTTTGTTTTGATTTTGAAGCCCAGCCTTACAAATACATAAGAGTCAGAGAACCAAGTTTGGGCAACACTTCTCCGTGCTTATTTGAACTGTTGCCCAACATATGGGATTTGTTTAAACACATGATTTGCTAATCCAACAAAAGTACAGTTGTTGTAAGTTACTGTAAATCAGTTTTTAACAATGGCAAACCAACTGTTTTACCCTGTTATTGTTCAGAATCATCAATACTATTGTATATGTGTACGTAGGTAGATGTGTGCAGCATGCGGCAGGTTTGCCAGGTCCTCCAGTTATAGAAAGCATGGAATCTGGGCAGACTTGTTCTCTGCAAGAAAGGGAAGCTCTTAAAATTAACAGGCATACTGACACTGGAAGCATCTACTACAACCCTCACCTCAGTTACATGGTCCCTGGTCCTATTAAAGGAAATGACACACCTGTAGCAGTACGAGGTGTCTGCGTGGAGGTTGCTTGTAGGAGAACAAGTGCAATTTGATCAGTTTCTCACTGCTCTACTGAGCTGATAATTAGCCTTTAAAACACATTCAAGTGGGGGGAAAAAGTAAATTAGAATGTAGAAAGCCTTTATCATATCATACTCAAATCTTTTGCTTAGATGAGCAGTTCCTTCATCACAAACGTCTTTGCTTTGCCATGTGCATTACAAAAATAAAACTAACTATGGCTTGCTTAAAGTGCCATTTTATAAAGTTGTCTTTTTTAATTAGCCAGAAAGACCCAATTTTATCCATGGCAAGAAGTGAGCAGAATTGGTGACTGAATATTGACAAATGACCAACAACAAAGACAACAACAACAACAAAACATCCCATAATTTAAAAATTTTTAAATAAATATAAAAGTTATTCCTAAAGAAGCCATCTGCATAACAATATAGGTTGTAACCTGCACTCAACAGCTAAAGTACCATTGGAAGAAAAGAAAAAACTGAAACAAGAAGGCCATAAACAGTTTCGGCAACAAGCATGATACATTGCAACCTTTTTAAAATTAAATGTACACCACTAGGAATAAAAAGCTACTTCTCAAGTGTGTCCTGGGAGATAAGGTGATGGGGGGGGGAATTGGGGGGAGGAGGGAAAACATGCATAGAAAGTCCTGTCTGAGTTTTGGGGTAAAACAGCCTTGACAAGTGTGAAGTAGCTGACTCAGGAAAGCAACCAGATGGGAAGCTGTGACGTAATGTGATGAACTCCAGGTTCAAGAGTCACACATGTTGTAAGAGTGCATCCCGGGCCGGCCGAGGCGAGCCAAGCTCACTGTGGTGATCACGAAGATGCCATTTTCAGCTCTTAGCAACACAGGGAAAGCTCTAGGGAAAGGAAGCTGCAGAAGACAATTAAGCAACATGATGGATGCCTTCTGGGGAGATTTTCTTCTTTAAGGGCCCTAAGCATTGCAACAGGGCTGAGTTCCATGAAGAAGTTGGTTGCTTTTCGGATGTAAAATTTTGTTCGGATGTAAAATTTCAGGTCATCATAAAAATTATGCCAAAAAGGAAAGATCTGGGTTTTCATTAAAAAACAAAATAAAAACAATTAAAAGCGCAAACTTGGCATAAATACACTCTTAAGAAAGACAGTAGCTTTACCCTCAAAAGAGGGAGCAAAAGAGAACCATCACTTAAACCCCCAGCTCCACAGCCATCTCCCGCCAACTGCTTAATGCAAGTTTGATGAGCACATGTGGCTCTGGCTTTGGAAGTCACAGTACTGGCGGGTGTTGGTGCCAGGGGGTCAGTGCTTGTGAAATTTGGGTGTGATATCACCTGGCCCTTTCTTAAAGCACTGTGTGTGTGTTTATGGGTGTGTGCATGTGTGTGCCTGTGTTTGCATTTGGGGACATCAACTGCAGATTGATTTGATCCAATTTTCTCTTGCACCATACACATATAAAACATTACAACTCTATAAAAGTACAAGTGCAACTTGTACATCTGAAGTTTGCAGGAACTATGTGAGCAAATCCTATCAAAATAGCTATCTCATATGTATAAACAGCATTTGTTTTTAGAAAAACAATATCATAAACTGCAGAATCTGTACAAAAATATAAAATAAATTTGGGCAGCAGTTTTCTAAACAGCCATGTAAATGCAACACTTACGAGGAGTAGTTAATGCCTCTAAAAAGGCCGAATTGCCAAGTCAACCTATACAGGGCAAAAATGCCAGAAAAGGTACTGAGATTATCTAAATAAGATATATATATATAGTTTTCTTCTTTACCTCTTGCAATAAAACTTATAGAAAAAATAGACAAATATGCACATGCAATTTACAGCTTTTCCAACTTAATCCTTGTGCTTCACTTGAACTGTTTATTTTTGTCATTCAACATTGCAACATTGTCTTCAAATGGATTCTTTCCTATACCAGGGTAGTAGGTCTCTGAGGAACCACTCAAAAAAGTGTATTAAAAGTGGTCATACTTGGATGAAGGCACTCCAACTCTGCTCAAAGCAAAAACTAGTGTGATCCTGTTGTAAAATTTTCTTTTTCTCTGAAAAAGGCAAGCAAGGGTGCATGCACAGTGTGGAGAACTGTCAGGGTTATGGGAACGCTCTGGGGTCTGGGTGGGCATAGTCGCTGGGTCCCTGGGTCTTAGGACCCAACAAGCACCTCCATGATGTGGTCCAGCTCTGTGAGGTCCATTTTGAAAGGCTGACTTGGGGTGACAGGCTGACTGCTGTAAGGAGCCAGAGTTTTGAGGAGGTCGTCGGCAGACACAGGGGCCATTTTTGAGGCTGTCCCTGATGAGGAAGTGCAGGGGTCAAAATCATACATGGACGTATCAATGTCAGCAAACAGGATGTCATCCAGGGTCAAGTCTGTCAGGAAACCCGTGGACGTCGTTATTTCAAAATTCCCAGGCAGAGAGTCCATCAGTTTTGAGTCATCTGCGCGGCTCTCTTGAGGACCGTCGAGTTTCTGGGTGCCAGCCTCGCTGGAGGTCCCTTTCACACTGTCAGTCGCAGCCGTGGCCGCCTCTGTGGAGGTAGATGTGGGACAGAGCTCCTCGATCTCGTCCAAGGCAGAGGAGAAACTGTCCTTTTCTGGCAAGAGGGCTGGAGGTGACAGTTTGGTGGGAGCCGTGGGCTGCATGGCCTGGGAGGTGCAAAACGTGTCATCGTCGTCCTCGAGCAGTGAGGCCGGGGTGAGGCAGGCCTCCAGGGGCGTAGTGCTTCCGAGGTCGCAGGGGTGGGAGGACGGGGACGCCAGGTGGCTGAAGGCCGGCGGGGCCTCTCGGTAGCTGTCGCTGGGCTCGGTGGTGGGCTGGGAGGAGGGGGTGAACATGGGCCTCAGGCTGCCTTCCTGTTTGAGTTCCTCCTGGATCCGCCTCAACATGTTGTTAATTAAAACGGTCTTTTGCAAGCTGGGCTCTGTCAGGGGCCTGTGGTTATAGAGTTTCATAAGGGAAATGTTGAAGATAGTCTGGCGCTGTAAGGTGTAAGACACCTTGGATGGACCGTCACAGGGAGACACGATTTTGCCTTCCAGCCCATCTTCATGCTCATCAAACTTCCGTTTTCCTCCTTTACCCAACATATATCTGCAGAGGGGAGAGAGAGGAAATGGCATTAATCACATGAAAGCTGATTTCTCCCATAAAAAAAGAGACTGATTTAGAGGGCAGGACTTGGACCTCAGTTTCCTGCCCAGGGTTATTTACAAGTACACGTGGATTAATTAGGGGTGGGAGGAAGGAAGACCTTTTACAATAAGAGAGAGTTAGAAAATCCACCTTTGTATGCCTGTGGAGCAATTTTTATCACTAGGTAGTCTGGTGAGTGTATTTCTTGAGAAATGTGTACGACACAGACAAGTTAAGAATTACCATGGAAACCATGATTTTGACTTTCTCAGCTCATGTGCTTGTGTTCGCATGCCTAAGATTATCATGCAGGTTCGATTTCCCTCCCCCACGTAGATTTATTTTTAAAGCCCAAGAAAACACTTACAATGCTATGACCTAAACAGATACAGGTGTCATAGATTACAGCTTGAGCACTTCTTAAAGGATTAAAAGAACCAAGTTAAAGAAAGGTAACATGTATAATTTGGGTAGAACTGTGTGTGCTTTCAAAATGCTTTTCCTTCCTCATTAAGCACGGAGTCTTTCTGCCTGGTTGGGGACATGTGGTGAAGCACTGCACCTGTGTTAAATGACCACAGTGACTGAGCCGCCGCCACTTTTCATTTAGAATCAAGGGGAGGAATGCGTATGTCCCAGCCTAAGTTCTTCCTTGGCTCAACTTCATCCACACACAGTTATGTTTGAAGACAACTGGATTAATTTTGAAGTAATTAGCTCTGATTATAAGCATTGCTGTTTGGGTACTCGAGACATTTCCTAACAAACTACCTCCTGTGATTCCAGAGATACATGCATATTTTGAGGAAACCATGACCTCATATCTCAGACCCTGAGAATCTGGTAATGGGTTGAATTTTAAAACTGCAGCCAGGAACTCCTGCCCCATCTTGCCTGCTGCTCACAGGCCAGGCTGTGTCCTCTCTTGCTCTGGCCTTAGTGAATACATTTTATCAACTGGTTGTCACCTTCTGGGGAGTGGGCCTTCCAACTTTCCAAGATCATGTGACATCGTCACAACCTCCTTTCAGAACTTCTACTGTCTAAACAGAACAATCTCAAGTTCATTAGCCTTTGCCTCAAAGATCTCACTTTCTAACCATTTAACAAGAAACCTGTCTTTTGGTGTTCGGACCAGGATCGTGGTTCGAATGAAGCCAGGCCCATGCTTGCTCCCTCACCGTCCCCGCCTCCAGCTACAGCACTCTCAGGGACTCCTGCTAATCCTGTCCTCAGTGTGACTCACTCTCATGTCTTCATATACAGGCAACTGCTTTGTAGTTATTCAATTTCTCTTCTAAATGCCACTTACCTTTTAATGAACTGCTTCAGCTGATTGATCACACCTCATTCAATCCTTTAATAACTTATCCACATCTACACTGTCATAGGCATTTGGCCAGGCCCAGTGGGGAGTCCCACATGAACACCCTGGCCTTCAAGAGGCTAAATAGCCCCTCCTACACCTGATCACCATTTTGAATTTCAAGTCTCGACCTAAAGAAATAAGGCTAAATGGAATATAAACTTCACAGAACTTCTTTCTCATACTTTGTCACAAAGCAGGCCATGCTGCCCTCAAGGCCAGTATACAGGTAGACATGGAGCCTGCCACTTGGGGTAACCGTCTTACCTCATGTCTCATGAGGTCTCCAGAAGAGACAGATGAACAAGCTGCGACCTATCAACATCAGAATCGGCTTGAGATTTGTTAATACTTATGAAGAATGTGGAGTTACTTGCATGAAACATTTCCCCTCATTTTGTTAACATTTAAAAAATGGCTGTCAATGTCAATCACAATGACCAGTCCAGTAATTAATTGTTCTTCAGGGCAATAAAGGTTATGATAGTAACAGTTGGTTTGTCTAATACTTCAAGTGATAGACATATTTCCTACTGTTTAGTGCTAAAATTCTCATCTGTGTATTTACTTTGCATAGAACATTTCCTATCTAAAGTATCTGTTTAAACTTGAAGGTGAATCAGAGTGGAGGTGGTTTCATCTCATATTGCAAAACGTTTTCTACTTCATGCATGAGAGGTACTACTGGACAACTGGGTTTTGAAACATAACTGTATTCACAGGTATGCTATTGGTATTTGCTTATAATTTAAGCATTTAAATACTTATAGAAAAATTTCACTTTTGCTAAAGAGCTAAGTGCATTTAATTCTCATATAAAGTTCTAAGATTTATGTTATGTTATAATGTGATCATGGCAACATACTTAAATGTGTGAGTACACAGATACATACACACTCTAAAATAGTGTTTCTCAAAGTGTGGCCACAGATGGTGCCTGTCTGCGAACTGTTACTGGTCCACGATGAGGTATGTAGAGAGAGACATTTTATTATTTAGAAACTTCTACAGCAAATTTACACAGTAACTGTTATGTCTGTACATGGAATTTTTAAAATGGGGCTTCTATTTTCCATAACTTTGTATTTTTATTTCATTTTATGATAATTATTTTTATTGTGTCTTACTGAAGTCTGTGAAAGATTGGGGGGCCAGGGAACCAAGAGAGCCCCTAATCACAGAAAGCTTGAGAAGCACTGTCCGTAAGTGTAAAACAAAATACAACCGAAAACAAACTAGCTTATTGCCACTGTGGATTTTTATCGGTTTTCTGGAGGAGAGGTAACATTTAGGGAAGATGGTGTAGACTCTTCTTACAGTCATCAATGCAGAATTGTCTTTTTAAAGACTTGTTACTAGAACAAACAACAGGGCTTTTTTAATACTGCATTTTTCTAGAAATAATCACTGAATCTACAGAATTCACCTATTTAAAAAGTATACAGGCCATGCAAAATATTATAGGCATTTAGTAGAATTCCCATAGCTGAAAGAGATCTTTGGAGATATTTTCAGAAGGATTTCAATGTGAGAAGCACCTAATTTCCAATTAGAATGATCCAGCTGGCCAGAGCTGTGTGCTAATCCTAATGATTTAGAGAAAGCCTGATAAGACATCTGTAATGCTGCCTGGAAGGGGAGGGCAGAGGGCTCGGTAAGCAAAACCTGTAAGCAGGAACAGACACACACACCAAATCTTGGATGCACCTCAGAGGTGTGAATACGGACCCCTGATGAAGTGTACCTCAAGGCAGTTTTGCCACCATTTCTCTGTTTTGTATTATAAGGCAAAACTGACTCCACACACCCAGTAAGATTGTAAAATGCATATAATCTTGATTTTTAATCCTAATTCTATCTAAGCTGTTACAGAAAGGAATACAATGCAACATAATAAAAAGTGAAGTCATTTTCCTTAAGTTTGCCTGACACACTGCAGTAACATTACAATGAGCATATTCAGAAGAGGCCTCCAACTCCTAGAGGGGGAGGGCAGTGGGAACTCTCACTCTCAGGGCTTTGTGTAACAACCACCTCCTTAAGCAGGGCCCAATTTAAAGGAGAAAAGACACGACATGCCCTCAAGAACCGGAGGGCAAGAAGCCAGGCGCATCAGCCCCTCCAGGCCTTTCTGGGCCTGGCTCAGGCTGGCCAAGGTCAGGGTCGGCCCAGCTCCTAGCTCCTCAGAAGCCTCTCTTTCCTCAGGCACTCTAAGAAAATAACAATAGCTCTTTAACCACCCTTTGGAGAGGCAAGGGACCTTTCAAAAAGGCTTCGCTGGGCTGCAACTTGAAGATGAAGCAGTAGCAGGAGCTAAGGACGTGTAGGTGACTCTAGGGAGGGGGTGCTGTGGTTCCTGCGGAGGGGGGGCCTGGAGTTCACGAAAGGGGGGCCTGTGACCCATTGGCTTCCTAGGTCACCCCGGGGCTTTGACACTCCACTTTATCTCCTCCCTTGGCTGGTGAAGACCAAAGCCTAAAAAACCCATGTCTTCTACCCAATTTTTCTAAAGACCCAAAGTGCCCCTGAGCTCCAGGGCGGGGTTGGAGACTCCCACGTGGAGGAATCACGTGGGTGCTCCTCCATCTTCTGCCCACCCTAAGGGGCCTAAAACTAACCCCAGCCACTTTTCTACTGAATAGTCATTGGCTCTTAACATGAGGTTTGAGATCAAATGACCTCCCTCCCCAATAAACTTTTTAGAAACAAATTCCTAGCATTCTGGTTTTCTAAACATTAATTTTAACTGCTATTAACTGCAGCAAACTAAGTTTCAAACATAAAGAACAAAACTCATTGGTAGAGACATAAATGAAAACTTCTGGAGTTTTCCAGGAAACTTCATACTAAACACAACTCTGTACATGAAAACTAGTTTTCAACTGTGCAACTTTTCATTAGGAAGGACCCTGCCTTCAAAAGCTACAATCTGGGTAGATGCTCAAAAGTAACAAATGTCACTAGAAGTGTCCTCAAAAGTCAAAGGACCAGAGGACCAGGAGCCTGAATGACTTGACTTTTTGGGGCTTTGCAATTCCAGAATCTGAGTGACTCCCACAGTAAGCAATCTGAGAGATTACTGTGGGCTGGGGGCGGCCGGGAGACTGCTGGAAATAGATTTGTAGCCTATTTGAAAGTTACATTTAAGGTGGGATTGTCTCTTCATATCTGTTTCCCATCTCAAGATAGTGAGCCCCCTAGGGCACAGACGGTGTGTGTTTTGTTCACTTCTGTACCCTCAGCATAAGGTAGTCTCCAACACAAGATGCTCCATAGATGGTCACTGAATACACGAACAGTAAGTGGAAATAATGAGGAAAGACACCAAGGGGCAGCCAGGGCAGCACTGTAAAAACAGAGCCAGGTGTGTGTGTGTGTGTCCTTGAGCGTGAACTGTGTCTGGGAGGGAGGGTCTGAGGAATGGGAGGGTTGCACAGACCTCGGAGTTGAACGGTTTTACAGGCGGGATCAGGGTCGCGCAATGCACCAGCAGCTGAGATATGGAGTAGGCAGGAAAGCTCCAGCTGAGAAGCTCTTCTGTGAGCGGCTCTCCCATCCTTCACTTCTCAACCACGGACAAGCCTTAGGTTCACCTGGAGGCCTGATAAGCACAGGCCGTTGGGCCCCACCTCCCATATTTCTCTTTCAGCATGTCTGGGGAGGAGCCCTCAAATCAGCATTTCCAACAAACTTTCGGGTGATGCTGGTCTGGGAACCTCACTTTGAGAATTACCATTTCTTCTTTTCCTCATCAGGCCATTTCAAGTTTAGGCCGGAGGATATCTTTATTCAGTTAATCTTGATTCCCAAGGCCTTCCTTATTTGTGTCTAATTTAGCAGGACAAAAAGGAATGAACAGCATTTTTGTGATAGCAACTGACAACTGACATTAGAAAACAAAATACTGCACGCAGAGTTAAGATGTCTTATACTCAATTTTAATGACAAAACTCAGGGTCTCAAACTGATGTGTCAGATCCTACTGGCCCAGTGGGGCCCAGATTCTCCTTGCTGGGGTCTTAAAGTGATGGCAGTGGGATCTTATCCAAAGCCCAGAAAGGAACTGAAACAGTACTTACGTTTAAAAGAGTAAGTAACATCTCCCACTACTACATTTTGCATTTTGGAAAAAAAATGCAAACAATTTTTTTGAAGATGAATCAGAAAAGGTTATCTTTAGCTCAAGGTTTTTCAACTATTTAAAAGCTACATCTTTTTAAAAATCTTTTTTTTTTTAAATTACTGTCCTTTAATGTTATTTGAACTGTCAAAGTAAATGTTATGATTTTTTAAAGTGAGAGTATTAAATTGACTTTTCCAAACTACCACTTCTGTCATCCTACCACCACCAACAAAAACCACTGCTTTAACCTGCAGGCTCACCCCAGCCTCTGCAGCATCACAGCGTCCTGGTGGTTCCCTCGACAGACCCTGGGTTGGGGGGGCAGGGGCAGTGTGGGGGCTGTAGGAGGCCGCACAGGGAGCCCTCCTCAGACCACCAAGGCTGGCTTGCTGGGTTTCTCTGTGCCAGTCAAAAAAAGATGCAAAAGTCTTCACAGATGTAAAACTCTGCATTATGTTTTAACTTGATTCATCCCAAATGATTGTCATTAGCCCGGGCGGAAGGAAAACTCTCACTGATAGACTTTTCTACTCTGGAGAAAGAGAATTCATGCCACAAAATGACTTTAAAAGGGGGTCAAATTCACAGCTTAGTTCTAAATTCTTAAGAGAGGAAATAATTGGGGAAGGTGTGACTGGTCTTGTGACCAAAAAGGAATCAAAGATTGAGTGGAGACACCTGGTCCTGCACCCCTGGGGCTTGTGCAGCTCGGCACCACCCTGACCTGGTGCGGGGACAGACGGGGAACTCAGGAAAGCATCGCCTTAGAAGCCCAACTGGTTTGTACCTTGTGTACGTTTTCAAGAGCTTTTTCCAATTTCCTTTTGGGAAACAGCAACAACTACACATTCTGTATGCTCCCTTCTCAGGAGAGCAGCAGGCTTCACAATTAAGTGGTATGTTGTTTTAAAAGTCAGGTAACAAGGCAACACTGAACTACAGTGTCTGCCGTGGTGTACGGGCGGCTAGTGGGGTGAGCTGGCCATGCTCTGCCGCTCACCTGGGTGGAGAGCACAGCTGGGGCCTGCCTCATGATGAGTCACCGGCCTGCACACGCGGGATCCTGCACGGCTCTACATGCACGCTATACTTCAACAGGAACGTTTTCAAAACGCTAGCTAACAGCTCTCAGGAAAAAGGCTCCTCATTCAAAGGGGAGCTTTAACAAGCTGTATGCCTTCGCAGGGCAAGGTGGCTCACGCCTGTAATCCCAGCACTTTGGAAGGCCGAGGCGGGTGGATCACGAGGTCAGGAGATCGAGACCACCCTGGCTAACACGGTGAAACCCCATCTCTACTAAAAATACAAAAAATTAGCCAGGCGGTGGCGGGTACCTGTAGTCCCAGCTACTCAGGAGGCTGAGGCAGGAGAATGGCGTGAACCCGGGAGGCGGAGTTTGCAGTGAGCCGAGATCGCGCCACTGCACTCCAGCCTGGGTGACAGAGTAAAACTCCGTCTCCAAAAAAACAAAACAAAACAAAACAAAAAAAACACCAAGCTGTATCCCTAACCTCATCAGACACACTGTCCCATATGGCTGCTGGTGTGACCACTGGTTGCTGACAAGTCTAGAGGTGTCAATGCTAACGCTAAAACCAGAAAGATGAGGCCTTTAACCCAACGCCAACACTCAAAGTAGTGATCTGCCCTCATGTACCCACCTCTTTGGAAGAAAAAAGAAGTGTGGCGATTGTCTTATGAGAAGGCTGGCAGCGGTCCTTCCCTTCCCCTGACATACTGTGCCACCAAAGCCCACAGCCCTAAGTGGAAACACATTCATACTCCTGGTGTCTTTTGGTGGTGGTGGTAGAAGAAAGGGGTGCCCCTGGTAAAATTAGCTGGGCATGTGGCAGACTTCTGAGCCGAAAAGAGGCTCAAAGTAGGGCCAGGATTGTTTTGAGACAACTTCTGAAACACAGAATATGCTGTTTCTCTTCTCTTCACTCCACAGGCTGGTCTCCCAGTGCGTTTAGGACCCTGCTTTTGAGGCATCCAAGTGGGAGAGCCTCTGTTCATGACAAAAGGGAACCTCCCACCAGCCTGAGGGCGGGACGCTGAGGACCCCAGAGCCCTGCCTCCAGGCTGCTGTCGTAGTGTGACACAGCAACTTCCGAGCAGGAAGGAGAAGCCCGATCCTAACTGGGGGAAGCTGTTTGCTTAGACAACTTTCTACACTTCAAATATTACACCTTAAACAACACACTGGACTAAGAAATCTGATCATGTCCAGGCTTTTAACACCCTCCTCCCCCAAGGAACAATAAAACACACCAGCGAAAACAAAGAGGCTGCCCTGAAAAGGTTGCAGTGGTGGATGATACTGGCAGAATCAGAAAGGAAGCTAAGAGAAACAGGCGCGTCCTCAGCCGGGCCTCGCGTGTCCTGACACTGCAGCAGGCACGGGATGTGGGCTGTCCCCTCCAGCACAGTGCGGGAAGGTGCTGGGGCATCCAAACAGCAAAAGCAAACCTGAGACCCCAAAACAACTGCGTCTGGCCCAGGGGAGTGGGCAAAAATTCCAACAGGGAGAGACCGTCTCTGGCTTATTTACAGACAGGGTAAGTAAGGATGCCCAAAGACAAGGCGGAGTATTAGTAACAGAACTCATGAAGTTCTATGGATCGGGATGCTTTAAAAAAAAAAAAAAAACACCAAAGCTCATCCAGAATGTCTGAGGTCCCTGCAGTAACATCCATGCTAATTGGTAAGTAAGACAAAGCCTCCCCTAACAAATCAGCAATGTAATTATAAAGCCAGTCACTAGATCAAGCCAGTCTCCTGTGCTCCAGCGATATTCTGAACCTGTAACCCGATACCACTGTTTGCTGCCGGCGCCTCCTCCGGGCTCTCCCGCTGCGCACCGGCCGCGCGGGGGCCCGCAGGGCAACGCAGCCTAGGCTGTTTGTGCAAGATGAGACCCTGCATTTGACGAAGACCTGCAGGAGCAATCCTCCCGGCTTTCTTGACAGTGAAGAAGAAGAAGAAGAAAAAAAAAGCCTGACGATACACTGAAATTCGAACAGGAAGTCAAGCCCCAAGTAAATTTAAGAAACAACTTTTACTGTTTGGGGTTGTTTTCTAAAGTCCAAATTTTTAAAATTCTAGTTTCTCCTCTCAGATTTTTACATGCTCCTATTAAATTGAAGGCAATTTCCAATACTGGAGGTTTGTCAAATATAAACTTTTCTCCTAGTAAAATAATTTTTTAAAAATGTTGACAGCTGCATTTAGTAAGCAAAAACATAGTCAAATTCTGGGAGGGAATGTTTCAAGTAAATATTTCTTTAGAATAAATTATGGCCTTGTTAGTACACATCTGGAAAGAGAATAGGCTTTTTAGAATATAAATGTCAAGTGGTATAAAATGTTTCTTATATCCTGTCTTAGTGGTTCCTCTGCCAGCTGGGAATTTTAAGTTTTAATCCCAACTCTTATGAAGCTATGGACACCAATTACCTTCTTCCAAGGACAATGAGAATGCTGCCAATTGTTTTATTTTATCTAAGGATTCTGGCTAAAAGTATGGTACACTTGATTTAAAAAAAAATTAGAAAAATGCTTTGTTTTCTCAGTTTTAAGGAATTTTTTTTAATTTATAAGGAAAAAGGATTACTTGGGAATGGCACACTTAATTCAAGTAAAAGGTTGAGTAGAATTATACAGTTTCTAACCTTAACTTAACAAAAACATAATATGCTCTGATGCCTGGAATTTGCTTTAAAATACTCCAAAACAAACAAACAAAAAAAAACCCAAAACCTGGCCATGTAGATGAAACAAGATTTGACAAAATGTTGATACCTGCTGAGGCTGGCTGATAAGTACAAGGCGGTGCTTTGTACTCTTCCTTTTACTTTTGAATGTGTTTGGAATTTTCCATAATAAAAAGTTAAAAACCACAGCACGCCAATACATATTTCTAAATTAAAACATATAAAATGAGCACAATAAATTACTCACACCCCCAGTGAAAACTATTATATTAATTTGATAGGGTTTTTTTTTTTTCTTCACACAGAAGAAAGCTATTAGTGCTCCATGTAAACAAGCACGCCCAATTCAAGTTGGAACTCTTTAAATTCTGGAAGACAGCACATCACATCCAGCCACGAGGGGGCGCAGCCGAGCAGCAAGGAGCGCAAAAGTCTCATTCTTCACTGCAATTTCTACCTACAGCTCTCTCAAAGTATACACATTTTCAAGATTGTTTCCAAATTCAGGTATCCACAGGACACTGCTAAGCAAGCTGGGAGCTTTGCCAAGGCCAAAATAAATTAAATTATGGTACGGTTCAAACTCTGGAAGTACTGTGTATAGGAAAGGTTGTTTCTCTGTATATAAAAGTTAATACTGGTATTTCAAAAACCATGGTTAAAATCCCTGGAGGATTCCTGAAATGAGAACAAACACACAACAACAAACACACACCCAAGTCATGAGATGTGAACGTGGAGAAACCAACAGTTCAGAATTTCCAGTGGGGCTTGCAACATGGACTCCCAATAAAACAATGAGTCTCAATAAATTCGGCACTAAGCTTTTACCAGTATAGATAGACGCCTTTACTGGGCCTACTTACTACTTCTTAATAACTATAAATTATCTCCATACTGAACAGATACTGCTTCAGGCAGTTATTTGGGAAAACCCTTCATAAAGGACATTGGAGAGGGGCCATTTAATTATAAAATGTAACACAGTTAACCTTAGGGAGATGATGAAGCGAGATCATTATGTGTAACTACTTGCTGGGATTCTTTCTATTTAAATTATAAGTTCAGGTTATATGATGTTGTATGTTCAATAATAATGCTCATAATAGATGAAATGTTATAATGAGTCTCCACATTTGAAAATTGGAAACTATAAACATATCTATATTTTATAATCATTTGAATTGTGATACTACTTCATAATAATTTGGTGTCAGAGTATGTTTTTAGCATTTTGAGTCTAAGGCCTCATTAACATTAGGGTAAGGAACTCTCAGATTTGACAATTTTTCCCATAAGATTACGTGCTTTACTAGTAAAGACTAGCCAGCATTGCCCAACCTCCCATTCTCGGGCATAATGAAAATATTTTTTCTCCTGTATTTATAATTGCTTGGATGGGATTCTGTTTCAATCCTCCTGTAGCATCTTTTCCCTAAAGATACACTGTTTTTCTCCCTCACACTAGAGACCCTTAATAAACAATGTCAAGGAGGTGGGGAACTTAGAGTAGAAAGGAAAGGCTTTGCCAAAAGTATGTGACAGTTTTTGTGTTTAAAAAAAAAAAAAAAGACTCAAGATATATGTAAGTCTTACTAAAACAGGGAAATATAAGGTTTTAGAACAATTCTGTGAAAGATAAAATTACATCTTAGTTAAAACCAAAGGTGGCCTTCTAGGTTTTATTAGACAACTATTTGCCACTGAATAAAACTAAGGAATAAAAGTAAAGTATGCTACTTCAAGAAATGCTTCAATGGAAGCTTTTCTTAAAAGTTAAAAATTAAAAACTAGTCATGCCTTCAAATCTGGATGCTTCATTACTATCAAAGAATCACTTAAAATATTCCTTACAAATACAGAACATATTTCATCTTATAACTTATCCGTGCAGTCCAAAGAGGAAAACCTGAGAAATGTTGTTTCTTTTACTTACTGTGTAAAACTGAACATTGTATTGTACGGCCTAAACTTGGATTCCCTAGAGAACAATATCACATTTCTACAACATGACATGAGTACAAAAATTTGAGGTGCAGGATAATAGAAATATACTTGAGACATGCAAATGGAAGGAAATAACTATTTTATGTAATACCTGTCCCATGTAAGTAACCTACATGTTCCGAATGTTTAATTTGGTTGCCTCTAAGAATTAGGTAGGCTAATAAGGTTTTACAAAGACAATTTAAACTTTGTATCATATACCTGAATAATTCACACACAGACAATAATTGTAGAAAGAAAAAGGCAATGAGGATACAACTAAACTTGAGGGGAGTAAATGATACTTTGTAAATATGGCAGCCATTAAAGAATAACTACTTTGGGACTATTTTGAGATAAAATGTTTGTCTTCCCAAGGACTTCTGTGCATTGATAATGAATGGCTCATTGAACTTTAAGCTATGTCACTTAAATACAATAAAAATAATCAGAGTACCACACTAAATGTAATAACTATTTATTTTCTAAGGAAAATACTTCATAATTCTTCAATTACCTTCAATGGTCTTCATGGAAAGCCTTCCTCAACCTCCCCAGCCTGCCACCCCCAGCCTGCCACTCTATTCATTCTACCTGTCTTCTGGAGCTTTAGAAGGAGGCAGGAACCACCTGAAGAATTGAATTTTTAATGTGTAAACCAACTACTTGTCAGAGAGCTAAGAATCACTGCCAGTGAAACGTATTTTATTTTATATTTCTGGACATGGTAAAACTATTTAAAAAAATTAGTTTGCCTTAAAAAGTTCAGAAAAGACCACCAAGTTCCTGACAAGCAGAGAGGCAGAGCAAAAATTCTTCCACTCTGGATCATAGCACCCAAATTCCTCAGGCAGATTGGTTTTCTCTGATAGCACGGAAGACACAGGAGAGGTACAGATGGGCAGGGAGATGTCCCCTCAAAGAAGGAAAGAAATCTGAAAAGCAAATCTGTATCACCTATTATAAAATGGGATAACCACACAGGGAAGATCAGTTTAAAGCAGCTGCCAGCTCGATATCTCATTAGCGTGACTAGGATTTTATGCAAACCTGTTCTGGTGTAGAGATGACCTTGGGACTTTCAGATTCTCTGAGTTTAACTTGGGCAATACTTCTAAACACAAGGGTGGGGTACACCAGCAGGCCTGCTCCAAACCCCAGGAGCTGCAGTGCATGGCGTGGAATGATAAGCAGCCGGCCGGAGCAGAGGCAAGCAAAGCGCTAAAGGCTGATCTGGAGCAAGAGACTTTTGATCATTTAGTGTTTTTGACCATGGTCTATTCAAGTGTACATTTTACTTTTCTTCAACAGGTTCACTCAGCCCACTGTTAAACATCAGTGAGTGTGCATATGGATATACAGAATATATAGACATAGATCATGTCTGTAAGAACCAGAATCCCTTCCCCTTTACTATTCTATGGGAAAGTCCTTAGAGAATGCTTAGCTTCTTTTCAGTTAACTGCCTAGGAAGGTTTTTAAAGGAAAAAAGCTTAGAATTAATTAGTAACTCTGCAAAGCTACAGGTTTTTGTAAAGTGACAAAAAAGATAGTAAGGCAGACATGAATGAGTTTTAAGAACTGAAGTTTGCTGCTACCTGGAGTTACTAGAGAAACAAAGCTGCCTTTGGGCACCTCAAACTAGTCAGACCTGCTATAGCAGTTGCACAGTCAGCTCCAGATCTGTCCTCTGCTCTTCTCCCTCCAGCCCCCACCCCACGCCTCCGCATAGCTCAGTCCACTCTCTACTCAG
Organism: Homo sapiens; assembly: GCF_000001405.40. Lineage (NCBI taxonomy): Eukaryota > Metazoa > Chordata > Mammalia > Primates > Hominidae > Homo > Homo sapiens. Next base: position 64,649,859 of record NC_000002.12, read on the forward strand.
GGTGGAGGTGGGCCGGGCACACTCACCCCTTGATCTGCTGTCCCTGTGGGGAGGCAGGGCCAGCTCTGGCCAGACAGTGTGCAAGTGTAAGAATAGGCCGGCCAGGAGCACAGATGCCAACTCCATTCTGAGCTGAAAACTGCAATGGGTGCGGAATACAGCTTAGGTGATCTTGGGTTTCCAAAATAGATCAATCAAATTGTGGGGTTTACTTCAGAGAATCCTAGCATTAAGTTCAGATGAGGGACAGAGGATTCTGAGAAAAGACAAATGGGTCTTTCCAGCTTTGGGATCCCTCAGACCACAAAGAGGGCAGAATTTTCAAAAGAGAGTTTGCGCTGTCTATATGTGGTGCTTGTTCAAACTGGCAGTATCTGTTCTGTCCTATTAGAAATCATATATTATAAAATATATTGTGATATTTTACTTTAAAATTTTCATTTGTATTTCAAAGAAAATTTTTAGACAGCCAATCATGTTTTGTTTGTCTCGTGATCTCCGAGAAAAAAAAAACAAAACAAGGAGTCTATTTATTACTCAGAATAGGAATGTCGTCTTATTGGGCTGACATATGCCATTCACAGATTCATACAAAGAATGAACTGCCACACAGTGCTAATGGAGAAAGACACTGCTCCACACAATGAGTGACGGACGCTCCAGGGGACAGTTCTGTTCATAAGGGTTTCCCAGCATCTGCACACAGGGCATAAGTTTGCCTTTAATATCAACTGCACTGGCCATTTGAGACAATCATTTTTTCTAGATTAGTAGCCATTTCCTTCAAACATACTAAAACTAAATGAAATAGCCACACATTTCTTAAACAGGAGTCCTGGCTTGTGGCTTTCTACCAATTGCTTAATGAGTAATTATTAACAATATGTACAAAATATATGAGTTGTGCATATAAAGTGGCCATGGCACTTTTAGATTTTCATGTTTTGCTAGTCAGTATTAATTAACAGAAAGACCTATGAGAGCTGGTGTCACCCTTATTGTGAGGCCATTTTCATGTCAACTGGAGCTTGCCTTCTGGTGCCTTCAGTACACAACTGATCTTTGGACTCAGTAATCAGAGACGGCGCCTGCGCTTGCTCTCTCTCTCACGCACCAAGTAACTATTGCAACTAGAGCTATCTCCTATAGGATATGCCATGACAGTGAATACAAAATTTCTGTTGCCAAGAAGCTTTAAAAATTCTATGAGTGAATTAAAGTTCATGGCCCCAAATACGCCTATCTATATATAGCTTTTTCCACAGGTAATATTGACAAAGTGGTCTTGATTCTGTTGATATATGTGAAATATAAAATAAAGCTTCATACTTTTTTTTCTGTGCTTTTTAACAAGAAACCACAGCAAAAGAAACCTCTCAAAGTTTCTGTTCCAGCTTTCACCTTTCTTAGTTACTAAAATGTAAAATATTTTGTCTGAGGGTAAACTTGTAGTATAATTGGACACTGATAATAAAAGTAGCATGCTGCAAGTTGATAGAAATTTTTATGTATTTGCATTCGAACATCTTCAAACTGCCTTCATACGTTTTGTAATGTTTTTTGTGTGTGATGCATGTGTGTGCCTTTCTAAAGTAGTGTTGTAACTTACTCTGCCATTGGAACCCTGTTTAAAATAGCAGATACCATAAGCTATCAGTCGCCACACAAATTTGAATGAGTTTTAAAATATCAAAATATGTGCTATTTTACTAGGCTCATTATCAGTAATAATTCAGTGTGTAGCAACTGGGCAAAATTCATATTTTAGCTTCTCAATTAAATAGAAAAGCTTTAAAGAGGGACAATTCAGCAAACAGAAGTGTAAAGATTTTCTAAATCTGAATTAATATCCTTCTCTTAGTTCTTCAAGGGAAACAAGCTTGAGCAGCTGTTACCTAAGACGCTGTGACATTCGCCTGACAATAAAACCGTTCCCTAGGACACCTCCTGTCACACATACACTTGGTTGGCTTTACAAAATGTGAGTCCTCTCCCTTACCTGTCTGAATGAAGTAAGGAAAAGGGCCGGGTGTTAAGGAAAAAGGGGGTTGGGGGATGTCAAATCCAAAATAAGATTTCTCATCTGAGAACAACATGGTTATGTATATTTTAATTAGGGGGTGAAACAAGTAAAAAAAAAAAACTGTTAAAGGATTCCAAACTTAATGAACGACATAAACAATTTTATATTAACATATAATACCCCTCTAAAGAAGTCAATGAAGCTAAAGGAAAACTTTTAAACATTTGTCTCTTTTAAATAAAAAGAAAAAAAACCCTGAAAAAATAAACAGAAAAGCAGAGATCCACAAACAAACTATTCTTGTTCACTCCAGAAGTTGGGATCTTAGGATGGATATTTTCATCTTCACAGCACACCCTAGCACACTCATATCAGAATAGACTGCTATAAAAAGGGGGAGGGATGGGAGCTGCCAGGGTGAGACATGCCTTCTGCTGAGCTGAGCAACTACCCCCAACCCCCATCGGCCAAGCAGCCCAGACGCTCTCAGGTGGACGGTCCTTCAGGGGCGGAGCGAAGCCCAAAGCCCACTTCACTCTTGTCAGGGACTAGTCTCTAACTACAAAAAGCTACTGTGAACACTTAGGGCCTCAGGAATCCTGGTGACTACAACTTCTAGCCTCTTTACACACATTATGGATATTTCTTAACATACATTGGGAAATCAAAAAGCGTATTTCATGAACAAAGCTTGAAAACATGTACTCTCTACCCTAAGCCCAACTGAGGCTGCCCAATTCGATTCAAATAAAAACTGCTGTGGTCTGAGGCTGGCTGTCTCACTCTGCTGACTGTCCTCCCCATTCAGTGTCTGTGAAAACTTACTTTCTACCTCCTGAAACGACTCGGCTTGCAAGCAAAAAGTTATTCCAATGCAAACTATACCTGATATTTTCGTGAAACTTAGAAACTAAACCTAAAACTCGACTCCCATCGCAATCTATTACTACCACTTCTGCTAAAGGTAACTTATAGCCAAGAAAACAAAACAAAATACGATTTTCTGTCCATGTAGTGGCCCTGTGACGACACCCCCTCTCTTACTGGTACAAAGTCTAGGGCTTGGGACAGCTGGCTCCCCTCAGCCCCCTCCCTTTCAGTCATAGGCGGTTACCACGAAGATGACTTGTAGATTTCTAACTTAAAAACCAACGAGACGTTAAGTTTAATATACATGTAGATCCCAAATCAATTCATTTGGGCATGGACGAAAGAAAAGAGGGTGGAGAGGAAGGTTTTCAACATTATTAAAAAAAACACCGGGAAATTCACAAAAACGCACTACAGTAAGTTGGATGCAAACCCGGCCACGGAACTCAAAAGTGAAGCAGCCTTCGCGCCAGCAATCCGAGCCTTAAAAAAAGTCTCGCACGTTCACAACAACACAACCGCCACAACGCGCACACACATCCCAGCTGTAGAGGCGACAGCTCCAGGCGCCCCCGCCCGCCGCTCGGCTCTCCGAGCTCCCGACCCCCTCCTGACCCCGGCCCTGCCCCCCAGCGGCTCAGCCCGCAGGCGCCGGGGGTCCGAGAGCGCGGGGCCCGGACCGGGGCCGCGGGAGGGAGCGCTCCTCCCGTACCTGCTCCGTCCCCGGCTCCCTCCCGCGGCGGCGCCCGGCCCCTCCTCCGCCCTCCGGGCTCTCCCAGCCCTGGCCGAGTCCCAACACCGGCCCCCCATCCACCCGGAGCCCCCCGCGCCCGCGGATCCCCTCCAGCCCGACGCCGGGAGAACTTACCACATGCAGCTCCACCTGGGAACTAACGCATCAGGAGGGGTTTCCGCCCACTCCTCAGCTACTCCCGCTCCATGCGGAGTGCCCCGCTCCAGGGGCCCGAGGGTGGCGCCGGGGAGCGGGCAGCAGGCGAGGCTGAAGCTAAGACTCCGCCGTTCTCTGCCTGCGCGCCCCGAGCATTATACAATGGTGGAGGCGGCGGCGGCAGGCAGCGGAGGAGGAAGCAGGAGGCGGGCGGAGGGGGCGCCCTGACCGAGCGAGCGGTACGTCGTGCTCCAGCACTCGCCGTGCAGGAGTGACGTGCGGCCCGCGAGCCTCCCGCGAGCTCCGGGCCCCGGCGCCGCAGGCCCCGCCCCTGGCCGCCCGACCCCGCCCCCGCCGGCCCCGCCCCGGCCCGCCTCTCCCCGGCGGTCCCGGGAGGCGCGATAAAGGCCGGGGCCGGCCGCGGCCGGCCGCGGCCGCAGGAGGAGCAGGAAGGGGCGGCGGGGCGCAGTGGGCGCCTGGTGGCAGCGCCGCCCCCAGCTCCCTGCCGGGCCGGCGCGCCCCTGATTTTCTCGTAAGGACGGGCTGAAAGAGGAGGGGAGACAGAAGGAGACACTCCGGCCCGAGGACCACCACTGCCACTAGTAACGCCCCCTACACACTCTAGAAGTGCTCAGGCGAATGACGAAGCGGCTGGTGACAAAGGCGGCGGCGAGTGCAGCGCGTGCACAGCCCGCGGAGCCGCGCGACCGCAAATATGACAAGCATTTGAGCTATTTGGCAACGTGGGGCCGGTCAGCGGGGCGGGCAGGGTCCCCGCGGGGGGCGAGGGGCAGAGAGCTGGCCCGGGCGCCCGTCTCGCTGCCTGCAGGGGTTCCTGGGCGGGGGTCCGCTGCGGGACACTCCTCCGAGGCCCGCACTGGTCCGAACGGCAGGATGGGGGCTCCAGCCGTGAGCCGGGGACAGAAAAAGTCCCTTGCCCGCGTGGCCTCAGCCCGACACGAGAAGTGGGTCACCAAGTCCACGGCACTTTGGGAGCCGGACCGAACGAGTTGCATCCTTCGGGGCCGGCCGGGGCTCGGTGCAGACCCGGCAGGAGGGAAGCCAAGCTAGGAGACGCAGCCAGGTCGGAGGCGCAGTCCTCTGCCCACAAGTTTCACATTGATAGCCTTTCCCTCCCGTGGAGTAAGCTTATGCTTGGAACTACTTAAATTTACCAGGGAAATTTATACTAGTTGGAAGAGAATGTGTGTATGCCCAAATGGTGAGAATTTAAGAGCACTAGGGAAAGAGGCCAGATAGATGGTTCCACTGGAAAATTAATGATTATTTTAAAAATTACACGTGCATTCAGCGTCAAGATGTAAAAGGCAATGCAGGCAGGCACCTTAAAATTTTGGCTGCCACCCCAATCAATATCATTTCAGATCACTTTGGAGTTTAATGGTCCACTATACTAGTTGTATTTAAGAATAATAAAGCTTTAAGACCTAACATAAAGGCGATTGTAAGTCGTTAACATCAAGAGAAATTTAGACTTGTTTAAACTGTTCTGTAATGATTTGTTATCAATCAAATTGATGATCTCATCGAAATTAAACTTGTGCTGAAATGTTGATAGAGGAGACAACGCTTCTTGTTTTATCTTTAAGGAGGATGGAAAAGGTTTTTACTGGACCCTCAGTATAATTAAAGTCTTATACAGTATAACCTAAGCCAAAAGCTAATTATTTGTGGATATCTTTGCAAAGTCTCATTATAATGGCATTCAAAATGACATATTATGGAAGCTGTGCTCACCGGCCCTCTGCAGGTCTTGCTCAGTTTGCGCCTGAGTGGCATAACATTCAAACATTTTGCTGTGAAGCGAAGATATTTTTCATTTCCAGAGTTCTGCAGTTTAGAGAGGGCATTAACTACTAACAGTTTCCTAACCACCCACTCACTTATACTTTCAGTGCTCACTTTAAGGAAAAGCCATTGAAATAGAAGCTGCAATAATCTCTTCCTGTGATATCTTTGTAGAGGAGGCCAGAGGCATTAGCTCTGTTGAATTTAAGGTGAATTTAAACTGCTATTTGTGAATTTAAACTGCTATTCTTGAATTAAAGTAAGCAGGAAGTTACACTTGCAGAACTTTTGTGACACTTGGATATTTTCTAGCAAATAGATTACACCAAATGCAGTGTTTCTGTATAAAATAACAGGATTTAAGTCAAAGTGACAATTTTGTGTCACTAGGATAGACAGGATTCTGCTGAAGTCCATAAGGTCTGTATTCTGTACCTGCTCAAACAAAGGTTTGCGCTCTTAACGAGACCAGCAACCTGCGTTTTTGGAGTGAAATAGTTTCCATCTCTTTATACCTCTGAAGGCTGTAACATCTTATCAATGTACACATTACAAATAGCTCCCACTTCCCCCACTTTTAGAATCTGGCATCTTTGACCAAGAAGTTAAAGTGAGCTGGCAGTTTCAACAGCTGCCAATGTGGTTAACACCAGCTGGTTAACCCTCTCCCTCCCCTTATGCAACCCCCTACCCCAAGGCTGAGCCACACATAGGCCAGGACAGCAATCTCTACCCAGCCCTAGAAATTCAAGTCTATGAGGATAAGGAAAGGCACTTTCCACACTTCTGAAGTCAGCTCCCTTCAGTATGCAATGACATGATTTGAAATATTTATTCAATAAAATATTATTTCAAATCATGTCATTGAATAAGCAGTGTTTAGTGAATATGTAAATTTTGTTCTCACTCTTTGGGAGATTTAAAAGCCCATTTAAGGGCTGGGTGCAGTGGCTCACACCTGTAATCCCAGCAATTTGGGAGGCCTAGATAGAAGGATCACTTGAGGCCAGGAGTTGACCATTCTGGCCAACATAGCGACACCCCCATCGCCACAAAAAATGAAAAAATCAGCCCTGCATGGTGATGCATGCCTATAGTCTTAGCTACTAAGGAGGCTGAGATGGGAGGATTGTTTGAGCCCAGGAGTTCAAGGTTGCAGTGAGCAATGACCACACCACTGCATTCCAATGTAGGTGAGATCTTGTCTCAAAACAAAATCCCATTTAAAATAATCCTACTCTGAGGGCCTCATCCAGAATTTAGAAGATCTGCCTCTCACTTTCATATAACATAACTTTAGAACAGTTATAAGAAATTAGGCTAGTCATCCACATTTAACTACCAGGAACATATCTGTTTAGGGAGAAAAGAAACATTTCTTTTATAAGTATAGAACTGTGATGGTAAATTTTAAAAATGCTCCTGAGTTTAATTTCAGAGAAGTACTTCTCGGCATCATTTTGTAGTTCTGGGTACTAGTTTACACTTCACTGCTTCTCCTTTGAAAGTTTCTGTGCCCTCACATCTTATAGACTAGTACACTAGTGCACTAACTGAAGGCCACTTTTGGCACTTAATTAGCACACACCAAAAACACAAGGGGCAAACTGGGTATATAAACTGAGAAACAAAGACTTTACAACAGGTTTTGAACTTAATTTCATTTTTCCTTTGCTTTTATTAAATTTTTATCTTTCAGGTTCCACCTGAAATGCCAGTAATGATCATCCATCTATATACCTTGCAAATATTGGTCTTGGTTTTATGGCAAAAAAGATAAATGTTTCAGTTATTAAATGAATTGTATAGAGCCAGCTAGGCTAAATAAGCTTTTCATGGAAAATACGGAGATCCTAACTGTGGACTCATCATTCGGATAAATGAATATTGGAATAAGTCTTCAAAATAAAGTTCTGGAAGTCACATCACCTAACTGATTAGCAAGGAGTCAATAGAGGATACAATGATTTGGAAAAGTAAATACTCTCGCAAAGATGGCACAGGCAGATTCAGTCCTTTTCAGCCACTAACAATTTAAAACAATTCTATTGAAGCAGCAAGTGAACTCCTCTACTTCTGCAAACTTTTCTCCATCTCTTCTTCCACCTGCTTTTGTCATGGTTTTTTTCTGCTCCTCCCTGAAGTCACAATTCATAAAAGCAGAACTACAGCTCCAGTGAAGGCCCCTTTGCAAAGCTTTCCATGTTGTTACATTGAACTGCTTTGCAACGACTGCTTCTTACCTTCTGAGGGAGGTTTCACTTGTCTGTTAAAGATATACCTTTTTCTCTTTTAAAAATCTGACAATATGTAAATCTAAACCTGAAACACAATCTTCATGGCAATATTTAAAGAAAATGCTTTTAAAACCATTTCCTTTTTTTCTAGCACTTGGGGTCAGTCCCTTCGAACTATTACTGGAGAAGATGGCTTCTGTTAGGCATCAGCTTCCTTCCTATTCCATTTTCCACTGAATCTTCAAAAGCCTTGTGCAGTCTATCAAAATGCAAAGAACCTTCTTGGTGACTCTGACAACTCCAGGGTTCCCTCCTGTAGGGACACTACTCCACTAAGACTGGTGGTCACTTCTCAGAAACATCTCCCATCCCCAGCTCCCTACACAACACACATTGCCTCTACGCATCGACTATGTATTTATTCCTGTCTATAAGCCATCCATCATTCTTGAGAAGTTCCCACTCTTCTCAAGGCACTGAGCACACTTCTAGCTTCCACAGAAAATTTCAATGAATGTTAGAAATTGCACAGACCTTTCTTGCCCCCAGGAACCAGCCTGGTGACAGGAAAAGTCCTGGACTAGGAGTTTGAAGATCTTGTACACATTAATTACTTAACCATGATAAATCTATGACTTTTTAGTTTCTTAATTGACTGGTCACGGATTTAGGATCAGCACCAGTTCTCGTCAAAAGAGCACAGGGTTGTTGAGTTAGGTGATTTCAGGGCTAGCTCGTCAGCCACAGCGAGCAGGGAGGCCGAATCAGACCCTCTGCACTGGGCCTGCTTCGACACCTGGCAAAAAAAGGAACTTGGACTCAAAGATTTCAAGAGCCCCTCCCTAGAGCTAAGAGTCTATGAAACAGTGATTACACTGTCAATATCCTCATGGAGGAGTTTTAGGGCTAAAATGAGATAAAATGCTTTGGAAGCTGCTCAGCTTGTCTGGAAGAATATAAAACCAAGTTCATGTCCACATATTTCTAAATGAAAGGACTAGAAATACAAATAATGATAATGTGCTCTCTTCAATATGTTCTTTGAATTATTTTTTTAAGTCCAGAAGATGGACTTGAGCAGTTCTATCCATATTCTTCTAGATTTGTTACCCCTTAGGGTTCAAGTCACCCAGCTGTGAGACTGGGAATACCCCTACCCCCTAAGTTTGTATAGCAGCAGGCAATTTACAAGGGGCTTTTTTTTTTTTTTTTTTTTGAGACGTAGTCTTGCTCTTTGTTGCCCAGGCTGGAGTGCAATGGCACAATCTCGACTCACTGCAACCTCCGGCATCCTGGGTTCAAGTGATTCTCCTGCCTCAGCCTCCCAAGTAGCTGGGATTACAGGCATGCACCACCACACCTGGTTAATTTTGTATTTTTAGTAGAGACGGGGTTGCTCCATGTTGGTCAGGCTGGTCTCGAACTCCCATCTTCAGGTGATCTGCCCATCTCGGCCTCCCAAAGTGCTGGGATTACAGGCGTGAGCCACCGCGCCCGGCCACAAGGTGCTTTCATATGGATCCACTTGTTTGCTCTTCATAATACCTTCCCTGTGCCATAGGCAGGGCAGGTACTACTACCCACATTTCATAGAGGACTAAACAGAGGATCTGAGAAGGACCTACCAATGGAACTCTTTATCAAGCTGACTCCAGGGTCAAAGAAAGTCTGGATCTAACATTCACTGAAGCATTCTGTGGAAGCCAGGAGTGCTGAGCGTCTTGAGAAGAGCATACACTCCTCAGAAACAGCAGATGGTGCAGAGCCAGGAAATACAGAGTCAACGTGCAGAGACTAACAGGAGGGTAGTGCTGGGCTAGGAACTGGATGCTGCTTAGCTCCATCTCTCTACATGGGTCATGGAATAACAATTCTGTTTCTTATACAAAAAACTCCAATCCTGCCTATGCTTAGCCTTGTTAGCACCATATTTTATCCCACAGAATTAATAATCCACAACCACCACAACAAAAAAGAAATAAAACTCATCATATCCTCTAGCCCCTCACTCATTTCCAGTAAGGTTCATAACACAGTCATTCTTGTTTACCACCCTGTCTCTAGCCTCTACAGCACTGCCTGACACAGTAGGCATTCAATAGGGATCACTCAATAAGTGGACCAATGAGGAATGCTGAAGCACTTACACCAGCTTCAAAAACTCAAGAGGTTAATCTTTCCTGCTAAAATTTCTCTCATGAAGTATGTACTGTTAAGAGTTAATTTTAACAGGATCATTACACGGGGAACAACCTTGCAGATAAACACCAAATTATTGCCAGAATCTCACCATTCTGTACTTTTTAATGAAGATTCTTCTCTGCCTACTTACTTTAAGAATGAAAAGTATCAGTCAAATAACATTTTAAAACACAGCAGCATTTGATTTTTAGGTTAAATAAAAAAGCCACATAGGGGTTGAAGAAAACCAAAATATATGCTTAGGCCATCAACCTGAAGATAAATTAAAAAAAAAAAAAAACCATCTCTACTAAAAATAGCAAAAATTAGCCAGGCGTAGTGGTGGGTGCCTGTAATCCCTGCTACTCAGGAGGCTGAGACAGGAGAATCTCTTGAACCCGGGAGGCAGAGGTTGCAGTAAGCCGAGATCGCGCCATTGTACTCCAGCCTGGGCAACAAGAGTTAAACTCTGTCTCAAAAAAAAAAAAAAAAAAAAAGACTTATCTATCCAAATTTTCCAATGGCTACCTGAATGGTTCAAATGAGCATTTAACACTGTCACCTTCACACCCTTTTGTTCATGGAATACAAAAATATGACAGTAGTTAAGAATTTTATCTGTTAATTCTGAGGAAAAAATGGCAAAGTGATGACAGGAAAAATATTTTTTTTCCAAAGTATTACTCTAATGCTAAATGTTTTTATGTTTTAAAATCAAGCAAATTTATATGATTGGCTAGACTAAATTCTATCTTTTGGTTTACATATTCTTATATTTATTGTAGAAACTATCTAGGATTGAGTACCTTTAAGCCTTATAAGTAAAGAGGACTTTTAAGCATGGTGAATTTTGTAATGTAAATAATATATTTAAACCATTTTTTGAAGTCTCAGCTATAAAAATTCTACTTAAGAGAAGTTAAAAAAAAAAATCAAGACTTTAATGTGAATAGGTGCCCAGGAAGTGCCTCCAAGTTTAGGCTATGAGGCATCATTAGAAAATAAACGTGAACAGAAGATACAGTTTAAGTGTAAAACACAATATACAACTAAAAATGAATCAGCCCTTTGCCACATGAATTTGTATTAGTTTTCTAGGGGAGAGGTAACACTTGCCAAGACTGTGTAGGCTTTACCTTTTAGTCGCTAATGTAGAATTGTCTTTTAAAGACCTGTTGCCAGAATAAACAAGACGTTTTCAAAATTATCCAACCTGTCTAATAATACTAGTCTTTTGCTTTAAACTGGAATATATATATATACACACACACACACACACACACAATTTAAAATTTATAGCCAGGCATGGTGGTTCATGCCTGTAACCCCAGCACCTTGGGAGGCTGAGGTGGACAGGTCACTTGCGGCCAGGAGTTCGAGACCAGCCTGGCAAACATGGCAAAACCCCGTCTCTACTAAAAATACAAAAAAATTAGCTGGGCATGGTGGCACACGCCTGTATTCCCAGCTACTCGGGAGGCTGAGGCATGAGAATTGCTTGAGTCCAGGAGGCAGAGGTTGCAGTGAGCTGAGATCGCACCACTGCACACCAGCCTAGGCAACAGAGCTGACTCAAAACAAATTAAAGAATGAATGAAAATAAAATAAAATGTATAATTTTTGTTCTCTTTCTCTTTTTTGTTTTTAGTTTTTAAATTTTTATATCTAAAATTTCAGAAATGCAGAGTAAAGTCAAGTAGGAAGAAAATAAAGCAAGCAGCTCAGACACCAACACCACATTAGGTACACTTGTATAAGTAGTCAATTGTTTTTTCAAAAATATACTTTAAATATTGAACAAAAGATTTAATCTTGCTAAGTAATATTTGTTTCAAAGCGGTTTTCTTGGAGAAGTCTTGTTTAGGTTATAGGAAACTCCTCACATGGGCAGAGAAGCTAGCTTTAAGGAGAAAATAATAGTGTGAATGATCTATCTGCAACTTCCCTTTTAAAAACAGAAGTTGAATCTGTAACACCAAATTTAGAAAGGAGAGTGGATGGCAGCAAATACCCTAAGAATATCATCTGTAGCACAGACGCCCACTGCTGTTCTGTTCTGTTACAATTAAATGTACACTTTACAATCCTGAACTTGCTCAGACAATGCATATATTTAAAGATGATTCATTTAAAAGAAAACATACATCTGAAAGAGTCACAACAAGTCAAAAATCTCACTTAAAAAGTGCCAGATTCCCTCACTATGAGTGCAGAGCTATTCATTTGGCCTCTTTACACAGAGTGCAGCACAATCCAGTACTGGGCTACGGAAAAATCATTTTTGTGGGACTAATGTTGATAATTTCAACATAATTTCTGTTTAGCTTCCTTTAAGAAACTAAAGCCCAAATTACAAAAAGGTAGAAAAAATTTTTAATTAATCAGATACTGATTTTCAATCCATTCTGATTTGTTGCCCCTTTAAAACTGTGAGACATCATGCTTTTAGTTTTAATAACAATTAACAGCAATGAGAATAAAGATTCCAGAATTACGATTTTCTCATTACAGCCAAAAATGAAAAGTGAGAAGACAAACACCTTTCCAAAAGTTCATCAGATGAAAAGATAAAAATTAATGGGGAGCCATACCATTTAATGGACAAGAATACTTAATACTATATACATGCAGATTCTCCCCCAAACTTATCAACAAATTACATGAAATTTAAATCCCATATTTTCCTTCAATGGAACTTGGCAAATGAATCCTAAAATTCATCTGAAATAGAAAAGGGCCAAACACAGTTGTAATAAGCTTAAGGAACAAGATGGGGGACATGTCCTATCAGAGCTTATTATAAAGCTCTAGTAATTAGAGCAGAGTAGAGTTGACATAGGTACAGATAAATAGATCAATGGAACAGAATTGAGAGTTCAGAACCACATATATATGGAAGTGTAATACATGACTGAAGTGAAATTACAGATCAGTAAGGAAAGAATTCAATAAGTAGCTCAGGGCCAGGCACGATGGCTCACACCTATAATCGCAGCACTTCAGGAGGCTGAGGCAGAAGGATCGCTTGAACCCTGCCTGGGCAACATGAAGAGACCCTGTCTCTACAAAAATTTTAAAAATTAGCTGAGCAGGCTGGGCACGGTGGCTCATGCCTGTAATCCCACCACTCTGGGAGGCCGAGGCGGGTGGATCACGGGGTAAGGAGTTCGAGACCAGCCTGGCCAACATAGTGAAACCCAATCTCTACTAAACATACAAAAAAAATTAGCCAGGCGTGGTGGCGGGCTCCTGTAATCCCAACTACTTGGGAGGCTGAGGCAGGAGAATCACTTGAACCTGGGAGGCAGAGGTTGCAGTGAGCCGAGATTGCACCACTGCACTCCAGCCCAGGCAACAGAGAGAGACTCCATCTCAAAAAGAAACAAAACAAAACAAAACAAAAAACCAACATTTAGCAGAGCATAGTGGTTCCAGATTCTCAGGAGGCTGAGGTGGGAGGATCGCTTGAGTCCAGGAGGTCAAGGCGGCAGTGAGCTATGTTGGTACCACTGCACTCCAGCCTAGGTGACAGAGCGAGACTGTCTCAAAAAAATTATAAATAAATAGCTCAGGGCCACCTGATTACCTGTATGAAAAATAAATTAGGTGCCTAATATTTACAAAAAAATATATTTCAGGTAGACTAAATAGGTAAAACAAAATTTTAAACTTTTGGGAGAGAATATATGAAAATATGTTTATGGCTTTAGGATAAGGAAAATGTGCTGACTGTAGTTCATCTGAGATTCATTCTCCACTTGCCTCTGCTTGGCTCCATGCCTTGAAATGTTGACATCTAGGGACCACCTCACCCAAGTTCCTTTGCTCACTAGCTTCCAACTGGATTCAGACAAAGAAGGTACCAGAAGGAGACCAATGGGTCAGAAGGTGGAGAAGCTGGGGTACTTCTTCCCTGCTCCTTCCTGCTTTGGGCCCTCACCTGCGAGTACACATCCCTCCACAACTACAGCTTCTGCCAGGTGGCCCCTTCTCCAGGATGCCAACTCCCACCAGGTTCTAGCAACACCATTTCTTCCCCTTTCCCCTTTAGGCTTAAGGATAGTAACAGCTTCCTACAGTTATTTGTCTTCTGTGCCTCAACTTTTGTCACATCTCTGTAAAATGTCCCTTCACTAGTGTCTCTTTAGTTGAATCATCTCAGTAGAATTCTGTTTCCTGCAGGGATTCTGACTATTGAAGAAACAAAACACTCAATGAACAAACCATAAAGAAAAATATCAATAGCTTTGATTACACTAAAATTAAACATCTCTTACATAAAATACACTACAAACAAGTTAAAGGCAAGCTAAAGATTGTCAAATGATATACGTGATTCATAGAAATAGAATCAACAAAAGATTAGTATTCAGAATTAACAAAGAACTCCTCTGAATCAATCTTTTAAAAGACAGATAAATCCAATAGAAAAATGGGTGAGGAAACTAAAATGTCCAATGAACACAGGAATAGGCACTCAACTTCATCAGTAAAAAGAAAAATGCAAATCAGGTTGTGTCAGTGGACATGCCGCTAATCCCAGCACTTTGGGAGGCTGAGGTGGTAGGACACTTGAGGCCAGGAGTTCAAGACCAGCCTGGGCAACATAGCTAGACCCTCATTTCTACAAAAAAAGAAAAATGCAAATTATAAAGAGATATTTCACAGCTATCAAACTGATAAAAATCAAAGTTTTATATGTATACCAATATCAAATACTGATGAGAAAGCAGATAAAAAGGAACTCTCATAAAACTTGTGGATATATAATTTGGTATGACCACTTTGGAGATAATTAGGCATTTTCTTTGTTTGTTTGTTGTTTCTGTGACAGTCTTGCTCTGTTGCCCAGGCTGGAGTGCAATGGTGCCAACACAGCTCACTGCGCCTTGTCCTCCCGGGCTCAAGCGATCCTCTGAGACTCCCAAATAGCTGGGACCACAGGTGCACATCATCATGCCCAGCTAATTTTTATGGGTTTTTGTAGAGATGGGGTCTCACTATGTTGCCTAGGCTGATCTCGAACTCCTAGGCTCAAGTAATCCTCCTGCCTCAGCCTCCCAAAGTGCTGGGATTATAAGCCTGAGCCACCATGCCCAGCCTAATTAGGCACTGTCTAGTAAAGTT
This sequence comes from Homo sapiens, assembly GCF_000001405.40. Classification (NCBI taxonomy): domain Eukaryota; kingdom Metazoa; phylum Chordata; class Mammalia; order Primates; family Hominidae; genus Homo; species Homo sapiens. The sequence continues at coordinate 64,664,995 of NC_000002.12, forward strand.
GGAGATGCACACACCCTGCCACATACAGTCTTTCTCATATAGAAAAATAAGCTCTACAGAAAAGGATTCAAGTGACTGTTTCCTCAGTTCTCCCAAGGATGGTATAAAGTTAAAATCTGTGATGTGCTAGCAAATGTTTAACAACCAGCTAGGGGGATAGGGAAGGAAGCTTTTATTTGTAGCATTTGCTGATTTCTGTGGTATAAATACCCATACCATGGCTGATTTCAAGCCTCCCAACTGAACTCAAGAATTAGGAAGAGATTAGCACATTCATTCTTAGGAGTGGCTATCAATCTCCAGCTCCAGCTCAACACTTGAATGATTCCAGACTTACAGAAGTTAATTCATTACCCTACAAAGATACCTTAAGAGATTGGGGCTTAATTCCCTCAAGGAATTCTGGATGAGAAGGGCTAAGTCTAGAATCTAGAGAGACTCTTGCTTTTATCCCCATGGAGACATAGGAGAAGAATCTTTTTGGCAGTATTGCTTGTAATAGCAAAATATTGTAAGTAACCTGAAAGTTCAAGATGATACCCTTGAAAACTACAGTGGTTAAAAAGAACTAAAGGTCTTTCCAGCCCTGGCCCCAGACCCTACAGCCATGGAGATGTTGATGCCTAAGAAGAACCAGATTCCCGTTTATGAACTCCTTTTTAAGAAGGGAGTCATGGTGGCAAAGAAGGTTGTCCACATGCCTAAGCACCCAGAGCTGGCAGACAAGAAGGTGCCCAACCTTCATGTCATGAAGGCCATGCAGTCTCTCAAGTCCTGAGGCTGCATGGAGGAACAGTTTGCCTGGAGACGTTTCTACTGGTACCTTCATCTGCCCCCGGAGATTGTGCCTGCCACCCTACACCACAGTCATCCAGAGGCTGGCAGGCCTCGGCCTAAAGGTCTAGGGGGTGAGCAACCTGCAAGACTCACAAGAGGGGAAGCAGACAGAGATACCTACAGGCGGAGTGCTGTGCCCCCTGATGCCAACAAGAAAGCCGAGGCTGGGGCTGGGTCAGCAACCGAATTCCAGTTTAGAGGCGGGTTTGGTCATGGACGTGGTCAGCCACCTCAGTAAAACTGGAGAGGATTATTTTGCACTGAATAAACTTATAGCCAAAAAAACTTAAAATAAAAAAAAAAAGAACTAAAGGTACCATGTATTGTGTGTTGATCTCAAAATATAAAGCTTTATCTCAAAAACAAATATTGACTAAAATAAAGCAAGTTATAAAATATATACAACACCATTTATATAACATATTTTTAAACATGCAAAACACTGTATATATAGTTTACATATATATATGTATGCAATTATAGAAAATAGATTTAAAAATTCAAGAAAGTAGTTACCTCTGGTAACAGGAGGAGGTTAATAGAATCAGGGAGAGACACACAGGAGATGTCTTTTTAAAAAGTATCAAAGTCTCAAAAGCAAATAAATGTATTCTAATTATTTCATTGTTTCAGAATATAGTAAGTTAAAGAAATACATTTTCTCTTCTTTCTTCCTTATGGTTCCCATGAAGTAGAACCGTGTAAGATTTTTTTTCCTACAACTTCTAGCACCTGTTAATACTGGACAATATTTGTATTGCAAGCATTCATTTATTCCCTATTATTTCAGTAATAAACAATTTATTCTTCTCATTCGTTCTATTATCCTTCTCGCTCTCAATATTACACTGTAAAATCCAATGATAATGCTAAATCAACCTAACGTTCTTCAATAGGAAGTCCAGCTCATCGCTCAAGTATAAGAGAGTAAGTGGTTTAATGCCTGTTTTGGGTGTTATTTCTTACCTGCCAGGCGAACTTCTATCATGCTAACAAGGATAAATCTTCCTCACAAAATATGGAAGGCTTCTTGTTACTTCCTTAAAATGACAAAGAACTCAGCACTAAAAAGTGAAATCTTGGTTTGTTTTTTTTTTTAAAGTAAAAAATAGAAACACAGTTTCCCCATAAAATATCTTTCACTAGGTGTTCAGGTGACCACCAAGTGCTACACCAAACGCACTGCAGCTCCTTCTTATGTCTCTTCTTATTGGGGATCTTGACATTTGGGAACATGATGTTTCAGTGCATGTGTAGTGTGACTTTTTTTTCAAAGAGATTGTCTTGAAATAAGCCTATGTTTTAAGTACACACTTTTCTGCAAGCTAGCAGGCATTCTGAAGCTAGGTGGTTCTAAATAAAGAACTCTAGTCAACAACAGGAAATAACTCCCACAGAAAAAAGGGGCAGAATACAAACTCTCACCAACTCTTGTACACAGCTCACAACGGCCTTTTGTTCCATGCACATTAAGCCTGAAATCTTTACTTTTCAGAGCATGTTGGGGCCTTCGCAGAGCAATTAAACATTTCTTTTCCTTTTGCTGGTGTCCTTGCCTTCTTTCCTCTGAGGAAGTTAATCTTACAACTAACTGCTTACTATGAGATAGCAAATCAGAAAACAGAACAGTTTGTATTTTAACAACTTTCTCTTAATGGAACTTCTCAAGATAAAAACAAGTTTTGGTGTAAAAACTCACTTTTCCACCTAATACACATGACACCATGGAGAGACACACATACATGTACTAAAGGAGTAGGTTCACGTGCAGTATATGTTTCTATCAACAAGGATACATCACATTAACCCATATATCTAGACTGATGGGTTATCAGCACTTTACCAGTGGTCAGCAAATCAATGCAACTAGAAGACAAATTTATATCCTCTTCAAAGGTTCCCATCTTGAGTCTTTAGAAAAAGAGGAAGGACAATCTAGATCCCAAGCCAACCAAACAGAAAGACATTAGATGGTAGTCTTTAAAGTCAAAGTGACACCTATTAGAACAGACTGGTGGCATTCAACTATAACACAGCACAGGTGCTCCTGACAAGGGAATGAGACTGAGCAAAAAAGCTTCAATATGACTGAAGATTGGTATTTCTTCCCTCTCTTGTACATTCAGCCTTGCCCTTCCTACTGGCTCCTTGTTGCAATCAATAAATTACAGATTCACTGTATTCTATCTTCACTTTTAAAATAGGAATCAATCCTCCCCATGTTTAATGCTGCAGGAATGCTGCTAGTAGCTACTTCTGTCTATCTACAGCTTTATTTTTCTTCCTGCTTCCTCTGCCTACTGCAGAACAACTCTACTGACCATCCCACAAACGGGCAACAGTGACCCCTAAATGGCATGGCCAATGGACACTTCTCAGCTCCTCATACTACTTAGCCTTTCTGTAGCATCTGACATTACTGACCACCTCGAAAGGTTTCCTTCAAGTTGAACTGTAGTCTCCTGGTTCTTGTCTCCTTGGCCACTTGTAGTTTCCTTTGTTGGCTCCTCTTCCTCTGCCCTCCCTATAAACCTGTAGTTTTAAACTTAAAAAACAACAACAACAACTTCCGGCTGCAGAGAGGGCCAGAGAGGGGTAAAGTACTGTGGTGGGGGCGGGATGGAGATGGCTATGGTTCATGGCCGGGTTGGGAGCAGACATGGGAATGGTTGATTAGGATATTAGAATCCTCAGAAAAATTTAGGAATGTTAAGTGTTTCGAAAAACAATTTCCCAGTTAATAATCCCAGTTACCTAATTAACTATGTAAATATTAGTATTCCCTATGGTTTTGTCTTGCCCCTTTTCTCTTCCTATCCTAGAAACTCTCCCTAGGCAATCTCACCCATTCTCAGAGCACCTACATGCTAATGACTCACAAATCATTAACTTCATTCCAGACCTTTCTCTCTGAGCTCCAGATGTGACCTGTTTATATAGGAAGACTATGCAACCCAGTTTATAAGGGTCATTCCTGGTTTATGCTTGTTATCCTGGCATAATTATTAATAGCACCCTGTGTCAATTTCGAAAAGGTCCTAGTTTGAATGATAAAAGCATATAATTAACCTATTCATGTCCCGTTGCCTATCAGACATCTCCACTGGGTATCGTAAAGGCATCTCCAACTCACAGCACATCTAAAGTTGTCCTAATCATATTCTCCTTAAATTGCCCCCTACTTCCCAAATGCCTAAATACGGTTAAGGCACAACATCCACCTGGAGTCTCCGTTGGAAATCTCAGATTCAAAGTATCTTCCATCTCTCTTACCCTCACATTCATCCAGATACAAAGCCCTGTCAATCTTCTCTCTTATTTTCCATGTATGTCCCATTTCTCCCACCGCTGCCCTAGTCAATACTCTAGTTATCTTTCACTTTGATTATGGCAACAATCTGTCTCCCAATTTCCAGTCCCGAATATTCTCCTCTAATCCATCCACATGACTTACTGTATGACAGGTAGCATGGTAGGTCCTAGAAATACAAAATGAACAAGAGATGCTCCCACCCAGTTCAGGTGGAAGATTAACTCATCATTGTGATGCAATGGGTTATGTGGTGGGTGTAAGAGACATGCACAGGATGACAATGGACATGCAGGAGTGGCCACAGAGCCTGGCCAGTGTGGAATGAGGCCAGGAAGTGGATTTTAGGGTAAACAGGAATTAGTCAAGGTCATTAGTCAAGGTCATTAAAGGCAGATGGAACAGGATGAACAAAGATAGGGAGGTGAGAAATAGCATGTGATGTGGGTACAGATCTGAAGTGTAAATTTCAGGCAGGGAGTAGCAATACGTAACACTAGAGAGTTTGGCTGGGGCACGTCTAGGAAGGTCTTGGAGGCAACACTGAGTGTGGCCTTTATGTTCTGAAGTCATTAAGAGATCTTCCATGGGAGAATGGCATGACGTGGTTTTCACTTTAGGAAGTTAACTCCCCATTGATTCTTGAACTTTACTGAATGATTCTAACATTTACTTAGACAAACCAACAAATGAGGAAAAAATGAAATAAAAATTAAAAAAGGATATTAAAATATATTTAAAAACAATAATTAAGAGTTGGATTCTGGCAAAAGAAAAATATAAATGAATCTGAATTGAAACACTTGAAACAGACTTTAGTAAAAAGATTTAGTATACACTAAAGACACATTCTTATAAGTGAGGTAAGGGAGGCATGTGCAATGAATGGTTTATTATTTAGGGAGGAAAAACTAACATTAGGTCCTTGCCTCATACAATATGATAAAACACCAGAGATTAAAGAATAACATTAAAAAACATAAGAGAACTAAAAGAAATTACAGATGAATAATTTATCTTAGAGGTAGATAAGACCTTTTCAAACATAAAGCAAAAGAGCCATGAAGATAAAACTGACTACATTAACAAAAACTATATAACAAAAAGCACCATAAGCAAAAATTTTTTTTAAATGACAAACTAGGAAAAATAACTGCAACACAGGTAACAAAGACTTAGTAACTTTATAACCTAAAGAGGTCTTATGAATCAATTAGAAAACCATCAATACTAAATTAGAAAACACTAAAACAAAATTTTATAAATGAGCAAAGGACCCAAACTAATCATTATCAAGGGAAGCAATGCATGAAAAAGCAATACAAATTTAAAAGAACTGTAATTTTTACATAGTAAGCTAGCTAAAGTTGTTTTAAAGCTGTTAACAATGTGAGGGTGCAGTGGACAGGTTGTCTCACAGTTACTGATGTGAGTATAAATTGATTTAACCTTGGGAAAGAGAGGGTTTTGGAGATGTGTATCAAGAACCTTTTAAAATTTCTATATCCTGTAATGTGGTCATTTCATTTCTAGAAATTTGCCCCATAGACCTAATCGGAACCATGCATAAAGAATGTGTTCATTCAACATTTATTTATTTATTTATTTATTTGAGACAGGGTCTTATTCTAACTCTCAGGCTGGAGTGCAGTGGCATGATCAAGCTCACTGAAGCCTCAACCTCCTGGGCTCAAGCGATCTGCTTGCTTCGGCCTCCCAAAGTGCCAGGATTACAGGTGTGAGCCATCACGTCCAACCCAACAAAAATTTATTGAATGCTTACTATGTCCTAGTGTTTTTTTTTGTTTTTGTTTTTGTTTTTGTTTTTTTTTTGAGATGGAGTTTCACTCTTGTCATCCAGGTTGGAGTGCAATGGCACGATCTTGGCTCACTGTAGCCTCCGCCTCCCGGGTTCAAGCGATCCTCCTGCCTCAACCTTCCGAATAGCTGGGATTACAGGCGTGCACCATCGTGCCAGGCAAATTTTTGTATTTTTAGTAAGGACGGAGTTTCACCATGTTGGCCAAGCTAGTCTCGAACTCCTGCCCTCAGGTGATCCGCCCTCCTCAGCCTTCCAAAGTGCTAGGATTACAGCCATGAGCCACTGCACCCAGCCTAAGTTTTAGGAGCTGGAATATGGCTGCAAACAAAACACAAAATCCCTGTTTTCCCGGATCTTACATTCAGGATGGTGGGAGAAAGTGGAATAAATTCGTAAATTATATGGTATATTAGAGATTAAGTGCTATGGGAAAAATAAAGTAGGAAAAAAGGATGGGTAATGTGTGCTTGAGTGTGTATGTGTGGGGCAGGGCTGCAATTGTAAAGAGGTGGTTGAATATACCTTGATAAGAAAATGACATTTGAGGCCGGGTACAGTGACTCATGCCTGTAATCCCAGCACTTTGGGAAGCTAAGGCAGGTGGATCACGAGGTCAGGAGATTGAGACCATCCTAGCTAACACAGTGAAACCCCGTCTCTACTAAAAATACAAAAAATTAGCCGGGTGTGGGGGCACATGCCTGTAATCCCAGCTACTCGGGAGGCTGAGGCACGAGAATCACTGGAACTCGGGAGGCGGAGGTTGCAGCACTCCAGCCTGGGCAACAGAGTAAGAATCCATCTCAAAAAAAAAAAAGGAAATTAATCATCCCATGGAGTTGTAAAGATTAAATAAATTAAGTGCTTTCTTTTTTCCAAAATGACAGGAGCCATTTTATTATTTTAATTTTTTATAGAGACAGGCGTCTCGCTATGTTGCCCAGACTGGTCTCAAACTCCTGGTTTTAAGCAATCTTCCTGCCTTGGGACTCCCAAAGTGCTGGGATTACAGGAGTGAGCCACCAGCCTGAGATAATTTTAAAAGGTACAAGGACCTGACACTAAACAGCCATGTTGGAGGAGGGAGACAACAGCCAGATGAAAGGTAAGTGATGTTGGAGGGGTGCACGTGTTTCCCAGGAGGAGAAGGGAGACAGAATAATGTTTTGAGATACCATGTGAGGTTTCTTGCTGTCCAGCCTCCTGTGCAGCTGGAGATGGCCAGGTGCTGCAGTTCTGGCTAGTCAGGTGTAAAGGGAAGTCTGCTGGAACTTCTGGGAAGGAATCTTCTTTCTGGTAGCCGTCTGTGACCATGATATAACAAGAATAAGGGTAAGGCCGGGTGGGGTGGCTCACGCCCATAATCCCAGCACTTTGGGAGGCCAAGGGCAGGAGGATCACTTGAGCCCAGGAGTTCAAGACCAGCCTGGGCAATATAGCAAGACCTCATCTCTACTAAAAATAACTGTTAAAAATTAGCCAGGTGTGGTGGTGTGCACCTGTAGTCCCAGCTACTCGGGAGGTTGAGGTGGGAAGCCCAGGAGGTTGGGGCTGCAGTAAGCTATAATCACACCACTGCCCTCCAACCTGGGTGGCAGAGTGAGACCTTGTCTCAAAAAAAAAAAAAAAAAAACAACCCAAAAACAAACAAAAAAAGGGGATAGGGTAGGTGACAGAGCGAGAACTTGTCTCAAAAAAAAAAAACAAACAAAAAACCCCAAAACAAAAATAAGGGATAGGGTAAAAGCCCAACACAATGAGAGGAGTAGAGCAGAGGTCCAGGTGGGGCCTGGGTCCTTGATGACACCCCTACCCCCATCCTTGCCATGCTGGGACCACCCAGCTCTAGACATCTGAGGAAAACAGTAAATGGCCTTGTGGTTATTTTGTAACTCTGTAGATGCGGGCCAACGGGCCAAAAACCACAGGCCACTAAATCACCTAAGGACTAGTTTAAACACAGCTCCCTAAACCTCACCTACTCTATTCAAACTTTATCTCTGTGGGAGGGGCTTAAGAATCTGCATTTTATACTTCCCAGTTGTACTGGTTTCCTATTGTTGCTGTAACAAATTATAACCTTAGTGGGTGAAAATGACACAAATTTATTCTCATATAGTTCTGGAGGTCAGAAGTCTAAAAATCAAGGTTTTGAGAGGGCTGCATTCTTCCAGAGGCTTCAGGGGAGGCCCTCCTTCATTGTCTTTTCCAGCTTCTAGGGGCTGCCTTGCATTCATTCCTTGGCTCATAACCCCTTCCTGCATCTTCAGAGCACATAATTCCAACCCTTGCTTCTGTCATCCCACCTTCTTCTTCTGCATTTGATGCTCCTGCCCCACTCTTATAAGGACCCCTGTAATTACACGGAGCCCAGCCAGATAATGATGATCTCCCCATTTCAAGAACCTTAATTACATTTGCAAAGTCTCTTTTACCACGTAAAGTAACATACAGGGAGGATTACTCTGACCACCACACCAGCTGATTGTGGAACCACCGAAAATCAGATTTAAGCCACTGTTTGTTGGCTTTTCTGTAACCTGCAGGTGAAAGCATCTTAATAAACCACTTACTGGTGATAAAAAACTTTAACCTAGCAGTTCTCAGTGGGAGCAGAGGTGGGGGATGAGGGGACAGAGAAAAAGGTCTGGGAAAGCTATGCACATTAGAATCATTTGGGATCTTTTTCCAAAATATACGTACCTGAGTTCTGCCCCAGACCCATGGAATTGGGATACCCTGGTATGTACAGGTGAACAAACTTCCCTGGGAGATTCAGCTGCAATCCCTAGTTAAGATCTACTGAATAACCTCCAACTATGCCTTAGCTTTCTTATCTGTAAAATATTGAAATATGTCTTGCCTGTCTCTCATGATTTTGTGGAGATCAAGGTAGGCAAAGTATACACAAGCACTTTGAAATTAATAAAGAGCTACATAAGTATAACTGGTGATTGGCCAGGCGTGGTGGCTCATGCTTGTAATCCAGCACTTTAGGAGGCCAAGGCAGTGGATCACTTGAGGTCAGGAGTTCGAGGCCAGCCTGGCCAACATGGTGAAACCCCATATCTACTAAAAATACAAATAATTAGTCGGGCGTGGTGGCATGCACCTGTAGTCCCAGCTACTCGGGAGGCTGAGGCAGGAGAATCGCTTGAACCTGGGAGGCAGAGGTTGCAGTGAGCTGAGATCACACCACTGCACTCCAGCCTTGGCGACAGAGCAAGACTCTGTCTCAAAAAAAAAAAAAAAGTATAACTGGTGAAATTGATGCAGGCTGTAAATGTTGGTGTGTAAAACAATTCATCCAGAGAGAACTCGTTACTTGGAACTTATAAAATAAGCAAAAATAAATCCTTCAACAAAAATAAGATAAAACAAAGCACATATACCAAACCTCATACATTAACATGTATTACCTAAGTGCCTATTTAATCTTAAAGATTAAAATATATCTGGCCTTTTTCCCAAACCACAGATTGTAAATGAAAATTTAGAAATTTAGAAGGGAGAAAGAATTAAAAGAGGCAAGTGCATGATAGTAGAAAAAAGAAAAAGACAGCTAACAACTAGAATAGAAGGGAGGGACTATAAAAACATTGATTTGGCTGGGCATGGTGGCTCATGGCTGTAATCCCAGCACTTTGGGAGGCACAGGTGGGTGGACTGCTTGAGCCCAGGGGTTCCAGACCATCCCTGGGCAACATAGCAAGACCCCATCTCTTTTAATTAAAAACAAAAACCAACACTGATTCAATAATTCAAAAAATTTACTGATCTAGGACCATTAAAATAATGGTAAATAGCACCATGTCCCTTACTAGCTCTACCCTAAAGGAATCTATTTCACAGAATATTTTAGCAATCTAAATGATCCTGAATCATGATGAAAATGTAGCATTGCTCAATGCTATCTATGGAAAAAATATAATAATAACATCAACAACAAACATGATATAAAGAAAGATTTTTATTGAACAAGCTTATGTTAAACAAGTTTAGGTACTTAAAGAGATAAACTTCAGGTGTCTATAAAATTCACATGCACAGAAAGTTGGTATGCTATATAAATAACAAGTCTGTGTAAACAAAGGCATTATAAATCTACATATAAATTCTGCTGATGTGAAGGAAGTCCTCACAAATCATAAGAGCTCAATAAATGTGTAAAAAAAAAACAAAAAAATCCCAAAAAAACCTGTGTTTTTTAGGAGACCAAAATAAACATTATCACCTTCATGGATGAAGAATGGTGACAGATCAGTCCATCTGCTGGCTGTGGATAATTTAAAACTTGGATAATTACAGTACTTTAAAAAACTGTATAGCATTTACAGATTATAAAGCACGCTGACATCATCATCTTATTTGTTCCCCATCCCCAAGACCCCAAGCACCAGCTACTATTCTGTTTTACACCTGAGGAACTGAGCGAGGCTCAGAGAAAACTTTCTCAAGATGACACAACCACCAAGCAGCAAAGCCCAGACTGGAATCTATATATCTTCTACTTCAAGATCTGGTTTTCATTTTCTAATTTATATTACTGTAAATATCACTTTACTTAACTGTCTAAAGAAGATTCTTTGCCAAGGCACATTTCTAAAAACAAACTCAGATGGAAACAAACTTATGGTGATCTATCTATCTATCTAGCAATCAATCATCTATCTATCATCAATCAAGCAGCATGAACCAGAAAAACTTTAATATATCTTTTTAGAAATATATTCTATTTTTCCTTCTTAATACACCCACATACAGCCTAAGTTACTATAAACAGCTTTAGCTTAGAGTGAAATTTTATGACTGAATTTTAAACACTTAAATAGAAAATGCTAAGATGGTCTTATCTAGTAAACAAGAGCATTAGCTCTAAAAACAAAAAGCTCAAAATGTACTGATTTCACAAGCATTTGGCTTCTATGTGAAAAACTGCAGGTACTTCAATGGTGTGTTTTATTTGTGTTTCTAGAGTACTACTATGCTTCCATGCTAATTCAACCCACGTATGTTGACGACACATGCGGATCCTAAAATGCCATGATTCATCTGAGGCTGCCACAGTTGTGCAGCTTAGGGATGTACCCATCAGATGTGAGGCTGCATGCATTCACACTTTCTGTCCCTGTCACACACTGCAAATAACTCCAGCAAAGCATAGTCATCCGCCTCTGACTCACCCTCCCACCTGAGGGAGAGCCTGTGCTATGAGACTGAAGTAAAGGCACCCTTCATCAGAAATCATCTTTTCTACATTAACGGTAAAAAAAAAAAAAAAAGAAAAAGAAAAAAGTCTTCATTATGAGTTTGGCCGCTTTTATACCATTTTATACCATTAGTACCTGTTAGTTCTTTTGCAGAGAAACCAGAGAAGCAAAACAAAGAGTATTTTGAGACTACTTAACATGTAACTTAGCAAACTGTGGGCAACATTTTCTGACATGCCTGCAAACACTGACTGTGGAGTCAGACAGTCCTGGGACAGACAGGGTTTCAACTTCTAGCTTGACCATGTGTTGGTTGGTTGACTTTCAGCAACTTGCTTAAGCCTCAATTTCCTCATCTGTAAAAAGGGGATAGACCCAGAACCTGCAGTGTGGTGTTACTGTGAGAATTAAATGAGATAATGTATGTAGAAAGGTTAGTGCAGCCTCTGAAAATGATAAACAACAGTAGCTATTTTTGTTAATAATTATTTAATAACATAATGCTCATCAAATTCAATACTGTGCTGGTGGTCACTGGCGCTGGATGGAGAGCTCCCTGGTTTGTCCCCAGCAGGCCTCGTCACTGCTGCCAACTGGGACAAATCTTACAGAGGCGTTGTGGTGCGCACTGTACAGGAGAGATTAGATGAAGCTCCACTCATTTAAGGCATTAGGTCAGACTGGAGTATAGGAGAAATATATTTTTATTGAATGAATCTCATCATCTGACTAGCATTCAAAATGTACCTCTGCCACTGCAAATTTAATATAAAACCAATACCCCTGTTTTTTCTTCATCTAACATTTACCAAATGTCCACTGTGCCAGGCTTTAGGCTAAGCTTAAGAAAAGACTCTCTCACAAATTACTAAGAGTGTTAAACCTCTGGATTGTTAATTTTCTGAGATTCCCTCCTCTTGTCCCTTTGCTTTAGTTATATTCTGATGGGAAAACATAATAAAGTCTAGGAAAGACCAGCTACTTTCTTCAATGGCTTTATAACTCAAGTAACAGGAGGAATCAGCATGCTTCTTCCTACTTTCATTGCTATAACTGGGTTACAGCACTTTTTTTTTTCTACATTAAAAAATGCCAGTAATGAGCTGGGTGCAGTGGTGCACACCTGTAATCCCAGCTATTTGGGAGGCTGAGGAGGGAGGATCACTTGAGCCCAAGAGTTTGAGAGCAGCCTGGGCAGCATAGCAAGATCTCATCTCAAAAAACAAACAAACAAACAAACAACAACAACAACAACAAATAAAACAGGATGGGAGAACTGGGGGAATAGATACAGCACGGAGAGTTAATAGAGTGGTTAGTAGTCCATAAGTGGTAAGAGACTGTGGCTTACATTTATAATTTTAAGGTAGAAAAAAATGAATTAAAATATCAAATGATTAGCAATTGAAATGGCTTTGGATTTGGTTGGTAATTAATAGTAATAACCACAATGGCATCTTGGACTTCTGCATATAGCGCTTTTCTCCAAGGATCTCCATATGCTCCTTTACCCCTCCCAGCCACCCTGTGAGGAAGACAGGGCTCCGGCTCTGGCAGGGAGGCAACCTTCTGGACTTTGGACTTGGAACCCAATGCTCTTTTCACCACCTTTTTCCCTTTTCACTGTCTTCTCACAACATCTCTTGAAGATAAAGAAGGACCAGATACCTGGTAGAAATGAAGCAAAATGGAGCAGAGGAATTATGTAAATTCAGGGATAAAGAAAGGCTAGAAAGGGGCTGGGCGGGGTGGCTCACGTCTGTAATTCCAGCACTTTGGGAGGCCAAGGCGGACGGACCACTTGAGGACAGGAGTTCGAGACCAGCCTGGCCAACATGGTGAAACCTCATTTCTACTAAAAATACAAAATTTAGCCAAGTGTGGTGGCGGGTGCCTATAATCCCAGCTACTCGGGAAGCTGAGGCAGGAGAATCACTTGAACCTGGGAGATGGGGGTTGCAGTGAGCCGAAATTGTGCCACTGTACTCCAGCCTGGGCAACAGAGCGAGACTCTGTCTCAAAAAAAGAAAAAAAGGCTTTTAAAAGCTGTTCAAGAGAAATACAACCTGAGTCTAATTAGGTTCACCCAAACTGAGTGTGCTGAACCTAACGACTCTTCATTAACGCAATACTCACCTCTCATCAACGAGGTTTGCTAGCATAGCCCTTGTGAGTAGTGGGTACAGAGAAACAAAAAAAAGGTCTTAATATTTAGGTCAATGTGGTCAAGTTGTCAGTGCTAGACCCATAAAGGAAGGAAGGGAAAAAAGAAGAGAAAGAGAAGCTTTGATTACTATGAAACATTTCTCAAAGATTTAGATGAAGTCAAACCATGGCACCTGAGATGTTATTCCCTGTAATTCAAATGTAAATTCAGAGATGGGTAGCTCTGCCCCAAGAAAATTCAACTTTCAGAGAGCATGTATGCAATATCTTCAGGCCCAGAATATATTCAAACTTGGTAGGGCATCACATGGCCATTAGTTAACATTATAATTTGCTTTTGAACATAGAGTGTTTCTAATTCAACCAGAGCTTATTTCCAAATCTTTAACCATTCTGTAGACAAAAAAAAAAAAAAGTAGCATTATGACATTATTACTAAGCAAAAGACTAAAAATACTAAAATGCAATGGAAACTATTCTTTGAGTACATATACAACTCCCATTGTTATTAAGAGAGCTGAGCACACACACATTTAGAGGGAAAAGATACTCTGTAATGCTTCAGAGCTACTGTGATGCAGTAGCTTCCTAAAACTAAAGAAGAAAAGCAGAGACTGGTTAGATTTGCAGTTTTCAAATAGGTACATGTCCAATCAATTATTTATTTTGGGTTAATTTTAGTGAAAAAAAATTACCTCACATGAAATGGTTGCATCACTGAAGGGTTAGATCATTACACTCTTTTCAGAAAAGCAAAGATAAGTTTAGTAAGTGTAAATAATACACTAAATAAAGGTCCCCTTTCTCAGTTGAGAAAACACATGAGTTGAAATCAAGTATGGAGAATTCTGGAATCAGTTTCACAATTACTTATGACACCACAAGTAGTGAGAGCAAAAATCCTTTATAGGAACTTTTTTTTTTAAGTTCACAATTATGTGGTTGGGTACTTATTTACCCGCCAATAGCTATGCAGACCATAAGGTCTCAAAAACAAAGAAGTATGCTCTCTCTGTGTTAAGACTTCTGTCTTTCTTTGGAGAAGAATGGGTGTGGTCGTGGTGGGGGAGGGAGGGCATTTAAGCTGGAAGAGGCTTGTGAAGCCCATCCAAGACTTTCATTTTAAGAAAGATAGATAAACAAACAAACATTGGTTCCTTTTATTGAGGAATCTGCCTATCTGCCCGGTTGCAATAGTGAATGAACTTCTTTTACTGTGGTGTGGGTGTTGGGGGTTGACAAGAGTTTTAATTGTATATTACCAACATGGGTTTAAAACTTTTTTTTTTTGGTGTTTTAAAACTAACCACCCTCCCCCTTCAAAAAGAGTAAAACTTGTTTCTTCTGGTGAACAAAGACTTGGGCCTTCTAATGGTTTCATGCAAGTTGGTTTTTTAAGACCTGGAAACTGATTGGGTGACATTTAATCTTCGAGATTAAAATCACTTGGTGAATATTGTATTGTTCCACTGTTCTCACTGTCATTTTGGCATTTGGGGCCTCGCTCTGCTGCTTCTGCTGGAGCACTTACCAGCTAATGAAACCTAGCCCAGGAGCAGCTGCCTGAATCTATGTCAAACTGCATCTGGCACCCATCTATCTTCCAGTCATCTAAATTCACCTCGGAAATCATACAAAAGCAGCCACATCAACACACCAGTCTTTGTTTTATCAAGGCTGTAAAGCAATTTTAGACTTTTTTAAAAAAAATCCTATGTATTTCAGAGTGGCAGCTTTTGAAAGGATGAGGGAAAGTATTTTCTAAATCCTGAGAATATTGAGACTTTAAAATACCAAGTAAAAATTTGGTAGACCATCATTAGCACGGTTTTGGCTGAAACAGTACATTGAGGGGCTTGCCAGTAGAGACACAATACTGCCGACAGATCCCAGACAAGGAGGCGAGTCTGCTTAAAATTCTTGAGTTGTCACAGTTATTAAATATGCTGCACCACAAAACCTTCCAGTACTCAAGGTTTTCTCACTATCAGTTCTGTGGAATTATCAGAAATGCTGGTTTTAGCAAAGAAATTATTTACATGTGCATTCAGGGAACATTCTTTTCAAAAACCATTATATGACAGAGAGAACAGTTTTCCTGAATGAGAGTATACAGATAAATAAAATATGTTATTTAAAAGATACACTCTTACTAAAATTGTAAGTAGTTGGATCACTCTGCAGTAGCTGACTTTTCTCCTACCCTTCTGATGATGACCTGTATAAGGGGATACCGTTTTCTTTAACTGTGATGGCTAAAGCTTGAGCCTTTAAGAAATGAGTATAACAAACATGTACAAAAGGATCTACAAGGAAAGCCAAGTCATAGATGATGCCTAAAGCAAACTTAGTTTTCAGGTCAGCAATACGTAAAAGATAGCTTTTCTTTTGCTTATTTGTTGATTTTAATTCTAATATATGTTATAAATTTCCCTTGAGATAGTGTTTTACCTGCGTCCTATGCTTTTTTGAAAAAAATTGTGCACTTTGGGAGGCCGAGGCAGGCAGATTGCCTGAGCTCAGGAGTTCGAGACCAGCCTGGGCAACACTGTGAAACCCTGTCTCTACTAAAATACAAAAAAATTAGCAGGGCGTGGCCGTGTGCATCTGTAATCCCAGCTACTCAGGAGGCTGAGGCAGGAGAATCGCCTGAACCCGGGAGGCGGAAGTTGCAGTAAGCCGAGATCACACCACTGCACTCCAGCCTGGGCGACAGAGCGAGACTCCGTCTCAAAAAAACAAACAAAACAAAACAAAACAAAAATTAATTGTGGCACTTACATTTACCATTCTAACCTTTTTAAAGTGTACAATTAAGTTCCTTCACAATATTGCACAACCATCACCATTATCCATTTCCAGAACTTTTTCATTGCCCCAAGAAGAAATGGTATACCTATTAAATGATGATTCTCCATTCTCTACTAGCCTCAGCCTCTGGTAAGGAGGCTAATCTATTCCTCAGCTATTCTATGTTGTCTTTATGAATTTGACTATTTTAGGTACCTGACGTGAGTAGAATTCTGTTATTTTGTGCATGATTTATTTCACTTAGTTTATTTTCCAGGTTCACACACAGTGTACCCAGTATCAGAATTTCATTCTTTTTTAAGGCTAATATTCTATTGTATGTACATACCACATGTTGTTTATCCAGTCTCTGTTGATGGACATTTAGGTTGTTTCCACCTTTTGGCTATTGTGAATAATGCTGCTGTGAACACTGGCATATGATTATCTGAGTTTCTGCTTTCAATTCTTTGGGGTATATACCTAGAAGTGGAATTGCTGGATCATATTGTAATTCTATGCTTACCTTTTTGAGGAAGTGAAAAGTAGCTTTTTAAAACAAATCTTTTAAAACATAATTATGTTCTTGTAATGAGCCATACGTTCATTTAATGGCTAAAATTCTTTCCCTCTGATGTGTGGAGGTCCCAGTTGTCTCCACATTGCTAAATTCAATGATCAGTTCTCACACCTTACCTGACCTGACCTACACAGTTGATCAGGTGACCACTCCCTCCTCTAGGAAACACTCTGTTCACTTGGCTTCCAGGACCCTACACTCCTGATTTTTCTTCCTCTTTCACTGGCCACGCCTCTCAGTCTCTCTTAGTAAGTTCTTCTCCCTCTCCTTGGCCTTTAAAACTCTCAAGGGTAACTGGGGCTCAATCCTTGGGCTTCTTCAATATGCTCCTCCCTTGGAGATCTCATCTAGTTTTACGGCTTTACATACCATATAAATATTGTCAACTTCCAAATTTGTATCTCCTGCCTGTATTCCTCTCCTCTGAAGTCCAGTCTCAAATCTTCAACTGCCTATTCAACATCTCCATATAGATGTCTTATCAATATGCACTCCTCAACTTCCCCCCAAAGCCATCCCCCTGCGTTTTTTTTCCAACTCAGTTAATGGCAACACTATTTGTCCAAGTCCTCAGCTGCAAAGCCTTGGACCCATCATTGATTTCTTACATCTAATCTGTCAGGAAATTCTCACAACTCTAGTGCTATGCTACTACCCCAGTCCCAGTCATCATCACCTCTTGGACCTTGAATACTGAAATAGTTTCTGAAGTACACTTCCTTACTTCCACCTTTGTTCCTCTACTGTCTGTTCTCAACACAGCAGTCAGAGTGATTGTTTTCTTTTTTTTTTTTTTTTTTTTGAGATGGGAGTTTCATTCTTTTTGCCCAGGCTGGAGTGCAATGGCATGATCTTGGCTCACTGCAACCTCCACCTCCCGGATTCAAGCAATTCTCCTGTCTCAGCCTCCCAGTTAGCTGGGATTACAGGTGCCCACCACCACGCCCTGCTATAGTGATTCTTTTCCAAACGGAAGTCAGATCATGCCACCTCTCCACTCCTCCAATCCTCCAATGGCCCCCATCATTCCACTTAAAGGAGAAGACAAAAGGCTCTCAATGTTCTATATTCTCACTGTCCCTCTAACCTCTCACCAAACTATTCTCCCTCATACATCTTGTTTCACCAACACTGGCTTTACCTGCTCACTAGTCTTTGAACATGCTAGACACATTTCTACCTCAAAGCCTTTACAATGGCTGTTCCTTCTGCCTGGAACTTTCTTCTCCCATATATCCACATGGTTTTCTCTCTCACTTTCTTCAAGCCTTTGTTCAAATGATATTCTTCAAACTGTTTAAAACTGCAACCACCCACTCTTGCATGCCTTTCTATATCCTTAACCCGTAAACACTGCTTTAAAATTTTTTTCCATAGCACTTATTACTTCCTAACATATTGCATAATTTATGTATTATAGTCATTGTCTTCTGTTCAGTTAAACTGTAAGGTCCCTGAAAGCCAGGGCATTCCCCCCTGATTTTGTTCACTACTATATTTCTAGCTGCTACGGTCTCAATGTTTATGTCCCCTTCTCAAATTCATCATTGAAGCCTTAATCCCCAGTGTGATAGTATTTGGAGGTGGGGCCTTTGGCAGGTAATTAGGTTTAGATGAGGTCATAGAGTGGAGTCCCCATGATAGAGGTTAGTGCCCTTGGAGAAAAAGAAAGAGATAGGGAATCTCTCCCTCTCTGTGTATGTGCTCAAACCAAGGAAAGGCCATATAATGATATAACCACGAAGAGGGCCTTCACCAAGAGCCCAACCATGTTGGCACCCTGATCCCAGACTTCCAGCCTCCAGAACCATAAGAAATATTTGCTGTTTAAGCCATCCAGTCTGTGCTAATTTGTTACAGCAGCCTGAATTAAGACACCAGCACTCAGAACAATGCCTACCATAAAGTAGATGCTCAGTAGACAGTTTTTAAATGAATGGGTCAGCAGAGAGTTGCCCTTCATTTGGAGATGTACTGTCAGTTATGGGTGCTTAATATGGCTACATTCAAATGGTTAGCCTCTCTCACCTAAGGCAACCCACAGATACTTTTCAAACATCTTCTACAAGTCAGCACTGTATCAGCTGCTGAATAAATAAAATACTTTCCCTCAAGGAGTTCACAGTCCAATGGAGTTTTAAGGAGCTCATAATTTTTTAAGTAAACTTTGTTTTTGAGATAACTGTATTTTCATATGCAGTTGGAAGACACAATCCTGAGAGATACTATGTCCCCTTTATCCAGTTTCCCCCAAGGGTGCTATCTTGCAAAAGTATGGCACAAGATGTTGCCATTGATAGAGACAAGATACAGAATATTGCCATCAAACAAATCCCTTGTGTTGCCTTTTTATAGCCATATCCACTTCCCTCCCTTGCACTCCCCACTCCCCACCTTCCTGACCTCCTGGAAACCACTAATCTGTTCACCATTTCTATGATTTTTGTCATTTCAAAAATGTTACATACATGGAATCATACAGTCTGAAACTTTTGGGATTGGCTTTTTTTCACTCAGCATAATTCGTCCAGGTTGTAGAATGAATCATTAGCCCGTTCCTTTTCGTTGCTGAGTAGTGCTGAAAGTACCATAGTTTGTTTAACTACCTACTCACTGAAGGACATCTGGGTTGTTTACAGTTTGGGGCTATTACAAATAAAGTTGCTACTAACACTTGTGTATATAGGTTTTTGTAAGAATTTAAGTTTTCGTTTCTCTGGAATAAATGCCCAAGTGTGCAATTGCTGGGTCGTGTGGTAGCGTCACGCATAGTTTTTAAAGAAACCGCCGAGCTGTTTTTCAGAGTGCCTGCAATATTTTACATTCCCACCAGCAAATGTGCCTGTGAACTAGATTCTTCATATCCTCATCAGTACTTGGTGTTTTCACTATTTTTTATTTTAGCCTTTCTGAGGTGTGTTTGTATCTTGTGGTTTTAAAATGCATTTCCCTAATAATGTTGAACATCTTTTTGCACTTGTATATCCTCTTTGGTGAAATGTTTCTTCATGCCTTTTACCCATTTTTAAATTTGATTCTATGATTTTTTTACAGTTGAGTTTCCAGTGTTCTTTATATATCTTAGTTGTCATATACATGGTTTGCAAATATTTTTTCCCCAAGTCTGTAGTTTGTATTTTCATCCTCTTAACATGGTCTTTCCTAGAGCAAACTTTTAAATTTGACTGTCTAATTTGTCAATTTTTCCTTTTATTGATAGTGCTTTACATGTATAATACAACTTATTTTACAATGGGACTTCGTCTTAAGCAAATAAAGGTTTGCCAGATACAGAAATGGGAAAGAACATTCAAGAATAATGTATCAGGATTGCAATACTACCTAGTATGCCAGTTGGCTTAAAAAGCATGAGAACATGGGAAAATTTTGACAATCCTATACCTACAATAATACTTTCTGTGCAACCAGAAAGTCCTATACTCTTTATAGGATAGGGAGGTGGGGATGGAGAGTAACTGCTCTGTGTCTACAATTTGAAATATTTGGGGATTGGTGAATATAATAAGTACTTTCTTCAAAAACAAGGAAAAGTACTAGTGCCAAACCCTCTGAGATAATATATAATCCTAGACTCCAAAAATGGAATTCAGAAGGCATTTTCCTACACAAACAATGTGGTGTTAATTAGATGAAGGTGAAAAGAATGGCAAGCAGAGGGGCCTCTCCTTTATTTGACAGAATCACTTTCATAGAACATTATACATAAATGAAAATTCCAGAAAACTGATGAAGCTTACCTTCTTTTAGAGTGTCAAAATGTTTTTTCTTTTAACCACAGTGGAAGACTCTGGATCTTGATTACTTAACCTAAATATTTTACTATGTGGCAATGTTGTTAAATGGGCAATGCCTCAGGGCCACTAAAGTTCATAGGACTATTTGCCCCTGTATCAGATTCCTCTGAATTGCCAGTTTAACTTTTGCCTCAGCCTTTTGTACATCCTTATTTGTTTTGGGGCATTCTGCTCTCAATTTTTGCAGCTGTCAAGATGCCTGCCACTCACTACACTTCCTTTTAATCTGTAACGATTTAGGAAGCCCTATAACCAAGCTAATAAGAATTCTGTCTAAATAAGACTAAGAGGCTCTGAACTGGGGACATGATTTTAGTCACCTCTGGGTAAAATGCATTAATGCATGGCTGTGTGATATCCATTTTGATGTTGTTGACAGCCTTGGGCAGAGACTTCTAGCTTTCCATATATATTCTCCCCTTTCCTCCACAATAATTAATTTTTAGTTGAGTCCATGACTGCCCAACCAAAGACTAAATTTCCTAGCCTCTTTTGTAGCTGGGTGTGCCCATGTGATTGGCAAACAGGATTTGAGCTGAAGTGAGCTAAATTGACAGCTGTCACTTTTGGGTTGTGCCCATCCCCCCTCCCTTTCCAATGGCTGATTTAATGGGTGTTCAGCCATCTTGGACAAAGGCAATGCTCCAGGGATGGTGAAGCAAGTGAAGATAGAAAGTTATATGATCATAGTGCTAGTGCATTGTTCCCTAATCTTTCTTTATATCTTTGAGTATCACTAATATTTTCGGGAGATACCACAAAATTCTTAGTAAAAAATGAATTCTAAGTTGAAATATATATTATGTAGAACCTTCTGAGAGACACGTTGTGGTAGGCAGCCTCTGAGATGGCCTCCAGTGATTCCTGCCTCCAGGTATTCACACCCTGGGGAAATTCCCTTTTCCTTGACAGTAGGCTGGCCTAGCGACTCACTTCTAACAAACAGAGGCAGTAAAGGTCATGATTAGGTTTACAAAAGGACTGTGGCTTCCATCTTCCTTACCCTTTCTTGCTCTCTTGCTTGCTTGCTCTGGTGAAAGCCAGCTGCCATGCTGTGAGCTACTCTAGACAGAAATTCCTATGATACGGACACCATCCAACAGCCCATGAGGGACTGAGGTCCTCATTCCAACAGCCTGTAAGGAACTGAATCCTTCCCCCAACCATGTGAGAGAGCCTGGAAGTAAATCTTTCCTTATTTGAGCCTTCATATGCGACTGTGACCCTGCCTGACACTGAGACACTGTGGGGCAGAGGCACCCAACTACGCTGCAGCTGGATTTTTGACTCATGGAAAAACTGAGATAATAAATGCTTGTTGTTGTAAGCTGCTAAATTTGAGATAATTTGTTATGTAGCAATAAATAGATAACTGATACAGACTTACAAAATAGAAATATCAATGATAAGAGGTAATTTTTGAGGGCTGGGCACAGTAGCTCACACCTGTAATCCCAGCACTTTGGGAGGCCGAGGCGGGCAGATCACCTGAAGTCAGGAATTCGAGACTAGCCTGACCAACATGGAGAAACTCCGTCTCTGCTAAAAATACAAAATCAGCCGGGCTTGATGGCACATGCCTGTAATCCCAGCTACTTGGGAGGCTGAGGCAGGAGAATTGCTTGAACCCGGGAGGCAGAGGTTGCGGTCAGCCGAGATCACACCCTTGCACTCCAGCCTGGGCAACAAGAGCAAAACTCTGTCTCAAAAAAAAAAAAAAAAAAAAAAGGTAATTTTTAAAG
The DNA here is from genome assembly GCF_000001405.40 of Homo sapiens. NCBI lineage: Eukaryota > Metazoa > Chordata > Mammalia > Primates > Hominidae > Homo > Homo sapiens. The sequence continues at coordinate 64,687,267 of NC_000002.12, forward strand.
GGCATACATGCATTTCATTTCATGATTTTGCTGCTTTTACACATACTACAATCTTGTAGGTAGTATTTATATGAAAATAAAGGGAATACATCATTCGGAGTATTAAAATAACTTTGTTTATAGCTACAATTTGAACACTAGCAAAACAGCCTTTGAAAGTACTCAAGTAATTAATTTTGTTTAAATATTTTAAGGCTAATGATTTCATATCAAAGTAATAATCTACATTATAGCCATAAAGATCTCTTACTCTTTTCCACCAAGATAAAATAGAATCTTGATTATAACTCAAGATGAAATTCTATCTGTGAGATTTATAAAATGTTATAAAACTCATGAGGTATCAATAAAAACAAGCAAATTTCTAAATATTCAGATTTGGAAATGTTTAAGTATTGATAATTTAAATATTCACATCTTGGTAATTCCAACCCTCTAAGTAGACTCTCTGTTGCATAGAGAAATCATTTTTCTTTTGTTTCCCTTCAGATTTATTTTTTAAAAACTCAAGTACAGTGGAGGAAAATATAACAGATCTATTGAGTTAGAATTCACATACCATACAACTCATCCATTTAAAGTGTACAACTCAACGGCTTTTAGTATATTCACAGAGTTGTAAAACCAGCTGCATTTTGCACATGGTGTTTTGAGAGGGCAGGATGATAAGAAAGTAGAAAGGAGGAAATTTTCCATAAATTACCACTCTTTTCAAAGACTAAGGCCTACCTTCCAAAGCTAACCTGCAGGAATTTTTTCAAAGCTTATTCTCAGCTGGGTCCAGTGGCTCACATCTGTAACCCCAGTACTTTGGGAGGCTGAGGCAGGCAGATCTTTTGAGCTCAGGACTTTTAGAGCAACCTGGGCAAGATGGCGAAACCTCATTTCTACAAAAAATAAAAGAAGGCTGAGGTGGGAGGGTTGCTTGAGCCTGGGAGGCTGCAGTGAGCCAAGAACGCGCCACTGCACTCCAGCCTGGGCAACCAAGCGAGACTCTGTCTCAAAAAAAGAAAAAAAAAAAAAAACAAAAACGTATTCTCCTCCACAACTGGCTAAAATCCCTAGATTACTTTTCAGCCTTTATTCTTAAATAACTCTGCCCTCCAGCCCCATTGCCATACACTTGCTCTTGGCCACTGCTCTTTCTCCATTTTCTCTAACTATAACCTCCAGATCCGCAGACCTCCAATAGCACATGGTACTCTCCAGTGCAGAGCTTCTGCACGGTGTGCAAAGTACCATGAATGGGTGGCAGGTACACTGAGATGCTGATCCTTCCATCTGCAAGGCAGCCACCGAGGGCCCAGAGCAATGGAAACCCTCAAGCCAGTGCCTCAGGAGGGCTTGCTCTCTTCAATATTTTTTGTGTGTCATAACACAGAAAAAGCTGCGAAGCACTGTTCTAGTTTGACTAACTTGGTAAACAAACATATCTTGAAACCGACCATGTTCCAATTATTCTGTTAGGTATTGGAGCAATATAAATAAAAAGACAGTCCCTTATAATCTGGAAAAATAGACATCTAGTCAGTATAAGACATTGTGATAGGAGTACCCAGGTAATGGTATAACAGAATGTTAACAAAGAAAACCCCTGGACATGGTTTGAGAAACAAAGAGAAGAGAAATCAGTCAGCAGATGAGAAATGGCTGCCTCTAGCTAAGGATCAGATTTCTCAGGGAACCTGGAATGCAAACCTCATGAAGGCAGGGACAACTTCTACCTTATTTACCACCATATCCCAACACCACACAATGCCTAGATTATTCCAGGTATTAGATACATTTTGTTGAATGAATAGAGTTCACACTCCTCTTCTTATGCAATGTGACCTAGTAACCAAGGGTTCATTTTTGCCAGTCTCTAGAGAATTACAAAACCATTGGGAACATGGTGACCTTTGGCTTTAGTCTGCTGGGATTAATTGATCCCTTTCTGGGGACTCTGATAATCTGGGTATTTCTCAATTCTGCATTAAATCTAAGTACAAGAATTCATTTTAATTAAGTCAACATATGTTTATTTAGTGCCCACTATGATGGAAAGTTATTATTTTACTAGAAAATTTACAGATTTCACAATATTCATTTTAAAAAATGTTATCTGCCAAATAAACCGTGTAAGAAAAGTGAGGTTCTAGACAGGTCATATTTTTTTTTAAAACGAAACAGGGAAGATCTAGTTCTGAGAAGAAATAATTAAGTACTGCTTTAGCCCAGGAAGAAACACCTAGGAATAAGAAGAAGAAAGAGGGAAAGAATAAGTTGAGAAGTTGAATTCAGAAAAGGGAAACACTCACTAAAACAAATCAAAAAGAAAGGCAGAGTGAGTGCAGATGGTCACAGTTCATTTTATATCTATTTATGATGGCATTAGATCTTACCCTCTGCAACAATAAATCTTAGAATTCAAATTTGTCTGGTGTTTTATTTCCTCTTACTTCATAAACACAGCCCCAAATAAATAAAAACAAAATAAATAAATAAAAAAGAGAAAATTACAGAAAATAGAGTTACATCTATATTACATTCAGTTATGTTGAACTATAAAAATACTACTGTCAAATAGCACAGCTGTCAAATAGAGTAAACTCCAAAAATGTGGAAGGAAGACATGCATAAAAGAAACAAGAGTGCAAACAATTCCCACCAATAACGGGTGTAATTATTACTCTGTCTTTACTTAATCCCTGGGATTCACAGTACTTCAAGAATTCCTGGTAGCTGAAAACTGTACAATAGGCAGAAAGAATGATAGTCCTCTATCCTTAAAACTGGTTCTCCTCTGGGCCAGTCAAAAGTCTCCTTTTGTTTCTAGCATTGTTCCCCATCTAATCAAACCATCAAAATTCCCTTAGAAAAAATGAATCTTTATAAAGTTTTCCCTTTTGTCTGCCCTATTAGTCTATTAACTCTCATCTTTTGCCTGGGGTGAAAATTCATACTTCAGAAGGAAGAAAATCAAAAACAGAAACAAACTATTCTTGAGAAGCGGGTGGACAAGCATATTACAAACGAAGAGGTTAAATGAAGCTAAAAATCAGAATCTGAAATTCAATTCTACCAATAATCCTAAAATTGAGGATTAGTTACTTAGTTGTTTTATCATTGTATATCCATCCTCCACCCCACTTCTCATCCACTACAACATGAAGAAATCTCTTAAAAGCACCATTAGAATATAGCAGAACTGACTGGGTCAATTTTAAGTATTTCTTCCCGTATCTGGAAGGCTCGTGATCAGTGAAGTGTTCAAAAGATGAAAAGTAAAAGGAAACTGAATGAGGGGCAGGACTATATTTTTGATTCTAAGATTTTATAAGCAAACAGAAAATCCATGTAGTCTATGAACTAGATAATCAGATAGTGAATCATCAAGAAACAACATAAATTTACTAAATATCCTAGTGGTTATGAGAATTTTAATTAATTTTACATTTTCCTTGGGCTTGTACTCAGTATTTGCTGAACAATCAAGTAGTTTATTATCTTACAAATTGAAAAAAACCAAATAGTTGAAATCATTTTCATTAAGAACAAAATTACTCCTTATACATACATATTTACTTCATCTTTATTACAAGATTCTGTCACGGTGAATAACTACAAATAGTGGCACAGATTACTTATCAATGGGTTTAGTAACTGAAGAGATAAACTATTAAAATTGCACATGATCATTGACATGTTGATAGTTTGGTCTTTGCATAGTTTTCTTTCTTTTGGAAAATTTAAAAAAATAATCTATAGTATCTGAATAACACCTCGCCATAAATGTTGTATATTATGAAAATACATTTCTTGCGAATGGAATCTACGAATGTCCAATATGTGTCTTTCAACATCTTTAACTGGATTTTTCTGGAACACATATATTTGGTCTTGATCTCAAACTTTTCATCACCTGCTTTACATACCTTTTTTGTTCAAAATTAAAGACAAAATAGAGAACACATAGATTGTAAGGTTTTTTCCCAAATACTATTTCTCCATAACTACCTTTCAGAGGAAACTTTCTGAAATGTTTGGACAAAAATAAATACAACTTATCATAACTAAACTTCTGACTGACACTTGCTTAAGTAAGTTTTATTTTGGCTGAATACTCAGAACAAGGCCACATATCTCAAATAAAGAACAACGAGGAATTCAGCATTTTGGCTTTCAAAAAGTCATGTCAACAGTGTATTGTATTTTAAGGATGCAAAAATGCATCAGACTCATTTAATCCATTCTATTATTCTTTGTAAAGAACTAATTTTTTTGTTTCATAGATTTTTGGGGGAGTATTAGCTGCCCTTTTTCTATTTTATAGATTTCTCTTTATTAGTTTCTTTCTTCTACTCACTTTGGATTTAATTTGCCCTTCTTTTTCTAGTTCCTCCAGGTAAAAACTTAAATAATTGATTTTGGCTCTTCTTTCTTTTCTAGTATAAGCATTTAAAATTATAAATTTCCCTCAAGTACTGCTTTAACTGCATCCCACAACTTTTGACATGCTGTGATTTCGTTCAGTTAAAAATATTTTCTATTTTCCTTTGTGATTTCTTCAAACCATCCATGTGTTATATTTAAACTACAAAGTTTAATTTCTACATATTTGGAGAATTTCTCAGGTACATTTTTGTTACTGATTTCTAGTTTCTCTTGTAATCAGAAAACACTCTCCATGATTTCTATCTTTTAAAATTTACTGAGACTTTTTCTATAGGCCAGAATATGGTATATTTTGGTGAACACTCCATATGCACTTGAAAAGAATACGTATTCTCCTACTACTGGGTAGTGTATTCCGTAAAAATCAATTCAATCACGTTGGTTGATAGTGTTTTTCAAGTCTTCCCATTCCTTTCCAATTTTTTGTCTATTTTTGTACTATCAATTACTGGGCTGGGAGTAATGAAATTTCCAGCTTAATTGCAGAATGATCTATTTCTGGTTTTAGTTTTCTCAGGTTTTATATAGTATATTTTGAAGATGTCAACTGCATACAGATTCATGATTTGAATATCTTCTTGATGAATCAATCCTTTTATCATTCTATTGGATATCTAAAGCTAGGTAACAAATTATTCTAAAACTTTGCAGCTTAAAATAATAAACATTTATTAAAATAACAAACACTGGTTCTGCCGATCAGAAATTCAGAAATTCAGGGGTAGCTTAGTTGGGTGGTTCTGGTCTGGGGTCTCCCATGAGGTAGCCGTTAACAGGTTGGCTGGGGCTGCAGTTATCTGAAGGCTTGACTGGGGTTGTTGGATATGCTCCCAAGATGGCTCACACACGTGGCTCTTGGTTGGAGGTCTTCGTTGCTCACTATGTGAACCTCTCTTCATCCATAGCAGCTGACCTCTCTCAGAGCAAATGACTAAGTAGAGAGCAACTAAGTTGGAAGCCACAATATCTTTTATCTCTTCTACCATATTCTATTCATGCGTCACAAAGTCCAATCAACATTCAAGAGGAGAAGAATTAGGCTCTACCTCTTAAAGAAAAGTATATCTAACAATATGAAGACATATTTTAAAATCACCACAATCATTATAAAATGTCTTCTTTATCCCTGGTAATGTTTCTTGTTTTTTTTTTTTTTTTTCTTTTTTTTTTTTTAAGACAAAGTCTCAGTCTGTCGCCCAGGCTGGAGTGCAGTGGTGCAATCTCGGCTCACTGCAGCCTCCGCCTCCTGGGTTCAAGCAATTTTCGTGCCTCAGCCTCCTGAGTAGCTAGGATTACAGGCACCCGCCACCACACCTGGCTAATTTTTGTATTTTTAGTAGAGACGGGGTTTCACCATGTTGGCCAGGCTGGTCTCAAACTCCTGACCTCAGGTGATCCACCCGCCTCGGCCTCCCAAAGTGCTGGGATTACAGGCGTGAGCCACCACGCCTGGTCAATATTTCTTGTTCTGAATCTACTTTGATATCGATATAGCCACTACAGCTTCCTTCTGATTAGTGTTTGCATGGTTTATTTTTCCTTATCCTTTTAACCTGTGCCTTTATATTTTAAGTGCAGATAACATATAATTATAGATGGCATATAGTTAGGCCCTGCTTATAGATAGCGTATATAGTTGAATCACTTTTTTCCCCACTCTGAGTCCCTTACATGGATTGTTTAAACCATTTACACTTAATGTAATTATTGATATGGATTTGCTCAAGTCTAGCATCTTGGTACTTGTTTTCTATTTGTCCCATCTGTTCTTTGTTTTAACTTTTAATTTTTATGGGTACATAGTAGGTGGATATATATATGCGGTACATGAGATATTCTGATATAGGCATACAATGTGTAATAATCACATCAGGGTAAATGGAGTATCTATCACCTCAAGGATTTATCATTTCTTTGTGTCATGAACATTTCAATTATATTCTTTTAGTTATTTTTAAATATATAATATATTGTTACCTGTTGTCCTATCAAATACTAGATCTTATTCATTCTACCTAACTATATGTTTGTACTCATTAACCATCCCCAACTCCCCCCGCCACACACACCCTCATACCTTTCCCTGCCTCTGGTAACCTTCATTCTACTTCTTACCTTTCCCTGCCTCTGGTAACCTTCATTCTACTCCTTACCTCCACCATCTGTTCTTGACTACATTTTCCTCCCTTCTTTTGAGTATTTTACTATTTCATTTTATCTTTTCCATTTATACATTAGCTATTTCTCTTTATTTCTTTATTAGTATTTACAAGATGCTTTTTTTTTTTTATTGAGACTTAGTCTTGCTCTGCTGCCAGGCTCGAGTGCAGTGTAGCAATCTCGGCTCACTTCAACCTCCGCCTCCCAGGTTCAAGCGATTCTCCTGCCTCAGCCTCTCGAGTAGCTGGGAATACAGGTGCACGCCACCATGCTCAGCTAATTTTTGTATTTTTAGTAGAGACAGGGTTTCACCATGTTGGCCAGGTTGGCCTTGAACTCCTGACCTTGTGATCCACCTGCCTTGGCCTCCCAAAGTGCTGGGATTACAGGCGTGAGCCACTGTGCCCGGCACTACGCTATGCATTTTTAATTTAACAGAATTAGGATCCCTAACCCAAAAATCTGAAATCCAAAATGCTCTGTAGTTGGAAAAGTTTTTAGCCCTGACATGATGCTCAAAAAAATTGTTCATTGGAGCATTTGGGATTTCAGATTAGGGATGCTCAATCAGTAAGCATACTGCAAACATTCCAAAGTCCAAAATCTAAAACATTTCTGGTTCCAAGCAATTTGGATAAGAGATATTCAACCTGTACTTTCAAATAATATTAGATCACTTCATATATATTGTAAAAGCCATTCTTGGTACTATATTGGTTCATACATTTACTTCTACATAGATTATAAGGCCCACAATACAATATTCTCCTGTTTGCTTTAAACAGTCAATTGTTGTTTAAAAGGATTTTTTATAAAATTTTAATGGGGAAAGAAGTCTCCTGTATTTACCCATATATTTGCCACCTCCAGTGCTCTTTATTGTTTTGTGTATTTCTAAATTCCCATCTGGGATCTCTTTTTCTTCAGCCTGAACATTTTCCCATTACATTTCTTGGTGTGCAGGTCTGCTGGCCATGTGTTCTCATAGCTTTTGATTTGAAAATGTCTTTGTTTTGTCTTCATTTTTGAAGGGTATTTTCACCTGGTATATAATTTATTTATTTTATTTATTTATTTATTATTTTGAGACAGAATCTTGCTCTGTTGCCTAGGCTGGAGTGCAGTGGCGTGATCTTGGCTCACTTCAACCTCTGCCTCCCGGGTTCAAGCAATTCTCCTGGCTCAGCCTCCCAAGTTGCTGGGATTACAGGTGCCCACCACCACGCCTGGCTAATTTTTTGTATTTTTTAGTAGAGATGAGGTTTCGCCATGTTGGCCAGGCTGGTCTTGAACCCCTGACCTCAGGTGATCCACCCACCTTGGCCTCCCAAAGTGCTGGGATTACAGGCGTGAGCCACCCTGCCCACCCGCTGATTTTGTTTTGACTAGCATTTAAGTTACTTGCAAATCAACTTGATCCCTTCCAGGCTTGTTGTTAAATTCTGTTAGGGTAGGTCTAGACGAGAGTTTCTCCACCTTGACACTACTGACATTTTGGGCCACATAATTTTTGGTTGAGGGGATGGGGGCTGTTCTGTGGACTGCATAGCATTTAGCAGCATTCCTGGCTTCTATCCAATGTATGTCTGTGGACCTCCCAGTTACGACAACAGAAATGTCTCCAGAAATTGTCAAATGTCCTCTGGGATCTCTTACAGTTCTCTGCCCAAAGCGTATTAAAAAGTTAACATAGCAGATGCAAATGCTGCCTTTTGAAAGCCCTGCTTACAAGGTTGGCCCCTAGCTAACACCTGGGAACTTGGATTTTAGGATCATTCTGAACACCCTGTTAAGAGTGGCTCACAGTGCCTAAATTATTTGTGTAAACAATATGGTTTGTGCTGAACACCTGATTTCTTTGTGAAAGTCTGGAATTTTGGTATGTGGCAGGCAGAATGTGACTACCCCTAATAAAAATCCTGGCACTGAGTCTCTAATGAGCTTTCCTGGTAGACAACATTTCACATGTGTTGTCACAACTCATTGCTAAGGAAATTAGGTGCATCCTGTGTGGCTCCACCAGAAGAGGACTCTTCGAAGCTTGTTGTGCCTGGCTTCCTCCAAACTTCATCTCATGCATCTTTTCCCTTTGTTGTTTTTTTGCTTTGTAGCCTTTCACTGTAGCAAATCTTAGCCAGGAGTACATCCTGAGCCCTGTGGGTCCTCCTAGAAAGTCATCAAACAGAGGGTGATCTGGGAACCACCAACACATCTGGCCATGGGGAGTTTAACTGTAGGCATGCATAGCTGAGTATCTGGCAACAAACTCAAGGGATCCTATGCAGATGTGTGAAGTTCTTTTTCTGCATAGCTCCCTCCTCTCTGGCACTTTGCCTCACAAGTCCCAGTCTTTTCAGCTTCACTGACCTCCAATCTCTCTCCTCCCTCAGCTCTGCTACATGGTGGATGCATAGTGCCTGCACTCAGAAACCTGTGGTGATCCCAAGACTGACTCTGTTCCCCTCTCTTAGAGATCCCTGTCTGCACTGCCTGTTGTCCAGTGTTGGAAACAGTTCTTTCATACATTGTGTCCAGTTTTCTTGTTACTTGAAATAGGAGGGAGGACCAGTGCCAGTAACTCTATCACGGTGGAAAAATAAATTCTCATTGTAATATATTTTAATTGGGATATAAACTGAGCTCATTTGAGGCATAAAGCTACTTTTTGCAATCCAGAAGCTTTCCAACTCAGAAAATAAAGTTTTATGTATCTGCAAAGGACACTAATACTGATTACCCCCTGGTGTTACTATAGTACTATTATCAATGTTTCCTCTTACTCACTTAGTCTAGCTCTTGATAATTTTTTCCTCACTTCTTACCCACATCTTTTTCAATAGGACCATTTCCTAGCACTCCATCCCACCTGCCTGTTTATCTGAATCTCATTCATCTATTTGTTCCAATGGAGATTTACTAAGTACCTACTAGGAGGTAGCCTAGTGTGGTGATTAATAGCTTGGAATTTGTTCCAGGCTGCCTGGGGTCCAAATTCTTACTAGCTTGTGGCCTTAGACAAAGTACTTAACCTTTCTATGCCTTAGTTAAATGGACGAAACAGTATCTCCCTCATAGAGTTGTTGTGAGGGTATTTGAAGGAGATACTTCCTGGTGGAGAGGAAGATCTATAGAATGCTTAATGCTAATACTAATAATAGTGCCAAGCACTATCATAAATATTGGACAAAAATGAATAAGATACAGGAATAAGATACAGCCCCTTCCCTCAAGGAGGTTACAACCCAGTACAGGACACACAACAAGAAGATTTTTTTTTTCCAAATATTTGATAAATATTCAGATAATCATTGTAAGAAAACATTTACTGTGCACTAAATAACATTCTCTGTCACTTAATCCTAGTGACACAGTTAGAGACTACTGTTATATCCAGGTTACAAATAACAAAACTGAGTACTTGAAGGTTTACACAATTACCCAAAGTCATTCAGCTGCTATATAGCTGGGATCTAAACCCAGGTAGCCTAATTCCAGAGAAATAGAGATTTACTGGCTCACCATAGCATAATGGTTAAAAGCATAAGCTCTGGAATCACAAAAGAAAACACCATTAATTCTCCCTACTAAGGCCAAGGAAGAGATAACATTTGGGTTACGCTTAAAGGAGGAATAAAATTTCACCATGCAGAAACAGGGAGAAGCAACCACAAAATGATGTAATTAAGGATGGGGAAATAAAATGGCAAAGTGTGTGTATTTAGGATACTGAGACTTTTTTTGATGAGGTTATAACATAAAATGTACTTGAGGAGAGAGGGAGAGGATGAAGCAGAAGTCAGTTGGGGTCATTTCTGGCACAGCCTTCATACGAGTGTAAATTCTATCCTGAATACTTTCCAAACCTTTTCACATCAGGGCATACAAAAATAAAACATTTGTACAGCATACTGCAGGAAATGAACCCACCTGTTTGCTGCTGGAGCCCACAGGTGACCAGCGCAGCCAGGATCTATTGCCCGCTCTCCCCTAAGGGCCGAGGGGATTGGATATGGGGTGTGAAATAGAGAGCTGGGATTCCAGTTTAGATGATTAAGGGATGGAGAGAGATGCCGTGACAGGAAATAGAGAATTTAGAAGGGTAAGCTGGGAAAACAGAACAAGTTTAATTCAGGATATGCTGTCAGGGGCCTGCAAGACAATTAGGAGAGAACTTTGTAATACCTTACCAGAGATCAGGAGAAAAATCCTACCATTATCTGACTCATCAACCCACACTTTCCAAAATCCTTGCTTTCTTACCTTAATTAATTATTACCCCAGTGTTGTGTTCAAGCCATATGTCCAATGTCTTTTGGATCCATGAAAAAGAAGATTGAATATTTTTTGGGAAATGTGTTTATAAATATGGGGAGAAAGTAGAAGGATTAGAAGGAGAGGGGGTGAAAATGACTTGCATTTTTAGAAAAGGTGACAAGTGCGGCTTTTGATATATCTTTATAAGAGCACAGCCTACAAAATGGTTCTAAAAAGTTAAGGGGAATAGTTTGTAGCCAAACAATTAAATTCACTGGGTATTAGGGAAGGTACAATGCAATTGTGCAACACTGGAATTTGACCAGGTCATTAGGGTCAAGTAGTTAAATGTAGAAGGTACTTCTGATTACCTAGAATATGAAAACGTCTGTTTTCCTATGCATTAAAGGAAAACTTCTAAATCACACTGTCTTTCATTTCTCTTGTCCCTTAATTCTGAATGTAACCAATGATACTTAAGTGGTACAACTGGAGGGGAGAAAAGATAATACTCCCAAAATACAGATGAGAAAATGTTTTAATTAGTGATTTTGAAGTAGTTAATGTGTGTTAACAACTGTGGTTCTATAAAAAGAAACCATGCGGAGAATATACCAACATTTAGTTTATGTTTTCACAAGTATATGCTGACTGTCTCATTATTAAGTACACAGAGCTCAAAAAAAACCAGTGCTACAGAGAGTGTACACTAACTGTTAAACATTGTAGAAGAGGTTGAGAGATACTGGCTAATGACTACCATAAAAGGAGTAGATGACTAAGAACAGAGAGGATGTGTGACTAAAAAGTCCCTCTATGGTTCTTTGAAAATTCCCTGAATAACTAGGCATGCCAAATGTGGTCTGTCATAAAATTATTTGATGCTAAACTCTGTAGTTAGACGACAAATATACGCTGTGTCCAAAGGAGAAAGTCTTTGTATAGACCATTTAATTGCAAAGTGCCAAGACAAATCAAGACCATTAATAAGTGAAAGTGTTAATCAAATTAAAGTGTGACCCAGAGTTCAAACACTCCTGGGCTAGATTGGGCTCACTCTACAGACTCATTCAATTTTTAGGGGGCATGACCACTGTGCAGCGGCCAGGCACTTTGGGCCACCACTGCTCCTTTCTACTCCTGAAAATGTACAGGAAGTATTGCTTCTCACAGATCCTTGAACACTGTAGAGTAATACTAGCTGGCACATCACAGCCTATCTCTAGTAAATCAACCTTTTCACCCCAAAGGCTTACTTACCACAGCTATACCAAAACTGCAGATATTAAAAAAAAAATCCCAGTACACATTTGGAAATGTATCATAATTCCCCTACACATACAACCGTCTCTGAATATGCTAATTGGAACAACCGATTTTCTTTAAAAATGTTACTTTTCCCTCAAGTAATAACTCCAAATTATTATAATAATGGTAATAGTTACTACTGTTACGTAAAAACATCATTTGATCCTTAAACTCATGAGGTAGGTTTCAGATGGGGAGACATATGCAAGGTCATATCCTTTAAGATCAGACTGGAAGCCAGGCACAGTGGTGTGCCCCTGAAATTCCAACTGCTCAGGAGGCTGAAGTACCAGGATCGCTTGAGCCCAGAGAGGCAACACAGTAAGATCCTGACAAGGTCTCGCTCTGGGTCCCCACACAAATCTCATCTTGAATTGTAATCCAAATTGTAATCCCCATGCACTGGGGGAGGGACCTCGTAGGAGGTGACTAGATGATGGAGGCAGTCCCCCCATGCTGTTCTCATGATAGCGAAGTGAGTCCTCACAAGATCTGATGGTTTTATAAGGGGTTTTTCCCACTTTGCTCGCACTTCTCCTTGCTGCCACCATGTGAAGAAGGACGAGTTTGCATCCCGTCCGCCATAATTGTAAGTTTCCTGAGGCCTCCTCAGCCATGCTGAACTGTGAGTCAATTAAGCCTCTTTCCTTTATAAATTACCCAGTCTCAGGTATGTCTTTATCAGCAGCGTTGAGAATGGACTAATACAGATCTCATCTCATATCAAAAAAACAAACAAACATCAGATTGAAACCCAAGTTTGTCTAACTTCAAAACCCATGTTTGTTTCACTACACTACATTGTTTCTTGATACTCTTCTGTTTGCTAAAATACATATTACAGACATTCATGGGAGAAAATATATTGAGTAACTAGTGACTCAAATGGGGAAACAGTTTTGAATGACTACAGGACTGTCTTGTAAAACACAGCAATGACTTTTTATGCCATGTGATTGAGGTTTTTTTTTTTTTTTTTTAGTTTTAGTTTTGGCTTTCCTAGTGTATGCCTGTTATGTATCCCTCTAGACATGTCTAGAATACTATATCAAATTTCACTAATATACAGTCCTTTAGTAAAATGTATACCCTCACCATGTGTGAATCCTGCATATTTAAGAATCCATATTCCACGTATACAATGAAAAATAAGCAAATCTTTACTCATCTTTAGAGCTTTCTTGCTTTTCTTTCTTTCTTTCTCTCTCTCTCTCTCTCTCTCTCTCTCTCCCTCTCTCTCTCTCTCTCTCTCTCTTTCTTTCTTTCTTTCTTTCTTTCGAGACGAAGTCTCTCTCATCCCCCAGGCTGGAGTGCAATGGCGTGATCTCAGCTCACTGCAACCTCTGCCTCCCGGGTTCAAGTGATTCTCCTGCCTCAGCCTCTCGAGTAGCTGGGATTACAGGCACCGGCCACCATGCCCGGTTAATTTTTATATTTTTTAGTAAAGACGGGGTTTCACTATGTCAGCCAGGCTGGTCTCGAACTCCTGATCTCAGGTGATTCTCTCACCTCGGCCTCCCAAAGTGCTGGGATTACAGGCTTGAGCCACCGCAGCCGGCCCCACAGCCTTCTTTAATTCAAGATAATTGATTGAAAAATAAAGAATGAAGCTTACTTTCCTTATTGGTATTTTAATAAATCCTTACTGGTATTTTAATAATCCCATGTACAATGAAGAACAGATTTTATAAAAAGTTTAATTTTCTGAAATGATAAATTGTAAAATGGCACTTTGTTCCCCTAAAAGAATACAGTCAAATATTAAAAATATATACCATAATCACAGGGGATATTTATTTCTCTTGTTGCATCTATTCCCCTTCTTTCACAACCTCACCATTCTTTTCTTTGAGAACCACCTCTCCCTTTTTTCTCAGTCTGGATGACTTAATTCTCGGCACCAGGGATGGGCACATGGCCTAGGCCTGGCCAGTCAGTGCATTTCATCCCCTTTGCCACAGTGGTTGGTTCACAGGTGCATACATATCCCAAGACAGGCCAATGAGATTCCACACCAAGATTTCCACACAAAATATTGGGAAGTGCCTTCTTTCTTTCTGGGATGCTAAAATGGTAAGACTATGGATTCTTGCTGTCTTTACTACCACATGGGAACAATGCATGTAAGAATGAAGACACTACAGGGGAAACCAATGAAGAAAAGTGGGAAAACAACATATTCCTGATATTATTTGAGCGGCAGCAAGTTCAGGGATGGGGAAGGTTGGTCTCACCAGCCTATCCCTGCTATGTGGCCTTACTGTGATGCAGGGCACCCAGCTCCCTTAACACCTTATTTCTAGTCTTCCTGCCAATGCTAGGAGCACCGGATACCATTTTTGTTTTTGTTTTTTTAAATAGACCACAATCAGTTTCTGTTTTTGTTTGTTTGTTTGTTTGTTTGTTTTTTGAGACGGAGTCTCGCTCCTCTTTTGCCCAGGCCGAAGTGCAGTGGCGCTATCTCGGCTCATGCAAGCTCCGCCTCCCGGATTCACGCCATTCTCCTGCCTCAGCCTCCCGAGTAGCTGGGACTACAGGCACCCGCCACCGTGCCCGGCTAATTTTTTTTGTATTTTTAGTAGAGACGGGGTTGCACCGTGTTAGCCAGATGGACTCGATCTCCTGACCTCGTGATCCGCCCGCCTTGGCCTCCGAAAGTGCTGGGATTACAAGCGTGAGCCACCGCGCCCGGCCCAGTTTCTGTTTTTACAACCAAGAACCCTGGCTACTCCAATGAGTGAACACTTTTATAATTTTAGGGTGGAGAAAGCCTGCCTAGAAAGATACATCTGACTACATAACAATCAGACGTTGGGGGACAAACTGGCAACATCATAAAATATTGTAATGTACGTTCTGCTAGACTCAGCAAGCCCATACCTACAAATGTACCCCATGGAGAAAAATGAAAAAAATGTGAGAAAATGTTAGGTTTAAATGATGTTCCCAGCAGCACAATGCCTACAAGAGTACAATGAAAAACAAGACAGATGCCTGGAAATACTGGTTTGTTGAATAAATTATTATACATTCACATTGGAATACTATGCTGCCATTTAAAAAGACAGTCTATACTGACATGGAAAGATCCCCATGACTCAAAGTAACAGAAAGCAAAACAGCATCTATAGTATGATTTTATTTATATAAAGTTATCTATCTCTCTCTCTATATATATATACCCTGGGGGAGGGTGGGGTCTAGAAGCTCATTCATTAAAATGATGCCAGTTGATTCTGGGTGGAGGGCTTGCGGGAGGGGGGTTATGCCTTTATGGTTTGAATCTCTTGCACAAACGTATCTTTATAATCACACAAAATCATAATGCAAACCACACACATGCACATACATAAAATCAGTATAATTTCCAAAGGAATTAAATTTACTCTGGAGTCGGTTAAGACATAAGAGAATTTTAATCTTTTCATATGGCAATGTAAGCCTAAAAATTTATAAAATTGACCTAATAGGAATAACTCCCCTCTCTTTTCATTCTAGAGATATAAGACCTAAGGGAAAGGCCTAGGCTAGACCAGCAACCAACTGAAGCATCCTGAGGAAATAATTTGTTTTATCTTCGGAATAAATGAACGATGCTCTTCGGAACCTTCCCCATCCCTGAACTTGCTACCGCTCAAATAATGGTATCTTGTAAATAATGCTCTTCTGAATTTGCACAAAAAGCAAAGGTATATGAGGAACTATGAGGGAACAAATGAAGGCCATAAAGACTTGTTCAGATGGTTGTTGTGTCAATTTTGACCAGTCAGAAAAACTACTTGAGAAAGCATCCAAAACGCAAGGGAATTATTTTGTCCAAAACCACCCAGTATCTCTTCTTTGCTACAAACTCAAACATACCCACTGCTTATCCCCAAATCCTCAGACATAGAATCAATTTGAAGAGTAGTAAGTAAAATACTTGGCATGTATTATCAAAGGCAAGATTGATAACAAGAAGAGGTAATGTAACACAACCTGTCAGTCTACTACACTAAATAGTACAACCAGCACATCTCAAAGTCTTGTTTCAATGGCCCATAATATTCTGAAGTATTTAAATTCTCAAGAATTCTACCTTTGAAACAGAAACCTCTCTACAGGGTAGCATAACTAGTACAATAAACCCAAGTTAATTTTGTAAATTTGCCCTACTTCTTTAAAAATTAAGATATATGAGAATTCAAGGATGTTAAACTCTAACTCAGAATTTATGTATTCAAGTACAGGCAGTCTAGCCTGGTGGTTAAGGCCCTGGCAGTGGCTGATATGAATACAAATCTTGGCGCTGCTGTATACTAGCTATGAAGTCTTTGGCAAGTGACTTAACCTCTCTATGCCTCAGTTTCTTCATCTATAAAAAAGGGGTAACAACAAGACCTGCTTCACAGAGGTGTAATAATTAAATAAGTTAATATATGTAAAACCCTTAGAATCTTTTCTGGCAAAAAAAATGCTCAATAAATATTAGCTACTGTATGATTATGAGGCATAAATTATTCTAATACTCTAATGCTATGGGATAGCCATAGAACTAACCAAACTAAATTTAACTTTTAAGACATCTATTATTCAACTCATCATGGTTCTGACTTTTTAAAAAAGTAGTGAATAATGAACTTTAATTCTTCAAGGCACTATTAAGCTCAGTGGTAACTAAATGTTATTCCTAAGTTTACACAGTACCATAGTCTCAAAGCACTAAGAAGCTTAATTTAATTATTTTCTGAACCAAAACTGTAGTAATTCTTTTTCAAATAGACAATTTCTAAATGTGAACATGTTTATCGTGGCTGCCAGCTTCATTCTGAAAAAGAAATCTTTACAAACATGACAGGTATACTTCAAAGAAGTGGTAATGGGAAGCTTATGCCAGTTATTACTAAAAATTTGAATGGGACTATTGCAAAATCCAAACATGAAAAGCTTCGTACTCAAAACTGACCTATCTTAGATGTATTGTTTTCCCCCCACACTATCAAAATGAAGCTTCTTTTTTCCCCCCACTTCACCATTACATTTTCACCATTTTTTTTTTTTTTTTTTTAGACCACGTCTCACTCTGTTGCCCAGGCTGGAATGCAGTGGTGTGATCTCAGCTCACTGCAACCTCCGTCTCCCAGGTTCAAATGATTCTCATGCCTCAGCCTTCCAAGCAGCTGGGACTACAGGTGCACACCACCACACCTGGCTAATTTTTGTATTTTTAGTAGAGACGGGGTTTTACCATGTTGGCCAGGCTGGTCTGGAACTGCTGACCTCAAGTGATCCACCTGCCTCGGCCTCCCAAAGTGCTGGGATTACAGGCATAAGCCACCGCACCTGGCCACCATCCTTTAACTTTAATGATGATTAACACATCATTAGACTTCATTTAATTGTCCCTTTTCAATAGGGATGCTCTTTTGAAATAAATGTCTCTCTCTCTCTCTCTTTGCAAAAAATCATGAGACCTAAAATCTGGTGAATTTATCATATCACATCACCAAAAGAGTCTGCCTTTAACACACAGAGCACCACAGGTTTTGGTAGAAACAATCTAAAAAGCTTTAATTAACTAAGAATCTACTACATCCCAATGTATTTACAATTTATCTTAGTCCAAAGACCATGATTTTGTGTCTTGATTGGTGTATTTGTTTTTTTCTGAGTTTTGAAAGAGACCCCCCACTTTGGGCAGGCTCAATTTTTTTAAAGTCATAAATAAGCCTCCCCGCCCACAGCTTTTTGCAGTAAAACATCTGAGCTTTGTCAGCAGCTCTTTCATCTGGCCCTTGATTTGAAAGGCAAGATAATATACTGGGCCACAGCCTAAGCTCCAGTAAAAGCCTGACCTTGTGATATAAGTTGTAGCCTAACATCAAATCACACTTATGCATCAGCATACACCATTACTACAACAATAATAATTTCTGACAGTATTGAGTGTTTTACCTGTATTAACTTACTTGGTCCTCACAACAAACAGATGAGGTAGCTACTATTTTCATGCTGACTTGATAGATGAAAAATTGGAGGAAAAGTGAGATTAAGTAACATAACCAAAGTTACACATATTGTGAGTGATGTTGACATGATTGAAACCCAGGTGGTCTGAGCCAGGGCCCATCCTCTTAATGACTATGTTATACTCTCTCAATTTTGGGCAAGTGAGAAATAAAAAATGCAGTGATGCGAGCTGCATCATCATGCATTTAATTTACTCAAATTCAATTATATGTGCTCAATTAAAAATGAAAACTGATTGTCAACTGATCATAGGATATTTAAAAAGAAAAAGAAAACTGAAAATTACAACTTAGTGTACACAATTCCTCATTTTATTCATCACATACCTACAAGCAGAGAGACGGGGAACTAATTCTTTTGTACCCTCAGTTAATTTCCGTACTTAAATATCCCTCATTAATGACCCAAGTACTTCTTCTTAATGAGAGTATTTAATTAAACTGAGCATGGCTTTGGTGTAAAGAGTCACATTTTTTCATATAACATTAGCTGTATACAAGTCAACTATTTCACCTGGTGCTCAAGTGAAGAATATTCTGCTGCTTCCAGGGAGAGCTGGCTCCCTGTGGAGATGGAAAGGCAGTCCCCACTTGCACCTTCCTAAGAGATTTATAAGAACAATTTTGACCAATGCCATTTTTGCCTTACATGCTAACTTCAAAATCTGTCTCAGGCCTTAGAAGCAACTCCACTACATGCATCAGCACTGTATGTGTTACATCATTAACAGTCGGTAATAGGGGCCACATAATTACAGAATGCAATTCATACTCTTCCAGGCCATCACTGTGGCCTTGCAGACTCTTCTTATATTCCTAAGAGCATCTCTTCAGTGCTTCCCCACTCTCCACAAGTCTCAGAAAGTTCCACAGCTCAAAAAGATCCAACTCGTAGCAGTTAACAATATTACCTCATAACATCGGGGCCATGCAGCATCAATTCTCTCCATGTACTTTACATTGACCACAAAACCCTGTATCCTTATCCAGCCCTTCCTGCTATAAATTGGAATCTAGTCTCATCACTTTACTGAAACTGCTCCCTCAAAAGCCACTGATGTCCTGCTTGCCAGATCCAATCACTCCTTGGTCTTCATCGGGGACTCTCTCTCTCTCTCTCTCTCTCTCTCCACCCCCCCCGCTCTTTCTGGCAGGGATTCTCAACCCTGGCTACGAATTACAAGTTTGTAGTACAAAAAAATCAACTCAAGATGGATTAAAGACCTATATGTAACACCTGAAACTATAAAAGCCCTGGAAGATAACTTGGGATATACCATTTTGGACATAGGAACTGGCAAAGAATTCATGATGAAAATGCCAAAAGCAATTGCAATGAAAGCAAAAGTCAATAAATGGGACCTAATTAAACTAAAGAACTCCTGCACAGCAAAATAAACTATCAACAGAGTAGAAGCAACCTACAGAATGGGAGATAATATTTGCAAATGATACATCTGACAAAGGTCTGATACCCAGAATCTACAAGGAACTTAAGGGAACGTACAAGCAAAAAAAAAACCCATTAAAAAGTGGGCAAATAACATGAACAGACACTTTTCAAAAGACATACATGTTCCAACAAGCATATGAAAAAATGCTCAATATCACTAGTCATTAGAGAAATGCAAATCAAAACCACGATGAGATATCATCTCACACCAGTCAGAATGGCTATTATAAAAAAGTAAAAACAAACGAAAAAGCAGATGCTGGTGAGGTTACAGAGAAAGGGGAATGCTTATACACTGCTGGTGGGAGTGTAAATTAGTTCAGTCATTGTGGAAAGCAGTGTGGAGATTCCTCAAAGAACTAAAAACAGAACTACCATTTGACCCAGCAATCCCACTAATGGGTATATACCCAAAGGAATATAAATCATTTTACCATAAAGACACATGCATGCGTATGCTCACTGCAGCACTATCCACAATATCAAAGAAATGAAATCAAACTAAATGCCCATGCACAGTAGACTGGATAAAGAAAATGTGCTATATATACATGATGGAATACCATGCAGCCATAAAAAAGAAATACCATGCAGTCATTAAAAAAAATGGCCTCCAGTTCCATGGAGGTCATTATCCTTAGCAAACGAACACAGGAACAGAAAACCAAATACTGCATGTTCTCACTTATAAGTGGGAACTAAATAATGAGAAGACATGGACAGAAATAGGAGAACAAGAGACACTGGGGCCTACTTGAGGGAGCAGGTTTGGAGGAGAAGAGGTTCAGAAAAAAATAAAAACCTATTGGGTACTATGCTTAGTACTGGAGTGATGAAATAACATGTATACTAAGCCCCCAAGTCACAAGTTTACCTATATTACAAACCTGCACATGTACCCCTGAACCTAAAATAAAAGTTAAAATATTTTTTAAAAAGAAGTTTGCAGTACAAAGAAAAATAGTGATGCCAGGGCCCCACCCACAGATTCCAATTTAATTGGTCTTGGATTGGCAGAGGCATGGGTATTTGCTTAAAGATCCCCAAGTGATTCCAACATGAGCCAAGGTCAAGAATCACTACTTTACAAAAGTGACCCCACTCATTAACTCACCCCTTCTACTTGAACCTTTCTCTCCTCCCAACATCCTCCCTTAAGTAGGCCCCAGTGTCTCCTGTTCTCCTCTTTCTGTTCATGTCTTCTCATTATTTAGCTCCCACTTATAAGTGAGAACATGCAGTATTTGGTTTTCTGTTCCTGTGTTAGTTTGCTAAGGATAATGACCTTATCTTGGTTGCCATGATATCATATTTGCCGGGTATTTCTATTTCTCCTGCTGTTCCCCTTCAGCTTTCTCCTACTGTTGCTCCTTATCTGGAGTTTCTTTCTCTGATTCCCTTTGCCCTGCCAATTGTTCATTTTCTATTCAACCATTAACTTAAATTTTCTAACAGTCCCAAATCTCCATATCTAATCTTAAACTCAAGCCTCAGCTCCAAACCCTCACCTCACATAGATGTTATCTCTCTGGAATTCAAATTCCATATGTCCAAAATTATCGTACTGTGTTAATTGCCTCTCTCTCCCTTTTCCACAGTAGCTATTTCAAACTTTCTGCATTTTCCTCAGACTCCTCATTCTCCTCATTCTGCTGCTTTGTTTGCAGCAGAAAACTCTGCTCCTACTTCACAGAGAAAATAGAAGCCATTAGCCTCTCTTAACTTGATCCCAACCCAATGCAGTCACCTACACATGCACTTTCTCTGCACCCAACCCATCTGGGGCTTTTGTTTTCAGCCTCACTGGAGATCAGGATCTATCAATTATTTCCCTTCTCTCTTCTGGATCCTTCCCATCAATATCTAAACATGTCGATGTCCTTCCCCATTTTCAAAAAAGAAACTCAGAAAACTGTTCAACTCCACATATTCTCCTAAATACCACCATCTTTCTTTTCTTTGCAGTGAAAATTCCTAACAAGCTGTCTCCATCCACTTTTTCCCCTTCTCAGTCTCTTTTGGAGGCCCCTCTCCCTCAGGTATTCCTCACGATGCTGTCCTCACTTGTTCGCTTATATGCTCTTCCTGTACACTCTCATCTGCTCCCATGATGTCAACTGTGAGCTATGTCCTGATGCCTCTTAAGTTTATCTCCAGCCAGATCTTTGATGACATTCAGATTTACAACGTCAAATGCCTAACTCTACTTCTCTTCTGAGATGTCTTATGGGTATTTTAAATTCAACATGTCCAAAACAGAACTCATTCTCTTCTCCATGCCTCTCCTGAAACCTGGTCCAATTTCTCTCTCACTGAAAGTCATCATCATCATCCATCCAGTCTCCCAACTCAGAAACTGGGGCACAATCCTTCTCTCCTCCTCTTTCCAAGCCCACCACATTGCAAGCACCAAGGTCTGCCCATTCCACCCCAACCACCCCAACTGCTTCATTTCAGTTCAGGCGGAGATGCTCTCTTGCTTGAATTTCACTGGAACAGAACTCCAGCTAGCCAGCGCAATCCCTCTACAAATGTGGATCTGATCATGTCACTCAGCTGCTGGGGATGAATAAGACACTTAATAAAAGTCCAAACTCTTCGGAAGAACACATACGGTGTTAGCCTTGCCTGCTCTTTAACATCCTCTCTCTCCACTGCCCCTACTCCTGCTCTCAGATCCCAGGAATTTCTTGGTCCAAGAGATGCACCACATATGCTCTCTCACCCGAAGGCCTTTGCAATATTCTTTTTGTCCTCTCCAATTTACTCAACTGTCCCTCCTGTTCGCTCTGATTTTATTTTATTATTTTGTTTTATTTTACTTTATTTTATTTAATTTTTTTGAGACGGAGTTTTGCTCTTGTTGCCTAGGTTGGATTGCAATGCCACGATCTCGGCTCACTGCAACCTCCACCTCCCAGGTTCAAGCAATTCTCCTGCCTCAGCCTCCTGAGTAGCTGGGATTACAGGCATGCGCCACCACACCTGGCTAATTTTGTATTTTTAGTAGAGATGGGTTTTCACCATGTTGGTCAGGCTGGTCTCGAACTCCTGACCTCAGGTAACCCACCTGCCTCGGCCTCCCAAAGTGCTGGGATTATAAGCGTGAGCCACGGCACCCAGCCTCCCTCTGATTTTAAATGCTGTATTTATCATATGTTAAATTTGGTTCTTTCTAGAGCAGGGTTTATAAGAAGAAAAAGAGAAAAAAAAAGAAAAAAATTTCGTTCTAAGTCCTTTTTTTTTTCCTGGATTCTATTCTGTTTCAGTGATCTGTTTGTCTCTTCTTGTGCTAATGCCATAATGTTTAAATTTAAGATATACTTTTATACCTGGTAGGACTATTCCTCTCAATCTTCTTCATTCAAATTATGAGGAACCTCAGACTAAGTTTATCAAATTAAAATTCCACTGGGACTTTTGGTTGGAATTACACTGAATCTACAGATCCCTTCAGGGAAAACTAACATTTTCTCTTCTAGGAATATGTTTCTCCATGAATTTAATTCTTCAATAAATATTTTTTGCAATATGTGTCTTACAGAATTATTAATTTTTTTCTTGGGTATTTTATAATTTTAATTGCTATGGTGATTGGAGTTTTATTTCTTTAAATTCATCACTGGTGACGTACCGGAGAGGTGTTGACTTCTGTATAGTTACTTTGTATCTGGCCACCTTACTGTTTTATCAGTACTCCAGGAGACTGAAAGAGTATTTGGTTCCACAGGAAAGAAGAAGACAACAGTTGAAGCAGGTTTGTAGGCAAAATAATGAAGTCCATTTAAGAAAGACTGGGTTAAAATGACAATATTATATTTAGCTGAAGATGTCATGAAAGTATACAGAAATAGAGAACTGAAGCAGAGGGGAGAGGTGTGGGCTGGACAAGATGTAGGAGTCACACGCATACAGGTAAGAGGTGAAAATACTCCTTAAGGCAATG
Organism: Homo sapiens; assembly: GCF_000001405.40. Taxonomy (NCBI): domain Eukaryota; kingdom Metazoa; phylum Chordata; class Mammalia; order Primates; family Hominidae; genus Homo; species Homo sapiens. The sequence goes on from NC_000002.12 coordinate 64,710,833, forward strand.
TCATGCCAGGATTAATGAAGAAAAAATGTTTCTCTATTCTAAAATCTTCTATTAAAAATAGAGGCCAGGCGCAGTGGCTCACACCTGTAATCCCAGCACTTTGAGAAGTTGAGGCAGGAGGATCACCTAAGGTTAGGAGTTTGAGACCAGCCTGGCCAACATGGCAAAACCCCTTCTCTGCTAAAAATATAAAACTTAGCCAGGCATGGTGGCGGGAGCCTGTAATCCCAGCTACCCAGGAGGCTGAGGCAGGAGACTCGCTTGAACCTGGTAGATGGAGCTTGCAGTGGGCCAACATCACGCCACTGCATTCTGGCCTGGGACACACAGCGATATTCTGTCTCAAAAATTAAAATAAAAAAAAAAGACAGAAAATACATTTTTATATTGTGTGGTGGTTTCATATTACAGTTATGGAGTACAGACATGTAAAGTGTACTTTTCCAAAAGAATTTCAGGAGACCAAGGGTGGGGTCTCCTGACTTTAGATATGACTACTACATTACTACCATGGGATTCATGTGAAAAAAAGATTCTGACGATCAAACGTAAAGGCAGGAAACGGGTGGAGGGAAGAGGAAATGCTGAACTACAAGGTCATGGTCAGGAAACCAATTTGGCAAGGTATGTGGAAAACCAAGGCATATAGAATCAAATACCACATACAGTAGTGCGCAGCCCAAAGCCAGCTTTGTTTTCAGTAGCAGGACTCAAATGGCAGAGTGAAGGCCAGCGCCTGCCGTTGACAGTGGGAACCTCCTCAAAATTCCCTGTTGAGCTAATTTTCTTTTAGTCACTCTTACTGCTAAGACAGGCTTTTTAATGGATCCCAGACAAAAAGCTGTCTAGGTCCTAAGAAACGCATTAGTAATAAATGCCTATTGTTGGTAGCTAGCAATGTATACAAAATCTCCTTTTCATTCATTTCCATTATTTGTTAAATAAGTCAAAGAACAATATTTGTAAATCACAAAATAAAAGAAAATTAAGATATAGTATGTACAGTTAGATCCTAATTTTATGAAAGGTGTGTGTGTTCATTGAAAAAACAAGAAGGACATTTATCAAAATGTTAAAAGTGAGTATCAGTAAGGAGTAAAATGCAGGAGTTTTGATTTTTTAATGTATTCTTTTCTGCATTTTTACATAGTTTTCCACAATGAATATATATTGATGTGGTACTAAGGAAAAATACAAGTGTTATAAAAAACATAAATCAAAATTGTAATATCAAAGGAAAATAATCGCAACTGTAATGCAGAATTTTAGACGACTCAGGAAGATAGGAATCCTGATTAAATCTCCAAATTTTCAGAATATGAGTAATAAAATACAGGAAGATGTACACCTAAATTTCTCCTTTGGAGAAAGCCGGAATAAAACAGTCTTTTAAGGACTAAGTGTGAAATCCACAAAAGTAAGGGTAACAGCATGAAAAGGGAAGGTAACTGACACTCTCATGATGCAGAGAGAATAAAGAAGAGGTCGGAGAAGACAAGTAGCTCAGAAACGACCCCTTAAAAACAGCATACTTTTTGGGAAATGAATCCAGCATCTCTCTCAAATGATAAGGTCTACAGAGTTAACAGTGTCTTCTCCATATGAAGTGATTGCTAGGTGCTATAGGGGATATAAAGAATTACTCACAGCCTTATGGGAGCTAGTGTTAATAGGGGTGGAAGTAGGGAAAGAAAGTAAGTCAATAGTAATGCATTATAATAATGAGAAGTAGCACAGCATGGCAGGTAAGAGTGGGCTCTAGAGTCTGAAGCTTTTCAGCTGCGTGACCTCGAGCAAGTCACTTAACTTCTCTGTCTTAGATTCTTCACCTGTAAAATAATAGCAGTATTACCTCATAGGGTTGAAGGGAAGGGCTGGTGAAAACATGAAGAGCTTAGGACAGTCCCTGGCATATATTAAAACACTTGCTGGCTGGGCTCAGTGGCTCACGCCTGTAATCCCAGCACTTTGTGAGGCCGAGGAGGGTGGATCACCTGAGGTCAGGAGTTCGAGACCAGCCTGACTAACATGGTGAAACCCCATCTCTACTAAATACAAAAAAATTAGCTGGACATGGTGGCACATGCCTGTAATCTGAGCTACTTGGGAGGCTGAGACAGGAGAATTGCTTGTACCTGGGAGGCGGAGGTTGCAGTGAGCGGAGATTGCGCCATTACCCTCCAGCCTGGGCAACAAGAGTGAAAACTCTGTCTCAAAAAACAAACAAACAAAAAAAAAAACTACATTTGCTATGATTTTGTGCCTACTATGTAGTGATGTGCTAATATTTTCTTTCTTTCTTTTTTGTTTTTTTGAGACAGGGTCTGCTGGAGTGCAGTGATGCAATCTCGGCTCACTGCAATCCCTGCCTCCCGGGCTCAAGTGATTCCCCCACCTCAGCTTCCAAAGTAGCTGGGACCACAGGTGTGTGCCACCGTGCCTGGCTAATTTTTTGTATTTTTTTTATAGAGAAGCAAGGTTTTGCCATATTGCCCAGGCCGGTCTTGAACTCCTGAGCTCAAGCGATCTGCTGCCTTGGCCTCCCAAAGTGCTGGGATTACAAGCGTCAGCCACCATGCCCAGCCAATGTTTTCTATCTTATATCAAATAAGGTAGGCATTATTCATCCTGTTCATAGACGAGGAAACTGAGAATCAGAGAATTAGGCAATTTTGGGTAAGATCTAGAGAGCGGGGGAACAGAGTTGTGATTTGAGCCCCCATCTGCCTGAACACGAAGCTTGTGACTTTTATTACTACTATTACTGTGAAACAATAGCACCTAACATTTGTCTAGTGCTCACTCTATACCAATTATTATTGTACATATAATTGCAATTTTTCTCACAAGATATCATTTGACCCCATTTTACAGAAAGCAGCAGCCTATGCTTCGAGAGGCCTGCACCCACGCTGGAAATCACTGAGTTGTAAGTAAGTGGTAAAGGCAAGATAGGAGTCTACATCTGCTTGTTCCTAGTGCCAGAGCTCACCACCCCTGGCTAGTGGTGCTTCAGCTGTGGAGCTTTAAAAAACAAGAGATTCCAGAGGGTCCTACACCTAGAGGTTTCTGAGCAGGTGGCTCTGGGCCAGGGGCCTTGGCCACCCACTTTATCTCCTTGCCAGTGGTTCTCATGAGACTGCAAAAATATGTTGTGTTGTAGGTGTTAAATGCCAAGGTGAAAAGCTTCTGCTCAATTCATCTAGAAATGGGGAGTCAATTAAGGTTTTTCAGTGAGGTTTTTCAATAACCAGTGTTTTAGAAAAATTAATCTAGGAGTAATGAATAGGATGGACTAGAGGGGAAAGAAAAGTGTGGCAAAGACCGACTGGTTAGGAAGCTATTCTAGGCCACAAAGTTTCTTTTAGTCTTAATAAACCCATGTATCAGACAACAGAAAAATGAATCCTTGGGAAAGACCCATCTAAACATAGAAAGATTTGCAGCTTGGAGAAAAATGTACTTCAGTATTCCAGATCTATATACACTGGCTGAAGTAAAAATCAGGTTGTTCCTTTTTAAAAATTAACAAAAGAGCCGGGCACAGCGGCTCACACCTATAATCCCAGCACTTTGGGAGGCCAAGGCGGGTGGATAACTTGAGGCCAGGAGTTCAAGGCCAGCCTGGCCAATGTGTCTAAACCCTGTCTCTAGTAAAAATACAAAAATTAGCTAGGCGTGGTGGCACACACTTGTAATCCCAGCTACTTGGGAGGCTGAGGCATGAGAATCGCTTGAACCTGGGAGGCAGAGGTTGCAGTGAGCTGAGATCGGGCCACTGTACTCCAGCCTGGGTGACAGAGTAAGACTGTCTTAAAAAAAAAAAAAATTAACAAAAGAAACATATGTGTGTGTACAAACATCAAATTTTATAAAGTAAATTCTGAGACATACTAGATATGTAAATATGGTTGACTGACCTAAAATATTATAAAGAAAAGAAAATTAGAATTGTATAGTGATTTATAGGTTTAACAAACTAGTGATATAAGCTTTCTGGAAATAATGAATCTAAGATAATGTGTGGAGTTTTAAAATATATAATAAAATGGGAGGCCAAGGCAGGAGGATCACGTGAGCCCAGGAGTTTAAGACTAGCCTGGGCAACATAGTGAGACCTCATCTCTATAAAAAATAAACAAAGTTAGCTTGGCATGCTGGCATGCACATGTGGTCCCAACTACTTGGGGAGCTGAGGTGGGAGGATCGCTTGGGCCGGGGAGGTGGAGGCTACAGTGAGCCATGATCACAATACTGTACTCCAACCTGAGAGATGGAGGAGATCTTGTTTCAAATATATATATATAATAAATATAAAATAAAATAAGTATATAAAATAAAATAAAATAAAAGATATAGCTTATTTAGATATAAAAGATATAGCTTTTATATTTTATTTTATAAAAAAAGATATAGCTTATTTAGATAGTTATACATTCATGAAGTGAATTTATTTTTAAATGATGTAAATGTATTTATGTGATGTTAAATTTAAGGGAATAATAGTTTTTATCAATTTGGGATTTAAAAACTATAATCAAAACTGTGGTAAAATAAGAAACCTCCATAGTTGCTAGGTTTATTATCATTAGAGCGTTGAGCAGATAAAGTACTCATTTTCAGAAAGGAACTGGGACAAGCACCATAAAGATATCATACCCTTGACTCAATAAATATGCTCCTAGGAATCTATTCTAGGGAAGTAATGGAAGGAAAGCAAAAAGGCATATGTAGAAGATAAACAATGCATTGTTTCTCTAGTACCTAAAAATAAGAAATAATAATCAAGTATTAGAGAACTGCTTGATAAATTATGAATACATATAATAAAATATTTATAATATTACATTTTTATTCTAAAAATGAGATCGACATACAAAAGTATCACTGTTATATTTTAAGTGCTTATTCTGGGATACAGCATTGTATGTATATTATTTACAACTGCATAAAAACATACATACATGGAATAAGGCAAAAGACAAATATAAAAATAGTTCAATGGCTGTGATTGGGTATCCTTTATCAAATTAAAAATGTCTAATGTTTTTCTATTGTCTTCATATCTATATTAATTTTTCAACTCTATTAAAGCAGAGGAAACTTCTTAAGGGAAAGCCACCTTCCTACCCCCTAATCTCACTGATTATGACTTCTATCATGCACAGTTTTGCCTTATTAGTCTCATTTCTAAGGCAGCACTAACAGTAGCCATTCTTCTCACTTTTAACATTTATATTAACTGGAAATAACACAAATCGCTGTCCCTTTCCAAGACTCTGAGTCTGTCCAGGGCTAAGCCAGGGTGCTTCTATACCTACACACCTTCCCTACTTTCTGGATATGAGAGTCCTGCAGCCACATGGATTGGCTTCCGATGAATCTCTTCCTATTTCTAAACAGAGTATTTCTCTGTGCTTATTAGTGGAAAAGCACCTATACTCTCCTGAAGAGTTCATTTTATCTAGGCCATTAGATAAAGAATGCCTGACAAAGGGAGAATGAGATTCGGGGAAATAATAGCTGCGGATGGTTTTCCAGGGAAGTCTTTCCTGTTGCTGGGTTTTTAGAAGTAATCTGGGAGGAATCAGCAGTTATGAGAAGGTTGCAATTGAAACATCTTCTCTTAAACAATTTTTCCAATATTCCAGACTCAGCTTCAGAAAAAAATTCTCAGCCAAAAAAAAAGGTAGTTTTCAAAAAATATTCTAGCTTTTTTTCTGTGCCTTTGCATCTCTAAAAATAACCCAAACAGTGGTTTGAAATGGGCCAACATAGATCTTGCGGAATAAAATGTAGAGAGTATGCAACAGAGGGTGGAGTAAAAGAATGAGCTCCCCCTCGGATCCAGCCGCCTCCCCTCCTGTTTCCCATTCTCATCATGTCAGCCCAACCACCATTGTTCATTGTTTAACACACACTGTTCCCTCACTCCTTCACACAGCCCCTTTTCTTCAGAAAAGACATATGTCCATGAGAACATATCCGCTTCCAGTCCTCTCCCCTCAGTTTACTGTCATTCAGCTTCCTAAAAGACAGCTCTGTCCACATCACCCTCCTCAAGACCTACGTTAACTTGCCATATTCCTTAGCATGAACTTCACGTCTCTCCCATCTGGTCCATCTATTGTCCCCGCTTTTTAGTTAGAATTTCTTTCCTTAACATTCTCTCTGCTTCAATCACCCAGCACAAGGAACTACTTCCTGTATATATGGCTTGGGCTTTGCCATTTCCAAGTCTTTCCCTGCAATTCCCTCTCTCTGAAATATCTCTCCCCTGCTTCACCCCTACGGTCCAAAACCCTAGCTGTCCTTTAGGATCCAGTTCAAATGGTACTTCCTTCAAAAAGCCTTCCCTGCTAGCACTGAAATGTTTTGTCCTTCCTCTGAACTGTCATCCTAATTTGTACCTCTATTTGGCATTCATAAAATCTCGGAAATTTTATACTTAATTGTGAATAAATTTTACCCCACCATTGACAATAGCATTTATTCTGCACTCCTTATGATTGCTGAATCAAAGAAAGACTGTTCTGGTGAAGTTAAAACTGCATATGCACATTCGTGTGTGTGTGCGTGGGTGGGTGGGTGTCTGTGTGTCTGTGTGTCCGTGTATAGTTCGCACTTGTTTAGAAGATAGAATGGGGCCGGGCGCGGTGGCTCACGCCTGCAATCCCAGCACTTTGGGGGCCGAGGCAGGCGGATCACGAGGTCAGGAGCTCAAGACCATCCTGGCTAACACGGTGAAACCCCGTCTCTACTAAAAATACAAAAAAATTAGCCAGGCGTGGTGGCGGGCGCCTGTATTCCCAGCTACTCGGGAGGCTGAGGCAGGAGAATGGCGTGAACCCGGGAGGCAGAGCATGCAGTGAGCCGAGGTCGTGCCACTGCACTCCAGCCTGGGTGACAGAGCGAGACTCCGTCTCAAAAAAAAAAAAAAAAAAAAGAAGACAGAATGGGCAGGTTTCCAGGCTAGCCTTCACTAGTAAACTTAACTCAAACATAGTTCAAGTGCTTCTCACCCTGGCTGTGTATCAGTTACCTGAGGTGCTTCTGAGTCTCACCCCTTAGAGATTCACATTTGAGGGACTAGGGCAGGCCCCTTAATGCACAGTATTAATAGTCTAGGCCTGAATTTAGGGTTCTAACAATGAGTAAGTGGTTCAGCTGCAGGAAGAATACACCCATTCCCACTTTTTAGAATTCTCCTCCCCATTTCCCAGGTCCATATGATGTTATAAATCTCCTGAGTTCCCCATCCTGACCTGCCTTTTTCCCTAACATCTCCATGCTAAAAGTTCCCAACTGTCCCACTCCTCTCAAAATGTCAGTGCCTCCAGGGAGTAAAGTTCTAGTTGATATTTGAAATAAAGCACATAAATCATAAAAATAATTTATGATATATAGATCATTTAAAAACTTTCAGTTTGCATATACATTAAGAGCTACTGTCTAGTAAGAGCTTAGTACGTCTTTGGCATGGGGTCATGTACACTGTATGTATACAGATCTTCATTTAATCCTTAGAGTAACCCTGGGAGGTAGGTACAATCATCCCCATTCACAGAAGACAAAATAGACTTGACAGGCGAGGTGAACCAACCTGCCCAAAGGTCACACCACTGGGAGGTAGTAACGCCCAATTTCAAGTCTGAAGTGTCAGACTCCAAAGCTCATGCTCTTAACCTTTTTGACATATGTTAAAGAAGACGCTTGTTACCCTAAACTTGTTACTCTGTTCAGTGGCACTTGACAAGGATAAATAAGAAAAACTCCAACAGCAAGCAAGAGGGCAGGAAAGCACCACAATAGGTCCAGATGGGCTCTGTTCCTGGGATCTGCTCCCCTGGTTACAGTTTCCATAACTTTTCCTCCTTCCTCTGCTCTGACCCTCTCATTCTCTACAAGCACTGACAATGCCTTCTGTGGCAGCAGCATCTGGGCCTGGTTAGATGGGGAAAACTGGGGCAAGAGCAGCAGCCATTTGTATGTAGGGGAGGCTTATAATTAGAGACTGCCCTATTTGAAATGCATCAGGAAAATTGCAATTAGCAGATTCATTTATTAGATTTCTGTTATATTTCACTTGTGAAACACTTGGATTAAGACCTTATGCCTTACAAATAATATCCTGCCAGGATTTAGTGAGAAAAGTATTTACTGAATCGGGATTCTGTATTGTGAAATACAGGGTCTATAATGTTCAAAAACGTTTTTATTTATTCAGAGACACCAACATCAACAAAAGTAAATCTTATTTTTTAAAAAAGATTAGCCTGGACAAACTATATAAAGAGCCTCAATTTATTTTCTAATTACCTCATTCTTTTGCCAGATATTCTTAGCTGCTTTTGCAAGGATTTTACGTGTCCATTTAAATCAGAGTGAGTTCTGTGAGGACGCCATCCCACATACACAACAGAGCCCGGGCAATCTTTGCTAATCTGTTGCAACCAAGCTAGAATAATTCTTTCCTCTTACTGCATACACTCTTGCATACCACCCAGGCCCCGAGTGGGTGAACCAATGACAAGGAACAGGAAGATATTCCTGTTGGGAGATCAGGTACATCTCAAAGTTAATCGCTTTTATCCACAGCCCAACTACACCGCTTTCCAGTCATCTTGACAGCTGATAAATGGAGAATTAACATGCCTCTCACTTATAGCACCGGGGTTCATGCTGACAACTATGCTTAGTAGCAGAGATGCACACCTCAACGGACTCCATTTCTAACAGACAAAACTGAAATTTAATTTAGTCTTTGTGGTCTCCTAAATGTTCTCATTTCAAGTCTCAGAATGTAAAGAAGCACAGCAGATGATGCCAACACATATATAGGGCAGACCAAAGACAAGAGAGCTTGGCTTGCTGCATGATGACCCACGAGGCAGGGACAAAAAGGTCCTCATTTTGATGGCTATCCTGAATTGCTTACAATTAAACCAGCTTTGTGGGAAAAGCAAATTCTAAGAGTCATGAACTAGACTAGTTCTGGCTTTGCTACTGAATTAGTTATATGTAAGTCACTGATATTTTCTATGCCTCAATCTTCTTATCTATAAAATGGAAGTATTAGTACCTGTTATGCCTAATTCATAGCGTTGAAGAGAGAAAATGAGACAACTGAAGCGAATGTGTTCCTAAAATTCTAAAGGCATGACCATAAGCCATTTAATACAGCAGGGCCAAAATCTTACTATATTTTATTTTACTTACAAAGCCACCATAGTTTTATGACTTAGTAACAGCAAAGTTATTAAGCAAGTTAGAAATGGTTTTATTCTACACTTTGCGTTCTTACTCGTCACTCTTCATTTTGTTCCCCTTCCAGAAAATAATGATGGTGGGAATTGCTTCTATGGTAAGGTTGCTAAATCTCAAGTAACTAAGCACAATATAAAGCTGCCGATTTTTTAAAAATGTACTCCAGTCGGGTGCGGTGGCTCACGCCTGTAATCCCAGCACTTTGAGAGGCTGAGGCAGGTGGATTGCTTGAGGTCAAGAGTTAGAGACCAGCCTGGCCAACATGGTGAAACCCCGTCCCTACTAAAATACAAAAATTAGCTGGGAATGGTGGCAGGCACCTGTAATCCCAGCTACTAGGGAGGCTGAGGCAGGAGAACTGCTTGAACCCAGGAGGCAGGGGTTGCAGTGAGTCAAGATTGTACTGCTGCACTCCAGCCTGGGCAAACAGAGCAAGACTCTGTCTTAAAAAAAAAAAAAGTACTCTACATAATTTTCACTGCCTTAATCATGTCAGTAACTATGAGGGGGAAACTGCACATAAGAGTACTTAAATTCCTACCTCACTTAAAATATAACCAAAGGAAACACAGCCCAAAAAGCAGAAAAGGTTCAACAAATAAATCCTGCATACAGCATAAAGAGGGAAGTATCAGAAATGGTTCTTTCCGTCTCAACACCGTCTGCATCACAAAACCAGAGGCTAACAATGCAGTTTACAAAACTTAAGAGTCAAGGCTGTGTGAGAAAATTAATTTTTAAAAAACCTTAAAAGTATAACAGACTTTTAGAAAAGTATATAAATATAAATGACTGATTGACATCGTCTAGAACAAATGCCCCTACCCAGGTCAGTACTGCAAAACTCCCTCCCTCCCAGCCACACACCCTCCTGGATCAGGGCCCCTGCTTCCCATCCCGTTGGAGTGCATATACTCCCGGTGTACAAGAGCTGGGCATGCCCTAGGGCTTCCAAAGTGTGGTCTTGTGGGGAGGGGAGCAGGACCCCTGGGAATCTCCAGACCCTTTCAGAGAGTCCACAAAGTTAAAACTATTTTCATTCTAGTTCTAAGATATTCTTTGCCTCTGTCACTGTTGACATCTGGGCTGGAAGAACTGCTAGTGCCTTGGCATGAACAAAGGCAGTACTAGCAGTCATTGTATTTCTCTCCTCTACACACTAAAGAAAATATGCCAGTTTCACTTTAAAATGTCCTTGGTGAGGCAGAAGAAATATTACTTAAATCTCTACCCGTGAATATATGTCTTTTTAATATTCTGTGTGACAAAATGGGAGAGCACACACAAAGCCCTTCTGCCGCACACCGAGGTAGGAAGTTTGCCTGGAGGAAAAAAGCACTGGGGCGGTTGTTTGCTTTTGAGCTGACATAGTTGCTTTTATCACAGAACACCATTTCTACCTGAAGGAATGACAGTCAGACAAACTATGGTTATTCCAGTGTGAGTATCTGGCAGACAAGTGAACCTATCACTTGAAGAAAAATAACCGACAGGCTGGATATGGTGTCTCACACTTGTAATCCCAGTGTTTTGGGAGGCTGACACAGAAGGATCGCTTGAGGTCAGAAGCACAAGACCAGCCTGGCAACATAGTGGGACCCTGTCTCTACAAAAAAAATTTTTTTTAATTAGCTCAATGTGATGGCGTGTGCCTGTAGTCCCAGCTACTCAGGAGGCTGAGACAGAAGGATGGCTGAGCCCAGGAGTTTGAGGTTTACAGTGAGCTACGATCACACCACTGCACTCCAGCCTGGGTGACAGAGCAAGTCCCTGTATCTAAAAAATTAAAAAGTTAAATAAAAAAATAAAGCTGGAAACCAACTGACAGTTGGTGCCAGTGAAATTCAGGCTTTCAAGTGAAAATTAATTTTGGAAAACATGTCTGCCACTACGAGCTTGACAGTTTCCTAATACTTAAATACTTTTTTAGTAAAAAGCTATAGAAATGATCCCTGAAAGTATAGCTTTACTAAACACTTTCCTAATGAGATCAGTGGTAAAGTTACAGAATGTGATATTTTAATATTGTATAATGAACTGTGTCAACAATGGAAAGATCTACATAACTCAGTAAACTAATGTTTCCAAATAATCAATGTATGATATTACAAAATCATACATAAGTAAAAACCTACTCAGCATGCAAGGTAAACCAAATATTTTAATGTAATAAATATTAAAAGTTCACTGATATGGATTCAGATTTCACACTGCCACCAACCTTTCAAACTACCATTTGTCAAAGTTTTAATTAAGTATCAAAAAGGAATATCTACAATTATTTAAAAGGTTATGAAAATACTCCTCCTTTTTCCAAACTACATAGCTGTGTGAGGCCACATTTTCTTTATATGCTTCAAACAAAACAACACATCACAACTGCTTGAATGCAAAAGCAGATGTGACAATCCAGCTGTCTTTTATTAAGCCAGACAGTAAACTGATTTACAAAACTGTAAAACAATGCCACTCTTTCTACTAATTTTTTTATGTTTTGGTAAAATGGTATTTTTCTTTCAAAAATTGTTATTTATATTAACACATAATAGGTTTTTAAATGAATAATATTTTTAAATGTCTCCATTTTGTACTATGGTAGATATCAACAGATATTATCCATATAAACAAAAGTTCTTTGAGGTCCTCAGTAATTTTTAAAAGTGTAGAGGAGATCAAGTGTCAAGTGAGATCAAAGGTATGAGGAACTGCTGCTTTAGGGTATAAACCTAGGAGTAAAACTGCTGGATCACAGGGTATCTTATCTCCAGCTGTATGAGACACTGGTAAACATGGTTGTACCAGTCTACACTCCCACCAGTAGTTATTTATATATTCTGAATATGGGTCGTTTGTCTCTTGTGTTCTACATACTTTTCCCAATCTGTCTTTGAGTGAATAGAAGCTCGTCAACAGAAGTCAAACTTATCAGTCTTTTCCTTAATGGTCAGTCTTGTTTATGAAATCTTTCTCTATCCCTAACTCTATATTCCTAATATAGAGTTTTTTCTAAAAGTTTTATTTTAGAAGAATGAGTCACGGAATCATTTAGGTGGGCTACAATCAGCATTTTTAAAATATAAACTACCTTTGAATATAACAGAAAATAGCAGAATGCTTTGCACATAGTGAGGATGAGTATCATTTCAAGGAAATGTATTGCTTTGCATTTCATAGTTAGATCCCTGCTACTACTTACTTATTAGTTATTAAGGATCTCTTTGGGCTTCCAACTATGGCAAGGAACTCTGCCACTCTTCTCTGCATTTTCATGTCACATTCAGAAGTCATCCTGTACTACTGTTACTAAGTTTCCATCTGAATCTTCAAGAGACAGAAGGTTATAGGTTCAAATGTTTCAACAGAAAATTAAAAACTGGAGACCTTAGAGTTCCCCACCCCGCCGCCTTTTTTTTTTTTTTTTTTTTTGAGACGGAGTCTCACTCTGTCGCCCAGGCTGGAGTGCAGTGGCGCGATCTCAACTCACTGCAAGCTCCACCTCCCAGGTTCACGCCATTCTCCTGCCTCAGCCTCCCGAGTACCTGGGACTACAGGTGCCCGCCACGACACCCGGCTAATTTTTTGTATTTTTTAGTAGAGACGGGGTTTCATCGTGTTAGCCAGGATGATCTCGATCTCCTGACCTTGTGACCTGCCCACCTCGGCCCCCCAAAGTGCTGGGATTACACGTGTGAGCCACTGCGCCTGGCCAGAGTTTTTCAACTGATTCCTGGATAGGTAAAGATATCATCCATCCTTTTACAATATCACAATGATCACGAATACTGCCACAATAAAGCTTTCAAGAAAGCTGTATTGATGTTTTGTTTTAAGAGAGAACTGAAAGCACTTTCGGACATTTTCTAGGTCCACAGAATTTCACTATTTCTCAGCAAAAGGTAAATCCAAAACAAAGAGGAGGGAAGCTGATAGCACAGGGCACTTGTTCTAACTTGCTTGACTTTATAAAGGGCTGAGGAGAGGCTCCAGAACATTCCTCAGTAGGAAAGCTGCTGCCATCTCCACCGTGGGAACTGGGAAGGACATTCACGTCACATATTTGTCACCCTTGAGTCCCTAGTATCTTTCTAGAATGTAAGTTATTCCTTCAAGACTCAACAAATATCTATACCCAAATATCTACTGACACATGAACTTACCTGATACTTTTAATGTCTTGTGCAGTATTTTTCAAACTACAGATCATTATACACTGAGTCATGAGATCATTTAGATGAGTTACAGTCAGAATTTTTTAAAAATGAACTACCTTTGAATATAATAGAAAATAGCAGAATGCCTTGTACATAGTAAGGATGAGTATTGTTTCAAGAAAATTTTTCTCAATCAAACCTGTGTCTATATGTGTGTCTCAATGTAAAATACATTTCTTACTGTGGGTTTCTGTCCAAACATTTGAAAGGCACTAGTTGGGCACACTGTACTGAGCATACATGCTGGGTAATTTTCTGCCCAGCAACTATCTCTTATCCAGGGAAATAGCCACCCAGCCACTTATAGTCATATAGGCAAACACACGTGTCACCATATTTCTATGTGACCCTCACCTCATGAGTTACTTGCTTACAATTTTTTTTAACTTGGCAGTCACAGAACTTTTCAGTAACAGAAGCTATAGGATAAATTGCTGGTGGCCATGTTTCCAGCCATACGGAGAAATGTCTGCTCTGAGAAGGAATGGAATAAACATGCAGAAAGAGGCAGAGATGAAAGATGGAGATAATTCTGGCCCTACTGAGGCCAGTTGCATTACTGCTCTTCCCACAGTTTGGTGGCCCAATTCTTTCCTAGATCCTGTAAGCCAGTAAGTCCCCATTTTCCACTAAGTTACTTTCATAGGCTTCTGATGCTTTCAATCAAATATATATGCAACGCCTGTTTTTGTCTAAAGACTTGGGGGCTGAAGTGATGAACTGAAAATTTCAATCCCAATAAATAATAAACACATTATTGTCCTAAAATTCATGAACCTCCCTGTCCTCACCACACTCCATTTATCATGGAAAAGGGAAAACTGGAACAATTCATTAAAAGCTACAAATATAAAAAGATTATTGCCGGCCGGGTGCGGTGGCTCACGCATGTAATCCTAGCACTTTGGGAGGCCAAGGTGGGCGGATCATGAAATCAAGAGATCTAGACCATCCTGGCCAACATGGTGAAACTCCGTCGCTACTAAAAATATAAAAATTAGCTGGGCATGGTGGCACGTGCCTGTAGTCCCAGACACTCGGGAGGCTGAGGCAGGAGAATCACTTGAACCTGGGAGGCGGAGGTTGCAGTGAGCCAAGATCGTGCCACTGCACTCCAGCCTGGCGACAGAGCAAAACTCCGTCCAAAAAAAAAAAAAAAAAATTATTGCTGAAATTCAACTGTCATCTTCACTACTATAATGAAATAAAAAATATTTTGGGGTAAACATGGTAAGTGGAGGTGGAATCCTCAAACCTTCTTTGGCAAAGTTCATGTATGCACTATTTATAATATTTTACTTCTGTCTCTGGCCTGATTTAAAGCCAGTGAGACACATTATGGTAGTTAGGTACTGCACAATCCTTTATCAATAGAGTGTCTTTATTTTTTAAAAACTAACCCAAAATTGGCCAGGCGCATGGTTCACGCCTGTAATCCTAGCACTTTGGGAGGCCAATGCAGGCAGATCACCTGAGGTCAGGAGTTCGAGACCAGCCTGATCTCTACTAAAAATACAAAAATTAGCTGGGCATGGTGGTGGGTGCCTGTAATCCCAGCTTCTCGGGAGGCTGAGGCAGGAGAATTGCTTGATACCGGGAGGTGGAGGTTGCAGTGAGCCGAGATCACACCATTGCATGCACCTGGGCAACAAGAGCGAAACTCCGTCTCAAAAAAAAAAAAAAAAAATACCCTACCCAAAACCATTCGATACTATTGAGTTCTTAGGCCCTGGAGAACTAACTGAGGGCAAAATCACCTGATTATAGCCAAATACTGCTGACTGAGAGGCAGAAACCTGAGTAAATGAAAAGAGGTTGACTAAAAGGCAAAAATGGAAGCTAAGTATGATCCACGCAAAGCAAGCAGGATACTGAATGCGTTTTTATAAGTTAAAGAGAAACTCATCCCTCTAAGAATGTAACACAGCTTCCTCCCATACCTGCTTTATTGGAGACTAGTTTGCCCTTGAAATTTACAATCCAGCTGCCTTTGTGTATATCTGAATATTTCAAGCAGAGTACTGTGAAAACTGACCCACTTATACAATGCAGTTTGTTTAGTTTGGGAAGCAACTATTGAGAAAGACAAACTTAATTCTGGTGCAAATTAGGTCTGTAAAGGCATTCTGTGAGTGTTCATTGGCAAAGTGATCTCTTTCATATAATGGCACTTGTAATTATTCTGATCAATTTTGCATTCCCTATCAATTCATCTTGACTTGGAGACAGCCCAAATTATCAGGGGTGCATTCAGAAAGGCTCTCCAGGTTGTCGGCTGATCAGTGCTGAGGGAAGGCCATGAAACATGTGGCTTGCTCACCATCAGCTCTTTGAAAATGTATTTTAAGGAGTTCAAAGTTATTAGCAGAGCTTTTATAATAAGATATGAGTAATATGGGATTTTCTAAGTTAAAACTTTTAGGGGCAAGACCTAAAGAGAAACTTGGTGCTAACAATCACAGTTTGATTTGCTTTTAATCTTATACTTCAGCTTCTCAGGGATGGGTGGCATTATTCCAAAAGTTCCAAAGTGGCCACAGTTGCTATTTTTCTACAAATAGGAGGTCATATAAGAACATATAAGAAAGGGCTTCTTCATAAATGTTTCCAGATGACCAAGACCAAATTTGGATTATCTATGACATTCTTAGTCTTTTAAATGGCTGAAGACTTAGCACTAGGTGCATTTTCTCCTGGATTAAGTCTCTCCCACTAGATCCAAAAGTCCTCCAGAGCTGGTTCCACACAGGGCTTTGCACAGAGTAGATACTCAGGAATATCTGCTAGAATCTCAAGTCAAATTAGCTCTTGAGACAAGAACTGTACCTCTGTTGAAGGAGGTGTACTTTAACAGAAAGAACACAATGGTCTGAGTTTGAGGAAGTGGGCCCTAGTCTTTGCAATTAACTGGAGTTTCACTTTCCTTATGAAGGGCTTTACTCTAGATTTAGATATATACACATATTTGAACCAAATGGTCCCTAAGGTTCATTCAGCATGGTTCTAAGTAAGAAATAACAAGGCTCCTCTTTTATTCAATTATTGACTTCAAAGTCAATCAAGAAGCTACCCTTTGACGGTACATATGTTCTTATTGTGAGTAACATGGAATGGCCACTGAGGAAGATTTTTAGACGGTGATTTTCTGTGTAAATATGAGAATGACAGGGAAGACAGGAAGCTAGATGCTATCAAAGTGCTGGTTGCATGGTGGAGGGAATACTGGAGCAGGATGGCTCTAATGACTACTAGCTGTATGCCCTTGGACAAGCTGTAAACTCTCAGAAGTCTGTTTCCTCATTTGTAAAATGGGAGACAATACCTCACAAGGTGGTTGTGGCTGTGGGTGTTAAATAGGATAATGCTCATGAGAGCACTTACAAACTGCAAGGCACCATACAAATACAGATGGTATTATTCCTTGTACCAACCTGCCAAAAACGGTTTTTTCAACAAACTCTGAAGTATTAAAATAAAAAGCTAATGTTTTCCCGAAGAACTAAAATTGAAATTCTTTGTTTTCTGCTCATATTATATCTAGGTGTGGAGTGGACAGCAAGACAACTTAAGAGTTAAAATCTAAGCCCAGCGTGGCTCTCCAGCTGGTCTACCACTGACTTCGGTTATCTAACATCTGGCCTCTGCCCTTACTACTATTAGTTTACAATTACAAACAACCTCAGGCAGTGCTGAGAAACTCCATTGCCTGTTAGATGATAAGCTGGGGCACTTTAGGAATTGTTTTGCTTTGTTTTGTTTTTAACTTAAATTTGGTTTGGGCAGACCCCCTGCTGCCATTCCTGTAAGAATAGGTGTGGGTTTCCCCAAGGGCAGTGTTGGGGAAGACCCGGACTGGCATGCATGCTGCACTGGCTGATTTCTGCACTGCATTCCACAAGGTGCCCACAGCACTGCAAGGGCTGCCCTCTGCTTGAGCTCCTGCATGGCTGCTCCCTGCATGAGTAGCTTACGTGCGGCACGGCTGCTCCTTGCATGGGCAGCTCCAGCAAGGCCAGCACAATGCATTGCACGGGCCGCTCTCTGCACGCACCACTCCACGCTCACAGCAGCCCCAGACTTTGAGACTTTAACTGCAGAACAGAAGTGAGAGGCTTCGGCTGGCAGCTGTTAGTTGCTCCTTATTCTTTGTCACTCACAGAAAAAAGAGAAAGATGGTAAGAAGGCAGTGACTTGTTTTCTTTGTTTCTTCATAAATGGAGGCTTTAAGAATATTCTATAGGCCGGGCGCGGTGGCTCACGCCTGTAATCCCAGCACTTTGGGAGGCCGAGGCGGGCGGATCACGAGGTCAGGAGATCGAGACCATCCCGGCTAAAACGGTGAAACCCCGTCTCTACTAAAAATACAAAAAAATTAGCCGGGCGTAGTGGCGGGCGCCTGTAGTCCCAGCTACTTGGGAGGCTGAGGCAGGAGAATGGCGTGAACCCGGGAGGCGGAGCTTGCAGTGAGCCGAGATCCCGCCACTGCACTCCAGCCTGGGTGACAGAGCGAGACTCCGTCTCAAAAAAAAAAAAAAAAAGAATATTCTATATACTTTATTCCTTCAGCCTGCTGTAATTTTAGTATCATCGTTTAAAGGCAAAACATTTTTTCCATTTAATGCAATAAAATGCAAAATAAATAGCCCTTTTAGATTGTTTTACTTTATTCAGTAAGATACATTTCTTTCACCCAAAATTTTTTTTTTTTTTTTTTTTTGAGACGAAGTCTTGCTCAGTCGCCTAGGCTGGAGTGCAGTGGTGCAATCTTGGCTCACTGCAACCTCCGCCTCCCAGGTTCAAGTGATTCTCCTGCCTCAGCCTCCCGAGTAGCTGGGACTACAGACACACGCCACCAGGCCCAGCTAATTTTTGTATTTTTAGTAGAAGCGGGGTTTCACCATGTTGGCCAGGCTGGTGTCGAACTCCTGACCTCAGGTGATCCTCCTGCTTCGGCCCCCCAAAGTGCTAGGATTACAGGCGTGAGCCACCGCGCCCAGCCCAAATGTACTTTTTCTCTTGGGTATATTTTAGTCAACTATTGTATAGATGCTAGCTTACTGAGGTTGCTAAATAATTAACTTCTGATTATCACAGCTTTATTTAAAACTCTTTTTTTTGAGTGCTTGCTA
This sequence comes from Homo sapiens, assembly GCF_000001405.40. Taxonomy (NCBI): domain Eukaryota; kingdom Metazoa; phylum Chordata; class Mammalia; order Primates; family Hominidae; genus Homo; species Homo sapiens. The sequence goes on from NC_000002.12 coordinate 64,729,440, forward strand.
TCTGCCAAAGTACATTTTAAAAAGCCGTTTATTTTTTAAAACTACATTTGCTTTAATGTATAGGATGTTAATACATTTTCAGTCTAGGGTAAACTAAAATCAACATAAATTTGTATTCCCTAAACATACACCTCCCAGGTGAGCTGCTCCAAGTTCCGGGCATTCAGCAGAGAAGGTCCACATACTTCACTATGGATAATCCACAGATATCTAAGCACTCTTCCTGCCTATTCTTAATGTCACCCTGAAAAACTAACTTAGTCACAAACAGAAAACCAAGAGCTACCTACAGCCTGAAGTATTCCCAAATCATATATGCAACTATATAAATCATGGAAGGTAATAGTTCTTTTTCTACTTTTTGTAACTGCCTGAAAATAAACCAGAAGTGGGCACATGAGAAAAGACAACTATTTCATATAACAAATAAGTTATATTTTCACCAGTGGCTATTCAACTTTCTCCTCCTCCCCCAATAAAATTCTGATTTCTAACTAATAGAGCAGTCCTTTCATGTTGGTTTTGTCTCTTCCAGTTAACAACACAAAAGAATTACGACGATTCATCCTCTCAATTTTATGTAGCTTTCAGAAGCCAAATGAGCAACAGGATCATCTTGTTAATAAATCTTTCCAATTAAGTTGTGAGTGTAGGCTTATGTTAGATTTTTCAAAGGCTCTCTCAGAAGCAGAGGAGTGGGTTACCTTATTGTCTAGGAGTTCCCAAATGCAGAAAGAGTGTATCTGATGTTAATGCACAGATGTCTTGACTGGGGAAAAAAAGAAAACTCATAAATCATCACCCCACACATTTTAGATGGGAGAGGAAATAGCAGAATGGAACAATTAACAATTACTATTCTACAGAAATTATTTAATATAGTGGAAAGAGAGACAAGGCAGGGTTTAGAAGGCCTGAATTTCAGTCATTCCACCACCATTTACTAACTTTTTTATTCTCTGGACTTGAATTGGCACATTTCTAACATAGGAATAGCCACAATTCTCTTGCTGATCACACAGATTTGTTGTTGGGATTACATGTGAAAATTCACAGATAAGTATTTTAAAAACAGTTTTAAAGGGCTACTCCAGTATTTCTGACATTAACAAATTTCTCTGCATTGCATTCACTCAAGCGTGACTGAAGATGATCAAAGCCAGCCCTTCCACAGCTCTGTCAATTGGGAATCTCTGAAGTGGGTCTGCTATCACCACTGCATGGGGTGACGTCAGGCTGTTGTTTACAGGAGAAGAGAGGCTGCCAATTTCCACTGAGCCCAAGACCTCTATGGCCAGGCTTCTCAGTCTGCACGTGAGCAAGAATGGACTCTTTATGCGTGGCATGTGTGGACATGCACCAGTTCACGTTCAGCGGCACTAAAACAACAAAACTGCTTAACTGCTTGGTGTGTGCACAACAGCATGTACTTTGGATCTTACGATTTCACTAAGAAGACTAAGCAAAATTGATCAAAATGCAACTTTCACTTTTGTTACTCTGAAAGCGGGGAAAACCTGTCATTCGGCAACTTTATCCTCAGTTTGATTTTTAAAAAGCATTTTGAAAGCAAAACAGTTGATTCTAGTTTTTACAGAACTCTCCTCAAGCTCTACATTCACTAACAAAAGAACTATGGACAAAATATTTCAAAGCATGAAATATATTCAGACTGCAGTAACCAAGTTTTATAGGAACCACTTCATTTTCAGAGTGGTTGCAGTTGCTTCCTCCTATAAGTTCAGGAAGTACTCACTCAAGTACTAACATAGTCTAACTGAATCCACTTTGGGGAGATATTTTGTTACATTTATTACTATAAACAGGAAAAAAATCTGGCTTATTAACATTTGCCCATTCATGAAATTTCCTGGCAGAAAGCAGCCTGTTAAATCAAATTTAGAGGGCAAAAAAGAAAATAGGGGCTGCTTTCATTATAATCTTTCTTCAACTATCCATCACCTTCTGGGACAGCAGTCAAATCAGGAATAATATGGGAGCGGATCGTGTTTATAACTGGCAATGAAACTTTACCTCAGACAATAAATCTCGTGTAAATCCTAACACTGGAACACTGAAGAAGAGATGGAAGAGATGTGGGAAATATTCTTGGTCCCTGGAAATTAGTTTCTTTGGTCCTGTTTTAAGTGTAGCTGAAGAAAGGAGAAACTATGGCTCAGGAATAAAATGAAGCCCAGAAAGAATCCCAAGTTCTGTTTTTGGCTCTGCAGTTCATTACATATAATCCTAGGTCAAACACTTAGCCAAGATGGTCCTTATTCTCAGTGTATGAGAAATGGTGATGATAATAGAAAATACTACTTTTCAATTTTTAAGAGGACATAAGAAAAAAAGAAGACAACGAGTGAAAGTTTTATGCAACATTACATTACAGGAACTAGAAAAGAACAGAAACATGGACTGCGCATTCAGCCGGACCCTGGCCATCTCCTCTGAGAGCTGCGGAGGAGAACTCACTAAATAAGGGGGAAGTGCCATGAGCACTTCCTTCATTTTATAGTTAGACATAACAGGAGCATAAAAAGTATGACACCAGTTCAACTTTTTCAGGGTTGGTGCCAGCAAGTAACATTAGCCACATATCCTAAACACGTCAAGAAACCTAAAGAGCTATCTATCCCAGGGTTCCTCCCCAACATAAGTGCTAATCCAGATGCCAAACACCTTTGTAGAAAAATGTGGAAGTAGTTTCAGATTATACTTGAAAATGGCTGTCATCAGCTTCATTCCTTTATGTGGTGAAAGACACCTGAATACACGAATCAATGATGATGTGAAACAATGATAGCAAAAAGGCGGCAGGCAGGAGCATTAATAGTCTCAGTTAGGAATGCTTCAAATGAGCAGGAATTTTATCGACTGAACAAAGCAATGATTAGAGCAGAGCTTCACACGTTTGGAGCCAGTACAAAGTTCATGAACTCTATCTTTAAAAGAATAAAACCTCACATAAAGTAAAGCAGTCAACTTGTCAGTCAAGGCAATCAGTAAGAGGAATAGTAAGAGAAACTGAATTGACAGGAACCCTTATTCTTAATATTTGCCCCTATCCAACTTTTACTTAAAATTCTAAAACTGGCTATTTCGACTTTACTTTTCTAACCTTTTCTGTTTGTCAAATTGACAGGATCACTGAAAGCAATTATAAACGCACACAAAGAAAATAGGAGGACATGTGAAGAATAGACATTTATAACTGGGTTGACCAAGGGCCCGAGTTCCCACTTGACACCCCATGGCGAAACTGCTTGTTGCACTCCAGTACATCAAAGCATCATGTGCTCAATGGTGTGATAGTTAGAAAAGTCATAGTACACTTGCTTACTATACATTTGCTACATAAACTGCCTCTCCAGGAGCACAAAGGGTTCCAAGAACTCACTACATGAACGCTGATAGGTGACTGTAAGCACTGAATCACTTTAGCTTCAAAGACACACCTAATAAAAAGCGGGTGGATCACCTGAGGTCAGGAGTTTGAGACCAGCCTGACCAACATGGAGAAACCCCGTCCCTACTAAAAATATAAAATTAGCCAGGCGTGGTGGTGCATGCCTGTAATCCCAGCTACTTGGGAGGCTGTGGCAGGAGAATCGCTTGAACCCGGGAGATGGAGGTTGCAGTGATCCGAGATAGGGCCATTGCACTCCAGCCTGGGCAACAAGAGTGAAACTCCAACTCAAAAAAAAAAAAAAAAAAAAAAAAAAGACTCAGTTCCATTTCAGTAACTGACTAAACAAAACAGAACTTTTCTTTGTCAAGAACTTTTTCCTAGTCATTAAAAATGCCTATTTTTTTCCCTCATCATATAATGGTGTAATAAGTTTACACTGATACCTGCATCTAGCATTCAAAAGTTAAGATTTAAGTATTCCATACTGCATCTCATTTTGTATTCCTAAGGTGAGAGGTAGGGATACTGCTAGCTGGAATGTCAACAACTTGAACTGAAGAACAATGTAAAAGAGTAATTCTCACACCAACAATGTCAATAAGTGTATGAATAACTAACATAAAGTGAAGCAAAAGAATCTTAAAGAAAAGGCCTCTATTTTAGGAAATGGGAAATCCATTTTAAAAAAACTCCTCATTCACATAATTATTCAGTAATAAAAGTCACAGTTTCTCCAAAATACGTGAACCTAGGTCACCAGAACAGCTGTCAGAGGCCATATGAACTGATTTGTAGATTGCACAGACAAACAAAAGGTAGTGGTAACAAGCACCTCTCCTCCATCATGAAAGTGATCTCTTCTATGCAATGCTTCTTTGTCCATCTCCCTGTCCAATCATCATGTAAGATCAAAACAGAAAAACGAGTGGTCAAATGCCTGTATAACTCTATTAATAACCCTAAATTAGCCCGCGTGGAAGAAGTTTCCATTTTTATCATATTGTTCTTAAGATGCATAAGTACTGCAAAAAATAAAACCAAATCTTCATGACCCATGTCAATCTAGTGTACTTACCATTCAGTAATCACTACACTAGTGATAACGTCAAATTAGTGGTAGTGGAACACAACAGTGCTGAGAAGACATGAGTGTCTTTGTACCACATGGATTTCATGCTAAGGTAGAAAAGATGGATCCATGACCTGGTACACAATAAAGCTTATGTCTAGGGACTTAGCCAAAGTACAGACAAATTTTCTCCAAATATAATCTCTTTTCCAAATAGTTTTTAAAAACTATTGTAAATACATTTTCCTTAGCTGGTCAACAATTTTTCACTGGTCATCCTGCAGTTTTCAGTCAGAATAAGAATTCCTCGAGAAAAATGAAAACAATAAATGACCTGGAACTATGGCAGTTTGCCCTTAAAATCCATCGCACACAACTTGAAGTTGTAGATCTTGCCCATGAGAAGCTCCAAGAGAGTACACAGGAATGACAGAATCAAGAAAGAAGCAAACACAAAGACAAAGCGCTAGTGATTGCTCTATCATTGGAGTATAAACCTTCAGTAATAAGTGGCAGATAATACACTCTGGACTCTTCGTTGCTTTCCAATCCACTGAATTAGACTTTTGTTCCATTCTCTCAGGTAGACCAAGAAGTAGGGGCAAGAAACACAGTTAAAACATTTCTCAACAGAGACGAAAAAGAGAAATTGAGTCAGTCCAACTGCTTAGTCTCGACTGGTTTTTACCTGCTTGATTGTCTGAAGACAAGAATACACCCTGATCCAGCAATGAGTATGGTCAACTGCACAGCCATGAATAAACGTTTCCCATACAAGACTTACACATCACGGCAAGGTCAGTCTTAACTCTAGTTGGGAAATTAAATGTTAGTTTGTTTGAGCTTTTGGATCTTGATCTTGGCTTTCTTTTTTTAGCACTGGGTAGTGGAAATAAAAATAAAATCAAGCTATTAGATGGGAAACAACAGACATTTCACTTTTCATTTCAGCCTCTGAGCCATTAGTAACAAACCTTGGCTAAACAGTAAAAGCATTTGTTACACAGCAAAGGGAATCTTGTCCACAAAACTTTTCTGCAAGGCACTAACATTTAAAATGTGCTCAAATGAAACCAAGCTTCATAAGTTATAATCATATTTCATCCTTCTTAAAAATAACCAATAGCACTTCAAGGAATGCAATATGAATTTCAAATTTTTATATTCTCAAAACTCAGCACTTTTAAACAAAATTATAGCCACAATGTCCCATTCTCTGGCTTCTTTAATAAAATTATAATTTATCTCAGAGTTTTGCTTTCATTGTGCAGCATTACAATTATAGAACCTAATTTGAAATGTGTTAGAATCATCAACACACACTTAAAGAGTTCCTTTAAAAAACATCTCTCTGGCTGAAAAGATTCATGCCAGCAGAAGCTCTGAATTATGGATCGAACCATCCAAAATCTGAGTATTTTCAGTATTCACAGAGCCTAACAGATCAATAGCTACTTCAACACTAAATCTAAAAATTAAAGACACTGAAAAAAAGTAACAGAAAGGAACAGGCCAGGGTTCAGCATCTTCCAAGTCAAGAGAGAGACCAGACTTTTCACCCTTCTTCCATTCTCTTGCCATGGAGGATGGCAGAGTTAAACGTTCTACTTACAGGGGTCAACAGGCATCAATAACTTTCATTCAAGAGTGATCCTGTCATTTTGGAAGAAAATTTAAAAGGGAAGAACATCCCATGTAATTGGGTTGTGGCAATTTTGCAGGAAGTCACAGGTGTTTCAGAAGTGCTTTAGAAATACCATAGCGAGAAAAATATGACAGTCCTTCTCTCTCTATTTTGAAAAGGGCATGCCTGAACAAAGACCTTCCATTGTTCCTGCATAGAGTATTGGAAAACATGTCTTTGGAAGATGACTCTCTCTTGCAGTAGGTATGAGAGGGTTCAAGACCAAAGAATCCAAAAGAGATTTATTGGTAAATTAGACACAATTTTTTTTTTTTTTGAGACAGAGTCTTGCTCTATCACCCAGGCAAGTGTGCAGTGGCGTGATCTCGGCTCACCGCAACCTCCACCTCCCGGGTTCAAGTGATTCTTCTGCCTCAGCCTCCCGAGTAGCTGAGATTACAGGCACCCGCCACCATGCCTGGCTAATTTTTGTATTTTTAGTAAAGACGAGGTTTTAACCATCTTGGCCAGGCTGGAATTAGACACGATTTTTTTTCTAAAGGAAATTCTGTGAAACTGGAGCAGCTACACTACTGTGGTGAGTCTAGATTTTCCTAAAATATCAAAGACCTGGTCTATCCTGGACAAACAAGTTACTATATTTCAAACAGCATTTTATTTTGCTTACCTTTTCATGGGTCATCATGGTTTTCTTTTCATAAAGGGGGAAATCTATTTCAACTCTGTGTTTATGGACAGCAAAGCTGAAGAGATTTTTTTTTCACATTTGATAAATATGTACAACACACTGTTTTTTCAGTGTTATTTTTAAAATATGGGGTCTTGCTATGTTGCCCATGTTGATGTCACACTCCTGGGTTCAAGTGATCCTCCTGCCTTGGCCTCTAGAGTAGCTGGGACTACAGGTGCATGCTGCCATGCCTGGCCTTGTACACATTGTTAACAATTTCCCTTCCTCGGTTTTGGAAAAATATCAAGTGAAGTTGAAATTATGTAAGATGTTTCTAGGGATATATTACAGAAAAATTTTAAAAGAAATATATAAGAAAAAAATAAGATGGGCAAGATAGGTTAATGGAAGGTCTGACCAATTTGCAAAGCTCACATAAAATGCTATGCCCTAGATAGTGAGGTGAGAGGTCAGGTAGGAGACCAGCCAAGGGAGAGTCACTTACAAATGCTTACCAGCGGCCAGGCGCGGTGGCTCACGCCTGTAATCCCAGCACTTTGGGAGGCCAAAGCGGGCGGATCACAAGGTCAGGAGATTGAGACCATCCTGGCTAACACGGTGAAACCCCGTCTCTACTAAAAATACAAAAAATTAGCTGGGCTTGGTGGTGGGCGCCTGTAGTCCCACCTACTCGGGAGGCTGAGGCAGGAGAATGGCATGAACCTGGGAGGCAGAGCTTGCAGTGAGCCGAGATGGCGCCACTGCACTCCAGCCTGGGCGACGAGTGAGACTCCGTCTCAAAAAAAAAAAAAACAAAAAAAAACAAATGCTTACCAGTATGGAGGGTGGCAGCATCAGTGGAAGATAGGATTTTATATAAGATTGAAAGGAGAGAAGAAAGAACAGGAATTAACATTTATTAAATATCAGCTTTGTGTTTGTTGTTTTACTTATTTTATGTCAGTAATAAGCATAGAGGTAGATATTATTGTTCCCATTTTACAGCAAAGAAAATGAAGTCTTAGAGACATACCCAACATCCATTCCTCCCTTCCTCTCCCTAAGTGAACGCCATCCTGGCTTTAGGGGTAGGGTTACAGGTTAGTCCAAGCCATCCAGGGCAGAACGCTCTCTGAAGACAGTTACTGATCCAGAAGTGGGCAGAGATGCCCAATCAGACAGGAAAACTGACGGTCCATCCCTGTGGAGAGGTTTCTGACTTCTGAATATGGTGATATATGGCTATAAACCAGCTGGAGGAAGGAGGTGAAACAAAGTCAGAGCCAACAAGGAGCCTGGCAAGGCAGAAGGACACTCAGAACCTGAGCTCCAGAACTGACCAACCCTGAAGCCTGCCCTGCCTCTGAATTTTTTTGTGTGAAAGAATACATTTCCTGATGATTCCAGTGAGCTTGAGGGCAGTTTCTAAAAGCATCTTAACTGATAAAAGAACTTCACTTCTGCAAGGTCACCTCCAGTGAACAGGCAGAGCAACTATTTGAACCAACACTGTTCCTTCTGACTCAAGACTGAACTTCTTCCACTAAACCACATTGTGGCATGAACTTTGAGAAATGTTTCTTTCTTCTCATTGCTATGATCATGAGTTGGGAGAGCTAGAAAAGATTTTACCTCACTAAACATAGAAAATGTGTTTACCTCATAAAAATGTTTGAAGTAGTGGCCTCACTTGTAAACACAGAGAAGAAATGCATATCTTTACCAGAAAATTTCCAGAATTCCATATTCTGTGAAACTTCTCACTTTATATGCATTTAATTTTTAGTAGGATATAAATTCATATGTCTTTAATGAACTGAATTTTTGAAAAGCATTCCAAGTTATTACCAATTTTCCTAGGGATGATAATGGCATTGTGGTTATGTAGAAAATGTCCTTATTCTCAGAACATATATTCTGAAGTATTTAATGGTAAGGACTCATGATGTCTGAAACTTACTTTCACATGGTACAGGAAAAAAGTACTCATACAGAGAAAGAGGGACAGACTCATAAAGCCAATACAGCAAAAGGTTAATAACTACTGAATCTGGGTAGAGAGAATATGGGTGTTTGTTGACTTATTCTGTTAGGTTTTCTACATGTCTGAAAAGTTTTATGATAGAAAGCTTGGGTATGGGGGAATACGGTATGAGAGACAGCATCATAGAGCACAGTGTGGCTACACATTACAATAACCCAGGGCCTCACCTCTGGGTTGTGGCCTGGACATAGGTGATTCCAATGTGTCCTGCTAGTGTTGTAAAAAGAGCTAGAGCTTTCAAATCACTCATTAATGCCCTGGTAGCCCCAACCCCAGAAACACAATTCTGATCATTTTTATAGACTATTTTTTTAATTCATGAAAATTTGCCAATGTTCTAAATTTAACATAGGCATTAATTCCAACAATAAAGAAGCTTCAGCCCAGCACTGTGGCTCACACCTGTAATCCCAGCACTCCGGGAGGCTGAGGCAAGAGGATTGCTTGAGGCCAGGAGTTCAAGAAAAGCTTAAACAACCTGGTGAGACTCCATCTCTACAAGAAAAAGTTAAAAATTGGTCAGGCGTGGTGGTTCACGCCTGTAATCCTAGCACTTTGGGAGGCTGAGGCAGGTGGATCACCTGAAGGTCAAGAGTTCGAGATCATCTGGCCAACATGGTGAAACCCTATCTCTACTAAAAATACAAAAACATTAGCCGGGTGTGGTGGTGGGTGCCTGTAATCCCAGCTACTCAGGAGGCTGAGGCAGGAGAATCGCTTGAACCTGGGAGGTGGAGGTTGCAGTGAGCTGAGATTGTGCCATTGCACTCCAGCCTGGGCAACAAGAATGAAATTTCGTCTCAAAAAATAAAATAAAATAAAAATTATCCAAGAGTGATGGTGCACACCTTGTAGTCCCAGCTACTGGAGAGGCTGAGGTGGGAGGATTGCTTGAGCCTGGGAGGTTGAGTCTGCAGTAGGCAGTGACCACACCACTGCATTCCAGCCTGGGCAACAGAGCAAGACCTTACCTCAAAAAAAAAAAAAAATTCCTGATATTATACATACAGAAATTTGCCTGATATATATACTGGGCAACATAAGGAATGTTTGATTAACATTAAACCACCAATTAACAAACTTATATTAAGGTATCTGTACTGTGCTGAAGACCATACAGGCAAGAATAATTGAACAAACCTGGTTCTTCCCTAAACAAATCTATTCATAGAGTCTATGGCCCAACATGCCAAAATTTAATGTATAACATGCAGGGGAGAAAAAGGAATATTTAAAAAGCATTAAGCCATTTAACCTCTTCCAAAAAAAAAAGAAAGAAAGAAAAGAGGAGGAAAAAGACTCGCTAAAATCATGCTCTTTACTCCTTGCCAAAGATAAGTCACAATCTGTTAAACTATAAGAAAAGGATTCCTTGAAGAATACACAACTCCAATTCTCCAAATTCAAATTTGGGCAAATTACTTAAAGATACTCCAGTGAGTCTTACATATGGTAAAAAAGCTCTCTAAGGTCCTATATCTAAATTTCAACGGGCACAAAGCCCTCCTTAATTCTATTTATCTTTCTTACTTGAAATATGTGTTTCTGGGGTATGAGATATAGGTGAATAAAGGGTGGATGAAATAAAGAAATAAAACATAAATAACAAACTTTAAAAATATAATTCTTGGCCGGGCATGGTGGCTCACGCCTGTAATCCCAGCACTTTGGGAGGCTGAGGCCAGGAGTTCGAGACTAGCCTGGCCAACATGGTGAAACCCCGTGTCTACTAAAAATACAAAAAATTAGCCGGGAGTGGTGGTGGGTGTCTGTAAACCCAGCTACTCGGGAGGCTGAGGCAGAAGAACCGTTTGAACCCAGGAGGCGGAGGTTGCAGTGAGCCAAGATCGCGCCATTGTACTCCAGTCTGGGCAACAAGAGCGAAACTCCATTTCAAAAAAAGGAAAATACCTATTATAAGAAATGTGTGTGTGTATATATATAATATACAATTGTATATATAATATATAAAATATATATTATATATAATCGTATATTATATAATACATAAAATATATATTATATATAATCGTATATTATATAATATATAAAATATATATTATATATAATCGTATATTATATAATATATAATATAAAAATATATATATATATATATATATATATATATATATTTTTTTTTTTTTTTTTTTTTTTTTTTTTCCCTGAGACGGAGTTTCAGTCAGTGGCCCAGGCTAGAGCACAGTGGCACAGTCTCGGCTCACTGCAACCTCCGCCTCCTGGGTTCAAGCAATTCTCCTGCCTCAGCCTCCCAAGTAGCTGGGATTACAGGTGCCCGCCACCACATCTGGCTAATTTTTTGTATTTTTAGTAGAGACGGGGTTTCACCATGTTGGCCAGCCTGGTCTTGAACTCCTGACCTCAGGTGATCTGCCTGCCTCGACCTCCCAAAGATAATAAGTATTTTATCCTGAAAATATACCTTACAATCTGGTTGGCTTTTTTAAAAGTTTTATTGATATATAGTAAGTGCATATATTTAAAATGTACAATTTAATAAGCTGTGACATATGTATACACCCTCAAAACCATCACAACTTTCTAGATAATTAACAAAATTAACACCTTTGGTGGCTTTTTGAATCATATAGATTGATGGTTCTAGGAGAAATCGTTTTCAGGAAAAGAAACTTTTCATACAGATAATCTTTTTTTTTTTTTTAAAAGAAGTATCCACATAAGTATCCGAATACTGTTATTAACAGATAAACATTGAGACTTTGGGTTTTTTTTCCCCTAATTTATTTATTTATTTATTTTTTTGAGACGGCATTTCGCTCTGTCTCCCAGGCTGGAGTCTAGTGGCACGATCTTGGCTCACTGCAACCTCTGCCTCCTGGGTTCAAGCAATTCCCCTGCCTCAGCCTCCCAAGTAGCTGGTATTACAGGCACGCACCATCACGCTCAGCTAGTTTTTGTATTTTTAGTAGAGATGCGGTTTCACCATGTTGGCCGGACTGGTCTCGAACTCCTGACCTCAGGTGATCCGCAAGCCTTGGCCTCCCAAAGTGCTGGGATTACAGGCATGAGCCACCACGCCCAGCCTTTTTCCCCTAATTTAAATATAAGAGATAAGCATACGTTGTATTATCCTATCTTAGATTTAGCTCCAAATGAACAAACACCTGTACTATAAAAACAGAGATTCTTACTATTTTCAAATATCCAAGAAAATGAAAACAAAAGCCACAGTCACATAATATTTCATTTGAGAATTTAAACACACACACACACATCAGGAACTTCAGCTAATTCCAAAGCAAAACAATTTAGAGAGATTATATCTATAAATCATAGCAATATATGCAAACTTCCTAAATTTGTTATATTAGGTCTGGAGGACACCCATCTTGTAGGCAGGGCTGCTCTAGGGAAAACCGAGGAAGAAAGCGTCTTCAGTAACTGTCAAAAGCCTCCAACCCACGTTTTATTCCCCTTCCAGTGATTCTTCCATTTTTTTAGGAACTTCCCTTGTCCATGGGGCCCATATTGATGTATCAGGCTTCTCAAAGCTATGAAATAATTTTTTTAAACAGCTTCTCACTCTGTCACCCAGGCTTGAGTGCAGTGGCTCAATCATAGCTCACTGCAGCCTTGACCTCTTGGGCTCAAGCCATCCTTCTGCCTCAGCCCCTCAAGAAGCTAGCTGGGACCACAGGTGTGCACCACCACCTATAGCTAATCTTTTTTGTGCAGAGACAGGGGTCTCGCTATGTTGCCAGACTGGTCTCGTACTCCAGGCCTCAGGCAATCTTCTCAACTCAGCCTCCCAAAGCACTAGGATTACACGTGTGAGCTACTGTGCTCAGTCTTGAATAATTTTTATTCTCAAGAAACTAAAATATATCCATACTGTGTCCATATATTCTATTCTCAGGTGCACTTTTTGCTTCCCAAGGTGATAGCTAGTGAATAATAAATGGGTAAAATGTGTGCTCCATTCCCTTTTCCTCCCCTCTCTTGCTGAGCCACTGCAACAGCTAGCGCAGAGACTATTCTACCCTTAGGTGTCCAAGGACAAAAAGAAAGCCTGCTAACCATTTTTGCCCAGACTTAAAAGGAAAGATGGATTCCCAGGAAGGCCACTTAAAACTTCTTCTAGAAGGTAAGTTCACTTGATGCAAGACTAGGCTTACTGTAGTGGTCCACCCTAGACTTCCCATTAAGCTAAATTACATATTGCCTAATATAAATGATTTAATTTTCATATGGAGCTCTTTTGTCTCTAACTGGACTGTGAATACCATTATAGGCAGATGCCATGTCTTACTATTAGTCTCTGATAGCCTCAAGCACTTGGGACATGTATTAAATATTAATAAAAATGAAACAATTAATGAAAATCATTATATGTTATACTGTATTAATGCTACTTGTACTGCATAGATACTTAGGTATATCTACTTTAATATTTGAGGTGGAAATGAACCCTAAGCATTTTATTTATTTGTTTCTTTAGGAAATTACATAGTACAATCATAGAAACAAAAAATTAGTTCTTAATGTATACTAGACAAAGAAAACTTAAGATTTTCTTGCCAATTGTGCAATATAGCAGAGACGACTCCATTTCCATTGTGTAATTTTCAGTGTTACCCTTTTTCTCAGGCTCTATTACAAAGAAAACAAAGCAATAGGATAAAACAACTTAAAAGTATAAAGAAAACCTAGGAGAAATTTCAGACTCTGTCCACTGTAAGGTTTTCCAGGGTTCAGAAATGAGGATGATTCATGATTTCTGTTGGAAACTATTGACATTATTGTTTTTAATATTTCAACTCAAATTCAAATAAAAATTGTCCATTTAAATGAAATTTTGTTTTAAGATTTAGGATTCCTTTTATACCAAGTCAGCAGGCATAAAATCCATGTAAAGAATCCTTATTTTTTTCAGGTCATTATTGTACAATGTTTCATTATAACTACTCCAAATAGTAGATAACAAGCTGTAAATACCCCCAAAATAGTTTGGAATTTCCATAAAGGCAAGTATATTCATCCCTCTTCTTCCCCGCTATATCATACGTGTTTAATAAGAGTAGCTGACCCATAGTAAGTGCCCAATAAATATCTGTTGAATTAACTGAATGAGTAAATGAATAGAAGCCCAAAATGGGACGTATAGGTATAAAAAAGATCAAACTTCTTCCATGAGGCATAGATTTTATAAAGTACCATTTCTGGGAAATATCTTATTTAATCAACTCCAAAACTCAGTTTATCTAATTTTGCATTCAAATTGTTTAAAAAGTAAAAATAGACTTTGCTTTTTAAATCAAAAGGAGGACTTATTTTTGTTTAATTAAAGCTTTTCTACTACTGATGTCTAAATATGTCAGATATTTTGAGAAACTATTAAATATTTTCTCCAGATCAATGACGTTTGGTCCGTACAAAAACTCTTACTTACAGGATTTTTATGTAAATCTTTCTTGTTTAAAAATACATTTTTTATACTCTGATTTTCTGGATAAAAAGAACCCTTAAAATCAAAACTAAAGTTAACTCAAAGGGATACATTTCATTTGAGTTGAAGCCATAGAAGACAATGAAGCTGATGGTTACTTCACCAACGACCATTAATCATTCCACAACGGTGAACCTTGGAAAATGTCACAGTGGACATGGTCTGATGTTCTGCCTGGCTTTAAAGAGCCAACAGCAAAACAAAACAAAACAAAAGGAGCTGCTCATTCTGGCTAATGTGATGTTCTCAGGCAAGCCACCCTCCTCATGGTCAGGTGGCAATGATCATGGCAGAAACCAACTCCAAAGCTCACCAGGGAACCAGACATGGAATGAAAAAAAAAAAGCTTGGATGAAACATTTCAAGATAATGTGAAAAGAAAAAAATCTGTGGGCTCCTCCACATAAAATAGATTAATAGAAAATCAGTAAATAATAAATATGTTACAGTTTTCCCTTGTTACCACCTCACACAAGCTATAACTTGGTCTTAGGTTTAAATAAAAACTCCTACTCCATACCTTATATAGAGGCAAATGCAAAGGGAGCTAACAAAAAAAAAAACCTGCTATGATCAAGGAAAAAGAATTCCTATGATTCTTGGGAGGCAGACAGGATAGAGTAAAATGAAGATGCTGCATAAAAAGAAAAGACAAACGTGGAAATATTAAGAAAACTGAAATACAATGTAAGAATAAAAAGAAGGGTGTGAAAAACAGATGAAATTTAAATAAAAGGTAGACTAGTTTGATCATTTTATTTAATATGTTAAAGGTCAATATTCAATACCAAAGAGTTATACATACCAACACACGACACATTATAAACATCAATGTGAACTTTAAATTCAAAAAGAAAACTGATCATTCTAAGTTTCAGTGGGTTGGCTACTGAACAGTAAGGACAATATGTTTTTTAAAGTTGCTTTCTGCTTAGAAACCTCACATTTGAGGATCACTATTCACTCTTCTTAAAGTCAGTTAGAAGAAATATTTCTTTACATGCCTTATTTGTTTTAATAGTTGTTATTCTGAGTAAACTAGAATTTCATTTTCGCTTAAAAAAGTGAGTAACATCATGAGGTTGTGACAATTCTGCTAATAATCACAGAGACATAAAACTGAATTCAAAGGAATGTATATAATGCTAATTATATACATTGACTTTTAAATTTTAATAATTCCTAACTCATTGTTAGGGACACAGTTTCTTAAAACGCAGCCTTTCCACACAGGCCTTCCCTAGCTTTCCTAAATACAAAATTAGCTGAAATAAATTAAATCCTCCAAGCCACTATATTTTGAAATAATGCATATTTCACTGCATTCAAGGTAAAAAAAAAAAAAAGTTAGTATAAAGAAGGGTCCTTTCCAGGGATTCCATTCTTCTCAAAAAAATAAAAATATAAAATAAAACAAGATGGGTCCTACAGCCAAGTAATCCTTTCGAAATTTAAAAGTAAATAATATGATTAATTTTTCTATTTAAATACACTGCTAATGGAATCTAAGTCTGAACATGTTTTCCTGCAATGCAAATATAAGTTTTATAAACTTTAACTTAATAAAATGTATTAACTCTCAAGATACCTGAAGTTTGTTCTCAAAAATATCAACATCTGTTATAACCCAGGATGTACCAAAATCTCAGTGTTACAACATTTAAAACCCCATTCAGCTAAACCAAAGTTCATTGCTTCTTTAAAAGGTACCATATATATATTTTTGTGAACATACTAGTAAGAAGTCTCTTCACATATAAAATTAAAAGGAAAAATGCCCATTAGGTAAAAAATCTGAAAGGTCACAATTTTTAAATAATGATGAACAAATATTCATTTATAAATGCTAATGTTTACTTTGTATTTGCTTGCATTGTGTCCTTCTCAAATGCTTTTAAAAAGCACTTACAACTGACCCCTACAACTTCCTCTGTGAGTGAGCAGAGGGTAACTGCCTTCACTCATGGAGAGTGGTAAAGGTTAAGTGTAATGCTCAAGGTCACATGCCAATCAGTAGCATCACTCAGTATAGAACTTCATGGACCTTAATTCTGAGTTTATGCCATAAGATAATGCATACGTTATTTTCTTCTCCTTTTGATTACTGACAAAGTGTATAGATAGTTATCCATGTTCCTAATGTTAGAAGACAAGGATAGAAATCGCAAGCCTCAAAGGTTATTTCTACCCTTCCTTGCTCTTCTTTCCAAATAATTGTACACAACAAACATTGTTTAAAAAAAAAACCTGCGGAAATTGTATATGTCTGTAAAACACTAATAAATACCCAAATGTCCTCACAAAAAAAAAAGCTGAAAGAAAGAAAGAGGTGTGACCTATAGAATAAATGGCACGCTAAAATGTGTCAAGTGAAAAATAGACTTTCGATCTTGCAACCAAACACTTAAGCATAGGTTCTAAGTGCTTATAAATTATTATTTTTTAAAGTTTCACTGTAGATTAGCTGCTTTAAATGTATCAAAACAAAAAAGGGCAAGTTTTCTAAATTAATTATTTTAGCCAATGAAAATGTAATATATTCAACTGAACTGGGTAACTGATGATTTGGTTAAACGAAGATTTATATACACAAAATTGCCCACATTGTAATAGATATTTCATATATGTGTTTGAAAAGTTTTAACAATGTGATGGAACACTGTAACAATTCTGAGTAGATTAGTATTCAGATTTTATTACCAAGGATCTCTAATGAAAGATAATTCTGGCTTTTTATAACTTCAGAGGGCTCAGTAATTAGACTGGATTTTATTGACAAGTAAAATAGAATGATTCTATAAATGAGGCAGGCGGTAGGCCCCATGAACTTTGCTTATTTTGAAAAATATATTCCCCAATTGAGTAACCATATTAAGCGTATGGTAAAGTTTAGAGTGTGTTTTATTTACTAATTACATATGCTTCCTTTATGATTCCTGCCACACTATTTAGTGCAGCTATTTCAATAGCTAATTATTTATTAAGACTGCTCAAGAGAAAGTTTCACTCTTGAATGGAAAGAGAATAAGGATGTGGTCCCTAAGGAAATGATGCCATTTTAAATTTCACAGGATTAGGCTGATACATTATTATTATTAATCTGTAACAGATAATAACATCATATCATCATTTTTGGGACATTCCAAATCTAATTCATATAATTCATATTAATTATTAACAACATCCAACTTAATGACAGAAAGTGTGGGAGTCAGATTTTATGATTAAAAACTGGACATGTCAGGTATCAAAGAAGGATATGACAGGCATACTTTTCAGACTATTTTCTGTTTAACCTTGAAAATAAAAAATAGTTCCATAATGAAGAGTAAATTATACTGTAATTCCTCTCATTTATTCTCTATTTGCAAAAATTGAGAAAGTGAAAATTCAATTCAATAATACAAATAATAGTATTACTTATATTTGTATAAGTATCACTTATAATGTCACTCAACTACTATAAACATGAGAGTAGCATTATTTAATTAATTTCACATGCATTAATTAAGCTTCTTTAAATAAAAGGTACTGGGCACTGGAGATTAAATTATAAATGAAATACTATTCTTACCCTCAAAGAGCTTTGTTTAACAGGAGGGAAAACCACAGATAACAGCAAATGTGTGATATGTATTACACTTTAATAGAGGTATGTACATTCTATTATGCAAGTTTAAATGAAAGGGGATCAACTCAATTCATTCAATAGCTAAATTTCTTTTTTTTTTTTTTGAAACAGGGTCTTACCAAGCACAGTGGCTCATGCCTGTAATCCCAGCACTTTGGGAGGCCAAGAGGGGTGGATCACTTGAGGTCAGGAGTTCAAGACCAGCCTGGCCAACATGGTGAAACTGTGTCTCTACTAAAAATACAAAAATTAGCCGGGCGTGGTGCCGCACACCTGTAATCCCAGCTACTCAGGAGGCTGAGGCAGAAGAATTGCTTGAATCTGGAAGGCAGAGGTTGCAATGAGCCAAGTCTGCACCACTGCACTCCAGCCTGGGCGACAGAAAGAGACTCTGTCTCCAAAAAAAAAAAAAAAAGAAAAAAAGAAAAAGAAAAAGAAAAAAAAACAGGGTCTCTGTTGCCCAAGCTGGAGTGCATGCAGTGGCGTAATCACAGCTCACTGCAGCCTCCACCTCCAGGGCTCAGTAGCTGGGACTACAATCATGTGCCACCACATTCAGCTGATTTTTGTATTTTTTGTAGAGACGGGGTTTTGCTGTGTTGCCCAGGCTGGTCTCAAAGTCCTGGGCTCAAAGTCCACCTCAGCCTCCCTAAGTGCTGGGATTACAGGCATGAGCCACTGTGCCTGGTCCAGTAGCTCTATTTCTTAAAGAGTCATACAAACTCTAGATTAAAAGTATAAATCTCATAAAACATTAGGCATATTGATAAAAATTTTGATTATTTTATTGATAACAATAAATTTATCTTTACAAAAAATTGTCTAAAAAACATATTCATATTTCAAGATATGCAAAGCACATAAGAGTTAAACTTGCAAAGATGCACCAAAGACTACTCAAGATCTTTGCATATATTAACTCATTCTGTGCGATCACAATAACCCTATGAAGTAGGTGCTATTATTTCCATTTTACAGATGAGGAAACTGAGGCTAACTTGGCCAAGGTCACAAAGATAATGAGGAAAAGCTGGGGTTTAAACTTACGGAATCTGGTTCTGGAAGCCCCACTTTTTTTTTTTTTTTTTTTTAATTATTTTGTAGAGACCGGATCTCACCATCTTGACCAGGTTGGTCTCAAATTCCTGAGCTCAAGCCATCCTCCCACCTCAGCCTCCCAAAGTGCTAGGATTACAGGCATGAACCAGCGTGAGGTCCTACTCTTAACCACTACACTAGACACCTCTCTAAGACTGCTGGTGATGATGGGGTAGCTAACCTGGAGTGCTCTGTGACATGTACTCTCATGCAACCTTACAACAACCCCTTGAGAAGTCATTCTTTCCATCTACAGGACAAAACCCACAAAAGCCAGGTTAGAAACGTCCCCCAAGGTCACACAGCCAGTGAGGGATGGTGGTAAGATTCAAACTCTGGCAGCATGGCTCCCTTGTGCTATGAGGTCTTTCAATAATTCAGTCTTACACTCATAAAAAAGGTCACATGATAAAATTTACTAAACAATTCAAAAAGGTTTTGTGTAAGTCTTCCTGAAACACTCTGGAAGGTTTTGGGGCTTATGACAAGCATTTCTTTAAGACAGCATTTACATTTAAGTCACTTTTCATCTTTACTACTTTGGGCTGATCATAAACACATTTCTGCTCTTTAAAAAGAAATATTTCTGTAGCAACTTGGCAGATTTCGGTACAGGAACAGTCTATTCTTTAAAATTAAATTTAGTAACAACTTATTCTGGTTACTCTGAAAGAGAAGGAGAGAATGAACTATTAAGAGGCCTTTCCTGTACTTTAATGTTTCAAAACATGTTTGGTTTGGCCTCATTTGAATCTTGTGGACAACTAGCCCAGAACTTGACTCAAAAAGAGTAATACCATTTTAAAACAGCTGAATTCTAAAAAGCAACCTCAGAAGCCAACTCTGAGCAACTATTTCTCATAATTTTTACTTTTATTTCAAACAAAATATGAAAGATGCATATGGCAACATCCTCATAAAGCATATATAGACAGGTATTTGTACTTCTGAGCTATGGACAACCAAGAAACCAAATCAAAATTTTACAAAATTCTGTAGTATGACATTGCTGAACAAGCAATGAAGTACACAAAAGATGGATATCAAAAGAGAAATAATCCATATTTCTCTCATATCCTTAACATGCTCCATTGTGTCCAGTGACTGAGAAATTTAAAACTCTGTGTTGTAATGCCTCCCTGTAACAGAGGTGAGCTAAAGATGAAGTGTCAAGCTGGATTTCCATCTTACCTTGCTTTCCCCCAACAGGTTCAAAGACTTCATAACCTTTGATACGGACTTGATATTTTTTCAATAGGGAACCCATAAAACTATTTTCAAATAAAAACACTAAGCAATGCCACTAGACAATCTGTCTTTCTCTGCTTTATCGCTGCCCTATCGCCACGCATTAAAATTAAAAATACCTTTCTGCCTTGCCTTTATTGAATAAAAGTTTAACTTTGAATTAGAAGAAAACGTACCCATCGTCCCTTTTACACTTTTTGCAGGTGATAGAATCTATCAGATCACATTGGTGGCTATCACTGCTCTCTAAGCATCCTAAAGACAGAAAGCATGCCATTACCAAATGTTTTATAAGCGTTATAATGCCCCGATGGTGGAAGTCTGGCAATACCTAGATATACAGCAAGGCTGGTGAATAAGGAGCTGAGGGGCGGAGGAAGCGGGAGCGAGGGAGGGAGGAAAGGAGGGAGTCGCCACCTTAAATCCACGCCGGACCGGGAACCTGCAGCCCACAACCTGATCCCTGCCCTCCCCAACAGTGGACCGGCCACCACATTTTTTCAGATCCTCCTCACCCAACCCAGCACAGCACTCACCCTTCTGCGAAGAAGTCGGCACCCAGTCCAGCTCCGAGACGGGTCGGGGTGGCAGCGAGGGAGGGGGCGTCTGGGCTGTGGGCGGGGGGTGTCTGTGCGTCACTCGAGTACAGGACGGTGAGTTCGAGGGGTGGGAGCGCAGAGGAGCGGGGAAATCAAGTCACGGCCGAAAAGGGAGAAGGAGAAACGGAGGGGTGGGGTGATGGAGCGCCCCCTCCCTAAAATAAACCCACCGGCCCCTACGATCTCTGCCCCAGAGAGGGAAAATAAAATCAGGGGAAATAATAGACCAACCAATAAATCTCTAAAACGACGAGGAGCGAGGAACAGACTTTAATTTAAAGGGGGGAAAATTGAGCGAGGGCTGGAGGGGAGACAGAGGGAAGCGGCTCTGGGTCTATCCCATGCCTTTGCAGTCCCCAGGCAGAGGAGGAGGCTGGCTGAGGGGAAGTTGCAGCGGCTCCCGAGGAGGAGGAGGAGAAGGAGGAGGAGGATGTTACACCGTAACAAGTACAGACAGACAGCCATGGATCAGAGGGGCGCTGCAAGCAGGAGCAGGGGCGGCCGCGGCGGGGCGAGCGGCGGCGGGCGGCAGCACCGCCTGCTCGGCTCGCTCAAGACATTTAATTGGATTGATGGGTTGTGCAGTGACTCACAGACTTTACAGAGTCGTACAGCAATCCCCGCCCAGCTGGACAGGGGTGATGCGGCGGGGACGGGCGGGGTAAGGGGGCCGAGAAAGAGGTGAGCTAGGAGGCGGCGACGAGAGGGTGAGGAGCTGAGGGGGCGGAGCGGAGCGGAGCTACCCAATGGTGAGGCCCATCGTTCCGACGGGCGTGGGCCTCGACCTATGGCGGCGCGGCTCGTTAAGCGGCTGGCTGCACCCCTGGCCCAATGAGTCTTCTAAGGACACTGCCGCGAGCG
The DNA here is from genome assembly GCF_000001405.40 of Homo sapiens. Taxonomy (NCBI): domain Eukaryota; kingdom Metazoa; phylum Chordata; class Mammalia; order Primates; family Hominidae; genus Homo; species Homo sapiens. The sequence goes on from NC_000002.12 coordinate 64,751,205, forward strand.
GGGCGGGGGCAGTGGAGTGGGGGGTGGGGAGAGGTGGGTGGACGTTCAAGTGTGGGGTGGAGGGAAGGAGGAGGCGCCGGAGACCCGCGGAGTCACTCGGCCCTCCTCGCTCCAGAAGTGCGCCTTCTGCCAATCCGAGCGCCTCGCGGGAGTGATGGACGCGAGCGTGTGGCCAATGGGGAGGAGAGGGCTTCCGCAGCCGGCCAGAGGGGAAGGAGCGGGCGGGCCCGGCCTCCTCCTCTCCACCAGCTCCTCTCCGGGCCAGCCCTCCCCTCCCGCGCGGCTCGGGTCAGTCACGCAAATAACAGTGTGAGGGCCGGGGCTGCGCGGGGGGGCGGCGGCCCGCTGCTGGCTGCGTGACAGCGATGGGGACTGGCTGTGCTGCCTACTCTGATCCGGCAGGAGGAGGCGGCGGCGGAGGCTGGCTCCTAACTCTGCGTGCAGGCGGCGGCTGCTGCTCAGACTCTGCCTGGCGCTGCCGGGGAGCCCCTACGGCCAAACCCCACTCCCGGGGGACAGCCAGATTTGGAGTGAATCAGATCACGCAGTGCCCACTCTTGGAGACCGCTCCGGGGGAAGTCCGGCGGGGCTGTGTGCTGGGATCTGAGGAGGCTGGAAGCCGTAGGCGGGAGGCTTGGCCGTGACATTTGCCCCTTGCTTGCTTGCCTGTTTTCTGGGAAAGTCAGGGTAGGGTGTGGGCAGGTCGAAACAGCTCCTGAATACGTCCTGTTGCTTTACTGAGTTTCTGGAAAAGGCACTTCTTAACCTGGTATGAGCGAAGCTGTAAATGCATGTCGATACCTCAGCTTCCTCCAACCCTCCCTCCCGCACGGATCTTCCTCCCACTGGCTCACCTTGAACCCTGACGTCGGTGCTCCGCAGCACCCACTACTAGATCTTCTCCTCCCTGCTGATTCCCAGGAGTTATGGCTTTTCACAGTTTCTTGGCTACTGTCCAGCAATCATTTTACAGACCTTAACCCTTTACACACCCTTGTACTTGAAAGTACTGTAACTGTAACCACCAATAAACCTGAATGGAGATGTTCACTAAAGCAAATACACTGGCAAGAACCCACCTTCTTCCCCACAGGTGCATTTCTGCACGTAATTTGAGACTTAAAGACAATTGCTTCTGTGAAGAAACTAAGGAAAGGCAAATTAGACACTGTATCTCTACTCAAATTCACTTAGAATACCCGACATCCCCTTTCCACAAAGGAGTCATCTGGAGAGACCTAGGAATAATTTAGCTTTGGAGTCTTGAAGTGAGCGAAATCTTTACATACGTGTGTGTGTATGTATATATATGTATATATTTCAAATATATATATGAAATTGAAACCTACAGTGCTCTGGAATTCAGAAGAGAGATACTAAGTGAACACAAAGGTTTACTTTGGTCATATTGGGACCTTCCTTGATTATTGTCATTTTAGGATACAGATCCTTCCCCTGGGCCTGTTAAGACATACAGCCTGACACTTCTTTTCTCTTCCCTTTCTGATTTTAGCCCTACTCCATGATTTCTTTCAGTAGTCCTGAGTCCACTTACAAAAATGAGCTGTGCCACAAACTTCTTGTAGCACACAGCTTGTGTATGTGTTGCCTCTCAGTATGCTGAAACTCCTTTGGAATTCCACAGTGCAGGAAGGCCAGTGTCCTCATCCCAAGACATGATTTGCAAAAAGTGGACAGTGTTCCCTTAGCCAGGTCACCCTGTGGTAAGTGAAACAAATTAGATCCCTTGTGTGGGAAAAATTCACTTCTTTTCCAAAGTGGGTTATTGAACTACATTTAAGAATGTGCTGGCTGGGTCCAGTGGCTCATGCCTATAATCCCAGCACTTTGGGAGGCCGAGGTGGGCGGATTACCTGAGATCAAGAGTTCGAGATCAGCCTGGCCAACATGGTGAACCCTCGTCTCTACTAAAAATACAAAAAGAAAAAAATTAGCTGGGCCTGGTGGTGCGTGCCTGTAGTCCCAGCTACTCGGGGAGGCTGAGGTAGGAGAATCGCTTGAACCCAGGAGGTGGAGGTTGCAGTGAGCCAAGATCGCGCCACCGCACTCAAGCCTGGGCAACAGAGGGAGACTCCATCTCAAAAAAAACAAAAAAAAGAATGTGCTAATGATACATTTTAGAAGCCCCTTTCTTATTTCCTCCACTGTGAGGTCATTTCATGACTCAGGTGACTATAATTGATCAGAGTATTGTTTTACATATGAATAACCCTGAAGAAGATTTTGAATCTTCTTCATACACTAGAATGTAGTGCGTAGTATGTAGTTGAGTAGACATTCACTAGTATCTTTCAGAGGATCTGCAAATACCTAGGGTTAGCATCTTGTGGCAGAAGCTGCCCCTGTGTCAGTTGTTACTGGCATGCATCCAGGCCCTACCGTGTGCCTTCTAATTTTGTGCTCTCCTTAGTCCAGTGTTTCTTAAAGGGAAGACACACCCAAATTCCTGGATCTGCTGAAACCTATTGAGTTATCATCTCTGTAGGCTCTACCTGGACATCTGCTCTTTAAACAAATATCCCAGGTGACTTGAATAAATATTAACATTTTAAAATATTAAAATACTAAAATAAATATTTGATTTGAGAACCCTTGTTTATTCCTTTGTTTTGAAAATTTGAGACCCCCTGTTTATTTCTTCCTTTCCTCCTCTTCCTTTCTTATGTGTATCTATTTCTATTTCCTTTCTCCCTTTTTTTTTTTTTTTTGAGACGGAGTCTCGCTCTGTCACCCAGGCTGTAGTGCAGTGGCACGATCTCGGCTTACTGCAACCTCTGCCTCCCAGGTTCAAGTGATTCTCCTGCCTCAGTCTACTGAGTAGCTGGGATTACAGGCGCGCGCCACCATGCCCAGCTAATTTTTGTATTTTTAGTAGAGACGGAGTCTCACCATGTTGGTCAGGCTGGTCTCAAACTCCTGACCTTGTGATCTGCCCACCTCGGCCTCCCTTAGTGCTGTGATTACAGGCATGAACCACCGCGCCCGGCCTATATTTTCTACCTCTCATTTTTGTGCTCACTTCCCCTTCTACACTGCTTGCACACAGGCCTTGCGGGGAAGGAGTGATCCCTAAAAAAGAGGATGAAGATGGCCAATAGTCTTCTATAAATAACATGAGCATACCTCATAACTACAGCACTAAGAAGTATGGGCAAGTCAAATAAAGATCATATATGCCTGAAAAAAAAATCACTGTAATTGATGTTGTATATGAATTGTAATATGTGAGAAGCTTACTAGTTTATGATCTTAAAATACACAGAGACAGAATTTTTTCTATGTAGGAACATTTCAAAATGCAAATTTCAATGTATTAATTTCAACAACTATAGTATTATAGTATTATTGTCATTTTTCTTCCAAACAGTGAGATGTACTAGTGATGTACTGGTAGTATACTAGTGATGTAATAGTGATGTACTAAGGCTGTGATGGTTATTTAAAAGATAAAGTACTATATGAGATTTTTGGTGTCTCAAATGGCTTACAATCTATTTGAGAGGCTCAAAAGTACACACATGCAACATTAAAACAGGAACCTGAGGAAACGTGTAGGGAGGCTTTAAGTGTGTTTGTCAGAGATAAGCAGAATTTGGTTCATTTCTATATAGTTTTCCTCTTGCTTATCTCTACTTTCTAATCTGTTGTGATTATGAGTTGGATGTCTTTTTTAAAATCTGAAAAACAAACAGTATGTCATAATAAAAGATTTCCTTTTTATTGTTATTTATATATTTATGATTGTAGCTGATCAGTCTCGCTCTGTCGCTCAGGCTGGAGTGCAGTGACGAGATCTCGGCTCACTGCAAGCTCCGCCTCCCGGGTTCAGGCCATTCTCCTGCCTCAGCCTCCCGAGTAGCTGGGACTACAGGTGCCTGCCACCACGCCCGGCTAATTTTTTTTTGTATTTTTAGTACAGACGGGGTTTCACTGTGTTAGCCAGGATGGTCTCGATCTCCTGACCTCGTGATCCACCCACCTCGGCCTCCCAAAGTGTTGGGATTACAGGCGTGAGCCAAGCTCCTTTTAAACAGATTTGAACATATACTACCCACATAGATCAGGAAGCAAAAGCAAATCCTCTATCAAGGATAAAGGATTCCACCCAGACCTCATAGAATTTCTACATATAAAGCCTAGGCAAACATGAGCTCACAATCCAAATTACAAAACAAATGAAGAAAAAGGCCATTGTGAGCAAAAGAAGGTTGAGGGAAAAACTTTTTTTAAACCTACACAGCCAAATTAGATTCTCAATCTGAAAAAAGAACAGATCAAGAAAAGAATAGGCCCATTTCACTTATGAACATAGATGCAAAAATTATAGGTAAAATACTAGCAAACTAAATCCAACATGCTTATTACAGTGAGCTAGGAGAAACCTTAAAACGTATTTCCCTGTCTTTAGAATGCATTTATCTGACTAGCCACCTATCTAGTCCTCTATCATGAAAACATAATAAATTAGGTAGACTTTACTCCAGAAATTCAAGTATGATTTAACATCAGAAAGTCTATCAATATAATCCATTTCAAAAGACTAAGAAAAAGCATTTGAGAGAGTATATAACTTATTAATGATAAAAACTTTTATAAGATTAGGAATAGAAGGAAATTTACTTAACCTCATAAAGGACCAAAATGTACAGCAAGTACATTACTTAATGGATTAACTTTAAACACATTCCACATAAGTTTGAGATCAAGATAATGTTGCCTCTACTATTTAATATGACGCTGAAAGTTCTGGCTAACAGAATGATATTTTTTAAAGGAGGAGGAAATAGAAGAATTAGAAGGAAGGAAACTAAATTTGGATTGTTTGCGGTAATACGATCAACCACGTAAAACATCCAATAGAAATAGCAAGCTATTAGAAATAATAAGCGTTCAGCAAGGTGACAGAGATGTTGTTCTCCCCTTCTTCCATAATACTAGGTTTTTTAGCAGGGCACAGGGCCAACCAGAATAAAAACAACATTTGCCAGCCTCCCTTGCAGCTAAGTATTGTCATGCCCCAGGCAACGGGTTGTAAGCAGAAGTAGTGCATACATCCTTAAAGGGAGAAAGTGTGCCTTCATCCTCTTTCCTGTTATCTGGAATGCAGACATAATGGCTGCAGTGTTAGCAGTCATTTTAGATCATAAGCTGACCTTGGATAGGGAAGCCACACATGGCAGAGCAACAAAACAGAAGACACCTGATATAACAGTACCAGCCCTGAGTTATCTACTCACCAAACTTCTTGAATTTCTTGAATAAACCTCTGTCTCATCATGACACTTTTATTTCAGTTTGTGTTTGTGTGTTTGCATTACCTATAGCCAAATCTAATCCCAACTGATATAGCAAGATTCCCAAATAGAAAATCAATTCATGGCCCTGCACAGTGGCAACACTTTGGGAGGCTAAGGCAGGTGGATCATCTGAGGTCAGGAGTTAGAGGCCAGCCTGGACAACATGATGAAAAACCCTGTGTCTACTAAAAATACAAAAATTAGCCTGGTGTGGTTGTGCATGCCTGAGTCCCAGCAACTCAGGAGGCTGAGGCATGAGAATTGCTTGAAGGATCAGAGGCGGAGGTTGCAGTGAGCCGAGATCACGCCACTGCACTCCAGGCTCGGCAACAAAGTGAGACTTGGTCGCCAAAAAAAAAAAAGAAAAAGAAAATCAATTCATGGAAACTGAAAGTATTCATTCACACTTACACTAACAAACTAGAAAATAAGATACTATTTATAAAAGCAACAAAACTATAAAGTATCCAGGAATTAACATATTTGAATTTATTGAAGGAATTCAAAGGAAACCCAAATAGAGGTATATATAATGTTTATGGATAAGATGATGTAACGTTATTAAGATCTCAATTATCTCTAAATGTGTTTATAAATTCAATGCAAACCAAACTTGTAGCAAGATTTGGGGAATTTAAACGTATTCTAAAATGCACATGGAAGACTAAATTTCTTTATAAGTCGGTCATTTTTTATAGTAGCAGACATACAGAACCATGAAACAGAATAGAGAACTCAGAAACAACCCATTTACATAAGAGAATCTGATATGTGATCATGGTAACACCACAAATCCATGAGGAAATCATGTTGAGTTAGTCAGCTATTGCTTGCTGCAATAATAATATTATGTAACAGATAATCCCAACTTATCAGTGGCTTATGGTAGTCATTTATTTTTCTCCCTTATGGGTCTGTATATGAACTGAGATTCAGCTCATCTCATCTGGGCTCCTTAAGACTTGGTTGGGTTCAGCTGAATTCAGCTGGACTTGGCTCCAGGATGCAGGTCAGATTCAAGTCTTCACCACATGTCTCCTTCTGGCAAGAGGTCAAGCCAAATCATTCAAATACATTTAACACCTCTCCTCTCATCATATTCACCAACATTCCATTGGCCAAACAAGTCATATGGCCAAGTTGAACATCAATAGTGGAAGGTAATGCAAAACTTCATGCCAAAAGGCACAGGTGTATAATTGTAGAGCCAGGAGAACAAGAAGGATTGGGAACAATAATCCAATCTAACACAGAGATTTGGTTTCATAGATAATGTTGGGGAAATTGATTCACTGTGAGAAAAATATAAAATTAAACCCCTATCTCATACCATATGCAAAGGTGAGCTCTACATTAGCAACAACAACAACAAAAAAAAACCTAAAAGTAAAAGGTAAAACTAATAGAAATTAAAAATAGAAGAATAGCTTTGTAATCTTAGGGTAGAAAAAAGAAGAAAAGCATTTAAACAAGACTCAAAGCATAAACTATAAAATCAAAAAAAGATGAACTTGATGACATCAAAATTTTAAACTGTTCTGTTCAACAAAAAACATCATAAACAAGTTTAGAGAAAGTTGATAGATTGGAAAGTATTTTCAAAGGCTGAAGCCAACAAAAGATTAATATCTAGAATATACAGTATTAAGAATTCCTACAAATAACTGAGAAAAAAAAGAAATGCAATAGAAAAATAGCCAAAGGATATGAACAGGCAGATTTATAGAAGGGAACCTTGAGAGACTAACAAGTAGATGAAGAGATATCCAACCTCACTTATAATCAGATAACTGTACATAAAAACACCAAAATACTTATTTACATCTATTAAATAGGCAAACGTGAAAGTTTAGTAATATCAAGTGTTGCCTAGGATAGGAAGAAATTTGAATCCTCCTGCTTTGTTATTGGGAGTTAAGTCCTGGTACAATCATTTTGGAGCATTAACTAACAATACTTAATGAAATATAGAATGTGGTAGAATGTATTTTTCCCGATGACCCAGCAGTTCCACTCCTGGGAATGTGCACCCCTAAGAAGCTCTTGCACAGGTCCTTAAGTGACCACAATTGAGGTGTTCATCACAGCAGCACTTGAGCTAGCCAGATATTGAAGGCAACCTTAGCATATACATCACCAGCACAATGGGTAAGTACGAGGTAATGGGTGCCATGGAACAACATGCAGCTGTTGGAAGTAATGCACTAAGTGTACATTTTGCAACATGGATACATTTTTTTAAATGTTTTATGAATTTTTTAAAAAAGGTAAACAGAACAAGATCACGTAAGCCCCAGGCCTTTGAATGTCTTTCCTATAGGGTACATCTCTTTGTTTTTCATTTCTGCTTTTAGCTGGGACACTTTGAGGGAAGGGTAGGGTAGGTATTGTTACAATTCACTTCTGACAAATATTTTCTTCCAGTTCTCACATGAGGTTGAGGCAGATTTTCATGCAGTCCCCAGGCCCCCATGGTTTCTACCCTCATAGCATCCACCATCACCTTCCTGCTCCCCTTTTGCATGTTTAAAAGACATTTATCGATTATATGTTTTCTTCTCAGGCTGGGTGCAAGATGAGTGATGGCTGTTGAGGAGTGGGCCACAGTCTGAGATATAGAAAACAATCCTGCTACTCTGCTATTCGTATCTGCTCACATCCCCATTTCCAAGTTAAAAACATACGAACAGATCAGGTGCGGTGGCTCACGCCTGTAATCCTAGCACTTTGGGAGGCCGAGGCGGGCAGATCACTTGAGGTCAGGAGTTTGAGACCAGCCTTGCCAACATGGTGAAACACTGTCTGCATTAAAAATACAAAAATTGGCTGGGCGCAGTGGCTCAGGCCTGTAATCCCAGCACTTTGGGAGGCTGAGGCAGGCAGATCACCTGGTCACGAGATCAGGAGATCAAGACCATCCTGGTTAACACGGTGAAGCCCCGTCTCTAATAAAAATACAAAAACAAAATTAGCCGGACGTGGTGGCAGGCACCTGTAGTCCCAGCTACTCGGGAGGCTGAGGCAGGAGAATGGCATGAACCCAGGAGACGGAGCTTGCAGTGAGCTGAGATCACGCCACTGCACTCCAGCCTGGGCAACAGAGCAAGACTCCGTCTAAAAAAAAAACACCCAAACAGTCCTGGATTTTTCAAAGTTGTAAGACTACTGATCTAAACATATATTTACTTATGTATCTTTGTACACCTCTTAATGTGCTGTCAGTTCTAATAATAACCATAAGGATAAAACAATAACAGTGATTATAATATCAACTTTGTGTCAATAAGCAAGCAGTAGGCACGAGGGCCATTTAGAGTTGAGAAGCATGAGATGAAAAAAGAGAGCCGAAGAAGATTAGGTTAAATATCAGAAATAGCTCCCTGAAATCAGGATTGATGAACAAATGGAGTTACCAAAAGGCTGGGGATACATGGGTAGTTTTCTGAAAAAAAATTTAAGGGTTTTCTAGCTAAAGACAGGGGAATGGATGAGATGGTTCTTGAAGTTTCTCCCAGCCCTGTTAGGTTATGAGCCCTCCAGTAGGCATGTTAAAAACAAAATCGTTTCCCACAAAGGTACGCTCAGAATAACGCCTGTTTGAATTATGCTGCTTTAAAAGCCAGTCTCTGCCCGAAGCTTTTCTTAAGGGCTATTACCAGTATACTAAATTCTGACCCTTAGTAATGGCTAGGATTTCATGGCCCTCAAACTCTCATATGTAGGAGCTTGCCTGAGCTCAGGTAGGGAGCTCTACAGGAAGGCCCCTGTTGTGAGGCCCAGCTGCTCATACCCTTTCCTGGTGGACTAGCAGCAGCTGCAGGCAATTCTCCAGCAAACTTTGGGTCCCTGAATCTTGCAGAAGCCAGAATATGATCCTGCCGGGATGACTGTTCTCGGAATCGCATTTCTTACTATTCTCGCCTAGGGTCTGTAACACTCACCACCAGCTCCCAATATTGGGGCCTTAATGTTAGCTTGCATCTGTTTCATAAACCTGACCCTAAAAGGTCTAATGATTTATCCAGCTGCAGTTTCTGTAACTCCTAGGAGCTGTTGATCAGTCATTCCATCTTTGCTCAGTAATTACTTACTGAGTTCCAGGGAGCCTTGGGAGACGTATTTGGAAAAGTAGACTGAGTCCAGATTATAGAGCATTAGATGCCTGGTTAAGAGTTTCAATTTATGGGATAAGACAATAGGGACCCTCTGGTGGTGGTTGAGAACTGGAAAAGCAAAATGAAGAGTGTTTTAAATTTAATTGAACAGGCCTGTCACAGTGGCTCACGCCTGTAATCCTAGCACTTTGGGAGCACGAAGCAGGCGGATCACTTGAGGTCAGGAGTTCGAAACCAGCCTGGCCAACATGGTGAAACCCCATCTCTACTAAAAATACCAAAAAAATGACTGGGCGTGGTGGCTCATGACTGTAATCCCAGCACTTTGGGAGGCCGAGGCGGGCAGATCACGAGGTCAGGAGATCGAGACCATCCTGGCTGACATGGTGAAACCCCGTCTCTACTAAAAATATACAAATTAGCCGACTGTGGTGGCAGGCGCCTGTAGTCCCAGCTACTCGGGAGGCTGAGGCAGGAGAATGGTGTGAACCCAGGAGGCGGAGCTTGCAGTGAGCCGAGATCATGCCACTGCACTTCAGCCTGGGCAACAGAGCGAGACTCCGTCTCTTAAGAAAAAAAAGAAAAGAAAAAGAAAAATTAGCAGGGGTTGGTTGGTGGCAGATGCCTGTAATCCCAGCTACAGGAAGCTGAGGCAGGAGAATTGCTTGAACCCAGGAGGTGGAGGTTGCAGTGAGCCAGGATTGTGCCACTGCACTCCAGCCTGGGCTATAGAGCAAGACTCCGTCTCAAAAAACAAAACAAAACAAAACAAAACAAAAAAATTAATTGAACAAACACTTGTTGAGGAAAGGGACAAATAGCTATTAGGTCCTTATTACAAGAAAAAAGGAAAACACTGTGGTAAACCCAGGAGGAAGAAAAAAAGTCCCTGCCTTCAAGGAATTTATAGCTGCTAGATTTTGTTCTGTTTTTGTTTTTAATATAGGGGGGTAGTGTTTTGAGGTATTAACCAATGTGGCTTTCCTGCATTTCCTATACTCCTGTCCATTTTCTTGGGGTACAGAGGTAGCACAGCAGAGATTTAGAAACAAAGAAAAGAATCGATTCTTGATTTGTAGTTTTCAAAATGAACTTTAAGAACTCACAACAGAGACAATAGTTTTAAAGAAGAAGCGTGGGTTTTCATAAGTTACAATGCAACATGAATGACAGATTTTGAAGCAGGACAGCTACATAATTTGTGGAGCTTGGAAATAAAAAGGGCTGTTAAAGTACTAGAATATAAAGATGTTCCCTTTCTTCTGTAGTGTGTCTCCGAACTTGTGGTGTGGGTTTTTTTCATTTATTTAACGTCATTCTAAGTTTTAAAAATGGAAAATTTAATTTATTAGCTTGACTATTATTGTTCATTTTTATATTGTGCACTACCAGTTTTAAGTGCAAATATAAGAGCATTTACTTTATAGTGGAATCACTGAAATTATCCAGTTCACATTTCAGCTTGTACATGCATATGCATTTTGTTCTTACCAGAATATTGGAAACACTGCACAACCAGCTCAATTGCTTTTATTCCTTGATATGTAAGCATTCTACCAACACTCTATCTTCAGCTTAGTGATGAGCAAGGAATGGCTGAAAGGAAAAAGAACTATACATTGCCCAATATTTCCCATTTCTTCTACGTCTTCATGTTCAGCATATGTGATTAGCTAATACAGGGAAATATAACAAGTAAGAAAAGATATATGATCCATTTCCCTGGTCATTCACATTTTTTAGAATGCCATTGCCTTTTTTTCTGCATTCAAAACAAGTTCTGGTTTGAATGGAAAATGTGACCTCTCAGGGCTGTCAGCACCCCCACTTACCAATCAAAGATGAAACACACATGTCACTGAACCTCCGAACATTGTAAGACAACCAGAATTCTGGGCTTGTGGGGCAGCAAGGAACAGCAGATGTACAGCTGATGAATATCTCCTCTGCTTGTGCGCCATTGTCCCAGCAGACATCACCTACAAATCATAGGTTCAAAAGTAAAATTAAGACTTTCAAGATAGCACGGCAGAGTATTAAAACAAACCTGGGCCCTTCTGAGTGTGAGGCCCTGTACAACTGCAAGGGATCTGTGATGCTAGCCATGTTTGGAAGAATAAATGAAGAGCCAGACTACCCAGCTGCAGACAAGATAATGATGCTGTGGACTGAGGGTAGGAGAGAAAGCCAGGGGCTCTAGATACGAATGTATCTCTGAGAAAGGGGGATCTGAGTCATGATCTTGGCTTCAACACTCCCATCTACCCATCAGGTCATTCCCCAGAAGCCCCTGGGAGGTTGGAAAATGAAAGCAGGAAAGAGCTGCTGTACCTTGCTGCCAAGGCTTTATATAATCCATTGAAACCTTGGAAAATATAGAAAATCCCAATAAAATAATTAAACTATCTATAATCCTACCGTTCAGGGAGAGTCACTGTTCGAATTTTGGTTCCTAAGTGATTTGAAATATATTCGTACAAAATGTGTAAATGTAACAATATATGGTAATCATTTCTCATAATACTGCATGTGCTTCTAGAAAATGATTTTTAAGTCAACATTGCTTTTTAAGGTGAGTATTTGGTGGTGGTTTGTACGATGAATTCTGGAGGAAACAATCTGACAACAGAGAGCCTGGTCAGGAGAGAAACACAAGAATCCAAGAGGGGCACTATGGAGGCTTGCAGTGGAAAGAGGAAGGAAAGGACTGGATGGGGCTTAAAAAGATAGTGAAAAAAGCAAGTCACCAAAGCTTCTATCTATATATAGTTCAAAAGCAGACAAAATTAAACACCATGTTATTCAGTAATATATATGTAGGCAGTAAAACTACATAGAAAGATGAAATTCAGGATGATAGCTCCTGAGGTGGGGCCAGGGAGGCAAATGTGCTCAGAAATGGGCTCACAGTGACTTCCAAGGGGCTAGTAATGTTCTATTTCTTAAGCTGGGTGGTAGACACATGAGTGTCGATTTATGATTATTTCTTAAGCTGTACACTTTCATTTAATATACTCTTTTGTGTGCATGATATAATATAGGCCTATATATCTTAGGCCAATTCCAGAAGATAAGGTTTTCCCCAGCCTCAGTCTCTGTATCCTGAGATTTTGCCAGATAGGTTATAGAAACTGAGGCTCTTCCGGGAAAACACCCAACTTCTTCACCACCCACAGAATTTAATCTTGTTGCTCTTAAGTAGCTGACTGGAGTATATTTGTCTGAAAGGTTATGTCTGAGCTGAGACCAGCACCAATGCAGGAATGCACTAGAATATAGATACGCAGACATACATGGATACACAGCAGACCTAACCATGTGTGGCCAGGACTGGAAAAGCTTTCTGCTCTGGAAGTGTCTTCCTTGTAGCACAAACAGCAGGTACATGGCATGTTTTTCCAGCTTCAGGACAGCCACCCCTAACCAAATCTAGGATGTGGAAGGGGAGGAGTAGCTGCCAAGTATGTTATAAAGTCCTCTTCAGGTTATAGCATATCTGCAGGATCCTTAAGGACAAGTACGTTGTGATCTTGCCTTTCCCGTATCCCAACTGGGTAGACGTGCTACATGAGATACTTTCAGCAGCCTTACAAACGTTTCTTATTCTAATATACAGAATATGTTTTATTCTAATATATGAATATTGCATATTCATATATATTATATTAAATATATAATATATATATCGCTGACACCTAAAAGCCATGATTATTGCTTAGAGCAAAGCTAAACTGAAGTAGAGAGCAAAGGTAGCCTGAATTAAAGTTTTTAAAAGCTTTCAAAAAGGTCCCTATAAATAGTATAGCTGGTGCATAGAGAGAGTACAAATCACGAAAGTGGTCTACTTTGGTGGAAAGTTTGCACAGGAATTTTGTGGTTCTTAAGAAAGTGGAATATGGGCAGTGAGCAGCCCTACTCTATGACCCTAACCACAACTTGTGACCCAAGAGACTATTGTAAATCTCTCCTCATTCCAATAATAAATCTATTTTGAGCTCTTCTTATCTGCCAGGCTCTGGTAAAGTGCTCTGTGTACATTAGCTCATATACAGATACACTCAAAATATTTCCATTTATTCAAATATATCCCTCCTCCTCTTCTTCCTCTTTGTCTTCATCAAAATCTTCATCACAGGGCATTAGTGCTGGGTCCTCTGAAGGGAAACCGCCCTGGCACCATCAATCCTGCACCCTTTCCTATTGTACTGAAGAGTAACAACACTAACTTATACATAAACCTATGTAAGAAACACCTACAATGGAATTGAAAACAAATCATTTGGCTTATTTCTGGCATGACTCCTGTAGTGCACAACCCCTTTTCTATCTCAATGCCTGTGCTTTTTCACTTTTGTAACAGGCAGAAGGACTGTGTACACATTACCTCACTGGAATATTTTGGAATCTAACTACTTGATCTCTAGTACAGAAAGCCATTGTAGGAAATGTGAATTCTGATAAACAGATCTTTGTTTTAAGTTACACTCTGGTGTAACGTAAAATTGATGTTATAAATTTTTTACATAATTATTTTATAATGGATACTCAGTAGACCTTTAACTCTGCCGTTACTTCTATTCCTAACATGCCACAAGAATAGAGGAAAAAATATGAACAACAGAATGCTTTTTAAAATGCTGATAACACAGGTCTACCAAGCTTTGAGCAAATGATTTCTATGGTGATTCATAGATTAGGTCCAGCTAGGTTGAGAGTGCTGAGGAAGAACAGTACGGAGGTTCCTCAAAAAACTAAAAACAGAACGACCATCTGACCCAGCAATCCCACTACTAGATATATACCCAAAATAAAGGAAATCAGTATCTCAGTGAGATATTTGCACTCCCATGTTTATTGCAGCACTATTCACAATAGCCAAAATTTGGAAGCAAAGTGAATGTCCATTAACAGATGAATGGATAAAGAAAATGTGGTACATATACACAATGGAGAAGTATTCAGCCATAAAAAAGAATGAGATCCTGTCATTTTCAACAACATGGATGGGGCTGGAAGACATCATGTTAAGTGAAATAAACCAGACAAAGAAAGACAAACTTCACATGTTCTTACTCAATTGTGGGAGCTAAAAATTAAAACAATTGAACTCATGAAGATAGAGAGTAGAATGATGGTTACCAGAGGCTGGGAAAGGTAGTCGGGGATGGCAGAAGTGGGGATGGCTAATGGGTACAAAACTAGAGTTAGAATGAATAAGCTCTGGTATTTGATAGCACAACAGGGTGATTACAGTCAACAATAATTCACTGCACGTTTAAAAATAACTAAGAGTATAATTGGAATGTTTCTTTTAGTATAAACTAAAAGAAAGTTAAGTGTTTGAGGTATACGCTATTTACCCTGATGTGATAAGTATGTATTGTTTGCCTGTATCAAAATATTTCATGTACTCCATAAAATATACACCTACTATGTACCCATAAAAAATTTTTAAAAAGCATGCTAAGGATGAAAGATTAGCTTTGTTTGTTTCCCAGTAAACTTCTCTAAAATAATAATCCCAAAACAGAACTTCTACAAATATTGAGTGTCTACTATGTACCCTCAGGCCTCCACAGACAAGCAAAAGAAGAAACTGAAGATTTCCCTCCAAAGATTAACTCACCTGTAAATTAAAGAGAGATCTGCCTGCCATATGTGCCTAAATTTAGAAAAAAAATTAAGGGTATTTTTAGTTAAAAAATTTTTAATAGATGATACATACTCAATTCCAAGATACAAAAGGATAGATCATGGAAAATAATTTTCTCTCCCATCCTAGCCTCTCAGTTACCTCCCAGAAGGCAAACATTGTTACAGGTTTCATATATATAATTTGAATATATATACAAGTTCATATATACCATGTATACTTATTTTTCTAAAGTAAATCATAGTAGTTTATATTGTTTCTGCACCTTTCTTTTTTCACTTAACAATATCTTGGAGATACTTCCCTATCAGTACATAAAGGGATTGTTTTAATCTTCTTCAAGGCCACATAACAGTTCATTATATAGATGTACCATGATTGTGGGACATTAATATTGTTTCTAACCTTTTGCTAGTACACACATTGCAACAACCAATGACTTCACATGTAAGTACTGCATCTGTAGCATAAACTTCTAGAAATGAAATGACTGGATCCAAGGGTAAGTGCAGTTGCCAAATTGTCTTTCATGAGGGTCCTGCCATCAAATGGGTGTTTTATAATGAATGCACTGTTAACAATTGCTATTGTGGTTGTTGTTTAAGTACTCATACAGTGGTAGGGCACAGTACTCTCCTCAGCAAAACCATGTAATAATGCTGTTTTTACAGACACCCCCACTTCATAGACTAGTTGTTAGCAAGAACAGTACATTGTATGCTACTCTACTTGAATTTTGTGGTTATAGAATAATTGGCATGGTAACCAAGCCATGGTTTAGTTAGGCTTTAAAAAACAAACCTATATCTATGTATGTATATCCAATCCTTTTTCTTAATAAATCTAAAAGGCAGTCGACTCTGGAGTATGTGGAGTTTAGAAAGTGAAACTGACTAGAAACCAAGATGAAAGATAATCAGGCTTCCTCTTCAGTGCTGACTGCAGCAGACCAACCAAATTATAAGAAATAAATTACCGTTAAAAAAATTCCCCGTTTTAATTACTGCAAATGTTAACGTGACTAGGTAAGAACTATTTTTAATCACCTATAATTACACGGTTAGTGTACAGCTAAAAGCACGAAGTCAGTATCCAAAAGCCACAATTAAAAAAAACAACAACACTAAGACAAACTTTGCTTTTGTTTGAAATGTGCAATATTTTTCCTTTACATGCTCTCTCTTCCCGAATAAATGCTACGTTTAGAATTGCTAGGGTTCCGCAGATACAGAAAGCCAGCTAGAAACATCCCTTCCCTGAATTCGATGGGCTTACGTCTTACCCAGCTTGAGCAAATTCTTGGCGAATATTTCATGAACTCACAAGAGACGAATTTGACATATTTAGAAGGGATGTAAAATAAAGTAGTGTAGGTTTTAAAGCTTTAGAAAATTGGGGAATTCCTTGGGCCAGAGAGAGATCATTAGACCTGCAATTCATACTTGGAATTACAAAGGGATACACAAAATTGAATTCTTTCCGATCATTGTGTATTAGCATCTCCCATTCTAGGTAGGATTTTTCGTTCACGATGAAGGCAAGGAGAGGGAGGGCCAGCTAGGTCCGCGGTCGGAGGAGTGTCTATAAATAGAAGGTGAAGTGTTCTAATACCGACAGGGTGCGTCATAGCGTCCCTCCCCCGAGCCGAAAGCGCCCAGGCAGCCCGCGGGAGCCACTGCGCGGCACCGGGACGCCCGCCCGGCTTCCCGCTCCCCGCCCTGGCCCGCGCCCCTCTCCCTCCTAGGAGCTGGAGACCTGCAGGCAGGGGCAGGGGACCCGGTCCTCTGCAGAACCCGAGCTCAGGGTTGCGTTAGACCCACTCCGGGGCGCACGGTCTTCAGCGGAGGGACGGCGGGGTGCGAAGGACCGAGGCGCCCCTGCTCGGGTGGCAGCCGATCGCCGCCTCCCGCATCCCCCGGCTGCCTCCCCCGTCCGGTCCTACCCTCCTCCCTGCCCGCGAAGGGAGAACAATAACCCGAGCGCGCCTGGGAAGCGGAGACACTGGGAGGCGGGCAGACAATGCGAGGGAGTTGCGAGGGGGCAGCCCCAGCGCACCGCGCGTTCTCGCTGTGTCCCAGCCGCGCCCGAGGGCTTGGCCTGGGGCAAGCGGGCCGCGGGGGCGCAGTAAGAGGCTACGTGGAAGATAATTTAGGTCTCTTGAAATCTAAAATCTCACAGCGTCTGTTCAAGGCCGGGGAGAATTTCCTCCAGTCTAGATAGAACATCAGCAGTTGGTTAAAATACACACAGACATGTGTGTATTTGGGTCCTTTTCTATTTTGGATCTGAATCTCTAAAGTCACTTTTGGAATTTCCATAAGCCTGTCTTTTTGTAAACAGATTTTTCTGGGATTCCCCCACCCCGACTCCTGTCTTGCGCTGCTTGTTCTTCCAGCTTGACCCTGTCCAGGTATCCCTCCCTCTCTCCCTCCCTCCTTCTTTTCCTCCTTCCCTCTCTCCCTACACACATACATTTGCCCCAGTTTGCACCTTTTTTTTTTTTTTTTTTTTTTTTGGTGCTGCAATTCTTTCTCCCTTTTGATTGGCGCTTTCTTTGGGTTCTTCTGCCCTTTTCGAAGTGCTGGTTTTATTTCCATCCCTCTCATAATTTGTTTTCTCCAATTCATTTCCTCTTTTTTTTTTTTGTCACAAGTAACTGTATCTGCATGATTTTTTCTTCCTACTGCCATAAGTTCTGTTCCCTTAAGGGCTCAAGCGTTCCTGGGGTAGGGAGGGGACAAGAGAATTTCATTGCATTTTATCTGAGGGAAATAATGTGTTGTAGTTCCACTTTCAGGGAGTCGGGGATACTGGGATTTTATACTTACATATGGGTCAAACCGTCTTAGCTGAATAAATCACAAACCTCTGTAATATCTAGGGTGCTTGGGTGCTTGCTTACAATAAAAAAGGCATGCAGGAAAAGCGGCGGTGGGGGGGGAAGTATTTTCAAATTAGGTCTCTAAATAGGGATTTTACAACATCCGTTTATTATTATTATCATATTATTATTATTTAGAAATGGGATCTCACCATGTTGCTCAGGCCGGTCTCCAACACCTGGCCTTAAGGGAGCCTCCCAACTTGGCCTCCCAAAAGTGCTGGTATTACAGGTGTGAGCCAGCATGCCACCCTCCACTTATCTTAAAGTAAAATTTTGATTATATAGTATGTGAAAGAGACTGGCATCTTTCATTCACCCATGAAGTGCCATCTCCTTGGTCTCATTTTTTTGCATTTGTCCTCATCTGCGGAATGTCTGGCCACTTTGCTGTTTCCTCTGGGTGTGGTTTAGAGTACAAAGTACAACCCTTTATCAACCAAGCAAATCAGAAATAGCTCCTAGATGTGGGACGTGAGAAAAAAATCAGGCAAAAGAATGGTTAACATTTTAACAAAAAGCATGCTGTTTGTGGCTGAAATATTTGGAGGTAAGAAGGTGTGTGAGTGGTCCCAGGGTGAGGGGGCGAGGTAGGAGTGGGGGTTGTGCAATTATGATAAATATCTAGGAGGCAGTTCTCTTTGCCAGGGCTGACCCCCAGGTTGGGCGGGGCCTGGACATAGCACAGATCACGTTTCTCCGCAAGTGATACCAGATAGAAATGAATGTGGTGCAGCCATGACAGAAAAACCTACAACCAGTGGCAGCAATGACAACATGCAGAGATGAGGAAGAGTTGTCCAGCTGAGGAGAGAGAAGTGCAGGGTAACTGACAGGTTTGTCTTTGTGGGTACCAGCTCTGTATCAGGAGCCCTTCCTCCATCCTGCCACCTCTTCTGCCTGCCTAAGTTACCAAACCTGCTTTCTGCCAGCCAGGACCTAGATTGAAGGGGAATCAAGAACAAGCTATAGGTCATGAGCAATCCTAGCCCCACATGCCAGCCTCACACCCTTCAAAACATTGTAAAGATTTGAGCATCCAAAAGTCAGGTTCTAGCCAGCAGGGTTAAGACTCTAAAATAATAATCATATTGTATCAGTATTGAAATTTATTTTATGCTAGGTACTCTGCTATGTGCTTTAACACAGTATCTCATTTAATCTATGTGCTTTAATCTCAGTATCTCATTTAGCAACAAGAGGACTTTGAGATATATATTAATACTCTTATTTTACACATGAGAAAACCAAAGCAGAGAGGAGTGATTAAGGGTTTATTTGCCTTTGGTCACAAGGCTAATGAGTAGTAGACCAGGACTCAAACCGCTGTCTAGCTCCAAAGCCTGTAATATGAACCCCTCTGAACAAGGAGGAGATAAAGGCCATTCCCAACCACGAGGACCTGAAAACTCATCATCTAGTGAGGGACAGTTGCAGTAGCTCTCTCTTATTTATCACTTAGGGACCCAGGTCTGTGTTTACAGAGGTCTACAATTCTGCAAAGAGAGCACTATGACAATCACCTTTGTTCCTTTGGAACTTGATTCAGGTCCTTTTAAGGAGAATCTGTAAACCTGAAAGAGCAAGGATTTCTGAGAGGACCCTAAACTGTCCTAAGCTGTGCTATCAAGTTTGGGGAGCAAAGCCTTTATCTGCACAGAGCAGGAGAGTTGGCTCCTTCCAGCAGCAAGAGAGCAGATCCATTACCAGGAGCAGTCGCGGCAACAGCAGCTGTCAGCAGTGATGAGGCAGGCCCCGAGCAAGACGCTGCAGCTTGGGCAGCAGTGGCAAAAGATGAGGGTGGGGAGCAGTACAGTTGTAGTGGGAAGAGCCTTGATCAGAGACAGGTTGGCAACAGCCCCAGAGATGAGCCAACACTTAGGTCAGCAGACATTGGAGGAGTCCCAGACCCTACCGGATTGAGTGCAGGCAGCCACAGGCTGGAGGTGTTTGACTAGAAAAGAACAGTAGAACTGCAGTACTTAACAAGGACTCTGGAGCCAGCCTGCCTGCATTCACACCCTGCCTCCATCCCTTCCCCACTCTGTGACCTTAGACAAGTTCATTAACCTCTCTGTGCCTTAGTTTTCTTATCTGCAAAATGGAGATAATAATGCCACTAATACCTCCCTCATAGGGCTGCTGTAAGGGCTAAATGAGGGAAGGCTCACAACGGACCGTCTTGGGCACATTGTAAGTCCTCTCTCAGTGTAAGGTGTTCTTATGATAATTATTCAGCATGAACAGGCTGAGCCCCCTGGAACTGACAGGGTAGGAGGGCAACAGGGAGAGTCCCGCTTGGGGTGTCCATTCCCCCAGTAAGAAAATAAAGCAAAACCAGATAACAGACTGATGAGGTTGGAACTCCAACAAAATCCTGGGTAGAAGTTTAAGTGTAGCGTAAGACCCTAATTCCTCCCCACCACTCCACCCTAGCCCCTGCCTTTTCTGTGCTGAAGACCCTGAAATGCAAATTCCACAGAATGAACAGCAGTGTGGGTGAGTAAACCAAGCATTGGACTAAGTGCCAGAAGAGTTAAGTACAGGTTGTACCCTTGAGTAAGTCACTTAACTTCTTTGAGCTTAAATTTCCACGTTTGTAAAATGAATTAGGATGAACTCTGGGGTTGGGGTGGATCTTCCCATCATCCTTCCCTTCTTCCAGAAACTGTTTCTCTCCAGCCCCCAACTATTGGGATTACCATTTTCTTACATGACTCCATCCCCCTGGCCACAGTTGATTGGTCCATGAGTGGGCATCTGACACAAGCTGGGCCAATCAGAGGACTTCCCTGGGATTTTTTTTGTTTTGTTTTGAACTGGTACTGAGAAAAATCAGCACCTCTGTGGTGGTGAGTCTGTAAAAGTAGGTAGAGTGGGGCTCAGGACCATTTGGCAGCCCTATTTTCACCCTGTGAAGTCTAAGAAGCAAACATGCAGTGAAAAGCAGAGACAAGAGATAGGTCCCTCTGATGGCATTTGTATCAAGTGTTTCTGAGACCCACGTGTACCCTTGCCTTGCCTGCAGTTAAGTGGGACACTCAGATGTCCTTCCAATCGATTCACCCCTTTTGCCTAAGCTGGATCAAATTCGTTTTCTGTCACTTGCAAGATGCTGATTGATACAGACTAGTTTATTTCTAAGATACCTTTAACTCTAAATGTCTATGATTTATATAAAAAATTAATGAATGGTGTTCAAATAGAACTATGTCTCTGAATTGTGGGTATTCATGCGGAATAATCAAAGGTTTGTTAAAAAAACTCTCATTTAACTCACTTAAAAGGGTAGACTAGGTTAAAGATGATCTCTAGTCTTTTATTATATCTAAATGAAAGAAATAAATAGGTCAAGAGCTGGTGTTTTGGCGAACTGTGAGGAAATCAGCCATTAAGTTATAAAAATTGATTTCAAAACTGTTGACGTGGTGACCTGGTTTTGAAATTGAATTCATTTTTTCCTGTGACCAGTATAACACAAGAGGAGATTAGTAACTTTGGCTTGATGAAGAACAATAATTTAGAAAGGCTGGGTCACAATGTGGGTATTTTGACCTAAGTTACCTACATTGACTGTCTACACTACATAATCAGTAATGAGTGAGTGAAATCTCTCTTTTGGTTTAAACAGATAATGTAAATAACTAGCTAAGTCTCCCACTTCTGGTTTCTACTCTAATCGATCCACCTGTCTGTGTGTTATTAAAAATAACTTACATTTTAGCTTTTGGTAAATAATCTTTATTTAGGCTTCTTGAGCATTTATGGATTTCAATATGTAAAATTTTACATTTTTCCCATGGTAAAATAACTCAGTTATCTGATAACAATAAATCTTTCTATTTCACTTTTAAAAATATCCTAAAAATGAGCCCCCAAAACCTTTCTATTTCTAATGACCTCTTCTCAATATTAAATTTGAAATGTATGCACATGTGTCTATACTTACATCTGTAATTGTGTCTCAATATTCTCATCCTACTATAGTAAATTCTTGGTAATTAGTGGTAGTGGGGGATGGTACTTTCATAGATAATGTTAATTGAAATCCATAGAAAATTATGAGTTCTCATTTTTGCTGTTATTGTGATTTTAATCTCCTCCCCAGGGGGGAAAAAACTTTAAACCAGAGTTGACATGTGTAGTAGAAAAATTAGCTATTTTGGGTTTCACCCACTCTTGGCCCACTTTTCTTAGTGGATGACCTCCCAAGATGTAAAACTGTAGGTAAGTTAGAAGTGGGAAGAGGCAGAGGAGGCTGGAGATTGTATATACCATTACTGAAATGTTAATACATTTGAATAACAAAATATTGGTGATGTGGGCTAAACCCAGGATATAGTGGCACCTGTTTACTAGCCTCAGACTCCCAAGATTCTCATCTGGAGCAGCGCAAAAACCCAGCTCTCCACATCATCCTTACTTACAAGTCGGAGCCCATGTAGCTGTAACTACTTTCGCTTTCTTTCCGCTTAATAAGTCTTGTATAATCCTTCCAGTCTGGGAATTCCTAATCAGCAGTCAGCTGTTCTCAGTAGCCTAAACTATATATAATACAACAACCCTTTCCACCTCTACTTTGCCCCTCGCCCTTCTCCACCTTGAACTGCTCAGGGACCTTCTCACTCTGTTCTGATGTCCATCATGTCTTGGCCGCAGAGCATCTTGCTCAGTTGACTATTTCTTGCTTTATGTTTTGGTACCACTTCATTACAGAGGATCACTGGAGGACAGGTTTTCTAGGAGACAGCCCGTGGGCGGGGCCTGAGCAGGGAGCTCTTCCGGATTCGTGGCTGATCTTGGCTTTTAATCTTCTTTTGCTCTGATTACTGTGTATGGCCACGGGTGTCAACCATTTGTGCCTGTCCTTGGTACAGTTCCTGTTTTTGCCCAGGACACTTTGGATCATTCTCAGTACCCTTTTTCCACCCTTTTCTACGCACACAGCTAGAAATACCCAGCTCTACCTTGCAGATAGAAATACAGGCATACCTCAGAGATATAGCAGGTCTAATTCCAGACCACTGCAATAAAGCGAGTCATCCTAATTTATTTTGGTTTCCCAGTGCATATAAAAGTTATATTTACACTATGCTTGGTCTATTAAGAGTGCAATAGCATACGTCTAAAAAACAATGTGCATACCGTAATTTAAAAATACTTTATTGCTTAAAAAAATGCTATGATCACCTGCACCTTCATTGAATCACAAACTTTTTTGCTGGTGGAGGATCCTGACTTGATATTGATGGCTGCTGACTGATCAGGGTGGTGACTGCTGAAGGTTGGGATGATTGTGGCAATTTCTTAAAATAAGACAACAATGAGTTTGCTACATTGATTGACTCTCCCTTTCAGGGAAGATTTCTCGATAGCAAGCAATGCTGTTTGAGAGCATTTGCCCACAGTAGAACTTCTTTCAAAATTGCAGCCAATTGTCTCAAACCCTGCCACTGCTTTATCAACTAAGTTGATGTAATATTCTAAATCCTTTGTTATCATTTCAACAATGTTCACAGAATCTTCACCAGGAGTAGATTCTATCTCAAGAAACCACTTTCTTTGCTTATCTGTAAGAAGCATTCATTCAAGTTTTATCATGAGATTTTGGCAATTCAGTCACACCTTCAGGCTCCACTTCTAATTCCAGTTCTCTTGCTATTTACATCACCTCTGCAGTTACTTCCTCCACTGAAGTCTTGAACTTCTCGAAGTCAGCCATGAAGATTGAAATCATCTTCTTTGAAACTCCTGTTAATGTTGATATTTTGGGCTCCTCCCATGTATCATGAATGTTCTTAATATCATCTTGAATGGCTAATCCTTTCCAGAAGGTTTTCAATTTTCATTGCTCAGATCCATCAGAGGAATCACTATCTATGACAGCTATAACCTTATGAAGTGTATTTTTTTTAATATTAAGACTTGAAAGTCAGGCCAGGCGTGGTGGCTCATGACTATAATCCCAGCCTTTAGGAGGCTGAAGCAGGAGGATTACTTGAGCCTAGGAATTTGAGACCATCCTGGGCAACACAGGGAGACCCTGTCTCTACAAAAAAAATTAAAACTTAGAGCAACATAGTGACGCATGCCTGTGGTCCCAGCTACTCAGGAAGCTGAGGTGGGAGGATGGCTTAGGCCTAGGAGGTTGATGCTGCAGTGAGCCATGATTGCACCACTGCACTCCAGCCTGGGTAACAGGGTGAGACTTCGTCTGGAAAAAAAAAAAAAAAAGAAAGACTTGAAAGTCAAAATTACTCCTTGCTCCATGGGCTGAAGATGGATGTTGTTTTAGTGAGCATGAAAACAACATTAATCTTCTTGTACATCTCCATTGGAGCTCTTGAGTGACCAGGTACATCATAAATGAGCAGAAATCTTTTTTTTTTTTCTCTCTGAACAGTAGGTCTCAACAGTGGGCTTAAAATATTCAGTCAACCATGCTGTAAACAGATGTGCTGTCCTTCAGGCTTTGTTTTTCCATTTATAGAGCATAGGCAGAGTAGATTTAGCATCATTCTTAAGGGCCCTAGGATTTTCAGAATGATAAATGAGCATTTGCTCTGACTTAAAGTCATCAGCTGCATTAGCCCCTAGCAAGAGTCAGCTTGTCCTTTGAAGCTTTGAAGACAGGCATTGGCTTTTCTCTAGACATGAAAGCCCCAGATGGCATCTTCTTCCAATAGAAGGCTGTTTTGTCTACATGGAAAATCTATTGATTAATGTAGACATTTTTATCAAGGCCTGAGCTGGATCTGGATAACTCACTGCAGCTTCTCCATCAGCACTTGCTGCTTCACCTTGCACTTTTATATTATGCAGATGACTTCTTTCCTTAAATTTCACGAAACAATCTCTGCTAGCTTCAAACTTTTCTTTAGCAGCTTTCTCACCTCTGTTAGCCTTCATAGAATTGAAAAGAGTTAGGGCTTTGCTCTGGATTAGGCTTTGGCTTAAGGGAATGTTGTGGCTGGTTTGATCTTCTATCCAGACCACTCAAACGTTCTCCATGTCAGTAATAAGTCTGTTCCACTTTCTTATCATTTGTGTTTTCAGTTGAGTAGCACTTCTAATTTCTTCAAGAACTTTTCTTTTGAATTCACAGCTTGGCAAAAGAAGCCTTGCTTTCAGTGTATTTTGGCTTTTGATGTGCCTTCCTCACTAAGTTTATTCATTTTTAGCTTTTTATTTAAAGGGAGAGATATGTGACTCTTTCTTTCGCTTGAACACTTTGAGGCCATTGCAGGGTTACTAATTGGCCTGATTTTAATATTGTTGTGTCTCAGAGAATAGGGAGACCCAAGGCAGGAGAAAGAGAGAGAGAGAGAGAGAGAGACAGGGGAATGTCTGGTCAGTGGGGTAGATCACTATAACAAATAGAGTAACTACAAAACATTTGAAATACTGTGAGAATTGCCAGTATGTGACACAAAGACACAAAGGGAGCACACCCTGTTGGGAAAATGGCACTGATAGACTTGCTGAAGATAAGGTTGCCACAAACCTTCAATTTGTAAAAAGAAAAATACTCAATAGAAGAAGCCAAAACCCTGGCTGCATCTACAGAGAATTACATACCCTCACTTTATATACAGATACAAATTCAATAGAGGAAACAGCACCCATGTATGTCAACCGTGGCTCTCCTGTTTGGTTCACATTGAGCATGGGAAGACAGACAGTCAATAGGCTAGTACAGCGGTGTGCAAGTGGTGGCCTGCAAATCCTAAACAGGTGGGCAAACAAATTTAGCATAATCTGTGAAATGTGTTTTTACTGCACAGTAACATACAGTCACTACAATGACGTTAGCCAGGGGGTAGTGCCACCGGGTGTAGAGCTGTGTACAGCTTGCTGCCAATACATTAAATACTAAAGGAGTTACACCTAATACTAGAATATGGGTAGATGCATGTAAATGTATGGCCAGGGAAATAAGCTGGTGATACCCCCGAGAAAACTGTAGACACTTTTATAGTTAATGTGAGATGTTGCTTTGTAATTACTTCTCACTTATTTAGTCCTGTTTTGAATCTTTCAGTCTCTTCCAGTGCACAACCAAATTTTCAGGAATTTGGAAATGTGTCATGAGCACACAAAAGACACTGGATTTAAACAAATGTGAGTTATCATATGGTGTGGACTAAAACCATGTGAAACCAAGAGCAATAGCATTAAGATGGATGATGAGGAGCAAGGGAAAATGGAAATGGCGAGACTGTGGCCAGTGTTAGGCCGACATTGCAGCAGATCTACATTCCGCCGTGAGAACAGACATGGGGACAAAAGCCCAGACCTGGTAAGTTCCTTAACCTATGATGCGAGTGAGGACTATGGGAAATCATTCATTCATTCATTCATCTTTAAATCCATTAAGTAAGTGTTACTGAGCCTCTATCATATGCCACATGTTGTGTCCTGGGAGATGAAGACATCACAATAAGAGAAACTGTGTCTGTCCTCATTGAGCTGTTATCCTAGCTGGGGAGATGGACACAAACCAAGTAAACTGAGAAAACAAGGACAAGTAACAGTGTGTTATGAAGAAAGCCAACAAGGGGCTGAGATATAGAATGGTGTGTTTGGGAGATGTTATGGATTGAATGTTTACATCCTCCCAAAATTCATATATTGAAGCCTTAACTCCCAATGTGAAGGTATTTGGAGATGATACCTTTGGAAGGTAATTAGACCATGACCGTGGAGCCCTAAGGATGGGATATGTGCCTTTATAAGATGAGACCAGAGCTCTCTATCTCTGTCTCTCTGTCTCTCTGTCTCTCTCCAAGCAGGCACAAAGAAAGGGTCATGTGTGTGCATGCCTACCAGCCTGAAACAGTCCTCACCCAAAACTGGCCATGCTGGCGCCCTGATCTCAGACTTGCAACCTCTAGAATGTTGTGTAAGCCACCCAGTCTACAGAATTTTATTATTGCAACTTGAGCGATAACACAGGAGGGAAGACTTGTAGTAGAGAGGGTAAACTGGGAAGGCTTCTAAGACCTCCTAAGTTTGACTTCCCTCCTCAACTCTTAGCACCCAGCAAAACAGCCTCTGGAGTTACATGGAGACTCCAGTTAGAGAAGCTCTGTATGTGGCCCTGTATCAAGTAAAAGGTCTTTATATTTTTCAAATGGATGAAGAGTGGTAGGGGATCACCAGCGTAGTTCAGAATAACCTCATAAAGAGAGCTTAAAGTCTCTCAGAGGTGAAAAAAGAATGTCTATTACTTAGGAGAACCAGTAGTGAGTGGTGTCAGAGAAGTAAAAGGAGGGGATTTCAAAGATTGTAGTTATTAGACCCACCATTAGATCATGTTAATTGATGTTTTAGTAAAGAAGCAAATATGTTACTACATCACAATTTACATGTGGACACCTTCCATTCTTATTCTCTTTTCTGTCTTTACATTTCTCTTTACCCTATCACTAACATGCTGTATATTTTAGTGATTTTTCTCTCTGTCCTATGAGACTATAAACTCCCTGAGGGCAGAGATTTTTGTCTGTTTTGTTCATGGCTGTATCTCAGAGCCTAGAACAGGCCTTAACCAGCACATAGTTGAACAAATGCTCAATAAACAGCTGTTGATCAACTGACTGATTTTTCAGTTGACTGACTGACTCTTTTCTGAATAAAGCCATAAGCCCCTTTGTCATACAAATTCCCTCATATCCCTTAAAACACACCTAGCAGATGTCAGACATGTTGCAGATGACCAAGTGGATGTTGGTGATTGAACTGTCTGTCCAGAGTCCTGGACCTAACCTTTCAGGGCTCTTTTTTTTCTCCTATTAACCCACGACTTACTGACCGTGAGAGAAATAGAGTCTGGATTGAAGACAAGCTGGTGTCCTGTAAAGAATGAGCACATAAAACAGTTCAGCAAGTGGCTTCTTTGATTTACTTGTGAAAAAATAGCAACAAAACATTTCAGCAAGGATACCACTCCTAGGTGGCTATGCAGGCAGCACTGAAGTGTAAAGGCACTCCTGAGGCCACAGTCATGCCAGATTTCCCCCTTTGTGAAATGAAACAGATATGACCCTACCTTGCAAGGTGGTTGTCAAAATCAGGGCACGGTAAATGCAAAGTATCCATGGCAATGCTTATACACAGGATGTGTTCACTGAATGATGACGATTTGAGAATGAAGTTGGGCAGCCCTCATCCAGTGCAGCCTCAGCATTGCTGGTAATAAATATGTGACCCATTCTAAAGCTCTCTTGGCAGCCTTATCTGATATAGATTCTGAGGTCACAGTCATTTCTTAAGGCCACAAGACCGTGCCAAGACCCACTCAGGTATTTTACGCAGTTTATTTCCTTCCTCATCCAGCAGCATCAATGACTTTAGACATTAAACATTGGAAGAATGCTTCTGTGTCATACTTTAAAACTGATTAGGACTGCGTCCAAAAATAACATCAAAAGAATTCTCCAGTTTCCAGATAGGAGCCAGTGCTGTGAGCTGTCCTAATGCCACAGATAAAACAAGAGGGGTGCTGCCATCTTTTCTAGGAGAGTGAATTCTCCTCTTTATATATGGAGGAAAAATTCTCTGCAGTGAGGAAATCATTGATTAATCCCACGAAACCCATACTTTGACATTGGTTGCCTTTTCCTCTGAAAGTTTTACTTTTCCTTTCCTCCCTTTTTCTTTTTCTTTTTTTTTTCTTTTGAGATGGAGTTTCTCTCTTGTTTCCCAGGCTGGAGTGCAATGGCGTGATCTTGGCTCACTGCAACCTCCGCCTCTCGGATTCAAGCGATTCTCCTGCCTCAGCCTTCTGAGTAGCTGGGATTACAGGCATGCACCACCATGCGCGGCTAATTTTGTATCTTTAATAGAGAAGGGGTTTCTCCATGTTGGTCAGGCTGGTCTCGAACTCCCGACCTCAGGTGATCCATCTGCCTCGGCCTCCCAAAGTGCTGAGATTACAGGCGTGAGCCACCATGCCCGGCCCTTTCCTCCCTTTTTCAAAAATTCTCATCCAATTATTACTTCCTCTCAGCTCCTCTCTATTAATCACTTTCCTGTTTGCTGACTTTCCTTTTCTTCTCTCTCATGTTTGCCTGCTGTACTTAATCTTTGGTGAATCACTTTATTTTTTCACTTGCCTACTCCACAGTTCTTCCGAGTGAGATCTGAAGTTCTTAAGCTCCTTTTCTCTCCTGTGTGGCTCTTCTGACCTTTAAGATACAGTGGCTACCACTCTGGCTCAGAATGCTGCAAACCTCCCTTTTCCACCAAGTCCATTTAGTTTAGAAGAAGCTTTTTTTTGTTTGTTTGTTTTTGAGACGGAGTCTCGCTCTGTTGCCCAGGCTGGCATGCAGTGGCATGATCTCGGCTCACTGCAACCTCCGCCTCAAGGGTTCAGGTAATTCTCCTGCCTCAGCCTCCTGAGTAGCTGGGATTACAGGCGCAAGCCACCATGCCTGGCTCATTTTATTTTTAGGAGAGGCAGGGTTTCACCATGTTGGCCAGGCTGGTCTCGAACTCCTAACCTCAGGTGATCCGCCAGCCTCTGCCTCCCAAAGTGCTGGGATTACAGGTTTGAGCCACCGTGCCTGGCCTAGAAGAAGCTTTAGTTCCTTCTACTTAATGGCCAAGGCCTCAGAGAGACTCTCAGACTAGGAAAATGGCATGCTCAGTGAATCCTTGTTTCCTTACAGCCTGAAAGAGTTAATATGCAAACAGCACTTTATGAATACAAAGGATAGGCTGACATATTAGGGAAAATAGAGTGCCTTGTATGTTGCTGCCTCCTTCAGAACAATTTGAGGCTAAGAGAGCTCGTAGGCCTTAGCAGGTGTTGTTAGCACACACAGGGAGCCAGGAGAACCCCTTGGCCTCAGGGCCATAGCTACATGCCCTCTGAGTTTTGTTAGGAAGGTCCTGCCCCTCCATTTTTCTTTTCTTTTTTTTTTTTTTTTTTGAGATGGAGTCTTGCTTTGTTGCTCAGGCTGTGTAGTGCAGTGGTGCAATTTCAGCTCACTGCAACCTCCACCTTCCAGGTTCAAGCAATTCTCCTGCCTCAGCCTTCTAAGTAGCTGGGATTACAGGCGCGTGCCACCACACCCAGCTAATTTTTTGTATTTTTAGTAGAGACGGGGTTTCGCCATGTTGGCCAGGCTGGTCTCAAACTCCTGACCTCAAGTGATCCACCCACCTCAGCCTTCCAAAGTGCTGGGATTACAGGCATAAGCCGCTGCGCCCGGCCCCTGCACCTCCTTTTGTTATGGCCCCCATGAGTACCCAACTCACCTCTCACCTCTGCTCCAACTTCTTGGCCAACACAACACATCAGAGAGAACTGGACCTTGGCTCATTCCTTTCCAGTGGCCAACCAGCCAAGAGAACACCTGCTTTTCATTCTCTTCAGGGAAGTGTGAACTTTTCCCTTGGGGCTATAACCTGCACCTATGCTATAACACCCTTCCCCTCCACCACAACACATCTTGTAGCCTAACTACAGAAGGTGCCCAAGAAACCCCCAAAGTTTGCTCCTCACAGTCTAGGGTCACCCCTCAGCTATTACCAAGCCAGGGAGTGAGACTCCATGGTGGACAATTTATCTCTATAATTTTGTTTTCCTTTGTCTACATTTGGTCAGCATAAACACTTCTGAAAAATGGGCTGCAGCTGATGCCTTTTAGTTTAGTTCCCTTTAATGGGAATTTATAAAATGACTCTTACTATGCGGAACACATGTTCTAAGTATTCAGTTACTTGATGGATTGAAACAGTGCTGAGAGATATAGAACACATGCTTAAAAATATTCCTAAAATGCCTAATTACCCTGTGGACCAATCAGATACATAATATACATTTTAATATACCATTTAATTGTTGTTTACCAGGAGACAGGAACCTTTCTGGTCTCTTGGGTTAAACTACAGATTTTTAGAAACTGTCTAAATACGTATTTACTTGATTCATTCTGATCTCTTGGGTGAAGAATCCTTTTTCCAAAGAAGTGGCTTTACATGCAAAACAAGACAATTAAATACTCTGAGGTGGTGGTTACTCATGAAAAGACAATGGCTTTATCTTTCATGATTCAGGGATAAAAATCCCAAAGCTCAGCCAAGCCCCAGAGCCCTAAAAATAATCTACACTGGTAACTCTACATCACTGAAGCTCACCCACCTCAGAACAACTGAATATTTTTTCATCATAACAATCTCTGATAAAAATGTTTAAATTGCATTATGCTGGCTTCTTTAAAAGAGAACAGTAAGGATTTATGACTGGATATTTCTACCTCCAGAACCCAGCAAGTCCAAGGGAGAACTCATTATCTCCCTATCTGAAAATCCTGTTTCTCCTCCCCAATTCCCGATCTCAAGAAATAGTACTGTATCCACCCAGTACTGATGTAGGAAACCAAAGCGCCCTTCTTGACTGTCTTCCCTCTCTCTCTTACCTTCACTCAATCAGAAATTATTTGGGCATGTTATTTAGCTCCTCTGCATCTCAGTTTCCTCATCTGTAGAATGAGGATTATAATAGTTCAGACTGGGCCTGGTGCAGTGGCTCATGCCTGTAATCCCCAGCACTTTGGGAAGCTGAGGTGGGAGGATCGCTTGAACCCAGGAGTTCGAGACCAGCCTGGCCAACGTAGCAAGACCTTGTCTTTATTGTCTTTAAAATAATAATTTTAAAAAATAGTACAGACCTCACAAGGTTGTCATTGTAAGTTTTCAATGTCCAGTGCTTGTGATTGTGCCTAGCACATCATAAGTGTCATATATGGGTGTTCTTTCTCCTTCTCCCACCACATTAAACATCTCTAGAGTCTGTTTCCTTCTCCCCATTACCACTGCCAATGCCCTAAATCTAGCTACTGTTGAATTCCTCTCACCTGTTCCTCAAATTGGTTTCCAAGCATTCACTGTCTCTGACCTCACCCAACCCCTTTCCAATCCATTCTTTGCAAGGAAGAGCCATCTCCCACATTCAAATCTGAGCATATCTTTTCTATGCCTGAAAGCCTACCATGGCTCTCCCCAAGTCCAGCTTCTAGAAATGGCTTTTAAGGCCCTATGTGATCGGCCTCTGCTTCCCACTCCAGCCCTGTGTTCCAGAAGGTTATGGTTAATGGAAGTCTGACTTCAGCATGAAGCATCATGGATCCTGTCCCCCTTCCTAGTAATAAGGGAATCCTCCCAATGAGGTGGCTTCCAAAGTGTGAGGAAATCATGTTGCCTCCCCTAAGTCCTTCCTCTACCCAAAGCGTGAGGTTACACGTTTAGTTTTCTTGTCCTCTTAACACAACAGTACTCCCTGGGAGGGCCAATATTCTAAGCTTCTTTCCTACTGAGCTTTGGTGGATAACCAGCTTCTCATGAGAGATGATGAAAAAGTTTGATTTATGGCCCAAGACAGAGGGCATGGGCTAGCAAGGTGGACCACAGCACCTAATCGAAAGTGACAAAACACAACTACATGGGAGAAACCTCAGTCTCATTGTGATGGGAGGGAAGTGGACCTGTTTCCTCCTAGGAGAGCAAGAGGATCAGGAGTCCTAAGATAATGTTTCTCAAATTGGAGTGTGCATGAGACCCACCTGGAGGGCTTGTTCAAACATATTGTGGGGTCCCACCACAGAGATCCAGATTCAGTGGGTCTGGTGTGGAGTCTGAGAATCTGCACCTCTCACAAGTTCCCCGGTGATGCCAAGCTGCTGGTCCCAGGGTCCTACTTGGAGAACCACTGCTCAGGGGGACTGTCACGGGAAGCCTACAGTCCTGGGCAGAGGGAGCAGGATCTTCCTTGCTTCCCCCATCTCTAAGTCCAGGGCTGGGAGGGGAAATGTAATGCAGACATTGTTATTCACCACAATGCTTAGGGAGAGCTTGGTGTGTGTTTGGGAGGGATACTTTGATAAACCACTGGGATGGAGGGTGACCCCAACAGCTTGTTTCTGCTACCAAAAGTGGACACTAAATGGCTTACCTACAAGTAGAGAGATTCGTTCTGGTCTTAGGGGAAGGGGGAAAGGAAGGCAAATGAGGAGAACTAGTCAGATGACAAAAGGCAGTAGGCTTCAACATGGGCCCTTCCCAGTGGAACTTCCACTTTCAGAAAAGTTGACTACACTCACGAAATGCTTGGGGGAGAGGCCTGTTAGTAGGTGAAGGTCTGAGCTTTTCCCAAGTGTGTGGAAAGAGGCAGGAGCCACAGGACCCAGAGGTGGACAGAACTCAGAAAACATCAGCCCCAGCAACTCTTGGCAATCCTGCCCCAGACTTTGGGTTACTTAGGTGTGGAAACGAGTATTTAAGCCCAGCACACACAGGCTGCCGGGGTATAGGGAGCTACAGGGGATCTGCTGGCCTGTGGGAGGAGCAGAGGTCCAGGCAGGGCCTGCGGCCAGGTGGAGTGGCCTTTCCCTGCTCTGAGAGGCCCTGAGGGGTGAGCAGTTGAAGCAGGGAGGCCAGTGGGGTAGGTGCCCCCACTCTCCCGAAACCAAGGGCCTGGAGGCACTCACCCTGCCGCCTGCCGCTCATGGCATCACCACCAAGAGAGGGAGGCTACAGCGTGGGCAGAGCAAAGGGACATGGGGCACTGTGCAGCTGGAGCAGCAGGGTCAAGGCTGGCAGGGCAAGCAGGTCTAAGAGTTCACAGGCTCACAGAGAACCACCTGAACCTCTGCCTGGGCTGCCTCCTGAGACTGTGCTGTGTGTTTGTGGCCAGTGTGTGGAAACCCCTTTGTTTTTCTTTGCACTTTCCTCCCTCGGCCTGCTGGGGCCTGCGGAAACTCCTGTTGCAACTAGGCCAGAGGGCGAAGACTGCAACTGGACTGACCAGGGAGACCAGCTTTGGGGAGGGCGTGGCGCACGAGCAGGGCTCACCAGGAGCAGCTGCACCAAGGAGAGATGGGCAGCTGAGGCCTTTATCCTGGCACCTCAGAGCATTCATTTGGTCCTGCCCCAAGGACAGCCTTTAGCCTCTGAAGGTCCAGGGTCAGACCCCCAGCTCCAAATTATCTGAAGAGAACTCCTGTCTACCACAGGAGCAACTGCCAGCATCTATGTCTGACATTGATGAGGGGGTCATCCACCCTCATATCCAAGTCCTTGTTCTTCCTGAGGGCGACTCGAGACTATGGGCTCAGGGTCTCACATTATAGCCACTTGACCTGCATGTGCACAAGAGAAGTTTTTGATGGGAGGGAGGGATGGAGGCAAGGGGGCAAATAGGAGGGAGAGCACCACCTAGAAGGTGAGCACCTGCGGAGTGAGGGCAGGCAGAAAGGAGGTTGCATCCCCTTGATGGCATCTGTTTCCATGGTTACAGCCCCAGAAAAGGAGCAGAGTTCTCACTAGGCCCTTGCTACCTGCTCTAGGCCAAAGGGGAGACCCAAGACAAAAGGTTGACACATGCCCCTGACCATCACAAAAACCTTCTATTTGCTACAGCAGCAGAGGGGAGCAGTGCCCACTCAGAGCCCCAGGGGAGGGTCTAAAGCCACCGTTCATGACTAGCTTTTCAAGCAGAAATGCCAGGCACGGTCAAGTTATCTGAGCAGGGGCTACAGATGTTTGGTCAAACCCTTTAGGGCTTCGGAGCACAAGTGTGGAGGCTGAGAGAAGATTAGGAAAGGAGTTGGGACTAGGGCAGGTACAACCTCTGGAATGGAATTGAAGGATCCTTCCCAGCACAAGCCAGCCAGGGCAGCTGGGGCCAAGTGTTCTACAGGACAGTCAGCAGTCCAGTAGCCAGGGAGACCACAGCAGCTTCTGGGGAAGTCTAAGAGGTGGTGATGCAAACGTTGAGCTTACCTGGTGCAGTAGCTGATGCAGTCCCCAGTGGAGGGGCTGTATGACAAGGGCTTACAAGAATGTCTATGGCAGAGGCTGGGCGCGGTGGCTCATGCCTGTAATCCCAGCACTTTGGGAGGCTGAGGCGGGCAGATCACCAGGTCAGGAGATTGCGTCCATCCTGGCTAACACAGTGAAACCCTGTCTCTACTAAAAATACAAAAAAATTAGCCGGGCGCGGTGGCGGGCGCCTGTAGTCCCAGCTACTCTACTCAGGAGGCTGAGGCAGGAAAATAGCATGAACCTGGGAGGCGGAGCTTGCAGTGAGCCGAGATCGCGCCACTGCACTCCAGCCTGGGTGACAGAACAAGACTCCGTCTCAAAAAAAAAAAAAAAAAAAAAAAAAGGAATGTCTGTGGCAGAAACATAATCAACAGCAAAAGGAGCTAGCAAAAATTGAAGTCCTACCTGGATTGGAAGGACCAATCTG
Source organism: Homo sapiens (assembly GCF_000001405.40). NCBI lineage: Eukaryota > Metazoa > Chordata > Mammalia > Primates > Hominidae > Homo > Homo sapiens. The sequence continues at coordinate 64,786,429 of NC_000002.12, forward strand.
GGTTCAAATCCTAGCTCTGCAACTTATCAACTGATTGACCTTGGGCAAGTCACTTAAGCTCTCTGTGACTGTTTTGTCAACTTTAAGAGGTGACTATAATAGCACCTGCCTAATGAGATGGTTGAGAGGTGACATGAAATAAAAAAAATTACAGAGCTTGGTATATTGCCTGGCACAACTGAGCATGAAATTTGGTATTATCATTGACAAGCAACAACATCTATGATATATTATTAAGTGAACAAATAAAATATACATGTATGGCATAACTCCATTTATGCAAACAGGCACCTCTATATTTTCCTCTGTCTGTGTGTATTTATAAAGAGGATAATCAGGAAGGATCAAACTTCACAGTGGTTAATTCTGGGGAGTGGAATTGGGGAAGTGAGTGAAAGGGGATTTCTTTGTTCCACTAACAAGCATCTAGACTGGTGTTTTGGGGGAATGAGGGTGAGGATGGTAAAAGATGTGGGGGTGAAAGGCACCCTTTCTGTCTCAAGGGACTGTGACCTGCTCACAGAAACTTGCCAAGGCCTCAGTATGTACTTATTGGTCTGAGAACCTCATGTGTCCTCAGGTAACACTCATGGAGCTTTCTCACTGTGGATGATGCAGTTTACCAGGCACCGACTACCTGGCTGCTTGCTTCCTCTGCATAGGGGCCCTCCATTCCATGGCAGGGTCGTGTGTGCCAGCCAGGACATATCCCTGCCCCCAGGCTCCATACCAATCTAGAACCCAACTGGGAGAACCTGAAGAGCAGGAGACTGTCTTTGGTACTCAGCTTTGGGTGAGGCTCACTGCAACGACGGGAGTTTCCCGATGTTGATTGCTGGGTACTGCAGTGGCCATTCTCTCCTTCTTCCTCTTGGTAATTGAGTACCCACAGTAGGCTAAATAACAACCCCCCAGAATATCACGTCCAAATCCCTGGAACCTGTCATGTTATCTCATTTGGAGAAAAGATTTTTGCAGATGTGGTTAAAAATCTCAAGATGGGGAGATTATCCTGGATATTTAGATGGGCCCTAAAAATGCATTCACACATGTCCTTATAAGACTAAAGTGGAGGGTCATTACACAGACAGAAGAGGAGAAGGCAGTGTGACCACAGAGGCAAGGACTGGAGTGATGTGGCCACAAACTAAAGAATGCCAGCAGCACCCAGAATTTGAAAGAGACAAGGAAGGGATTCTCCCCTGGAGCTTCTGTTAAGGACTACAACCCTCATAACACTTTGGGTTTTGGCTGACACAGATTTTGGACTTCTGGCCTCCAGACCTCCAGAACTGTCAGAGGATAAATTTTTTTGTTCTTTTAAGTCACCAAGTTTTTAGTAATTCATTATAGCAGCCATGGGAAACTAATACAACCCTTATCCTTGGATTTTAGCTGGACACATGACCATATAGGTAGAGACTACATTTCCCAGCTTCCCTTATAACTGAGAGTAGCCCTGTGACTAGGCATGGCCAATGACTAGAAGTGATGTAACTTCGGCTTCCCGAGTTTCAAAATCATGTCTTTGTGAGTTGAGACTGCTGTGATAACACACCGCACCATAAACTGGGTGGCTTGTAAACAACACACATTTTTAATTTAATTTTTTTTCAACTTTTATTCTAGATTCGAGGGGTACCTGTGCGGGTTTGTTACATGGGTATATCACGTGATGCTGAGATGTGGGGTAGATTCTGTCACCCAAGTAGTGAGCATAGAACCCAATAGGTAGTTTTTTAGCCCACGCCCCTCCCTCCTCCAGGAATTTGCACTGTCCATTATTCCCATCTTTATTTCAATATGTACCCAGTGTTTAGCTCCCTCTTATAAATGAGAACATGTGATATTTGGTTTTCTGTTCCTGTGTTAATTTGCTTAGGATAATGGCCTCCAGCTGCATCCATGTTGCTGCACAGGACATGATTTTGTTCTTTTTTTATGGCTGGGTAGTATTCCATGGTGTATATGTACCACATGTTTTTGATCCAGTCCACCATAGATGGGTACCTAGATTGGTTTCATGTCTTTGCTATTGTGAATAGTAGCCTGTAGATGTGGTTAAGAATCTCAAGATGGGGAGATTATCCTGGATATTTAGATGGGCCCTAAAAATGCAATCACACATGTCCTTATAAGATAAAAGTGGAGGGGCATTACACAGACAGAAGAGAAGGCAGTGTGACCACAGAGTTTCTGCTTGCGGTGTCAAGCCAGCCAGTGACTATATAGGGCTTTTGCAACAGAGATACGGTGTGAATAGTAGCTACAATGAACATACAAGTACGTGTGCCCTTTTGGTAGAACAATTTATTTTCCTTGGAGTATATTTCCTCAGTAATAGGATTCCTAAGTTGAATGGTAGCCTTAACAACAGAATTTGTGTGTGTGTGTGGTTCTAGAAGCTGGGAAGTCCAAGATCAAGGCACCAGCAGATTCTGTGTCTCATTTGTCCTCACATGGTGGAAGGGGCAAAGGGTTTCTCTCTGGCCTCTTTTATAAGGGTATTAATCCCATGCACGACGGTTCTACCCTGTGACCTAATCACCTCTCAAAGGCCACGCTTCCTAATACTATCACCTTAGGGATTAAGATTTCAACATAAGAATGGGCATTGGGTGGAAGACATTCAGTCCATAGCATTAAGTTTCTTGCCCTCCATATTCTCTTTCCTACAGGTTGGAACTCCAATATGGTGCTGGTAGCCAGCTGTGACCAAGAAGAGGACAACCGGAGCAACAATCTTAGACACAAGGATGGAAGCTGTAAGGCAGGGGAGGAGTTCCAGGGTCCCTGGAGAACTTCATGGAGCTGAGGACGTCCTTCCTGTTTTGTAGTGTTGCATGAGAGAGGAATAACATTCTATATTATTTGGCTGGGCGCGGTGGCTCATGCCTGTAATCCCAGCACTTTGGGAGGCCGAGGTGGGCGGATCAACTGAGGTCAGGAGTTCAAGACTAGCCTGGCCAACATGGCAAAACCCCGTCTCTACTAAAAAATACAAAAATTAGCCGAGCGTGGTAGAGCATGCCTGTAATCCCAGCTACGCAGGAGGCTGAGGCAGGAGAATCACTTGAACCCTGGAGGCAGAGGTTGCAGTGAGCCGAGATAGTGCCACTGCACTCCAGCCTGGGTGACAGAATGAGACTCTCAAAAAAAAAAAAAACACCTGTATTAGTTAAGCCCTGTCATATCGGATCTTTTTGTCACAGCAGCTAGTTTATGCTGTAGCTAAACCACTGCGCTTCTGTCTTGTTCTGATAATCTAGGTCTCCACCTACCCATAAATCCCCCCTACAGCCTGTGCCTGGGTCCTGGTATCCTGCTGACCTACAAATATCTTCCTGGATTCCTGAATATCACCACCTCCAGGATTATTGAGCCCCACGCTCTGTCTGTTGGGACACTTCCACTACTCTGTGTGGAGCTGCCTTATGCAGACTGCTGGCACTACCAGAGTTTGCCTGCCACCACACCCTTCAGATTGTCAGGCTCTAGCTTCGCTGTCCCTTCAGCTGGCTTTGTCTCCCTGGAGTCTCCCCACTCCAGATAGAAAGTTGGCCTTGAGGCCCTAACTCTTTCTTGTCCATCCTGTCCTGCAGCAATTAACTAGGCCCCTCCTGGCTATGTCCTGAGTTATATAGGGAAAGGTTTGCCTGGCTCCTCACAGGAAGCATACCATGGAAGTACAAATCCCTACCCCCAATACCTTCCCTGGCTTACCCTGAAGCTGAGTAGAATTTCTGCTCGCAGTGTCAAACCAGCTGGTGACTATATAGGGCTTTTTCAATAGAGATACATTTCATTCTTTGCTAGCTTACACTTATGTTTGTTTTCCTTCCTGCAACTTTACGGCGGACATCAGATACTGATGTTTGCCTGAGGATGTGTACTGCTTCAGGAACACAAATTTCACATTTGGAATGTGCACAAGTCTAACTTCAGGTTAACAATCACCTGTGCTCATAGTAAGAAATGCTTTTGATTAACACCGGGGTGTGGAACAAAACTCATCTGGAATCCTAGATTAGGCAACTACTATTTATTTATGCAAAACAGTAAAGTCATTAGAGCCCCCATTCCTGGTAATTGTCTCAGAAAATGCATTCCCTGGCCTCACAATTCGTTTTATACAAAGCAAGAAGTTATTTGGGTTAATAACCTTGAGTTTTAATGACTCAATCAATATTTTGGTTTCTGCAGGCTGCTTTGCTACTGTAAATTTTGAGTACAGTGCTTGTGGAGTATATAAATATTTAGCTAGTCATTGAAGCATCAGTTAATGAAATAATTTAATCTTTTCTTTAATTTAGAAAATACTGTTGGCAATGAACTGGTATGAGGTGTTTATTTCAGCTGCTCTCATAGACTGGGAAACCAAATTGCTGCTGTGCTGTATGGTTTATTACTTTGTCACATTGCAAATCCATACTGCAAGTATCTCTTTTAGATTAATCTCCTTCAAATAGATCTTGAATAACCTAGTCACTTGCCTCAGATGGTTTTATCCTGATTTTAAATTTACAACCATGCTTCTCTGTCTGTTTTAAGATTTGCAGTATTGTGTGTTTGTGTGTGCAGTAAATTTACACATGTACTAGGAATCACAACCAGGACTGATTACAGATTTCTTCCTTTTAGAATGTGATGACTTTGAAAAAGAAAAACCTATATATTCAGAGTTCAAATACCAAATATAGCTTTCAAATACCAAAATGGCCATGTGAAGCTTTCTTTCAACTGGTTATTTTGTCTGAATCAAAGCTTCCAAAAATGTGTTCCTCGGCATACATATTCTTGGGATGCTAAAAGGATTCTACTTTGTTTCTGTTTGGAAATTCAAATGAAAACAAAAAAGATTATACAATCCAGTTATTAGTCTCTTCACTAGCCACAGGGAATCTTGAGGTTGAAGGATTGTACATACTTAGTCCTTTATTTTTCAAGCTGAATTATTAGGAGGGATTGTCTTGGTCTGTTTTGTGCTGCTTGAACAGAATACCACATACTAGATAATTCATAATGAACAGAAATTCATTGGCTCACCGTTCTGGGGGCTGGGAAGTCCAAGATAGAGGGGCCAGTGTCTTATGAGGGCCTTCTTGCTATGTCATCCCATGGCAGAAGGGCAAAGGAGGGTGGGGAACTCATCCTTGTATAAGGAATCCACTCCTGAGATAACAAAATTAATCCATTCATAAGGGCAATGTCCCCATGACCCAAACATCTTCCACTAGGCCCCACCTCCCAACACCACTGCATTGGGGATCAAGATTGCAACACTCAAGAACTTTGGGGGACATATTCAAATGATAGCAGAGCTTTAGCTCTTTAACAGTGACCTAGAAAATAACTACCAATGATTGCAAGTTTTTCTAATACGTGATTGGTTGGTGCCAGCTCTTGGTAGTAAAATTGAATCAGTAGAATCAGCAAATAGTTCCAAAGGTTTTTACTGAAAAAAAAAAGCTCTGACTTTTTAAATCAGGGACTTTGAATATCAACTGAGTATTAGATTATATTAAGGAACTATTTCAATCTTGACGGATGTGATAAGGACACCTTATGTAAGAAGATCGCCCCATTGTTAGATGCATACTCTGTACAATAACATATGCTGTCTGAAACTTCATTGAAGATACTTCAGGAAAAAGAAGTGACTATAGATAAAACAAATAGGACAGAATAGTAATGGTTAGTGATGGCTGGTGAAACTCGGTGATGAGTCCAAAATGCTCTTATATTCCCCAGTTTTATTTATACTCAATTTTCATAATACAAAATAGAAAAGAGTTCTGTGGTCAAATAAGCTTTGAGAAACCCTGGTTTTAATAAAATTAATTTAGGCATTTTTTTTTTTTTTTTACCGTATGCCTTTTTATGTATATGTAACTGTGTGTGTAAATCTTTTAATTTTCTCTTTGATTAAAAGAAAACTTTTTTTAAAGACTGATATTCTGCCAAATATGCTAACTAACTCTAGGAATGACTGCATTCTACCTAACAACCAGTTTGGATTGAATTGCCTGCACTGACCACTACTGGACTGCATGATCAAAACAGGTGGCTTATGCTTTTTTTTTTCCCCATCTCTCTATTTCAGTCATAGGCAGCAGATCCCTGTGGATGAGCTTCAACTTCAGGGAGGTCAGCCACTTACTAGCTCTCTAATCCAGGCGAGTCATTAAACCTCTCTG